>NC_000009.12:115095552-115720552 GCF_000001405.40 Homo sapiens | reverse complement strand
CTTTTAAAAGGCACATCCTCCTGGTAGGGGCAGCCAAGAACTTGGTGACAAAATGACACTATTGTGATAATTTACAAACATGCCCCTTCTCCCAGATGATTGAAGCTCCTCCCCAGAGTATATGGCTTCCCTAGCAGAGTGAGCTAGATATCTTGCTACATTAGCTGGGTACACTTGTGCAGTATGTAACTTACACAACTGTAGGTGGTAGCCTAGAAGGCAAGTAAGATATCCTTTGTTTCTTTCCTCTCTCACCTCACCCTGACCATTCTGGGAGGACTCAAATAGTCATAATAAGTGGGGAAAGAGAAATAAAAGAGTATAGTGGGAAAATACTTAGGAGACTGATGACAAGTCTCTTTACCTCTCTCTAAGATTTCTAATTGTGCCAGGCCAGAGCTTGGGAGAGGAAGAAGTTTGTTTGTTTGTTTTATTATATATATTTAAGGTATACAACATGAGGTTTTGCTACACTTAACTTGATATACATAAACATAGTGAAGTGAGTACTACGGTCAAGCAAATTAACAAAACCATCATCTCATATAACTACCTTTCTCTTTTTCTTTTATTTTTTGGAGGTAAGAGTACGTAAAATCTACTTTCTTGGCAAATTAACAGTATATAAAACAATCATATTAACAGTAGTCCCCATGTTGCACATTACATCTCTAGACTTACTAATTCTATGTAAGTGTAACTTTATACCCTTTGACCTATAATGTATTATTTTCCCCTGCCATACCCAGCCTGGTAGCCACCACTTTGCTCTCTATTTCTATGTATTCAGTTTTAAGATTTCACATATAAGTGAGATGATGCATCATGTATTTGTCTTTATGTGTTTGACTTATTTCACTTAGTATAATTCATCCATATTTTCACAAGTAACAGGACTTCCATATGACCCAGCAATCCCATTTCTAGGTGTATACCCAAAGGAAATGAAATCAGCATCTTATAAATATATCTCCATTCCCAGGTTCACTGGAGCATTATTTACAATAGCCAAGATATAGAAACAATCAAAGTATCCATCCACAGATGAGTGGATAAAAAATTGTTATATATATATTATATATTATATTACATATTTATATATAACATATATATGTAATATATATGGGAAAAGTTGCTTTTTTAAAAAACATTGATTGAGATTGACTTTAGTTTTACATTAAGCTGAACATTTTAGTACCTGGAAAATAGGATTATGTTTTCCAAAGGAGGACCAGAGAAAATAAGGAAATCTACCTAAGACATAAACCAGGAATATGGGAAAATTTAGTATATAGAGTAAGTTAGAGAGATAATCATTGAAAAGAAAAGTTATTTTCTACTTATACCTATAGACCCATACATTCAATAAGCCAGTTTAAAATATTGTAAAGTAATACTTTTTAAACATATTATAAAGAGCTCTCTCAGAAACTACAGTGTGTTGGAGAGCAGATGGAAAGAGAGGTACTTAATTGCTGACTCTACAGGCCTCTTGTTTCTACTTCAGCCATAGTAGTCCCCTATTATCAGTTTTATTTATTGGACTTCTTTGCAAAATTTCACTTAAATGAAAATGTTCACAGCCACAAATTATTGAATATCATAGTTTAAGATGCAATATTTAACACTGCAGATAATAAAGGTCATCTTTTATTGTAGCTGTGTACACAGTCAACTGTCCCTATTGGACTCTATGATTCTTTTAACAGTAATGACCTTATTTGTCTTTCTTTTATTATTATTATTATTATTATTATTATTATTTGGGGGGGGGCGGTGGACAGAGTCTCGCTCTGTCGCCCAGGCTGGAGTGCAGTGGCGTGATCTCAGCTCACTGCAAGCTCTGCCTCCCGGGTTCACACCATTCTTCTGCCTCAGCCTCCCAAGTAGCTGGGACTACAGGCTCCCGCCACCGCGCCTGGCTAATTTTTTGTATTTTTAGTAGAGACAGGGTTTCACCATGTTAGCCAGGATGGTCTTGATCTCCTGACCTCGTGATCCACCCGCCTCGGCCTCCCAAAGTGCTGGGATTACAGTATTGAGCCACCGCACCCAGCCTGTTTGTCTTTCTATCAGCAAGACTGCATAGAACACAGGAGGTCTGTATTTTGCTCACCAAATGAATCAATGATTCTACTCTTACATGCCACATTGGAGTTACAAACCCAATAACAATTTACTTTTTGTCTTCAGGCTATGATGAGATTCTACCTTGATAGTGAAATGGATCATATTTTAATCCTTATATTTAATTACATGAAAACACAGCTTTAATCCATAGTGCTTTTAGGTATAACATTTGATCACATGAAGGCAAGCAGCCTAGGCAATGATAACTCATAATGACTCCAAGTGCCTCCTAGTACTAAGTGTCACTTGTAGCAGGAAATTGGTGATTTTCAGTTGACATGAAGTGGAAAATTATTTCATGTCAATTGATGCTAGATGGTTCCATTTTTATTAAGCAGATGTAAAATGGCTTGGTGTGCAGGAAGCATTTAGTGCTAAGTGAGCTGACATTGATTTGGCTCTAGGGGCAGAGGTTCAAGAGGAATGTGGGAACTGGAAATGCCAGGGAAGACCAAAGTTGTCACATCGGATGAAGCCAGCATGCCTGTCTTTAACTTCTAATTCTTGTGGGATGCCTGGGTGGAAAGGAATCAAGAAGCTCAGTCCCCAAGCTGCTTATGGAATGTTGTAGAAAGCAGGTGTGGAATTTTGTTCTTGTAATTACTTTCCCTGCAAATTCTTGTACCACTGTGTAATCTGGTCTGGGGTTTGCCACTAACCCACTTTATGACCTTGTGCCAGTTGTTACTCCTCTCTGTGCCTGTATTCTCATCTGTGCAATATAGGGACATAAATTTATCCTTTTAGTGTTTTGCATTTTTATGTAAACTATGCTTTGTTCTCAACTGATATCTTATTAAATACTCACTGAAAATCCTGAAAAGTGGATCCTATACTTATCATTTTATAGATGAGAAAACTGTGATTCAGAGAGACAAACTGATTTGAGTCAATGTCACATGGCTAATAAGAGAAGGAACAAGTTTCTAAATCTATGAGATTCCAGATGCATCATTCTACTCTTGTGAAATACCCACACTCACATTTGAGCTATATGTATTTTTGTTTATAATGGAAAGAATATGAGGTTAGAAATCTTGCTCCTGGATTCAAATTTAAACTCATTTACCTGTACTGTTCTCCCATCATGGACAAAACTTTCTAAATTTTTTGGCCTCTGCTTTCTTAATTGTGCTAGAGAGAATAATATCCCCTACTTGTATCTATGCTCTAATACCTATATCTTGTGCATATATTACCTTAAATTGAAAAAAAGACTTGACCTATGTGATTAAGATTGAAGACTTTGAGATGGAGTGATTATCCTGGCTTATCTGGATGGGCCCAGTCTAATCACATGAATTTCTAGAAGTAAACAAGGAAGGCAGAATAGTGGGTCAGAGAAACAGAAGGACAGAAGGAGAGTCAGGAGAGATGGCAGTGTGAAAAGGCTTGACACCTTGTTGCTGATTCTGACATATAGGGGCCTCTAGGGCCTGAGTGGTTTCTGGTTGATAACAGGTAAATGGAGACTATAGTGCTGCAACCACATGGAACTGAATTGAATTCTTCCCTATAGTCCCCAAAAAGTAACACAGCCTTCTGGTACCTTGATTTTAACCCTGTGAGACTCATGCCAAACTGCTGACCTATAGACTGTAAAATAATAAATTTGAGCTATTTTAAGCCTCTAAATTTAAGGTAGTTTGTTATGACAGCAATAGAAAACTAATGCATCAACTCTAAAGTGAAAATAGCAAGGTAGACAGTGTCAGGAAGAACAGAGAGATCAGAACCCTGCTTATAGAGGAGGAGAATTGAAAGAACATCCTGAGATACTAAAACTTAAGGTGACATGGGTTTGAGAGTTCCTCGAAGCTTATGCTGTAAGTACACTTGCTGCTTGGCAAAGTCTAAAGAAAGGACATCATACATTATTTTTGGAACTGATATAAAAGAAAAAAAGTTCAGAAATAAACTCGCGATCTCTGGCTAAACACAAATTAATTGTGACAAGGCATCTCTAAATTGCTTATAATCTATCCTAGTCCCTCAGGTTGTGACATTGAAGTCTGAACTGAATTATGGTGGATGAGGTTTCCAGACTTGGAAAAAGCCAAATACTGATGAATTCAATCTTATTCATGGGGAAAAAAGAAAATTATCTCTAGTTTGAGGAAAAAAGAAATAACCTGTAGGCTCTATTATTATCCTTAAATAAACTACCCTTAGCTATAATCTTTTGTTGGCTTTGAACCCAAATGTCTAAGGATCTGAGCAGGCTAGTGGATTTCTCTAGAGAGAAGATAGTGTTGCTGTTACAGAGAGTGATGTACAGTGGTCTAAGCTCAGACATTGAGAGCCCACTGGACCTTGGCTTGACCTCGTTAGTGCTCTTTCTTTTCCCACCTGGTTCCCTTTGTTTTTACATTTTTCTTCACATTCTCTACCGGTAAACCCTACTCATCCTTCAGGAGTCAATTCAAATGGTACCCCTCTTTGAAGCTTATCAAGTATCATATAAATCCTCCTCACTCTCCAATTCTGTCTCTAGCCCAAATCTCCTCTCTGGGAGCCAAATTTATACACTCAACATTCTGTTTGCCATCTGCTCTTGGAAGTTGCAAAATGTACATGTCTAAAACGGAAATGCTGACTCTTATTCCACCCCAAATATATCCTGCTCCCAATCTCTGCCATTTCAGCAAATGGGAAACAAAAGCAACTCAATTGATAAGGCCAAAATCCTTGAGACATTCTTCATTCTATCTTTTTATTCACTACCTGTAATCAATCCATTAGTAAGTCATAATAATTCCTCCATTCAGTATCTACCCCAAATCACCTGAATTTCTAATGTCACCACCATGGCCCAACTCACCATCATTTTTCATGTGGAGTACTTGGATGGTCTCTTAGTTCTACCACCCCAGCCTTCTAAAGTCCACTGTAATCTATTGTTTACACAAAAGACAGAGATCTCTTAAAGATATAATTCATTATCCTGTTACTCTTCTGCATAAATCTCTATAGATGAATAAACCCCACCAAGCAAAATTAAGTGATTCCTTTGTTTCTTCTGTAAAACTCCTTTTATTGATCATCCAGCCTTGGTGTAAAAATCTGTCTCTTTGCAATTCCCTTGCAATTTCCACCATTCATTTGAGTTAGACTTTGGAGACTGTACAGAGCCAGCTTAATCTTTCTTCCAAATGACAGATTTTCACATCCCAGTAGTATACCCTTTCACTTCTACACCTTGACTTTCAAAGTTAATATATCTAGCTTAGTGAAAACCAGACTTGGGTGGCGAGGGCTTATTGTGTAGATAAGGAATCTAACAAACTCGAGGAGAGTGGTGTACCCAAGATCAAGTGAAGAGGTAGTACCACACCAGAACTGGAAACCAGACCTTCTGACTCCCAGTCCAGTGCTCTCTCTACCACATCTCACCAATTCCTGGCCATAAAGTCATCAGGCAATGGAGTCTTCATCTTAGTAAGTGACATCACCCCTTAGTTCTAAGAGGGCCACATGTCATTTCCTTCACCAAACACCCAATTCTGTGCCATTTTCCATTCCAATTAGACACTGTCTGGAAAACATGAAAGAGTGGAATGTTTTTATATAAGACCAGAACTCCAAGTTGGTCAAGGAGAATGTGTCCAAAGCACTTACGTTGTCTGGAAAACACACGTAGGTGCTCAAATGTGTGTATGTTTTCATGGGAAGAAAAGGAAGGCTTTGAAGTTTGGTTTTGGTACAATGGAGATTTTTTCCAAAAAGTATATGGAAGGTGATGATCTATGAAATATCAGAATTAGCTCCAGAAAGAAACCTGTCTCATAAGGTCTTTGATAATGAGAGGTACTAATTTCATGTGATTCTTAATGATCGCATGATGAAGTTTCCAAACAAGGAAACCTGTTACTCAGGTTCCGACAGGACACTCATCAATAACTGATGTATGTCAACCCCACATGAGCCTACTTTTGTGTCATTCCAGAGTTGAAGACTCCTACATCATGGATTGGGTGTGGAAAGGGTAAATAAGGAGAGGGCTTAAGAAACTTAAAGTAGGCAGATCATGAGGTTAGGAGATCAAGACCATCCTGGCTAACACAGTGAAACCCCGTCTCTACTAAAAATACAAAAAAAAATTAGCCAGGCGTGGTGGCAGGCGCCTGTATTCCCAGCTACTCGGGAGGCTGAGGCAGGAGAATGGCGTGAACCTGGGAGGCGGAGCTTGCAGTGAACCGAGATCGCACCACTGCACTCCAGCCTGGGTGAAAGAGCAAGACTCCGTCTCAAAAAAAAAAAAAAAAAAGAAACCGTAGCAGTAAAAATCATGCTCCTGTGGTATATGTGTTCATACCTACCTCAGCCACTAGGAGAAAAAAGATTCAGACTGGAAACCTAGTGAGAGGCCCCAAGTTCTGCTCCTACTTCCCACAAGCAAGTGACTCAAACTCTGTGCTTCAGATTCCTAATTTCTAAAATAAGTAGCTCAAACCATACCAGAACTCCCCAGAGTATATCCAGTGGAACATCATTTCTCAAGATGCTGAAGTAAGGAATCTGTGTTAAAATGAATTCAGTTGATGTTGTAACACACATCACGCTTTATGATTCATAGTGCATATTAGCTATCAAAAGTTCAGATTGGCCCTTAAGTAATGAAATTCATTTTTTCATGGAATCACTTAAAAGCATTCTGTAGAAACAAGGACCTAAAAAAATGCTTTGGGAAAACCAGATGGAGTACTTTCAGACACTTCTTTGGGATTTAAACTGTGGTCCTGTAGAGAGTACACCATGCTTGGAGACTTGTAGTTCCAGATAATTATCTCTCATTTGGCGTTGGCCCTTATTCAGAATTTTTTTTCTTACCTTACTTTCCACTCTTAGCTAATTGTCACATACATTCACTTCCTATATTTGTGTTAATCAGAACCCTTCTAGTCTCTAGTTATGGAAGCCTAACTAAAAGTACCAAAATAAAATAATGGTTTGGGAATGAATAGTTTTGGCCTATGATATCTGAAAAATTCAAGAATAACATAGCATAATTGATTGTCGCCAAAGATGGGCACCAGGAACTCCTCTATCCTCTGAAACTGAGGAGAGCAAAGATCACCTGGTGACCATCAAGCAGACCATCCAGAGGCAAATTCCTTATCTGAGGAATTTAGAAATAATTAGACTTCCCTATTATCTAAAGCAGGCATCTGGTTCCAGATTTCTTTCCCAAAAATGTGTAATTAACTGGAATTTCTATACATCTCTGGAATGCACGCATGTTGAAACTAACTGTGCAACCCTTGCTGACATCAAGGCACCAAAATGTCTACAAATGTAATCATTTATCATGACCTATGTGGCTAATATGGTCTAAATTATCCCAAGCTCCCACTTTAAGGTCCATATATACCCCTCAGGAAAAATCCACCACCACACACTGAGTCCTCTCTTGCTGAGGCATCCCGCTGCACTCTTCTGCAGTGTTCTTTCTAATAAAACTTTCCTTTTTCAAACCTATACTGTTGTCGTCATATAATTCTTACTAACCTGCAAGACGAACACTTTCCAGTGCTGGGGTTCTGAGACTTAGCCCCGCAGAAACTTTAAAACACTTTGCATCAGAAAGTGGAGTCTAATTCCCCTATCCCTGAATTTACAAGCTAAAACTTGTAAGCTTCTTTGGCCAATAAAATGTAGCAGACGTGATGCTGAAAGAGTCTGGGCTTGTCCCTTAAGACGTTTAATTGCTGCCTTTCTTGCTCTTTTGCTCATTTGCTATGTAAATGAGCCTGAGCCGACTACTGGACTGCTGAATGATAAGAGAAAAGTAGGTATGAGGAGAGAGAGAGAGAGAGAGAGAGGAGAGAGAAGAGAGAGAAGGAAAGAGAGATCAGAAGATGAGAACTGAGGTTCTGTAGCAGACAGCCAGCGCTGGGGCCCCAGATACTTAAGTGTTTCCCCGGAATGTTATAGCCTCAGCCAAGCTCCTGACTGAAGGAAGCACCCTTATTTATTGACTCCAGTCAACACCATATGCAGCAGAAGAACCACAAGATGATCCCAAAATTATAAGAAAAGTGTTTTTTTAAAAAGTTGTTTTTAAGTCCTTAAGTGTTAAGAGAAATGCTAGATAGGGCTAAATAACTGGGGAAAAAAAAAAAAGAAAAGAAATTAGTGTGAACGTGACAAAAATATAAAATACGTGGCATTGGCTTTGGGACCAGGCTGCAAGCGGAGGCCAGAGGGTGATGAAACTCTTAGTGGAGGATGGTGCAGAAGTGTGGAAATTGCTTTGGGGGCTGCAGGAAGGGTGATGGGTGTTATGAGTAGAAACATTATTACTTAGAGTAAAATTGAAATTTTAAGAAAAAATCGACCCAATGAGCTTGTGAATCTTGCCGAGATTTTCAGGAAGAATATTGACAGTATTAATTGGGTCTTTTGTCTGCCTATTATGAGAATGGAGACTCAGTTAAGAAAGAGATGTTCATTTCCCAATCAGAATTTAGAGAAAATACTTCCAACCTAGGATTTACAGGACTCGAAAATAGAACTGTATCTAATTCTCATCTACTCCCGCTGGCATATGACTAGAAAGTAAGATATGACCTCGGGGCAAATGTAATAACCTGGATACTTCCAGTGAAACGTG
This sequence comes from Homo sapiens, assembly GCF_000001405.40. NCBI lineage: Eukaryota > Metazoa > Chordata > Mammalia > Primates > Hominidae > Homo > Homo sapiens. The sequence goes on along the minus strand of NC_000009.12, from coordinate 115,711,809 downwards.
AGGATGGGATCAAGGTCAAATCTAAGGTGTGGTTTTATCACCCATTATTAAGACATCAGACATTTTTAAGTTGTTACATTTAAATCTTTCTCAGGTAGTCCACAGAGCTAAAAATCTTTAAGGGTATTGTTCCACAGCATGTTGATTCTGAGTCCGAAGTGGAGAGAGTTAGAATTTGAAGAGATAATACAGGTGTGAGAGTATCTCAAGTCAATTATAACTGGATATGTAGAGACCCCATAAAGTTTTTTATTGTTATTTTTTAGTGTGATTATTCTGATATCTTTTAAAAACTAGCTCGACTGATGGATTTTTATGCCAAAAAATTCACCAACTGTAAGTATACAGTTTTTTGAGTTTTGGCAAATGTCTACAATCATGTAACCACCACCAAAGTCAAGAAATGTTGGGTAGAAGTGGTGGCTCACACCTGTAATCCCAGCACTTTGGGAGGCCGAGGTGGGCAGATCACCTGAGGTCAGGAGTTCAAGACCAGCCTGGCCAACATGGCGAAACCCATCTCTACTAAAAATACAAAAATTAGCCTGGTGTGGTGGCACACGCCTGTAATCCCAGCTACTCAGGAGGCTGAGGCACCAGAGTCACCTGCACCCGGGGACGCTGAGGCACAAGAATCGCTTGAACTGGGAGGTGGAGGTTGCAGTGAGCAGAGACCTCAACATTGCACTCCAGCCTGGGCGACAGAGCAACAACAACAACAAAAGATATAGAGCATTTTATTGCTCTCTTGCAAACACCTCTGCCAGGCAAAGATTCATAACAACTATCAATTTGCTATCTGTTACTCTAGTTTTAACTTTTCTAGAATTTCTTAACAATTTAATTATATAGCATGGAGGAATTTTTGCCTGCCTACTTACCCTTAGAATAACCAAAATTTGAAATTTTGAAACTAATAATAAATGTATTAATAGTTCGTTTCTTTTAATGGCTGATTAGTATTTGGTTGGTATAACATAATTTATTTGTTCATTTATCAGTTGATAGATATTTTGGTTGTTTCCTACATTTAACTATTAAGGAAAACAACTGCTGTGAACATTCTAGTACAGGTTTTATTGTCAACATAGGTTTCTACCTTTCTTGCATAAATACCTAGGAATTGGATTGCTAGATTATGTAGTGAATACTTATTTAATTTTGTAAGAAAAATCAAACTACTTTCCAAAGTAGCTTACAATTTTGCGTTCCCACAGCAATGATTGAGAGTTCCAGTTGTTCTACAGTCTCATCAACACTTGGGATGGTTAAACCAATGATACCCATTTGGGTATGTATGTAGTGGTATCTTCTGGTTTTGATATGCATTTGTCTAATGGCTAATGATATTGCACATCTTTTCATGTGCCTTGGCCGTAACATTTTTTTTTAACTTGGAGTTTTTGTTTTCTTGTTATTAAGCCTTAAGTATATATATATATGTATGTGTGTGTGTGTGTGTGTGTATACATATATGTGTATATATGCATACATATATAATATAAACCCTTAATCAGATGTATGGTTTGTAAATTTTTTCTTTCAGTCTACTCTGTGACTTACCTTTGTTATTTCTTAACAATGTCTTTCAAGGAGCAAAATTTTTAACTTTGGTAAAATACATCTTAGACATTTTGAAGTTTTCAGTTCATGATTATGCATCCTTTCTAAGAAATATTTGTCTAAACAAGTAGCAGGAAGATTTTTCTCACTATAATCACCAAAATAGTATGGTACTGGTATAAAAATAGGCACATAGACCAATGGAACAGAATAGAGAACCCTGAAATAAAGCCAAATTATTACAGCCAACTGATCTTTGACAAAACAAATAAAAACATACAGTGGGGAAAAGACTTCCCATTCAACAAATGGTGCTGGGATCATTGGCAAGCCACATGTAGAAGAATGAAACTGGATTATCTCCCACCTTATGCAAAAATCAACTCAAGATGCATCAAAAACTGAAATCTAAGACCTGAATCATAAAAAATTCTAGAATATAACATCAGAAAAACCCTTCTAGACATTGGCTTAGGAAAAGACTTTGTGACCAGGAACCCAAAAGCAAATGCAACGAAAAACAAAGATGGAGCTTAATTAAACTAAAAAGCTTCCGTACAGAAAAGAAAAAAAAAATCAGTAAACAGACAACTCACAGAATGGGAGAAAATCTTTGCAAAATATGCATCCGAAAAAGGGCTAATATTCAGAATCTATGAGAAACTCAAATAAATCAGCAAGAAAAATACAAACAATGGCAACAAAAAGTGGGCTAAGGTTATTAATAGACAGTTCACTAAAGAAGATGTACAAATGGCCAACAAACATATGAAAAAAAAGCTCAGCATCACTAATGATCAGGGAAATGCAAATCAAAACAACAATGCTATACCACCTTACTCCTGCAATAATTTTTTTTTATTATTATTATACTTTAAGTTCTAGGGTACATGTGTATAACCTGCAGGTTTGTTACATATATATGTATACATGTGCCATGTTGGTTTGCTGCACCCATTAACTCGTCATTTACATTAAGTATTTCTCCTAATGCTATCCCTCCCCCATTCCCCCACCCCACGGCAGGCCCTGGTGAGTGACGTTCCCCTTCCTGTGTCCAAGTGTTCTCATTGTTCAATTCCCACCTGTGAGTGAGAACATGCAGTGTTTGGTTTTCTATCCTTGTGATAGTTTGCTCAGAATGATGGTTTCCAGCTTCATCCATGGGGCTACGAAGGACATTAACTCATCCTTTTTAATGGCTGCATAGTATTCCATGGTGTATATGTGCCACATTTTCTTAGTCCAGCCTATCATTTATGGACATTTGGGTTGGTTCCAAGTCTTTGCTATTGTGAATAGTGCCATAATAAACATATGTGTGCATGTGTCTTTATAGTAGCATAATTTATAATCCTTTGGGTATGTACCCAGTAATTGGATGGCTGGGTCAAATGGTATTTCTAGTTCTAGATCCTTGAGGAATTGCCACACTGTCTTCCACAGTGGTTGAACTAGTTTACAGTCCCACCAACAGTGTAAAAGCATTCCTATTTCTCCACATCCTCTCCAGCACCTGTTGTTTCCTGACTTTTAAATGATTGCCATTCTAACTGGTGTGAGATGGTATCTCATTGTGGTTTTGATTTGCATTTCTCTGATGACCAGTGATGATGAGCATTTTTTCATGTGTCTGTTGGCTGCATAAATGTCTTCTTTTGAAAAGTGTCTGTTCATATCCTTTGCCCACTTTTTGATGGGGTTGTTTGATTTTTTCTTGTAAATTTGTTTAAGTTCTTTGTAGATTCTGGATATTAGCCCTTTGTCAGATGGGTAGATTGCAAAAATTTTCTCCCATTTTGTAGGTTGCCTGTTCACTCTGATGGTAGTTTCTTTTGATATGCAGAAGCTCTTTAGTTTAATTAAATCCCATTTGTCTATTTTGGCTTTTGTTACCCTTGCTTTTGGTGTTTTAGTCATAAAGTCCTTGCCCATGCCTATCCTGAATGGTATTGCCTAAGTTTTCTTCTAGGGTTTTTATGGTTTTAGGTCTAACATTTAAGTCTTTAATCCATCTTGAATTAATTTTTGTATAAGGTATAAGGAAGAGATCCAGTTTCAGCTTTCTACATATGGCTAGCCAGTTTTCCCAGCACCATTTATTAAATAGGGAATCCTTTCCCCATTTCTTGTTTTTGTCAGGTTTGTCAAAGATCAGATGGTTGTAGGTGTGTGGTGTTATTTCTGAGGGCTCTGTTCTGTTCCATTGGTCTATATCTCTGTTTTGGTACCAGTACCATGCTGTTTTGGTTACTGTAGCCTTGTAGTATAGTTTGAAGTTAGGTAGCATGATGCCTCCAGCTTTGCTCTTTTTACTTAGGATTGTCTTGGCAATGTGGGCTCTTTTTTGGTTATGTATGAACTTTAAAGTAGTTTTTTCCAATTCTGTGAAGAAAGTCATTGGTAGCTTGATAGGGATCGCATTGAATCTATAAATTACCTTGGGCGGTATGGCCATTATCACAGTATTGATTCTTCCTACCCATGAGCATGGAATGTTCTTCCATTTGTTTGTATCCTCTTTTATTTCATTGAGCAGTGGTTTGCAGTTCTCCTTGAAGAGGTCCTTCACATCCCTTGTAAGTTGGATTCCCAGGTATTTTATTCTCTTTGTAGCAATTGTGAATGGGGGTTCACTCATGAAGAAATAACTAAGATCAGAGTGGCGCTGAAGGAGATAGAGACACAAAATCCCTTCAAAAAATCAATAAATCAAGGAGTTGGTTTTTTGAAAAGATCAACAAAATTGATAGATCGCTAGCAAGACTAATAAAGAAGAAAAGAGAGAAGAATCAAATAGATGCAATAAAAAATGGTAAAGGGGATATCACCACTGATCCCACAGAAATGCAAACTGTCATCAGAGAATACTATAAATACCTCTACGCAAATAAACTAGAAAATCTAGAAGAAAAGAATAAATTCCCGGACACATACACCCTCCCAAGACTAAACCAGGAAGAAGTTGAATCACTGAATAGACCAATAACAAGTTCTGAAATTGAGGCAATAATTAATAGCCTACCAACCAAAAAAAGTCCAGGGCCAGACGGATTCACAGCTGAATTCTACCAGAGGTACAAAAAGGAGCTGGTACTATTCCTTCTGAAACTATTCCAATCAATAGAAAAAGAGGGAATCCTCCCTGACTCATTTTATAAGGCCAGCATCATCATGATACCAAAGCATGGTGGAGACACAACAAAAAAAGAGAATTTTAGACCAATATCCTTGATGAACATCGATGCAAAAATCCTCAATAAGATACTGGCAAACCGAGTCCAGTAGCACATCAAAAAACTTATCCACCAAGATCAAGTTGGCTTTATTCCTGGGATGCAAGGCTGGTTCAACATACGCAAATCAATAAACGTAATCCATCACATAAACAGAACCAAAGACAAAAGCCACATGATTATCTCAATAGATGCAGAAAAGGCCTTTGACAAAATTCAACAGCTCTTCATGCTAAAAACTCTCGATAAACTAGGTATTGATGGAACGTATCTCAAAATAATAAGAGCTATTTGTGACAAACCCACAGCCAGTATCATACTGAATGGGCAAAAACTGGAAGCATTCCTTTTGAAAACTGGCACAAGACAGGGATGCCCTCTCTCACCACTCCTATTCAACATAGTGTTGGAAGTTCTGGCCAGGGCAATCAGGCAAGAGAAAGAAATAAAGGGTATTCAATTAGGAAAAGAGGAAGTCAAGTTGTCTCTGTTTGCAGATGACATGATTGTATATTTAGAAAACCCGATCTTCTCAGCCCCAAATCTCCTTAAACTGATAAGCAACTTCAGCAAAGTCTCAGGATACAAAATCAATGTGCAAAAATCACAAGCATTCTTATACACCAATAACAGACAAACAGAGTGCAAGAACTTTTTAAATCAAAAAATAAAAAATAATAGATGTTGGTGTGGATGTGGTGAAAAGCGAACACTTTTATACTGGTGGTGGGAATGTAAACTAGTACAACCACTATGGAAAACAGTGTGGAAATTCCTTAAAGAACGAAAAGTAGATCTACCATTTGATCCAGCAATCCCACTCTTGGGTATCTACCCAGAGGAAAAGAAGTCATTATTTGAAAAAGACACTTGCACATGCATGTTTATAGCACTAGAATTTGCAGTTACAAAAATATGGAATCAGTCCAAATGCCCATCAATCAATGAGTGGATAAAGATAAAGAAAATGTGATACACACACACACACACACACACATACACACACACACACACACACACAGAGACACACCATGGAATATAAAGTAATGAAATAATGACATATTCAGTAACCTGGATGGAACTAGAGACCATCACTCTAAGTATAAAAACTCAGGAATAAAAAACCAAACATCATATGCTCTCACTTATAAGTGGGAGCTAAGCTATGAGGATACAAAGGCATAAATATGATACAACAAACTGTGAGGACTCAGGAGAAAGGGTGGGAGTGGGTGAGGGATAAAAGTCTACACATTGAGTAGAGTGTACACTGTTCAGGTGAGGGGTGCACCAAAATCTCAGAAATTGCCACTAAAGAACTTATCCATGTAACCAAACACCACCTGTTGCCCAAAGACCTATTGAAATAAAAAATTAAAATTAAGAAAGGTAAATGGTAGTCCCTCTGATCCATGCATAGACAATTGAGAGTTTAAATAGAGCACATCATCTAATGACTTAACTCTATTTTTAATAAAGTAACTGTTAAAAAGAGGTTTTTTCTCCTATGATTTTTATGAGCTTTATAGCTTTAAAGCTAAATGTTTAACAGATTTGGCTATATAATGCACTTCCAGTTAATTTTTATATGTAATGTGAGATAAGGGTTAATTTTTTCAATAGATCTCCAGTTTCTCTGCTGTTTGTTGAAAAGACAAATATACAACCATTCAATTACTTTGACATCCTTCTTAAAAATAAACTGATCACATATAAACATGTCTATTTCTAGACTTTCAATTTCATTGTAATAATCTATATGTTTTTCTTATCCTAAACCACAGTTTATAGTAAGTCTTGAAAACAAGTAGGGTAAGATGTCCAATTGTATTGTTCATTTCAATAACATTTTTGACTATTCCATGTTACTTACATTTCCACATACATTTTATTATCAGCATGTCTGTTTCTACAACAACTCCTGCTAGGATTTTGTTTGGGATTGTTTTGAATCTATTTGACAAGAATTGTTGAAATGTTTTCTTAATGAATTGTGTTTTCTCCTCATGAACATGGTATATCTCTCTGTTTACTTAGGTCTTCTTTAATTTCTTTCAGCAGTTTTGTAGATTTCAAAGTACAGTCCTTGTACATATGTTGTTAAATGTATCCCTTAAGTATTTCATAATTTTGATGCAATTGTAAATGGTACTTAAAAATTTAATTTTAGTTATTTTATGTTAATATAAACAAATAAATGTATTTGAAGAAAAGAGTTTATGAAGGTGAAATTCAAATAACACAAAATTAACTAAAGTGAATAATTCAATTGCCTATAGTATATTCATGAAGTCATGCAACTATCACTTCCATCAAGTTCAAAAATATTTCCATCATTCCAAAGTAAAATCTCTTATTCATTAATCAGTTTTACCCCATTTCCTCCCTCCTCCATGCCCTGGCAACCACCAATCTGCTTTCTGTCTCTATGGATTTATCTATTATGAATATTTCATATAAAGGAATTATAAAAATTGTGCCTAGTTTTTCCATTTAGCATAATATTTGCAGACCCACCCACATTGTTGCATGTATGAATACTTCATCTTTTTCTGTGAATGAGTAATATTATATTGTATGTATATACCATAATTTTTAAATCTATTCATTTGTTAGTGGACATATGAACTGTTTTCACCTTTTGGCTGTGATGAGTAGTGTTGCTGTAAACATATATTTATATGTACTTGTTTGAGTACCTCTTTCAGTTTATTTGAATATATACCTAGTAAGAGAATTACAAGTTTATATAGTAATTGTATATTTATATTTTTAAGGAAATGACAGATCATGGTGATTAAATTATTATACAGTTCCACAAGAAACGTTTGAGGGGACCAATTTCTCCACATCCCTGTCAACTTTTTTTTCTTTTCCTTTTTTTATTATGGTTATCCTAGTGGTACCAATAAAATGATACCTTATTGTGATTTTGATTTTCATTTCTCTAATGACAAATTATATTGAACGTCATTATCACTTTATTTACTTGATGACCATTTATATATCTTCTTTGAAGAAATGTCTACTCAAATTACATGCCCATTTTAAAAATGTGTTGTTAGTCTTTTTGTGGTTGAGTTGACTTATTTATATATACTGGATGTTAGACCCTTATCAGATATACTATTTGTAAGTATTTTCTCTCATTCTTTCAGGTGGATATCAAGTTGTTCCAGCATTATTTGTTAAAGAAACTATTCTTTCCTCTTTTAAATTGCTTTGGCACCCTTGTTGAAAATCAAATGGCCATAGATATATGGATTTATTTCTGGACCCTCAATTCTATCTCATTTGGCCTTTGTGTCTATCCTTATGACTGTACTACACTGTTTTGATTGCTTAAGCTTTGTAGTGAGATTTGAAATCAGGAAACATGAGTCCTCCAACTTTGTTCTTCTTTTTCAAGATTGTTTTGGTTATTTGGGGACATATATAATTCCATATGAATTTGAGGATTGGCTTTTCTATTTCTGCAAGAAAAAAAAGAGGCCATTGAAACATAGATTGCATTGAGTCTGTAGCTTGCTTTGAGTAATATTGATATCTTGACAATATTAAATCTTCCAGTACATGAACATGGAATGAATTTTCTTTCATTTCTTGACAATATTAAATCTTCTAATACATGAGTATTGAATGCATTTTCATTCATTTTAGTCTTCAATTTCTTTCACCATTGTTTTATAGTTTTCATTTCTTCCTGGGTATTTTATTATTTTGGATGCTAAAAAAATTGACTTGTTTTCTTAATTTCCTTCTTGAAATGTTTATTGCTTGTATATAGAATAACAACTGATATTTGCGCGTTGGTCTTAACATTACAACATTGCTGAATTTATGTGTTAGCCCTAGTAGCTCTTTTGTTAATTCATTTAGATTTTCTAAATATAGAATCATGTCATCTGTTAATACAATCACTTTACTTCATATTTTAAGGTTTGAATATGTTTTATTATTTTTTCTTACATAATTACTATAGCTAGAACTTCTAACACAATTTTGACTAACAGTGTTCAGAGTGTGAAATCTTTTCTTGTTTCTTCAGGGAAAATATTTCAGCCATTTACCATTGAGTAAGATGCATGCTGTGGGTTTTTCATAAATGTCCTTTATCCATGTTAAGGAAGTTCCCTTCTATTCCTAGTTTCTGAGTACTTTTATATATATATATTTTATTATACTTTAAGTTCTAGGGTACATGTGCACAATGTGCAGGTTTGTTACATATGTATACATGTGCCATGTTGGTGTGCTGCACCCATTAACTCAACATTTACATTAGGTGTATCTCCTAATGCTATCCCTCCCCGCTCCCCCCACCCCACAACAGGCCCCGGTGTGTGATGTTCCCCTTCCTGTGTCCAGGTGTTCTCATTGTTCAATTCCCACCTATGAGTGAGAACATGTGGTGTTTGGTTTTTTGTCCTTGTGATAGTTTGCTCAGAATGATGGTTTCCAGCTTCATCCATGTCCCTACAAAGGACATGAACTCTTCATTTTTTATGGCTGCATAGTATTCCATGGTGTATATGTGTCACATTTTCTTAATCCAGTCTATCATTGTTGGACATTTGGGTTGGTTCCAAGTCTTTGCTATTGTGAGTAGTGCTGCAATAAACATACGTGTGCATGTGTCTTTATAGCAGTATGATTTATAATCCTTTGAGTGTATACCCAGTAATGGGATGGCTGGGTCAAATGGCATTTCTAGTTCTAGATCTCTGAGGAATCACCACACTGTCTTCCACAATGGCATCTCACACCAGTTATAATGGCGATCATTAAAAAGTCAGGAAACAACAGGTGCTGGAGAGAATGTGGAGAAATAGGAACACTTTTACACTGTTGGTGGGACTGTAAACTAGTTTTGAGTACTTTTAACATGACATGATGTTAAATGATTGGATTTTTGCCAAATGGTTTTTTGAAATCAATTGAGATAATTGTGTGGGTTTTTTCCTCTTTATTCTATGAATATGATGTATTACTTTGATTTTTTTTCAATGTTGAGCCACTCTTGCATTTCTGCAGTAAATCCCACTTGGTCTTTTAGATATGCTATAGAGTTCAGTTTGCTAGCATTTTGTTGTGGCTATTTGTATCCATTTCAATGATGAATATTTGTATGTAATTTTATTTTCTGATGTGTTTATCTGGCTTTGTTATATGGTTAATGCTGGACTCATACAATAAGTTAGAAAGTGTTTCCTTATACATTTTTGGAAGATTTTGAGAAAGACTAATGTTAATTCTTCTTGAGATATTTTACAAAATTCACCAGTGAGGCTGTCTGATCCTGGACTTTTATTTTTTAGGTAACATTATTTTTTTCTTATAAACTTTCTATTTTACAAATTTGCCAAACTAATTTATTAATTCTAATAACATATATTGTAAGATTATAAGGATATTTGAAATAGAGAATCATATCATCTGCAGATAAAAACAGCTTCACTTCTTTTCAACATTATATGATATTTTTCTTGCCTTGTTGCACTGGCTAGGAACAATAATATAATGATAAACAGAAGTTTTGAAAGTGAACATCTTTGCTATTTTCCCTAATTTTAGCGGGAAGCATCTCGTATTTCACTGTTAATTTTTATGTTAGCTTTAGGAATTCTTAGGTGCCTTTATCAGTTTGATAATTTTTTCTTATTTTTTCTACTTTTCCTAAAAATTACTTAAGAGTATGTATTGGATCTCATCAAAAGTTTTTTTCTGCATCTATTGAGAGGATTATATATTTTTTATTTTATAGTCTAATAATAGGATGGATTGCATTGTTTCCCAATTGTTAAATTAATTTTACATTACTGACTAAACCCATTTGGTCATAATGTACTAAATGTTTTAGATGTTGCTGGATTCAATTTGTTTGAAAAACATTCTTGCACTTGTGTTCATGAAGAATGTTGGTCTATAGTTGACTTTTTATAATAGTTGACTTTTTATAATAGTAGCTCATTTTGAGAATGCATTGAGCATGATTTCAGTCATTTTAAATTTATTGCAATTTGTTTTATGTACTAGAATATGGCCTATAATAGTGAATGCTGTTTGAAAAGAAGGTGTGTTCTATTCTTTGGGGTGAAGTATTCTATAAATTTTTATCAGGTCAGGTTGGTTTATGATTTTGTTCAGATTTTCTCTATCCTTATTGATTTTTATGTTTGTTAGCTTGTTTTATCAGTTCCTGAGAAGGGAGTGTTGAAACCTCCAACTAGATTTGTACATTTTTCTTTCCTTTTCTATTACTAATGTTTTTTGCTTTATGCACTTTGAAGTTTCAATACTTGATGCATTCATATTCAAGATTATTATGCCCTGTTGATTAACCTCTTATCATTATGGAATGTCTCTCTTTGTCTTTAGTAATATCGTTATTCTGAATCTGTTTTGTTTAATATTAATATAGCTACTCTATCATTCTTTTGGTACGATTTTCCTTGGCATATCTTCTTTTTCCGTTTACTTCTAAACTCTCTGTCTTTATGTTGAAATGAATTTCTTATAGACAATATATAAGTATGGTTTACATTTTATCCAATCTGAAAATCTATGCCTTTTATTTGGTACATTTAGACCCTTTAAATTTTATGCAATTAAAATTTGGTAAATCTACTACTCTGCAAATTGTTTTCTATTTGTCTCATGTGTTCTTCTCTCCCCATTTCTTTTAGGTTAATTGACTATTTTTATTATTCCATGATACATATACTTATGTTTTATTGGTTATAATGCGTTTTACATTTTAGTGGTTATTCAACCATTAACTAATATTATACCACTTTATATATAGTGTAAGTACTTTATAACATAGCATTTTTATATTATTCTTTCATCCTGTGTGCTATCGTGTTCAGAGTTTTATTTCTACATATGTTATAAATAGCAAAATAGATGATTTTACGTTGTTCTGTTGGTGGCCTTTATTGAATGAGGTCTTTTATTATTATTGTCACCACCATTACCATTATCATGTTGACATTTTCGATCTGTTTAGCTCTTTAGAAAAATACCTAGTATTTTTGGATTTTTAAAGTTTTTGTATCTGTAAAACAGTGAGAAGATTTTTCTCATAAAATTATAAGAAATTTTTCTTCATAAAATATGGCACATTGCAGGCATTTTATAAGGGCTGAGTGAACTTCATGAAATAAGTATGAAACACATGTATAGCTCTGTGCTAGGCACTAAGGGAAACAGAAGTAAGTATAGGAATATTAACCTGCATTTACAGAATTAATTATGAATTTCAATTATGGAAAAAATAGAGTATATATTAAATACTGATTTGGAAGTTCAATTTGAATTTCTTATAAATCTTAATAGAAGTGATGTAGACATGCAAGATTAAACTCAGATTAAGAATTTTGTGTAATAATAATTATTGGAGTCAAAAGAGATATCAAAGAGAGAAGTGACTATGTGCTCTGATATAAAACCGTTTCTAGAAATTGAGAACATTAATTTCAATAGGATAAATGAGGACTGTAGCTGAAACAAAAACATAGAAGCAAGATTGTTCAAAATGTATTTGCTTATCCATATCTTCTATTTCACTGATAGGCCAACTAAGTACAGGGTGCCATTAAATCTTGGCTGAATTAAGTTAATTGCTTTTTCCATTTTTGCAAGCTCAGAGTGAGACATCAAATCCATTCCCTCCTTATATTCTGTCCTTAAGTATAATAGTAACCATCTATCAGATTCCCAGTAGTGAAAGAGGCAAATAAAGAGAAGATACATGAAGTGTTAAGGAATTGAAGTTAAGGAATTTGCATGCTCTGTGGGGAAATAGGTTACAAAAGCATTTATGCAGAGGCAAGAATCTCTAGGATTGTTTTTATTGATGCATAACAATTGTATAGATTTATGGGGATACATGTGATATTTTGGTACATGTATACAATGCGTAATTATCAATCAGGATAGTTATGCCATCCATCACCTCAAATATTTACCATTTCTTTGTGTTGAGAATATTCCAAATCTTCTCTCCTAGCTACTTTGAAATATATAATAAATAACTACTGTTACCCTACTGTGCTATGAAATGCTAGAACATATTCCTTCTCTCTAACTGTACTTTTGTACACATTAACCAACCTCTCTTCATCTTCTACTTCCTCCTACCCTTCCCAGCCAGTGGTAATAATCTAGGATTATTTTTGATTTCTGACAAAGAATCATTGTAGTAATAAGTTTGTACAAACTTAACTTTCTAGGTTAAAAAAAAAAATTACAGACTTAGGATAAAAGTAGAAATAAAACCTGGAAATCATCCTTGATTCCTCTGCCTCCTGTAGACTGTCTTACAGTTGAACACAAAATCTTGTGTATTCTACTTTCTACGTATCTACTAATTCCATGGAGCTATTTCCATCCCACGGCCACCATTCTAATCCCAAGCGCTATCATTTCTCCTCTGATTAAAGTAGATCAGCAGTAACTTCACTAGCTGCCAGCTTCCACTCTTGTCCTTCAAAATCCGTTCTGCAAATTGCAATCCCAGTGTTTGAAGGATCATTATTTTTGACATTCTCTGATTTTATGGTAAAAAAAAATTCTCGTATCTTTAAGAATCTTTCATGACAATGAAATCTTTCATTTTCAAGTTTGCTTTGGGCACTTACTAGCTTGTGTGGACCCAGTTAAATGCAGACCTGGGAAATTTGGCCATCAAAATCTCTTAATGAAAATAACCACATAGTGACAATCATTCATTTCTATTAAAAATTGTACACTGGGAATATGATAAATGCCTGTGTCAGTCATTGTACAGGAAGCCATAGCAGTGAAGACAGTGGGTGAGTGAGAATGTATCAGAGAAACAAGGAGATTCTATGTGCATCAGGTGATGAAAACTTAATGACAAAGGGGAAAAGAAGTGTAAGAATTTCTTTCTCTCTTCCTTCCTTCCTTCTTTCCTTCTCTCTCTCTCTTTTTCAGAATTTCACTCAGTTGCCCAGGCTGGAGTGCAATGGCACGATCTTGGCTCACCACAACCTCCGCCTACTGGGTTCAAGCTATTCTCCTGCCTCAGCCTCTCGAGTAGCTGGGATTACAGGCAAGCACCACCACGCTCGGCTAATTTTGTATTTTTAGTAGAGACGGGGATTTTCCATGTTGGTCAGGCTGGTCTCGAACTCCTGACCTCAGGTGATCTGCCCCCCTCGGCCTCCCAAAGTGCTGGGATTACAGGCATGAGCCACCGCGCCCGGCCAGTATAAGGATTTCTTAAGAGCTCGATGTAACCATATAAAGAGCGTCTCTAGAAGATGTAATGTATCAAGCTTAAAAAATTACTCAGAATTTATTCAATTATTTTATTTTTCAGAAACAAAATATGTTATCCCCTTTGTGTGGCTAATCAAGAAATATTTTTGCAGGGGTCAGAATCTTAAAGAGTGAGAACATTGTAATTCCTTCTTCCAGGAAAATACATACACACACACACACACACACACACACACACACACACACACACACACACACAAATATTTTACAATGAGTATTTTTAGATAGCCTTCGAGGGATGGCTACAATAAGTTTATTTTAACTTAATATCTCTTTTTTCAGCATTTGTATTTGATGTGGTAGTTTTTGTATGAAGGGAGGCTTTAGAAAAGATATAGGTAAACTTTCAAGCAGGATTCTACTCTGATATCTCTCTGCAAAGAGTGCAAATGTAGGGCAAAAAAGTAAAAGCTGGCCAGTCAAATAAATTGGGAACACATATTATGCCAGAAGTGGAAAATATTTCAAACAGCTCTTATAGCCTGGACATCCCTTCATTTATCCATTTGGTCATCTGGCAAATATTTATTAAGCATGTTTCATTGAAATAAAATAAATGCATTTTATATTTAGGATGACTTGGTTCCAAACTCTGAAATTTATAAACTGATTTTGGGTAAATCAGTTATTTTATCTTATCCCTACATTATTTTACCAGGAGTAAATAATCAGAATTGCTTTATAGGATTCTAATAAAGATAAACTGAGATGACTTTTGAAGGTGCTAGTCTAAGGATAGGAACATGTGAAATACTTTGAGCTTATCTCATATAAAGAGGAAATTTGGATGCAAAGATGAATAAGGTGCTTCCTTTATCCTTGAGTACCATAAATACTTGAAGATGAATATAAATTACTAGATACTCAATAGCGAGAGACACGGATAAGTGGAAGGTTTGGGTTGCAGCCGTGACCTAGACCTGAGTTCACTTTCTTCAGAGTAAGAGAAATAAGTGTCGTTATACTTAGAACTGAGGATTGCATGTAATTTGCACCCTCTTTACCTGAGTAAAAATGGCCAATAGTGCACTGTCACTATGTTTGGAGTCTGCCAAGATGTAAATGTGATCCCCCAAATGTAGAACTGGGATTAAAAGATTGAGAACCATTGCAGTGCAGAGGAGTCAACATATTGACATAATGTATGCCATATTCTCACCTCCTGTGCATTGGCAGATGTCACTATCAGATTTCAGTCCTCTTTGCTATTGAACAAAGTTGTAACCTCAAGGTTTTCTCCAGTGACCTCAGGATCAAATAAATATGACACCTTAGAAGAAATATACTTCACTTTTTGTTTTAGATACAGATAGGAATGGTAAATAGGGTTTCCATTTATTTACAAACTTCAATCAAAAGGTAGTGATTGCATCATGGAGTAGAGAATTCTGGAACTTTGTTCAGGCTTTTGAATAAAGAGAACCATTAGTGAGTGATGCCTGCTCTAGTGTATTTTTAGAGGCCCTGGAAAAGCATTTTCGTTCCTCAACTTATCTTTCAAGTCGAATATTAACATAATTTGTTTATCCAAAGTGACATGCAAAATGCTAGATCCATAAAATGACAATTCCACTTAATTTAGTAAGAGTAACCATAGGAATAATCATGAGATCCCATGGGAAAACCACTTTGGGGGAAGAGGATGTATCACAGGATTCTTCGAAAAGAGTAACCCATGAAATGAATCTTAGAGAAGGAGAAATCATGAGACAAAAGAGGGAAAGGGGTAGTATTCTAGACATAGGGATTTTTTGAGCAAAGATTAGAAGCTAAAACTAGCAAAACATATAAGGGATGCCAAGAAGAGTCAGTTGTGCTGAAACATGATGGGAAGAGCAAGGAGTGGTAGGGATGAGGCTGGGCAAGTAGGCTAGAGCCTGCATCAAAAAAGGTCTTGATTGTCATGCTAAGTTGTTCATACCATTTACTAAAAATGGAAAATCATAGAAATAATTGATGGAAAAAGTGATATGATCAGAATTGTGTTATTGAGAAAGACATTGCTAGTTACACTGAAACAACAATTAGATGAAATAAGGAGTTTGGAAGCAGCAATCTTGGCTTCCAATTCCTGCTTGGGGACTAAATTATTACATGGTATTGAGAACAAAAGTTCCCCCTTTGGATCTATCTGTTTAAGTGAAAAATGATTGAGTTGGGCAAGGTGATTTCACTGGGCTCTTGTAGATACAATATTTTATACTTATCTTTTGGTAACTGGATTATTTGATTATCTGCTCCTCAATTGTGTCATTGGAATAGTAGAGAAACTTATCTTTGGGTTTCCTACCATGTACAAAGAGATTGTATGATGTAAATGAGGTTACAGATATTTTGGAGAATGAGGAAATAGTCAAGCAAAGATGACAAATTGTCATTTTGTTTTCTAAATAAATAGCTAGCCCACAGATAATGAGGAAAATACAAGTTTAATGCATTTCCCCAAACTTGCATTTTCCCATTTATCTGTAGATAATTTCTTCTTCTATTGTGAAACATATCTTTGTGTGTGACTAATGTGGGAAGTCTTTGCTGGACCTCTATAGAGATGGGAAAATGCATTAACCTGACAAAGAATGGAGACAGAACTGTGTCACCTTTTTCACAACTTAGAGATCTAGTTCCTCAGAGCTGCAAGAAATGTTATAGATCTTCTTGTCCCATAGTTTTCAGGTTCTGTTCCTTATGACTTAGATGTTCTATGGAGGCACCTGAGGGATAACCTACCAAGGAAGAAAGCAGAGATGAGGAAGACAGCTTTTTTATTTCTTTCTCTTCTCCTAGAACCATGTTGCTGCCACACATTGAGAGCGCACTGAGAAGAAAGCCAAGTAGATATAGGTACATAGGAAATGGAGATGTGGATCTCTGATGACAGCTTTCAATTCCTCACCCAGCCATGTCTGACATGGTTCTTCCACTTAGATTTCCTGGTTATTTTAGGTAATAAATTTCCTATTTTACTTTTAAGCTTGTTTGAATTGAGTTTCTGTCCCTTATAAAGAGTTTTGAGAAGTACTTTATATGAGAATTTCATGTATGACTTTATTTAATAAAATATTTTTCCACTGTTTATCATTGGGAAAATATAAATTTGGGAACCACTGATTTCATGCAATGTAATCTTTTTTAAAGGAAGTGACTGAAACAAAATCCAGGATTATTTCCCAAAGTTACACATCAAATACATGGCACTGTTGGTGCCAGAATGCAAAGCCCCTGATGTTTGTAGCTGCTCATCTCACTCTAGTTATCTTCCCACATGCACAATATCACCACTTATCTCCACGCAACATCACTGTGACTTACCAAATATCGAGGAATAATATTCCCACACTGACCAACAGGAAATCATTTGAGGAAGAAGGCTTATCCATCTCTATAGAGGTCCTGCAAAGACTTCCCACATTAGCCACACATAAAAATGTGTTTCACAATAGAAGAAAATTTGCTCAATCAACCAGACAGTGTGGAAAGACCTTGTAGGATTCTTGGAATCCCTTAGCCCCAACAGGGGCAATACTGCTTGGACACCGTTAGTGATGTGTCATCATGGTACTGGAGCACCACCTCCTGGTTGTGTTGAAAGTTTAATTTACCTTTTCTAGTTAAAGAAGGTCTGGTATTTACTAGAAATTTATGACCTTGGAACTAGAAGGGCCTTTAAGAATGACCTGGTCCATCACTCTTCTTTCATGGATGGGGAGATAGGCCAGAAGAGGAAAAGTGATTTCCTCCCACCATAATAACCAATTAAGAGCAGGGACACAATGAGAACCCAAATGTAGTCTCCCTTTCCAGTGCCTAATTCTATGGTTGTAAAAGTTGATAATTTTTTAGTGTAAGAAACCAAAAAGAGTCTGAATTTACCTGAGGAGAAGAAACAATGAAAGTAAGTACAAACAACTTACAGAATTGAGAGGTCATTGAACAATTGAGTCACAGGCAAGAGACAATTGAGAATCTAGATAGAAAGAACCGTAGGCATTCTGTTCAGGAACTATCCCAATTCACATGAATCAGCTTTAAATGTTTCCCATTCACGCATTACTTCACTCAAGATGTATATCCTAAGGAAACAAAGACTGATTGGCCTAGATTGAGATACTTGCCAAGCCATGGTGTGAAAGTATAAGAGCCTCTGACATAATTCCATCGAAACTTTGTAGGAACTACCCCTATAGGGAGAGGTATTTTCTCAAAGGAAAATTCAATGCTGTTCCCATAAGAAAAGGGAAGGGAGCCGGGAATGGTGGCTCATGCCTGTAATCCCAGCACTTTGGGAGGCTGAGGCAGAGGAATCACCTGAGGTCGGGAGTTCGAGACCAGCTTGGCCAACATGATGAAACCCTGTCTCTAGTTAAAATAAAATTGGCCAGACGTGGTGGCATGCGCATGCATTCCCAGCTACTCAGGAGGCTGAGGCAGGAGAATCGCTAGAACCTGGGAGGTGGAGGTTGCAGTGAGCCGAGATCATGCCATTGCACTCCAGCCTGGGGGACAGAGCAAGACTGTGTCTCAAAAAAAAAAAAAAAAAAAAAAAAGAAAAAAAAAAAGAAAGAAAAAAAGAAAAGGGAAGTGATGCCAGTGAACAAAAACAACAGATGTCCAGTGCAGAAACAAAGTCAAGTTATTACTCAGGCATTTTCAAACTAGTGTCGTGAATCATCTACTCATAGACCAGAACACAAAATTCACATTTAAAATCTTCCTTTGCATTGTAGATGCCCTAGCTCCAAAGCATGGACAGCCATGACTTTACCACCTCTGAGTATCTGATACACCTGCTCCTTGGCACTTTCTGTTCCACTGCTTCTTGATATTGAAATGACATCTGTTTTACTTTTAGCTATTTCAGGAATGACAAACCAGGTCACAGAATAAGACCATATAATTAATACCTGGGCCTTGCTGTTGATGGAAAATATGAGGGGCTCAATAGAAAAGCTCCAAAACCATAGCATTTCTAAGGCCTCTCTTCTAAGAGGGGGTTCCGTCTATTATATGGAAGGTCTCCTTTAGTACAGGGCTTTTCTACTTTGGCAAAGTTGACATTTTGGGCTGGAAATTCTTTGTTGTGAGAGGCTGTCCTGTCCATTGTAGGATGTTTAGCAGCATCCCTGGCCTCCGCCTACCAGATGCTAGGAGTACCTTTTAGTTGTGACAACTAAAAATGCTGGTTGACTTTGCTGATTTTCTCCTAGTGAAGGTGACAGGGAGTGTGTAATGTATTCTAATTGAAATACATTACAGGCATATGTATTTGGAGGTGACCCCAGGATAGGTAAAACTAATTTCATTTTTTTACCCCAGAGGGAACTTTTTATCAGTCAACACGACTCAACAGTGGGAGACTTTGCCTTGGAAAGTAAGAGGTGTTTTAGGGATATTTAGCTGAAGCTGGGTACATACCGGTTAGTGATGCTGTTGGGAGTGGAGCAACATCAGATAGATGGTTTTTTTTGTTTGATTTTTGTTTTGTTTTATTCTTTAAAATGAAAAAACCCTCAGATACAGTTATTATATCATTTTATTGCTCTTTGTCCAATAGATATGTGTTTCTGTTCAGTTCTTTTTGTTACAAAGAAGCCAATAGAAACTCAATTTAATGCACAGAAAGGAGTACATGTGAACTGGATATGGAAAAGAGAAGTCATAAAAACAATTAAGGTATTCTATAGGACCCGATACTCTCTCCATCCCTCCTTCCCTCAGGGAGCCCACAGTCAGTCTTTTAAAGTCCCTCTGACCTTTTCCTCTATTGTCCTCTTCCCAGCAGCTGGCTACCTTTGCTTACTCACAGTCTTTGCTTCCTTAGGACTTGCGTTGGCAGTGACTCATTAAGGCAATTCCAACATCTTTCTCTAATTAGTATCCTTGGGGATTTAGCTACTAACCTAAAATTTCTCTCTTTCCGTTGTTTCAAATTCTAATTTCTGAAAAAGAAAAAAGAATTAAAAGTTAGATTATCCTTCTGCATGTCTGCATGTGACAGCAACATAGGTAGTTGGTCTGTGTCTAAATTTGCTGTATTTGTTACTGTGTTGTTAGTTACAAATAACAGAAAACCCTGATTCAATTGGCTTAAACAATAAGGAAAGTCTGTTATCTAATAACATAAAGTCCTGAAATAGGGCCTTTCTGGGCCAGTTAATCTTTATATCATCCCTGCAAATCCCATTGATGACCCAAGGATCTAGGTTCTATACGTGAATCTGATCTGCTATGCTCAGCGTGGTGGCTTTGTTCTAGGGCTAACTCCTCCTCATGATCATTACTGTATCCTATCTAAGCCATCTTAGCCAGACATAGCAACATCGTGTGTAAGAAGGCACTGCTCTTACTAAGTTTTCTTTTTAAGAATGAAGAAACCTTTTCCAGAAGTTCACCCGGAGACTTTCCCACATCAACCTCACATTTCATTAACCGGAATTATGACACATGCTATGACTAAGCCAAATGCTGACAAGGGGAATGAGACTACTATGTTTGACTTAGACTAATCATGTTTTAAATGTGATCAGGGGAATAGAGTCAACTTTCCTAAACAATTGATTCTTGTACAAACATCAGATTGTGTTATCAAGGACAAGATGAAATAGAATGTTTGTGGTAAGGGTGTCTGATTGACCTGGCTTTGGATTGAGTGGTTACTTCTTGCCTTTCCTTCTGTGGTCAAGGAAGATGAGATTCATGACACAGCCTTGCTGCCTAGCTAATCTATGGATGTATCTGTCCTTGGATCTGGTGCCCATCCCAATTTCAATAAATTGTTATAAATCATTCAGCTGGTGGAAATGACAGCTTCCTGTGTAGCAGGGACCATGACTATGACAGCTTCTTTTCAGATGGGGGAGTTGCTAGTACCATGATCTTGTGTCCAATAAAAATTTTTAACTCCATCTGTTTTTATATAAGTCCTCATCTTTCTCATTTGTTCAGTTATAGGTCTATCAATCCTGTACTGAGTGCCTACTATGTGTGAAGTAGTTTGGATACATAGATGAATAGTACATACAACAGAAATTGAGGAATCCACAGTAGCAGTGCCACAAACTGGAGGCTGTGTTTACCGGCATGAAATGAAATCTCCTAACAATTTCAGCTAGGACAATGTATTATCAAGAAAGGGTCAAACAGTGGTATATATGAGAAAAAATAGTTGGCTTATGAAAAAATAGCCTCTTTGCTTAAGTTTTTAATTTTTAATAATACTAAAATTAATAATAGAATTACTTTATATTCTGATACTGTTTCATAGTGCACAATGCACTTTCACTTAGCACAGTTAATCTTTATATCATCCCTGGGAATCCCACAGCAGAGCTATCTTGATTCTTACCAGAAATGGTCTTAGGATAATAATTCTCACCTGACCTCAACTATGTAAAAGGTAACATAAGTAAGAAACAGAAGAACAGGGGCTTAAACCCAAGATCTCTTGTTTCCATATCCACTCTTTATTCTACTTCATAGTCTACTAAAAACATTGTGTTTCTTTCTTGATAAAAATAAAGTCACAGGTTATTAAATGGAACTAATTATGGCACTCATGGCCTGTCCAAGTTAGTATCAATATTTTAAAAGTTTGATGATTACAAAATAAATGAAACTGACTTCTCTCAGGAGCACATACATTGGGTCAAACTAAGCTAAGTCCCATAGGTAGAAATCACCATAGGGACCTGCTATAATAAATAGATAAGAATAATCTGTAACTAGCATGTCATCTCTCTATGTATAAATTGTGTTTTAAATGTATTGAGGAAAAGTTTGCTCGCTTAAAGAGGTTAAATATTGCTGCCTGCCATCCTGTTTACACTGTTAATTTGCTTTCCAAATCCTTTTAGCTAGATAAAGCAAAGGTAAACTTCAGAATAGGCTCTGTACAAATTATCACCAATTGTAAATTAATGAGCTTTTTGCTTTATCTGAGTTGCAGAAAGACTAAACAAATGAGCTGGAATCATATATTTTCTTTCCATCTGAAGGGCTATATTCCCCCCTTTACCACTATTTCCTCTCTCAGGAAATTCAAGAGGTCCACTGATTTAATACATCCAATGTTTCAATATAAAATGGACAGCCAGGCCACCCTTTATCTTTTTTTGTTTCACCCAATTGGTGACTAAGCCTTACTTACTGGTTTAATCTAATTTTTCCCTTTCCAAACTTACATTCAACATAATCAAACACTAATGTAATTGTGTATGATGTCTTCCTTTCTTCACAATTCTATAACGAGGGGAAAAGGTTTTGTCAGTAGGAGTGGTATCATATGTAGTTTAACTAAAGGAGCAATGACTTATTGTACTCTCTCCCATTATGTGGCCCAGTTGAGGCTAATTAACTCCCATTTATATACTCTTTACCTCAATTCATACCAGGAGTTTGAACCTGCTCTTCCCAATTCATGAATTTTGTAATGGAGAACATTGGATCCAGACAAATCCTGATTTAATTTCAACTTTACACCCTCAGGCAAGTTACTTCCCTTTATTAAGACTACATCTTTCCATATGTAAAATGAGATTATCTGATGTGATTAAGATCTCTTCAAAATATTCAACATGTTTTACTTCCACTTTGCTAAATTTTTATCAAAGTAGTGTTCTCTAATTACCCACATCATCAGAACTACTCAAATATTGTTCATGCACTTCTTTAGAGCACTTTGGAAAATTTCAACAGAATTGGTTGTCTGGTAAACCCAAGGTCACAGGCATAGAAACCAGTTTATAGTATTCTCTTGCAAAATATCTAATGATATCCATAATGTGGAAAGCAAACAATAATTTTATGTCCAAAAATAGAATAAACTGTTCTACCTGGCAACCTTTGCCAGGAGAACAAATGCTTGCTTTTGAAATTTATCCTTCCCTACACCATGACCAGGCTGAATGTATATATTCATGACCTAGGCATTTTTCCTGCCACCTCCAAAAATTTGTTTTTTACCATTTATCATTTTGTCTGGATAATGTGCATGATGATTTCAAAACCTAGTAAAACCTATACATGTTTGATTTGTTCTTCTTTCTACAAATAAAACAAAACAAGAAAAAAGTGACAAAAAAGCAATACCTTACAGGTAGCTACATTTTATAAAACCTATTTACTCTCTTGTCTTATTCAACAATAACAGCCAAGCAAGCAAATAACAGAAGAAGTAAAGGAAGCCAAACAACATCAAAATTTAAAACCAACCAACTAGTCATGTGTGGTGCCTCATGCCTGTTGTCTCAGCACTTTGGGAAGCTGAGGTGCAAGGATCGCTTGAGGCCAGGAGTCTGAGACCAGCCTAAGCAACATAGCAAGACCCTGTCTCTACAAGAAAAAAATAAAAATAAAAATTAGCTAGGTGTACTGTGTACCTGTAGTCCCAGCTACTTAGGAGGCTAAAGCAAGATGATCTTTTGAGTCCAGGAGTTTGAGGCTACAGTGAGCTGGGATTGCAACCTCACTCCAGCCTGTGCAAGAGAGCAAGACCGTGTCTCAATAAACAAAAACAGAAATAAAACAAAAAAAACAAGTAACCAGTCACCACCACCGTCACCACCACCACCGTCACCACCACCACCATAACAACAACAGAAAATGCATGGTTTCAATCACCACCCATTTGTAGAGAACTTTTGATTCATAGACCCAGGCCAGATCTCTCCCCGCCTGAACTATAAACTTGTGTACTTCTTTTGCCCCCTTGACATTTCTATCTGCATATCTCACTGAAAATTTTATTTCTATATACATATCTAACTGAAAATGCTTAAAACTGAACAAATTTCTACACAAATTCTGTTCTATTATTCATGTTACCTTATTTCGGTGAATGACAAAAACAAGACAAAAATATGGGGATTATTTTCAACTCCCCTTTTTGCCACACCTTTTATAATGAATCACTTCCTAAGTCTTTATGATCTAACTTTTCAGAATTCTCAAATCTTTCTCCTTACTTTTATCTCCAATTGCAACATATATATTAGTGTGTGTATGTATGCGTACTACCATCATCCTTGCAGCTGACTTCTTAATGATGCTACTATTTGCTGATCAATGGATTTTCTATATGGCAGTTTCAAATGTGAGTGGGACTCTTTGCTCTTCTGCTTATGACTCCACAGGGTTCCAGTTGCCCTCCAGGTAAAGTCTAACTCACTAATATGGATTGCAAGTCTTGATGAGATCAGAACCCTGACGATTTTCTCGTTTCACTTTTACTCTGTTCACTGGCCTCCCCTTAATCTCTAATTCAGTATTCTCAATCCTGACTGCACCTTAAGATCATCTGGAGAAAAAAAAATGCTTCTCCACCCCTCACCCTCATACAAATGATGATTTAATTAGTCTGAGATAAGGTTATTAATCAGTAGTTCAAAAAAATTGCCACAGATGTTTCTACTATGCAACTACATCCAAACACACAAAGAGCTCTCTTGTCTCTAGCTTCTTTCTACTAAGAACCCTCTTTTTACCTGTTTTACTACTCCTGTCTGTGTCTCAGATAGAGACTTTATTCATTAAATATTGGCTACATGTGTTCAGACAGGCATTTAGGCAGGTTGGGTATGGAGAGAAATAACAAAGTGTGCTGAAAGAGAATAAAAAAGATCTGGATTTGAATCTTCATTCTGATAGATAGTAGATATGTTCAGAACATTACTGAAACACAGTAAACCTTGGGTTCATTATTTGTAAATTGCAGAGAATACTATCTACTGCACAGAGTTTCTTTGATAATTAAATTTGATAGCATATGTACATTTCAGAAAACAGGGACTACAGGAATACAACTTTAGTAAAGAACACTGGCTTTGGAACCATCTAACACTCATAATCAAGTTTTAAGTCATATGCTTAATAACAATATCACCTACTTTAAAAGTTGCTTAAACTCTCTTGGCCTTAGTATTTGTAACCTTAAATTAGGAATGATATTACCAAAGTTAAAGTTCATAACAAAAATTCAGATAGATATGGAGGACATTTGTAACACATAAAAATTCTCTTGATACTCTCTTCTGTGTATGCATTAGGCTTGAATAAAAAGTTTAAAGTCTGTATAAATTCTAGATATTATAATAATTATAATAGAATCCATTATTATTAACATTATTATTTTCTCATTTGTAAAATTTACTCCTTTTCATAACCTTGTTCATTTCCTGTAAGTACCTATAAAATATCAGTTACTTATTTTATGTAACACTTCCCACTATAATGGGAAGCCTTTCTTCAGCAACTAATGTTTTAACTTAGTGTTGGAACCTCCAAACAACTATGTGGATGATCAATGCTAGGCCCTGTATTGACTCTTTTTTGAAGGTTCTTCTTGTCTCATTTTATCTGACCACTCAGGCTGGAAACTGGAGACCCTTGCAATATTACTCTGATATTAATCCCATCTAGAAATCATGTTGAGTCATAAAATGCAAGTCATTCTTCAAATTACTCGATGTCAAAAGATTCTTCTATATTGGGTCTGATGTCACATGTGATGAAATTAGTTGGCTATATTTTCTGGATGTGAAGTCATACATTGATCATGCCCTTGACACATACTGAGTAGTCTCATTTTTCTGGATTTATAGTTTTTGGAAAATACAAATACATTCAATATTCCATATATCAAAATATGTGAAGAAAACTGGTGTTAATAACTTATACAGGGATTAATTTCTGTAAGTGTTCATCACAAAATAGCACTTCAAGATGGGGGGTTATTCATTAAATGGAAGGTATGCTTAGCCAATTTGTAAATGACAATTGTTTGAAAGATATAGAGGACATGGATAGCTCTCAGACTCAGTATGCAGATAAATAGGAAGAAAGTGGAGCAGAGATAAATTGTTTGTAACAGAAAAACACCTAGTAGAAATAAATTCAAATTCTTTCTTTTAAATGCAAAGAACTAATTCCACAAGAACTGTTTATGGAGTTGTCACTAAGCAGAATCACTGATGGAAAGGGATGTGATTAGTTGACATAAGCTCACCATATCAATTGTGCAGTCTGCCACAAAGAGAACAGGGATAGGTCTTTATTGTATCCTCTGCTGGCTTATTACATTATTTTATTTAATCCTCACAATAATGACGTGAAACTATCTTTAGTTGAACAACTGATGTCTTTAATAAAGAACAAGTTTTACAAGTTTACTAAATGGAAAAAACAGAAATAAAATCCAGATAAATGGGGTCTCTAAACATTTTTATTCTATTTGGTTTCCTCCTCCTGGTGTCTATATAAGTTCTGCTTCCACCAAGATAGACTAACACAAACAACTTACCTTTCCATCTAAAACAATAACACACACTCACACAAACAAAAAACAGACAAAATACTTGAAGCAACACATTTTAAGATACTGAACATTAGGCAAAAAGAACAGTGATCCCTGGAATATGACACAAATATGAAATAAGCCTTACAATTGCCTTCTGTTATTGTATTGAGAGGTTTTCCAGACCATAACACAAAGAGAATAAATATAGACAAAGTCCCAAGGAACTTTTTGAGTTTAGAAAATAGAATGGTAAGTCCAGGGAGGACAAGGCCTTTAGAATTCATGGGACAGCATACCAGGAAATAAAGAGCAGCACACAGAAATTCACAGATATCCAGAGGATCCCTCTCCAGTATTCAGTTGTCTACTGAACAATTCTTGCATGTAAGAAAAGTAGTGTAAAGTGGAGGAAAACAACCAAAAGAATTAGAAGAAACAGCATTCAGTACTCACTCAGGGTCAAGAAAAATGTATTTTCTCATCAACCAGACTAGAAAACCCCTAATTCATAAGGCAATGGGTGGAAAACACAGAAAGGCTGTGCCACAGTAATGAGGAGTAATTAGCTCTAGATTGAACATTGTTCTGGTCTCAACTAATAAATCTTAAAAGCAAGACATGAAAGTATTCACAACTAGTTTAACTTCATTATAAAACAAAGTTTAATAATATAAGTATATAAATATATCCAGCTCTCAACAAGGTAATATTTACAATGCTTAGCATCCACTCAAAAATTACCAGGCACACAATGAAAGAGAAAAATATGACTTATAATGAAAAATCAATCACCTGAATTCAACCCAGAACTGACACAGATGTTAGAAGTAGAAGGCAAATACATTAAAACAGTAAAAAGACATAATTAGACATAATTATGAAGACAGGGAAGTAACATCTTTAAAATAATAAAATTATAATTTTTAAAACTGCAGGCTGGGTGTGGTGGTTCATGCCTGTAATTCCAGCATTATAGGAGGTCAAGGCAGGTGAATTGCTTGAACCCAGGACTTCAAGACCAGAGACCAGCCTGGACAACACAGCAAGACCTCATCTCAAAAAAAAAAAAAAAAAAAAAAAAGAAAAGAAAAGAAAACCTCAAGACCTAGAATTTTATGCCCAGTTTAAACATCTGTGTAAAAGAAAACAAAGAATAAATAAATACGAATATCTTCAGACATACAAAAGTGAAATATTCACTTAATCAGACCTGAACTCAAAGAAATGTCAAAGAATTCCATCAAGCAGAAGAAAAATAACACTAGAATGAAATATAAATCAACACAAAGGAATAAAAAGCACTGGAAATGGAAGCTACATGGGTAAATATATGAGTTTTCTTAACATTTAAAACCCTTTAAAAGATAATTGTTTAAACAAAAACAAACATGTAGAGTAGTTTATATGACCATATAAAAGTGAAATATATACAAATAATAAAGTTCAGTAGGGGAAAAATGAAGTGATACAATATCAGTTGGAGGTAGGCTAATTAGTTAAAAATGCGTATTACACATCCTAAATAAACAACTAAAAGAACAACTAAAGAGTTATGATTAGTAAGCCAACAAAGAAATTCAAGTGGGATAATAAATACATTCAATTAACTCAAATAAAGACAGAAAAATAGGGGGCAAATATCAGATGTGACAAATAAAAAACAATGGTAATTTCATCAGCAAAGATAAATGTAAATCTAATAATGTCTGCAATTACTTTAAATATAAATGGTCTAGATAATTTAATTAAAAGCCAAAGATCATCAGACTGGATTAAAAAAAAGAGGACTGAACCATATGCACTGTTTTGGTAATATTTTAAATAAAAACAAGTTATCATTAAAAGGATATGAAAAGATATTCCTTGCTAACACTGATCAAAAGAAAGCTGAAGTGGCTAAATTAATATTATAATAAATAGATTTCAGAGTAAAGAATGTCGCAAGGGATAAAATAAGTTTGTTTCATAAAAAGATAAAATACATCAAGAAGATGTAACAATCCCAGACCTAAAAGCAGACCTTCAATATACATGAAGAAAAAAATCAACGGGACATCAGTGAAAGTGGACAAATTCATAACTATATTCAGAGGTATCAATACCCATCTTTCAATAAGTACTAGAAGTAGTAACAGAAAACAAAAAAGGATATAAAATATTTGAAAAAATTATCTAATTTGACTTAATTGGCTTTTATAGTATACTTCTTTCAAGAACAGGATAATAAACATTTTTTTTTTCATGTGTACGTATAACCTATACCTAAACTGTATTCTGGGCAATGAAATAAGTCTCAATAAGTTTCAATGGATACAGTTCATTCAAAGTATGTTCTCTAACCAAAGGGGAATTGAGTTAGAAATCAACAACAGAAAGATCTCTAGAAAATCCAAAAACATTTGGCAATGAAATAACACTACTAAATAACCATGAGACAAAAAGAAAATACATTTGCTTATGTATTTTCATAGCAAATTTGAGAACATTTTGAGATGAACAAAGATACAAACACAATATACCAAAATGTGTGAGTTGCTATTAAAGCAGTTCTTAGAAGAAAATTTATAGCACTAACACATACATTAGAAAAGAAGAAAGATCTCAATGAAATAACCTCAGATTTATCATTTAAATCTAGAAAAAGAAGCATAATTGAATCTAAAGTAAGTAGGAGAAAGAACATACTAAAAATCCACATGGAAACGAACAAATAAAAAAACAATAATAACAGAAATAAATTGGTGAATCCAATATTTATTTTTTTCTGGATATCAATAAAATTGATAAATAACTAGAAAAATTTATCGGTGGGGAAGAGAGGAAGAACTGGAGAGAGAGAGTGTGAGAACACAAATTATAAAAATCAGGAATGAAAAAATTGATGTCATTACAGAGTCTACAGATATTAAAAGGATAACAAAGAGATGTTATAGCAATGTTATGCCAATAAATTCAACACTCAAACGAAATGTGAAAATTCCTTGAAAAACAGAAAATGTCAAAGGCTCATTCAAGAAAGAACAAAGTAAATAGCCCTATATTTATTAAATAAAGTGAATTTGTAGTAAATATTCCACAAACAAAACCCTAGCACCCAATAGCTGTACTGGTAAATTATTTATGAAGAAATTAAACACCATTTACATAACTTCTTCCAGAAAATTGTAGAGGAGGTAATACTACCCAACTTATACTATGACCCCAGTATTCTTTTAACAAATCTAGATTAAAAATATTACAAAAAAACTACAGAACAATACTCTCAATGAATACAGATGCAAAATTTTGAATGAATGTTTATTAGATCAAATAGATAATATGTAACAAATATAATCCTTAGTTACTAAGTAGGTTTTATCCCAGGAAGGCAAGATTTGGTTAATATTTGAAAAAATAAAAATAAACTAATGTAATTATCCAAATTAACAGACTAAAAAATAAAAACATGATTATCTCAATAGATGCAGAAAATCATTGACGAAATCCAATATCCATTCCTAATAACAATTTTCAGCAAACAAGGGTACTTCCTTAATCTACAAAGGGCGTCTATTAAAACAAACAAAAACTGTAGCTAACATCATACTTAATGGTGAAAGACTGAATGATTTTTCCTAAGAGATCTGGAACAAAACATGTCTGTTCTCACTACTCATTTTTAATATTGTACTGGAGTTTTAGCCAAATAATGAGGCAAGAAAAAGAAAATAATGACTCCCAGTTTGGAAAGGAAGAAATAAACTACCATTATCTGCAGATGACATGAAAAATCTACTCCCCGAAAAGTAAAACATAACCTAAACTTAGTAAGTGAGTTTAGTAGGGTTGTAAGATGCAGAAGTAACTTTAAAACTAAATTTCATATTTATGTATTAGCAATACACAGTCAGAAATTCAAATTAAAGAAAAAATACCATTTACAATAGCATTGAACATATAAAATACCTATGGAAAAATATGGCAGAATATTTGTACAATGTTAATTGCATAACATTAATGAGAGAAATTAAGACCTAAATAAGTGTAGAAATATATCCTGTTGTGGGACAAAAACTCAATATTGTTAAGCCGTCAATTCAATTTCATATAGATCAATTTGATCTATAGATTTCATGGCATCTCAATTAAAACCATAGCCGGCATTTTAATATAAATATGATTTATTTAAATTCATATACAATTGACAAAGGGAAACTAAATTAATTTTCTTTGTCACAATAATTCAGTTTAGGGTATGGCATTTAACAGATATTTTCTTAATGATTTAATGTTTAAGTGAACAAAATGAGGAATAAGTTGAAACTTGCAGACAGAATTGGATTTATTAAAATAAATAACTTCTACACTGTCACAGTTACTGAAGTCAGGTTGGATTTCCTTGGAGAGTTCAAACTCATAACAGAGGAAACAAGTATTATACAATGTTAATAGTGGAATCTAAATGGTGTGTATATAGGAGTTCAGTTAATTTTTTTTTCAACTTTTATATATGTTTGAACATTTCCATAGCTTAATACTCAGATTTTCTGTGAGATTTCTCATCTACTCACTTTAAATTTTGGGGAGAATCCAATACCTTCTCCCATCTCCAACAGACTTATTTGAGGGAAAATACACAGTTGTTAAGGAATGATTAGATTTTTTTAATCTGTCTTTTATATGCAGATCTCTTTGGGAACTGTTTTCCACTCCTATCCACACTCCTGTTTAAAGAAGTGTCCCATGCCCATTTTCCTTATCTTCCCTACCTCCCTTGAAACAAAACAAAAACTAAGTAATTAGTATGTCAGGTATCGTGCTGAATATTTTAACACTGACTCATTTAATTTCTAATTTGGCATGAATATTGGGATTCTCCAGAGAAACAGTACCATTAAGATTAGGATATTTATTTATTCATTTATGTATTCACTTATTTTAAGGGATTAGCCTATATGATTATAGAGGCTGGCAAGTACCCAAATCTGCAGTTAGTCAGCAAACTGAAGACCCAGAAGAGCCAATGGCTTAGTTTCAGTTCAAGTCCAAAAGGCCTGAGAACCAGGAGAGCCTATGTTGTAGTTCTAATTCAAAGGCTGGCAGCTTCAAGACCCAGAGAAGTCCTATGTTTTAGGTTAAGTCCAAAGGCCAGAAAAAAAGCAGATGTCCAAGTTCAAAGACAATCAGGCAGGAAGAATTCTTTCTACTTGAGGAGAGTCAGCTTTTTTGTCCTATGTTAATCTTTATCTACTTAGATAAAGCCCAACCACATTAGAGAGAGCGACCTGCTTTGCTTAGTTTACTAATTTAAATGTTAATTTCATCTGAAAAACACATAGCTGGAGCATGGTGGCTCATGCCTGTATTCCAAGCAGTTTTAGAGGCTGACGCAGGACAATAGCTGGAGTTTAGAAGTTCAAGACCAGCCTGGGCAACATAGAGAGACCCTGTCTAGAAGAAGAAGGAGGAGGAGGAGGAAGGGGAGGAGGAGGAGAAGGAGGAGGAGGAGGAGGAAAGAGACGAGAAGGGGAAGGAGAGGAAGAGGAGGAGGAGAAGGAGAGGAAGAGGAAGGAGAAGGAGAAGAAAAAGAAATAATTAGCTGGGCATGGTGGTGCACACCTGCAGTCCCATCTGGGAGGCTGAGGTGGGAGAATCACTTGAGCCCAGGTGGTTAAGGCTGCAGCAACCTGTGATGGCAATGCTGCACTCCAGCATGGGCAGCAGAGTGAGACCCTGTCTCAAAAAAAAAAATAATAAAATTTTTAAAAAGACACATAATATTAACTTTCACATGTTCACCCTTTGCCAGCTTAGTGCAGATACACATCTCCCTAAACCATACTTCATCTTCAAATAAAAACAATAACAGGGCCATATGCCACATAACATAATACAACTATCCTGTGTGCAACTGAAAACACACTAATTCCTTCTCCAGAAAAGGAGATAAAGTACATGAATGATGTTTACTCTTCTTGATATATTGTAAGATAAATACTGTGATGTAAAGTTTAAAATATTTAAATACTATGATATAAAGCAAATAATCTTATGTTACATGATAAGGAGCTAAGGCAGGGAAGAAAACAAAGATATTTGCTTAACATGTATACACAAACATATTCATAACCAGACAAAGGAGGACATACTCATGACAATTACAATCCTTGTTGCTGTAGGGGTCACATGGTCCTAGGTGGCATTTATAATGACCTTATTCTATGTATTATGCATTCTTTCTGCATTCAGCAAGCACCTCAGCTGGTCATGGTTAACTACCTGATAGGGTGACCAAATCTTCATTCCTGAAGGGTCTGGTTTATTAGTAGTCCTTCCTTAATTGGGTGGCTATAATTTTCCATTGACTTTAATCACAGGACATGAAAATACCCAAACCCCCTAAGGGATCTCCTGTATTCCAGACATATGCTTCCTTACCTCCAGAGTAGACTAGTAGTCCAATTTCCCTTTAGGAGTCAGGATCAATCACCCAATTCAACACAGTAACTCTCTTTGCATATCAATTCAGAGGCATGAGGAGCCCAAAGTGGAAGTTAAGCAGTCTTAACTTCCACTTCAATTTAATCACTGTTGTGTCTTCTCATGGAAGCATTCCTCCCTCTGGAACTAAGACCGCCAGGCCAGCAGAATATAGCAGAGGATAAGATTGTGGTGACAGGAAACAAAATTTTGCTAGTGGGTCACTAGGGATAATGGTGAGATGAGCCACTCTCATTTCCACCACTTGATTCCTGGACCTGTGAAATCTAACTGTTGGAGAAATAACATCATTTATTAGATGCTGATTCAGAGCATATAGAGCCTTCTGTAGAACTTTGCCCCAGGCCTGCAAGGTATTTTCATTTAGCTGGCACTGCAACTGAGTCTTCAACAGGCCATTCCACAACTCTGTCAAGCCAGCAGCTTCTAGATGGTGGGGAACATAAGACCAGTAAATTCTGTGAGCATGGCCTCATTGCTGCACTTATTTTGCAGTGAGTTGAGTTCATTGATCGGAAGCAATGTTGTGTAAAATACCAAGACAGTAGATAAGGGACCCTGTAACTCCATGGACGGTATTTTTGGCAGAAGCATTGTATGCAGGGACAGCAGATTCATATGCAGATTTTGTCTATTGCAGTGAGAACAAAATACTGCCTTTTCCATGATAGAAGCAGTCCAATGTAATTAATTTGTGACCAGGTAGCTGTCTGACCACCTCACACATTTATTTCTCACAGTCATGATTCAAGTTGTGAGTTCTAAACTCCCAGGGTAGATGAGTTTGTCTTAAATGACAAATCCACCCTAACATACTGTGATGGTTAATACTGAGTGTCAACTTGATTAGATTTAAGGATACAAATTTTTGATCCTGGTGTGTCTGTGAGGCTGTTACCAAAGGAGATTAACATTTGAGTTAATGGGCTGGGAAAGGCAGACCTACCCTTAATCTGGGTGGGCACAATATAATCAGCTGCCATCATGGTTAGATTATAAAGCAGGTAGAAACGTGAAAAGAGAGACTGGCCTAGCCTCCTAATCTACATCTTTCTCCCATGCTGGATGCTTCCAGCCCTTGAACATTGGACTCCAGGTTCTTCAGTTTTGGAACTCAGACTGGCTCTCCTCAGCCTGCAGAAGGCCTATTGTGGAACTTTGTGATTGTGCGAGTTAATACTTAATAAACTCCCATATATATATAGAATACATATGTATATTGCATTACTTCTGTCCCTCTAGAGAACCCTGGCTAATATACATACTAATCCCCCTAAGCTTTTAAATTCCTTTCTCCACATTAAACCAAAGCAAGTACGTATTTCTGACTTGCTAATTATTGGTCACCTTTTGGTCCCTGTTTCAGCCAACCAACAAAACAAACTATTAGAACCCCTTTTAACTCCCTGAGCTGCAACATTGGTTAAGAATCACTGCTTAGTGAGCTTATATGAATAATTTAACTTGATCCAACTTTATGTTCCTTTCACCATTATCCCACACCATTAGTATCTGTTCCCACACATGTTCCCTGGATTTTTGTCTGTATAAATTAGAAAGCACAAAGTAGTTCTTTTGGAATATAGTGCACCTCCTTGTTTTACTCATGAGGATGTATACTTCACCTTTAGGCACCTTCTGGACTTTAGCTATAAGTCTAAAAGCAAAGAGGGATCATGGGGATGGGTCCTGAGGAGAACCATTAATCTTACAAGATAACTCTCTCAGGAGAAGCCATTAGAGTTTCTTCAGGCAATACATAGTAAATCCCCTCAAATGGGGATAGAAAAGATGCTTCCACTATGTCTGGAAAGTCTGCTTCCACTGGCAAAAATGATGCAGAATTTAGGGGCTCAATGTCTTAACCTTCATCAGGATCTTCCCACATATCTCCATTTCATCTTTCAGGAACCCCATTACTTCCTTTGCAATCAATGTCCACATTTTAACAGAAGGCAACCTGTGAGGTTGGCAGTTCAAACTTGTATTGTAATTCAGCCAGTTGCATGATAAAGATTTGGTTTTCCACAACCTCAGCCCTGAGCTACAGGAGATAGCAGTCTCCTTCAGGGCTCATATAGAAGCTATCAAGTCATTTACGTAGCACTTGAATTGGGACATTGAATCCTTGAGTTCATCTTTTTCTTTTCCTACTTAATTAAGCAACATTAGGAGCAACCAGCCAATCTCATTATACTTGTTAGTCAGACAGAAGTGTTTAAAAGTATCATATATAATCATGCAGATCCTTCCAAGATTCTTATATGCCATTGATCAGTAGTATGCAATGGTGAGATTTTGTGTATCTGTACTGTCAGACCATGCCACAGACCATCAGTACTTTTTCTACCACTGAAAATAGAATCATTAGCATATTTAAATCTAATCAGATTAGAGAGCAGATTTCATAAACCCCACAACCCATTCAGAAAACTCATCTTAAAATTCTGTTTCTCTTAAACAATAAACATAAGATGGCAGTCTAAAAATTGAAAAAAATTTGCAAACCATATATCTGACAAGGGGTTAATATACTGTATTTATGAAGAATTCATACAACTCAATAGTGGGAAAAACATAACCCAATTAAAATACAGACAAAAAACCTGAATAGACATTTCTCCAAAGAAGACTTAAAAATGGACAACAGGTATATAAAAAGGTGCTTAACATCATTAACCATCAAGAAAATACAAATCAAAACCACTATGGAATATCACCTCATACCCATTAAGAAGGCTATTGACAAAAAGTCAAAAGATAATAAATGTTAGAGACATTGTGAAGAAAAAGAACTCTCGTAATGCTGTCAGTGGAAATGTAGACTGGTGTCGCCAATGTGGAAAACAATATAGAAGTTTCTAAATAAACGAAAAATAGAATTCTCATATGACTCAGCAATATCTTTTCTGGGTATATACCCAAAGGAAATGAAATTACAATCTCATAAAGATATATGTACTCCCATGTTCATTGTATCATTATTCACAATAACTAAGATATAAAAACAACCTAAGTTCCTGTTGACTGGCAAATGGATAAAGAAACTGTACTACATGCATACAATGGACTGTTACTCAGCTTGAAATAATGAGAGCTTGCACTTTGCCACAACACGGTTGAGCTTGGAGAACATTATGCTAGGTGAAATAAACCAGACACAGAAAGAAATTTTTCACATTATCTCACTTATATGTGACATTTTAAAAAATTGTTTAAATATACAGAGACAGAGAACCAAACAGTGGTTACCAGGTGAGGTGGTGGGGGAAGAGGGAGGTGCAAGTCAAAGGATATGAAGAAGCAGATATGTAGGATGAACAAGTATACAGATCTAATGTGTAGGATGAGAACTATGGATAATAAAATTGTACTGCATATGGTATCAGGCTAAATGAATAGATTTTAGCTGCTCTTGCTACAAAAACAACAACCGAAAAAGAAAGGGCATTTTTTTTTTACTATCTATGCATATCCCATAACATCATGTTGTATGCCTTATAATAAATATGCACAGTAAGTATAAAAAAGAAAGAATATAATACATATATTGAGTTTATAGAAAGGGACTTCTAGAAGATTATTGAACCACTAGATGGAAGGGCCTTGGGTCCCTAAATGACTATCTGAAGCAGATCAGCATCACACTCCTCCCCCAGCATGCCACTGACTATGACATGTGAGATGAGTATGTCATGTCTTTTGGCTATGGCATTAGAAAGAGTAATAAACTGTTAAAATACATGTTTTTATTTTTTTATTTTTACTTTTTAAATTTATTTACCTGTCACCCAGGCTGGAGTACAGTGGTGTGATCTCGGCTCACTGCAACCTCTGCCTCCCAGGTTCAAGCAATTCTCCTGGCTCAACCTCCTGAGTAGCTGGGATTATAGGCACCCGCCACCATGTCTAGCTAATTTTTTGTATTTTTAGTAGAGATGGAGTTTTGCCATGTTGGCCAGGCTGGTCTTGAACTCCTGACCTCAGGTGATCCACCTGTCTCGGCCTCCCAAAGTGCTGGGATCCCCGGCCACAATATTGTTAATAGAAAACAAATATTCCTCTAGAACCACTCTCAGTGCCAAAATTTCTATTTGTCAGAATTCTCTAGAGAAGCAGAACCAATAATTATCATCTCTTGGTATCTGTTGGGGGTTGATTCTAGGACCCCTCCATCCTCGAGTATACCAAATCCCAGTAATGCTCAAGTCCCTTATATAAAATGGTGTGGTATCTGTATACAACCTACACATGTTCTCATGTATGCTTTAAATCATCTCTAAATTACTTATAATACCTAATGCAATGTAAATACTATGTAAATAGTTGTTATACTTTATTATTTAGGGAGTAATAAGAAAAGACAAAGTCAGTACATGTTCAGTGCAGATATTCTTTGTTTCAAATATTTTATCTGAAGTTGGTTGCCTCTATATACATACGGAGAGAGAGAGAGAGAGGAAAGAAAGGAAAGAAAGAAAGAAGGAGGGAAGGAAGGAAAGAAAGAGAAAGAAAGAAAGAAAGAAAAAGGAAGAAAGAAAGAAAGAAAGAAAGAGATATATTTATTATAAGGAATTGGCTCATGTGATTATGGGTACTTGAAAGTCCCAGGATCTACAGGGTGAGTCAGGAAGCTGGAGTGGAGACTGAGGAGAGCTGACGGTTTAGTTCCTGTCTGGACTGTCAGGCTTGAGACCTAAAAAGAGCAAATGTCCCAGTTCAAAGGTCATTAGGAAGAAAGACTTCTCTGTTACTTAGCCTTTTTGTTCTACTTGGACCTTCCATTGATTAGATGAGGCCCACCTACATTAGCAAGGGCAATCAATATTCTTTACTCAGCCTACCAATTTAAATGTAATCTCATTCCAAAACATCCTCACAGAAACAGAATAATGTTTGTGTAAATATTTGGGCACCATATGGCCCAGTCAAGTTGACACATAAAATTAACCATCATGGCACTACTAAATCTTGGAGAAGAAACTTCCACCATGGTGGAGCTAGGACTCTTTAAAGATGTAATATTTGAGCAAAAACTTGAATATTATGAAGGAATTGAAGGAATCATGAGATTCTTGGGTAAGAGCCTTTTCCTCAGTTACAGAGGGAAGACCAGAGCCAATGACCATGAGTCACAGCGGGTTACATGCTCTAGGAATAGGAAGGATGCTAAGATAGCTTGTGTGAGAATGAGTGTTGGAAGCAGTGATAATAAAGTTCATAGATATAGCCAGGTGTCAGATCATGCATGGCTTTGTAGGACATCAAAAGGCACATCGATTATATTCTATTTGTGACAAGTAAGGACTAGAAGAATTTGAGCCGGGAAAGGACATTCAGTGCTTTGAGAAAAAAACATAAGATTACGAGACAAGAATAAAAGTAGGAAGATCAATTGAGAGCCTGTTTGTATAATTCAGTTTCATTTTCTTGAAATTAGACTACAGAATGTATACTGGCGGGTTGCGGTAAGTGTCCCAATTTGAATGCTGCTCACTACATAGACAGCCCAACCTTTCATGTGTACCTTCCTTAAGAATTCTGGAGTAAAGTGTGGAAGCTGACATACATTAAGGTTATTGACCACCTCTGATCTCAGAGGGCAGATATTACTCTCAGGATTTCCTTTGCAGCATTAGAAGCTGCAGGCTCATTAGACTCCAAATATGTGAACCACCACCACATGTCAACTTTGATTTAAAGCAAAGGAGCTGGCATTGCTTGAAGGTGAGGTCACTGGAATCGGAGCCTTGATGAAGTTTCTCAGAAAGAAAACATTGTGCTGTGTTTGTGTCTCCCTCACATTCCTCTTTCCCCCTCGCCTCACTTCCCACCACATGTGGGTTGGCTGTTCCTAAGGCCCCAGGGATTGAAGGAAAGGCGTTGAGTTTGGAGCATATCAAAGAGTCTACACAAAACCAGGGAGAAGTCCCCCTCAACCTGGGCACAGTTTTCCAAGGAAAGATATTCTAATTTTGATGGGAGAAAGAGACTGGGAGAAGAAGCTACTTCAGCCTGTTACAGAAAACAACTCTTGGTGTGTGTTCATGGAATTCGCTACATAATAAGGAAGCTGATTCTCCAGCTGTGAGTCAGAGTCTGGCTGATGTAAAACGATGAAAGAAAAAGCCCCTAGAGGTTTACACACAGGCAAAATTTCCAGGATTGTGTCCCCATTAACAAAGGCTGGGACCAGGGAGTAAGGTTACCTGGGTTTCAAGATCAGTCCATTCACAGGGGTCATGCAAGACTGAGCTAGTTAATTTTCTCCTTTGGCTTCAGTGTCCTCTTCTGTAAAGTACGGGTAATAATGTTATTTCGTTTGCAGGGTTAATATGAGGAGGAGAAGACATAATGCATGGGAAAATGCTTTGTAAATTCCAAAGCTATTACCAGTATAAGTTTGTTTTACTTCATACCATTCAACTAATATTTATATTGAAAATCCCTTTGCTTCTATTCCTGTTCTAGGTCTGGAGATTGAACCACAGTCGAGTACCTAGTGGAGACAGAAAGTTAAAATCATGTTGTTTGTTTGTAAAAGTGGAAGTGTTGGTTGGGTGTGAACAGTTTGATTCCTTAGAAGTGAGTTGGAACTCACCTTAGAAGATAGTTATTCATTGTATATCCAAAATTCCTTTCTACTCCAGTCTTTGTCTCAGAAGATGCTATTATATGATACCCATCCAATTGCTCAAAACAAAAGCCTAGGAGTCTTTGTTGATTCTTTTATTTTTTTCTTTTTTTGAGACAGAGTCTTGCTCTCTTGCCCAGGTTGGAGTGCAGTGGCACGACCATGGCTCACTGCAGTCTCAAATTCCTGGGCCCAAGTGATCCTCCCACCTCAGTCTCCCAAGTAGCTAGGACCACAGGCATGCACCATCACCACACATGGCTAGCCCAGCCTTTTTTTTTTTTTTTTTTTTTTTTAGATAGAGGGGTCTCCCTCTGTTGCCCAGGTTGGACTCAAAGTCCTGCGCTCAAGCAATCTTACTGTCTCAGCTGCCCAAAGTATTGGGACTATAGGCATGAACCACTGTACCCTGCCAATTATTTTCTTTACTCCTTCCACATCCAGCCTATCAGAGAGTCCTATTTCCTCTGCCTGAAGAAAATATCTTGAAATCTCTCCTCCCCTGCCCATCTCTACTGCTGTCACTCTGATGCAAGGCCTTCTGTCACTGCTTACATGAAAGTTTCCAACTGCTTTCTCTGTCTCCAGTATTATCATCTATCCTACAGCAAACAGGTCTCTTAAAGATACCATACCATTTCTTCAAGAAGCTGAGGTAGGAGAATCACTTGAATCCCGGAGGCGGAGATTGCAGTGGTCGCACCACTGCACTCCAGCCTGGTGACATAGTGAGACTCCGTCTTAAAAAAAAAAAAAATGCCATACAATTTCCTGCTAACCCCTCTAACCGCCTAGATTTCAAACTCCTTAGCATGGCCACTCATGCCTTATGTCATCTGGCCTCTGTCTTCAAGCTAATTGCTCTCTCCAATGGTTTAGTCTACTATAAGTACACTGGCATTCTTGCTGTACTTCAAGAGAATGTTACTACTATCTTGGAGCATTTCACTGGCTGTTTCCTTTTCCTGAAAAGCTCTGATCCCAGATCATTGCCTCCTTCTCAGGTCTCAGCTCAAATGTCTTGACCTCAGAGAAGCTTCTGTCACCACCCAATATAACGACTGCCAGCCTAGTCACTTTCTGACTATGGTGCTTTTTGTTTCCTGTGCATTTATCATTATTTGCAATGATCTTGTTCAGTTGCTTACATCTTTGTTGTCCATGGTCACCTATCTCAGAAACTCTATGGGAACTGGCATCTTCTTTATCTATCTAGTTCAGTACTGTACCTGGCTGCCAATCTCACCATGATACACAGGAAACCTGGTCAGGTCCACAATCAATAGCTTCAGAGTGGATCCAAAGGCCCCTTTTATTTTTAGGAAAGCACTTTATAGTACCTTTTAGGGCTAAATCTAAAAATCTAACCCACCTAAATCCACCCTAGTTATGCAGGAATATCTAAGGTGAATG
This sequence comes from Homo sapiens, assembly GCF_000001405.40. Classification (NCBI taxonomy): domain Eukaryota; kingdom Metazoa; phylum Chordata; class Mammalia; order Primates; family Hominidae; genus Homo; species Homo sapiens. The sequence goes on along the minus strand of NC_000009.12, from coordinate 115,670,888 downwards.
ACAGGATCTAAGGTAAATTCTGCAGATTTAGAGAAGTTTTCTGTTCAGTGATATCAATTGGTTGTTTTTTGTGTTTTTAAAAAAACAACTCATACTTCAGAAAATTGCTTCCCTGGAAAACAATATTTTTCCTAAATTTGGATTTTGACTTGCCCAGGGCTATAAATCATAGGGTGTTCTTGTGGAGTTATCAGCAGCTGCATACAAAAGGAGAGTAGATGGAAAGGAATTGTCAGCAGGGGTTTGTTGATTGGATATGTTCATCATCTCACTCTGGTGAAAAGCTTGTTAAAAAAAGAAAAAAAGGAATGAACAGAACTCAGCATTGGAAAGAACACAGACTGAATACCCTTACTTGGTATTATTTACCAAAGCATAGACATGTACCAAACAAGGAAGAACACCTTGTATACTCTGGATCAAGGGGCCATAATAAGTGTAAGTGGGTAAGTGTAAGGTTAAGGTTAAGGTGAATAAGTGTAAGGTGAAGCAAATGTATATTCTCTGTCATCAATTACACAGGAAATTTTGTAATCCTGTTGCAGAAGATGAGGCCTGGGGCAAAATGGCTTTAGAAAGGGAGAACAAGGCCAGGCGCGGTGGCTCACACTTGTAATCCCAGCACTATGGGAGGCCAAGGTGGGTGGACCCCTTGAGGCCAGGAGTTCAAGACCAGACTGGTCAACATGGCAAAACCCCGTCTCTACTAAAAATACAAGAAAATTAGCTGGGCATGGTGGTGCATGCCTGTAATCCCAGCTATTTGGGAGGCCAAGGCAGGAGAATCGCTTGAACCTGGGAGGCAGAGGTGGCAGTGAGCTGAGATCATGGCACCGACCTCCAGCCTGGGCAATAGAGCAAAATTCTGTCTCAAAAAAAGAAAAGAAAAGAAAGAGAGAGAAAAAAAGAAAGAGAACAAAAGGTTTCCACTTTTATTTATTTATTTATTTTAATTTTTTTATCTTTTTCTGAGACAGAGTCTCGCTTTGTCGCCCAGGCTAGAGTGCAGTGGTGCAATCTTGGCTCACTGCCACCTCTGCCTCCTGGGTTTAAGCAATTCTCCTGCCTCAGCCTCCCGAGTAGCTGGGACTACAGGCACATGCCACCACGCCTGGCTATTTTTTTTTTTTTTTTTTTTTGTATTTTTTAGTAGAGACCGGGTTTCACCGTGTTAGCCAGGATGGTCTCCATCTCCTGACCTCGTGATCTGCTCGTCTTGGCCTCCCAAACTGTTGGGATTACAGGCATGAGCCATTGCTCCCAGCCAAGTTTCCACTTTTCTATGGGGACATTACATAAGACTAATGTCAAGTGTCAAGTAAAAGGCAGATGCTTGGAAAACCCCATGCAATTGTTGGGGGAGGTGAATGGGGGTGGGATGGCATTGGGAACTGATACCTGCTTTTAAAGGAAGACTGAGAGCTAGTCAGGTATGAGTAGGTAAGGAACCATGGCATTGCATTTGACCTGTGGATTCTGAATGAAGCCACTTCCAGTGGCAATTATAAGTTACTCTCTGTGTTGTGTATCAATTTCATTATCCCCAGCTTCTTAGGAGTGTCCCCTCACCCTTGGTCAAGTCAGGAGGTAAGAATGATCCCAGTCTACTGAGGACACTGTGCCCACTGGAGTGGCAATCTGGTGAGGACCAATGGCAACCAACGAAGTTAGATGATACCACAACCAAGAGGCAGATGGCAGGAAATAAATAAAGAAATGGCTCTGTCTACATGTGCTAAAGTGGAACTTGGAAAATCCCCTACAGGATCAAGAGACATAGGTGGGGTGGAGCACCATTTTTTGGCAAGTAGGCTGGCTGAAGCTGATACTAGAGTAATTTTGCTATAAAAAGAAATGTGGCTTATTTTAGAGTACCGAGCTGCTTGTCTAGAGGAAAACAGCTCACACAGAGATGAGGAAGACACAGCTCACAGGATACTTACAGTTGGAATAAGCTATTTCAGTGCCTTTCAGGACTCACATAATCCTTTCGATGCCCCTCAGTGAGCTATGCACAAGTGTTCATTTTTCAATTCCCATTTTGGAAAATAGCTGAGCCCTTTACAAAGCCTAGCAAGAACTCCACATGTGAGGAAACATAGAAAAGGGCTTCTGAAAACTTATCCTGAAGAAACAAATTCTTCAGTCTGGAAAGGAAGATGAGTCAATCACACATTCCAGAAGAGGTAAGTTACCCAACATATTCTTATGTTGCACACAGGCCTGGCTCCACAAGCATGAGATAAGTGCAGCCACACAGGACCAACACTTGGAAAGGCACCGTACTTTGGGCTTAAAGCTCCACAGTCACTTTCTTGAAATCCTTAATTTTTTGTTTGAACTTGTATTGTGGAAGTGAAATCTGATAGGACAATGGAGCATGTTTCAGGACTTGGAGTCTTAGTCCTATGGACCCTACAGCCTGCTGCCTTCTCACCTCCCCTGGATAGGTTTTCAGCCACCTGCTCCAGGTCCCTGGTACTTAGTACCTGGGATTCCAGCCAGCCATCCCCTCCAAGCCCCTGCTCTGTGACTGTTGCTGCCCTCCAGCCAGGATTGTGAGGACCCTGGTAGTGTCATCAGGGGTGAGAAGCCTATGTTCACTGTCATCATCCATCTCCAGTTGGGGTCTGCTCATGGTGCAGGGTGGGCAGATCAGGATCAGATGTGCATGCCCTGTGGTGTCTCTAGGAGTGTACGGCAGCAACATGCCCTGCCACGGGTTAGTCCCAGTATTAGGACTGAAATTCTTTAGTGGTTTCCTATCCCAGTGGGTTGGAGCAATGAACTCTGGAAAGAAAAGACTGAATTCTGTGCTCCCAGTTAGGGCATTCCACTCCAGTGTGGAGGTTGATGGGAAAGAGAACCAGGCAGCAAGATGCACACAGCAGATTATGGGACAGACCTTGGTCACCTGGGAGGGTCTGCTCACATGCAATGAGTATCTTCCTGTTAGAGGGTGACATTGAATAGTGTTAAATAAAGTTTATAGGAGGGCATGGGTTTGGACTGAGCTCCTGCACTCGGCCAAACAGACAGAACCAAAGTGGAGTTACTTATGTGGAAGTTCCACACCACCAAGCCAAAACTAAGTTGTTTATCTGACTTTTCAAGAAGTCAGAAGTGAGAGAAATAATAGCTAAATCCCCAAACAGGCCAGTTTTACCCTGAGAAGAAAGTCACATTTGCTTTAACTTTTACAAGAAAAATAACTTTGAAACAACCAACCCACTTTTTATTCTGTTTCTGCTTTCCTCAGCCCTTTTCTGTCTATTAAGTGAACTTCCTCTGCTCAACTCATCAGAACACTCATACTATTTGATAAAATGAGGTGCTGTCCAAATCTGGAATTGCAAAAGAAACCCAACTAAGGTCTTTAAATTTATTGTAATTTTGTCTCTTGACAATAGCAAACAATATGACAACTCGGGAGGAGACTGGTGAAGAAGGAAAATATTATATTTTAATATAGTTCGTGGCACTTTTTATGTTTGTTAAACAAGGAGCCTCACAAATTGTATAGCCAGCCTTGGTTGCATGCATAGTTTTGTGGCTCTTCAGATAGTCCTTGTGTTCCTGCCTACAGCCTTTATCTGCCCAAGAAGGCAAGCCTGGACATTTCTCAAAGACAGTGCCAGGACTTAGAACGTTGAAAAGCTGAGAAATCTGGTGATAGAGGCAACAGAGAAGGATAGGAGCAAACCAAGAATTAGTAGAAAGTCTGAGAAGATACGAGCTGTCCCCAAAGTTTCAGTTTAGCCAGCTTACTGCACTTTCTAGAAATGGGTGGGAAGAGCGCCTAAGCAAAATCTATCCCTAAAAAACCAATCTGCAGAACTATGTGAAGTCAGCAGCATGGCTAGAGGGTGTGTTTCTTACTGGATTCTGAGGGGGTTTTTAGGTGTTTTTTTCACCCAAATATGCCCAAGACAAACTTAAATGTTACACTTATAAAACTCCAATACATCAGAGAGGAGAAAGCAAAAGAAACGTCTTAGCGTTCACCCCATACAATTTACAGATGAGGAGTAGGAGATCTATACCACTGCCAAGGGGGGCAGAAGAAATGCTCAAATGTATTAGAATAACCTGGTTAGTGACAGAATTTGGAAAAGAACTTCTGAGACCCAATCCAGGGAAGTTTCCATTAAATCTGAGTTTGTTTCTTTCTTTTTCTTTCTTTCTTTTTTTCTTTCTTTCTTTCTTTCTTTCCTTCCTTCCTTCCTTCCTTCCTTCCTTCCTTCCTTCCTTCCTTCCTTCTTTCTTTCTTTCTTTTTCTTTCTTTCTTTCTTTCTCTTTCTTTTGTTCGTTAGCTTTCATTTTTACAAATATTAAATGTGAAAAGGCCAGAATTTGCCTTAAAATATACCATGTGTGGAGTGTCTGCTTGCTACATGACAGGCCTTGAACATTCACACTTTAACATCCAACAGTGTTAGAAACATATTATCATGACCCTATTTACAAGAGAGGATGTGAAGGCACAGAGAGTACAAATTGTGTAGTCTGTATATAAGCTGAGATTTAAATCCAGGTTAGTATACTCTAAGCCTGTTGTAATGGGTTCAGTGAAACCCAAAATTCAAATCCACCTGGAACCTGTAAATGTGACCTTATTTGAAAAGAGGGTCTTTGCAGCTGTGATCTGAGGTCATCCTGGATTACCTGGATGGGTCCTGAATCCAGTGAAAAGTGTCCTGATAGGATACAAAAGAAAAGATATAGGATATGGTTTGCCTGTGTCTTCACCCAAATCTCACTTGAATTGTAGCTCCCATAAACCCTACATGTTGAAGGAAGGGACCTGATGGGAGATAATTGAATCATGGGGATGTTCACCTCCATGCTGCTGTTCTTGTGATAGTGAGTTCTCATGAGATCTGATGGTTTTACAAGCGGCTTTTTCCCCTTTTGTTTGGCACTTCTCCTTCCTGCCATCCAGTGAAGAAGGGCTGTTTGCTTCCCCTTCCACCATGATTTTAAGTTTCCTGAGGCCTCCTCAGCCAGACAGAATTGTGAGTCAATTAAACCTCCTTCCCTTATAAATTAACCAGTCTTGGGTAGTTCTTTATATCAGCATGAGAATGGACTAATACAGACACACAGAGAAGATGATGTAAAGATAGAGGCAGAAAACTGGAATGATGTGTCTATAAGTCAAAGAATGCCAAGGATTTCTAGCAGCTCTTAAAAGCCAGGAGAGAGGCATGAAACAGATTCTACCTCAAAGCCTCCAGAAGGATTCCACACTGCTGACACCTTGATTTTAGACTTCTGCCCACCGACCTACGAGAGAATAAATTTCTGTTGGCTTATGCCACCAAGTTTGTGATAATTTGTTATGACATCCCTAAGAAACAAATACCTTTCTTTTTCACATCTTATAGCTTTATATATATACTTTTCTTTGTTTTGCTCCCTTTTAGTTTCAAGGCTTGTCCTGACAGGAAGATTCTATAGATAATGGATAAAAAGGAATTAAAAGAAAACATCTCATATCTGATTGCTATTTTCAAAGCCATTTCTGGATCAGTTGATTCCATTACACAAGCAAGAATTCTTAAAATGAATTTCCTTGGAAAAATGAGAGGAAGCACCCATAATAAATTACAAGCCATTGCTCCAGTTGCTTTTTGTTTAAAAAAAAAAAAAGACCACTGAAATGATTCATAAATCATGTGATTTTAATACTGCAGATACCATACAAAACTTTGTTGTTTACCAGGACTTTTATTTCACATGCATGATCTCATATCATTCCCAAGTCAAGCCTATATTTTTGTGTTATTTTATTCATGAAAATACAATGGATCAGTGAGTTACCTTCCCAGGGTACCATGATTAGTATGTGTTAGAATAGGGACTTAAGCTCAGCTCACTTGCTCAAATGCTTTTACCATTATGAAATAAAGGCATAGCCCCCTCGTATTCTTGATGGAGAAGTGACTTACTTGTTGAACTTTTTGTAGAAGTAGAAGAGAAGCCAAAAGACAATTGGAAGGATTACACTCCAGACTTTTACTTTTCTTATCTGGTCTGGTTCAAAGCATTTTCTGAATAAAGAAACATTTTATTGTGTGAGGCATTTTGGAATTCAATATTGGGATTAAAGTCATAAAACTACCAGACGTTTTAGAGCAAAATCTCTAAACGTGCTAGAGAATGTACTGTGATGCCCGCCACTTAAACACATTTGAGACACAGACTTGGAAGAGGAGCCTCATTTTTCTAGTTTCCACAAATGGTCATATTCAGGGTAGTACTAAAATGGGAGTGGGGGAATGCTTTGAAGCTTATGACATTTGTACACTTTTCCCTGCCTTTATAACTTTGATCCTATCCCTGAAACAGAAGATATTGTCATCATTTTACAGATGAGGAAATTGAGGCTTAGAGGAATCTAATGACTTACCCAAGGTAACAGAGCAAGAAAAGCTTCGTCGCTGGGATTCTGATTCTGGATTTACACACTCCTCATTCCATCTGACTTCATAATGAAATCACACTGTAGAGGTAAATTTAATTCCTGTTAATGGACCAGAAATGTTATGAAGTGTCATCTGCAGGGTAGGACGCTGAGTGACAGAAATCATTAATGGCTCCAAGTAGCTCACAGTCAAGTAGGAGAAAGGGGAAAAAATGCCTCAGCACAGTACCTACATTACAACTACCATTCTGAAGGCAGTTGTCCCTCCGTATCTGTAGGGAATTGGTTAAACAACCTTGAGAGTACACCAAAATCCAAGGATGCTCAAGTCTGTGTTATAAAATGGTGAGGTATTTGCATATAATGTATTCACTTCTTCTGTATAATTTGAATCATTTCTTGCCTACTTATAATACTTAATACAATGTAAATGCTTTGTAAATAGGTGTTTAACTCTATTGTTTAGAGAATAAAAACCAATAATGAGTCTGTACATGTTCAGTAGACATGCAATTATTTTTTACTATTTTCAACCTGTATTGGTTGAATCTATAGATATGGAACCCATGGATGTGGAGAGCCAACTTTACTTTCAATTTTAACAGTTTATACCTGAGCCTTTACCATCAGCTCTGTGTAGTTAGGCATATATTCTGTACTATCTAGCATGCCAACTAGAAACAACAAGGTTCTGACTATTAGTAATTAATACAATACAGAAATGTACTAGCTGTTTTATTTAGAATGCTGATAATTGACAATTCCAGGGCTGGTTCTGTGGCTCAATGATGCCATCAAGGACCTAGATTTTTATCTGTGTGCTTTTCACTTCATGGTTATAGAATAGCTGCTCCAGCACCAGACCTCACATACTAGTGTCCTAAAGCAAGGCAATAAGAGTTCTGTAAAACGGTTCTCTTTTTATCACAGACTTACTCTGAGCCAAGCGTTGTACTTCTCTTATTTAATTTTCATGGAAACAAAACAACCTTGAGAATATCATATTTTCTACACCTTACAGGTAAGGCAGTTAGATTTGTCCCAAGTATGAGCTCAGAATTCAAACTCAGGTCCAAAATATTCTGAAGGGTAGGGCTTTAACCATCAAGATGCTATGAAACTTGCTTTGCTAAACATGATAAAACCATTAAGGTAAAATGCATACATTAATCATATATTTGTAGGCTTATCATATAGTGGTTCAAATAGTTAATAAAATTTATTTCCCTCCTTCATTTTACAGACAAGGACACTGTAGGAAAGAAAAAAGAGAATCTTTGAAAGTCATACCACTGTTTAGTGGAGAGCCAGGTCCCAGGCCTCAACTTACATCTCCTGCTCCACCTTTCTCCTTTTATCCCGTTGGTTTTATTCTATTTCTGCCTATGACAGGATGGGCCTAAGATGAGTATATGCTTTATATGTTTCAGTGAGAAGGTGGGGAAAGGGAAGTAGAGAGGGGTACACTTTGCTGCCATATCTCAGGCAAGGCTCGAATACCAAGAATTTTCCTCCCTTTCTCATAAGAAAATGTCAGGAAAGAAACCACTTCAAGATGCTTCTATCTTCCTATGCAGGGGGTGGGGGTGGGAAGGAAGGAAAAAGAGAGAAAGAAAAGAAAGTAAAAGCCTAGAATGTCTTTCCATCTATATTACCAGAAAAAAACACTCTTTTAACCACTGCTTACCTGCTTACATCAGATGAGAGACTTTTTAAAATCATTTTTCTTTTTCTTTTTTTTTCATACCTTCACTTCCTGAGGTTTAAGACAGTGCTGGTGAACGTAAGCAAATGAGGTGGAACAGTGTGCTTAGGTTTGCCCTGGCTGAGAGAATCATTCCTCTAATGTTCTTTCTATTCTTTTCTCATTCTTGGCTATGCTGTTGTCACTTTCTCTGCACTGAAATCTTTCCAAGCCTCATGATTCCTTAAGTCTTATGTATGGTCCATAAAAAATAGACTCATGATTCCTTGTTTTGGTAGCAATTTTCAATTAGCTTTGACCCTGGTGATCCTCTCCAAGGTCCTGTGATTTTTGTTGCCTCATTTAATGTAACTGATGAATTTGGGTGGGGCATGGAGTAGAACCTAATAAAGAATTGTACCTCCGTAATGGAAAACAAAAGCCAATAATATTTTTACATACATTCTGAAAAATTTAAACTATAGAGAGAATGTAGCATGCATATTGGGGTCTTAAATCAGCCTAATTTTCCAGACAAATTAGATAATTAACAAAGATCTTCTTAAAGGGTCATTAGCAAAGTAAGATTTGAACATGTGACAATTACAATACATGTTTTTCTCATAAAACAGCCAACATGATGACTAGTAATTAACCTCAGAACTGACAGAGCATTATTCCTTCTGTTTCTTTCCCAAGCAAAATTGTACCAAAATGGCAAGGAAATCCCAAGGGATCTGTTAATTTTCTCAGTGCAAATTAATTTTATGTATTTATTATTTATACCATACATTTGACCAAACAAAATCTATCTGGCATCTCAATGGTAATGTCAGTATCTTGAAATCTTATTTATTTCTCACAATCTATAGTAAAATGATTTCAAGTCATATCTCCTGCTTATAGAGATAATATGTCTAGTTTTTTTTTATAAAACAGGAGCTCTAGATAATATATTGTGTTTATTAAATGGAAGGTAACTAGCATTTTTTGAGCACATATAAAGTGCTAGGTATGAAACTAGATGACTTTTTCTGTTCATTTGATTCTTCCAACAACTTTCTTGGATAGGTTTTATTAATCCCATTTCATGGGTAAGAACCCTGAGGATTAGAGGAAAGCAAAATTATTGGAATAGGATCCATCTGGTTTCTAATCCTGTGCTTTCTTTTACACCACAGTGCATATGCACACACACTTACAAACATGTACTATAAGCCCATTTATATTTTGTACTACAATTTTTCTAATATGACTGCAAGGTAGAGCATGAAAAATGATCCATTTAGGTTGAGTCCTTCTAGAGTCACACATTCAAAGTCAACAAATGCAAGGCATACCATTGTCATTTGTGATCCTTTCCAAATATCTAAGTGTATCTGTGAGAGATATAACCTGTGCTAGCTTGATGACACTCATTGCATAGGCTAGCCATGAACCTTTTCGAAGAATGTGGAGAAGGAATGGCAAACAAAATGTGGCTGCATCCTATCCATCTTCTTGGGTTGCCTGGGTGTTTCTTCCTCCAGGAATCATTCCAACTGCAAACTGAGTGTTTCTTTTTCCCTGAATTCCCCTTTTTAGAGCAGTGTTGCTACAACACTCATATACATACAAATTATCTGGAACATATGTTAAAATGCAGTAGGTCTGAGGTGGTGCCTGATACCCTGCATTATTAAGCTTCCAGGCGATACTGATGCTGCGAGTCCATAAACTACTCATTGAATATAGCAAGAGTTTCGAGCACTCTCGACTTCTTGCCTTATCTGATTCTTTTTTTAATTTATAGGCCTTACTTCTCCAACTGAATTATTGTCATTTTTTGGCAATCTGATTGCAGCTTTAAAAATTCATGTTCAAGAACGTCCCTGAACAATCTAAATGGACATTCAGTGACACTATCACATACACTTGTTTTAATTATTGGAATGGGATTTATCATTTCTCTCCACACCCCTATCCCCGCCCACACACATTATAGAGTAAGAGTGTAATTTTTTTTCAGCTGGAACCCACACATTAAAATATTACGTGATACAGAGTAGACAAACTCTTTTTTTCTTACTACCAATTTCATTTTCTTTATAGTTAATGTAAGATTCTACCATAAACATGGTATGGTAACTCTAATAGTTTTCTGTGTTCTTTAAAGTTCATTATTTTTGTAGTTTATAGCACAGCAGTTAGGCTGAATTGAGGGCTACTAACAAAAAATGCCATATTAAACCAAAAGCTTTTGTGTATGGATACAAGTGTCTGTGTAAGTATAAAATATGCATAGTATAAAATATAAAATAAATTATATATATTCCACTTGGATTCCTATCCTATCTGTGCTGGTTTTTGAGATTCTTGGTTAAAATTAAGTAAAGCACAATCTTTTTCCTGGGAAGAAAAAATCCAGTATTGATTTTTCTTTATTGACCAATCATACATTGCAGCATAAATATTTATGATGGCTACACATAATAAAAAGAATAAGTTAAATACCACAGAGGAAAATGAAATGTAAATGGGAAATGATTCCTCGTGGGTAATACATCACTTTATAATCTTATGTTACTTTAAGAAGCACCTAACAGCTTTCTAGAATCAATGCTCAGATTACAAAACCTTCATCATCACAAACAGACATTTGCAATTTGGTCTCCTGTCCTCTTGGGGCTCACTCGTGTCAGGTTTATTTGGCGATTTAGCAAGTGAAATACAATATATATGCAAAGCCCTTCTAAAGTGGCCGGGTGTTTAAATTGAACTCTTCTAATATTTTAGAGCGTTTTTGTAGATTCCCCAAATGTCAGAGTTGAAAGGAGCCATAGAGATCATTATTCCATGGTTCTTATTTTATGGTGAAGGGAAAGGAAATACAGAGAGGAAAAGTGCTGGTCTGAGATCACACACAGCACGTTGTTAGTTGAGCAAGAGTTGTATGTGGCTCCCAGTCTTCCAGTACAGTGTCTCTCCTGAGCAAGTCTCTAATTTTGGAGAGCAGAGAGTGATGTGGAAAGGGCAGCAGGGATGCAGTATGAGTAGAGTGTGGATAGCTCAGATAATAAAAGATGAATTTTCCTTAAATGCTTAGCCAGGCAGGTTTAAAATTCTAAAGGACACAGTAAAACAGTAAACAGCAGCTCTTTTTTTTTCTGGAGTTGTTAATGACTTGGTTAGAATATGTGGAGACAGCCATTTGGTTGGACATCAATTTCTGTCTTATTTATCTCAGAAGGCTGGTGAATGATACTGAAGGGTTTTCAGTATCAGTCTCTAAAAGTCTTTAAGTGGTAGTCACAAAGATGTTTAAGAAAAAGTGGGTCCTCACTGCCACCTTCTTTTCCATTACTTAGTCTTGTGAGGCAAGTAACTTCCATTTTTATAGACTTAGCCCCTTTTGATAATTCAAGAAGGTGGAAGATGGGATACCCCAGTAAATATTATCTACAGAATTAGAGATTCTAAATGTACAATGCATATGTGTTTGAATGTGAGCAATATTAGTAAATTAAAATTTATGTTATACAGTTAAAAATACACTATGCATTTATCTTCTACATACTATTTATGGGAAAGAGGAAGAGAACATAGGACTTCTGCCTTTTTTATTGTCTTTCAGTCTCTTCCCAATTATTGTAGCAGGAAATATATAACGCCTCCCTTCTTTGTCATCAACCTCCTTAAACATGCTTACTGAACAAGATTCTCAAATGGCAAATGGTTATGAAAATACATTTCAGTGAGATAACTTCAGGAATCAGACATATATCTAAACTGGGTAGAGATTATAAACCCTTTATTCAAAACTGTTATGTTTGTCCTCAAAAGGAAGTGCTTTTTGGGTGAAATATGTGTGTCTCTGTGTGTGTGTGTGATTCTATCTATCTATCTATCTATCTATCTATCTATCTATCTATCTATCTATCTGCATGTATGTATTTTTAAAGAAAAGAGCAGAAGAAAGTAATAGCTGCTATCTTGCATCAAAAATGCAGATATTCAAGGTAACTTGAGTATTCATACCAGGTCAGCAATACAATGCAGTTTGAGAGTTAAAAGAACTCCCTCAATAGCTCTAAAACCAGAGTCCGGATGACGAAAAGGATACCTGATGTTTGAATTGCCTTTGCAACTACATTTTTTAGTGCGTTCAAATTGCAGCTCGATAACATTTATAGTTCTCTGCAGCCATAATATACCTCCATGGGATTTGAAAGGAGATCAAAGAAGCAGGAAAGATATTTCTATTCCCAAATTCTTACTAGGAAAAGATCGGCACATGTCAAATAGCTTTTAATGTCCACAAACCCAGTTCTGTATACACACAAGGCCATTTCCATTAGTAAAACCTACACTTTTCTCATCGAAAATCTGTTCAACTCCAAAGAGGAAAGAAACTCTGCTGTGAATGTTAATAGTTATAGATGTTAGCCTTCAAAGGAACTTTCTCAACATTTTAAGTCCCTTTCCCATTGGTTACAGAATATAAACATGCCTTTTATTAAGAGAACTTGCTCTACATAAATTCCTACTTTTGCTTAAATAATTGAAGTAGGTGCAGGAAAAGTAGAATATTTTAAAGAAAGGATTTTTCACTTTGTAAACAAGGCTTGACAAATTTCAGAAAAGCATACCATATGCATAGCATATCTCTTCTCTAAGATCCACATTGCACATATATTAAAATGGAACAGAAGCAAAAGTAAACAAATTAAAATGATTTTCTCTACAGAGGAGGGAGGAGACAAATAGAGGGTACAAATAAAATCTAGATTTCTCTGAATGTATCTCATTTTGTAAATTTTACTTTGGAGCCATAGTAAATATATTACATCATTCTAAAAAAATAAAAGAAACCGGGAAATATATAAAAATTGAAAGCAAAACATAATAAATGGATGTGTGTATTCAGCTGGTGACAAAGACACACACGAAAGATTTATTTTAGTTGACTATAAAGCACAATGAAGTGGAAATATACACCAAGAACAAAATAAAATGCAAGAAACTTCTTAACTTGCTTTCAGCAGTCATATTGATAGTAAAAACATTGGCTTGTATTCTAATATTATTAGCTATTTTAATTGGATAAAACATATAAGTGCTTGGGAACCAAAATTTTTCATCAGATAATTTAAAATCAAGATGTTAAACAAACCAAAGATTACCCAATTTTGAATTAGAAATAGTATGACTTTGTGAAATATTTTATCTTAAAGATATACATATTTCCTAGTTCTGTCCACAAAAAGCATTAGAAACAACGTTTGACCAGTACTAACCAGTAGCAAGAAGTCCCTCTAATTTCCAGGTGACTGCTTCAAGATGTCAGTTCCCACTAACGAGAACAAGGGCACCTTGAAGAAATGATTAATTACTTCTGGATCTGGTGTCAGAAACTTACAAGATGAGCCTGAGATATTGTATCATACCTAGAAAGCAACTCTATTAAGAAATGAGAATATGTCAAAAGGACTTAGGAGTTCCCCAAAAATATTCTCAGGAGTTGGCCAAAAAGTGGGAGAGTTTGGGCCATGAAAAGACTAATAACTGAAATAGATTAAAATATATACAATGTTTTATAATCCATGAGTTCATAAGGACACCTTTAAACAAAGTCACAAACTCACATTTTTCACCTTTATATGAGCCAATATATTCTGAAAACTTCTAAACAAGAAGAAAAACACAATCATTAATTCTTCTTCTCCATAATAACTGTATATTATTATCCAAATATTTATGGAAGATATTTCTTTATAGAACAATTGCCGCTATTAAACCTAGGGGTAATAATAGACTCTTAACATTTTGGCATCCCTCATGAAATAATAATAAATCTAGGCAATGAACATTCATGGATTTTAAAACCTTAGGTGAAATGCCAATGAGGAACTTTAAGAAGTTTAATCATCATTTAGCTCCTACTTATAAGTGAGAATATGCAGTATTTGGTGGAGAGTTCTGTATATTAGCTAAATGATGAGAGCACATGGACACATAGAGGGGAACAACACACACTGTGGCCTATTGGAGGGTCAAGGGCGAGAGGAGGGAGAGGATCAGAAAAAATAACTAATGAGTAATAGGCTTAATACCTGGATGATGAAATAATCTGTAGAACAAATCCCCATAACACAGGTTTACCTGTGTAGCAAACCTGCACACGTACCTCTGAACTTAAAGTTAAAAGTCTGACATTGTGGAAAGATTAAAAAAAAAAAAAAAAAGAGTAAGATAAATTAGTTAAGTCATGGAGATGCCAAACACTAAGTTTGGAAACTTAAACAGGAAGCAGGAGACAAAAATTAACAATTCATAATAAATCTGATAAGGCCTAAAAATTGTTCAGTCAGATGGAAAACACTTGAATCAACTAATTAATCTTAACATCAGAAGAATAGACATCATCAAACATGAATTATCTTCTGATATGATGGAATAGGAACCGATAGATTGCCTCCTATAAAGTATTCAAACCTTACCAGTTCACAGAAAATACAAGACTAAAGTAAGATATTAAATAAAAATGCAATATAAAAATTCAGAATGAGAAAAATTCTGAAAGACAAGATACCAAGTTTCTGCAACACACAAATTACATACAAGCTCAGGTGCACAAGCACATACGCACAAAGAGGGATAAGGAACCTGTACATTAAAATGCATTGCAGAGACATATCATTCAGATTAATTGTTTTAGATCTTGTTTGCATCCTGCCTTAAAATTATGCTAAAATTATATATATTAGACAGTCAGGGAAATCTGAATATGGGGCACATATTTTACACCATGAAGAGATTTTTTTGGTATGATCTTTATATTGTGGTTATATTTTTCTGAAAGATTCTTAATTTTAGAGATGTATATTGAAATATTTATGTTTGAATGGCCAAGTGGTGTCTGGACTGGCTTCAAACTAATCCAGTAGTGTCTTGGGTAGAGGGGAGACAGGGGCAGGGAGATGGGGTGAATGAAACAAGATTAACAACATACTAAAACTAGTTGAAGTTAAGTATTTATTATACTAATTTCTCTATGTGTGTATATGTTTGAATATTTCAATGATGAAAAGTTTTTAAAATGGTAAAATAGGGTTTAACACATATTTCTTATAATGATAAACCACACTAAAGAATTAGTACATTTTTTATAGCAAGTAACAGAAACTCAGCTTAAACTAGTTTAAGCAAAAGGGAAAAAAACGAAATGTATTTGATGTATTTGTTTAAATTACTGAAAGTTCCAGAGATGGAGCTGGCTCAGAAACTGAAGATTCAAATGTCAACTTGTTCCGTTTCTTTTTCCTTTTGGCCCATCCCTGTCTCTCTGTAACCTCATCTTCCCTGTTTCCCTCATCCTCTCTCTCCTCTTGTTTCCACTTCCTTTTCTTTGTAACTCATTTCTCCTTCCTGCAGCCAGCATTAATTTATGAGAAGAGGGAGACAAATCCAATAATATACAATCCCAGTTTAGTATCCCTAGAAAAGACAGACTCTCTCCCAGTGAAGGTCTTACTGGTTTCAATAACAGAGTTGAATTGAATTATTATAAGCCCCAGTCATGGCTCAGTCACCTCTCGTCCACTTAAGGATTCTCTCTGGTTTACTTTATTCTAATTTTTGGCTCTTTCATCCCTAATTCTTATTATCATTTATTTTCCCTGACCCTTAGCAAAAATATTGCCTCATATTTTGTTATAATATACTTTTCTATATAAGTACCTTTGTAAAATATATATTATGGTTTTGCATGCATATATACTTACGATAAATATCTCATCTAAAATTAATCTTTTTTGCCTTTAAAATATTGTTTTAAAAATAATTTTATTCGGGTGTATTTACATGCAGTAAGATGCACAGTTCTTAAGTGTACAGTTAAATGAGTTTGACAAATGTCTATTCCTGTGTAATGGACACCATAGCCAAAACATAGAACATTTCCATCACCCTGGAAAATGTCCTTCTCTCCCTTTACAGCAAATCCCAAAATAGATGCAACTACTGTTCTGATTTCTATTACCACAGATTAGTTTGCATGTTTAACTTCATAAACATGGAATCACATGGTACGTACTCCTTGATGTCTGGCATCTTTTATTCCACTTAATATTTGTGAGATTCATCCAAGTGTTTGCCTATATCAGTAATTTTTAAATTATTATTTTGTCACTTATTAATATTCTACAGTAAAAGTATAACACTATGTTTTAATAAAGGTATGTGTGCATCTAGTTCCTTTCTTCTGACTACTTCATAGCATTCTGCAATATGCACCTTGTATATTTTATTCATCCAGTCCCCTGGTCACAGACGCTTAGGTTGTCTCTCAACCCCTACCAGCAGAAAATAATGCTGCAGTAAACATCTTTGAATCCATTCCCTTTAGGATCTGTGTGAGAATTATTTGGAGCCAATAAACATTCTCATTTCATTAAAAAACAGTTGCTTTCTAGAATGCTCACATCAGTTTTCATTCTTCTTAGAAGCACTTCCAGGCATTGTTTACCCATATAATCGCCATGCATAACAATACAATAAGTTAAAAAATACTAACCAGTTTTCAATATTTAGAGCAAGACTGTACAATAGAAATTTCTGTGATGAAGGAAATATTCTATATCTTCAATGTGCAAAATGGTATCTACTTGCTACATGGAGTTATTGAATGCTGGAAATGTGGCTAGTATCACTGAGACACTGAATTTTAAATTTAATTTTCATTAATTAGTCACCTGTGTTGAGTGGATACCATGTTGGACAGTGTTCATTTCTAGTCCATCAGGATGATGACATTGGACTTAGATTCTGAGACTAGTGGGGAGTCACTGGAAAGAGTTGGAAGAGAATGGTATAATACAACTTGCACTTTAGATCATTCCAGGAGGGGTGGAGAATGAGTGAGTGGAGTGGGGTTAAACAGAAGTCAGAGAATATTAGCTGGAATGCTATTGTAGTGATGCTAGCTAGAGAAGATGGTAGCTTGTGTTAAGAGCTGCAAGGCTTGAGAGAACAGTCAAGAATTTAAGTGGAAACACTAATAAGACTCACAGAGTGACTTCAGTAGGGGATCAGAATGAAGAATCAACAATAAATTTGAAGTTTCTAGCTTGAACACCAGGATACATGGCTGTACATCATCTCTGGTAAAAAAATAAAAGGTCCCAGCAAATTCACGTGGAAAAATCACCCATCCACCAGGGGTGGTGATGCAAACTTAGCTGCAGTCCTTTGAGTCATGGAAAGATTGTGTCTGTGGACAGATTCTCTCAGGCTCGGGAACCCTATTACTGCTCTTGTTTCACCAAGGTTCACACCAAAGGTCACCTTGATCTTTCACAAACCATCTTTTGCTCAGTCATATGATGACATCTTTTAGCACAAGAGGAATGAAGCGACCTGGGGAAACTTGCATGTATCTGGAAGCTGTGAGGTTGACACAGAAGGAAAAGTCTGGGAACTGATGTGCAACCATTGTTTAATGTTGCAGGCAATTAGTGAGCAGGAACAGCTGCTATGGTTAAACTGTTAAAAATGCCAAAGTAAGTGATACAGAGCATATGTGATAGGTTTTATCTCCAAAGAACTACTTTGAGGATTATATTGACATAATTTGCCGATCATATTTTCCCCCTTTGAAATGATTTGCATAACATTTCCTAGAAATATGCTCCATATGCGTTTTAGTAATTTGGTGGTAGAAGTGTAAACTCAAGCTCACTGAAGGAGAGCCAGCTAGAAGAAGAGCCATGAATCTCCAACTGGAGCCAGAGAATCTCTCTCTTTATGGGGAAAGAGGATCCACAGGGAAAGCGAGCTGGAAAATGGACAGTTACATGAGTCCTTTCACACGCCAAACACTATACCAGGCACATTGTGCTGCCATAGTAGACATTTCAGGTATTTGTTACCAGCCCCATTTATATATTTGCAAACTGAGACTGTATTAGAGAAGGTAATTCTCTCAAGTTATAGTTAAAAAGTGTCAGATCCAGGATATAAATCCATTTTACTTAACTAAAAAATGACTTTTTTAGACAAAAATTTCACCTATGGAGTTGGACTAATGTAGTATCTCTCAAAGTGTGATTCCAAGTAGGATAGACCTTATGTAAAAAATGTTTTACAAGTATGAATCACCAGAATCACTACTTCAGACTTATTGAATCACATATTCTAGAGTTGGCCACAAAATATGTATTTTTACACAGGTTCAGGTAATTCTGATGTATGTTCATGTTTTAGAACCACTGGAAAAGTGAGATTTAATTATCATATAGGAGTCAGTTATCCAGGAAGACTATAGCTGGGATTATGGAAGATCAAAAGAAATATAACATATGTTTTCCACAAAAAGTAGTTGCAGAATATTTGGGGAAATATGCATTACTGAAATATTGGCAACTTGGCTTAATTGAAAGAATGCTAGATAAGTGATGCCGAAACTTTGTTTTCAGCCCCAGATCTGATGCTAATGTGCAGGTTGGCTTTGAATAAATTATTTAATTTCTATGTGTTTTCTTTGATCATCAATTATAATGATAATGGTGACGGTGATAAGAGTTAGTACATTTGCATGGCCCTATAGAGTTTACAATGCGTTTGCATTATTTTAGAGATAAAATTGAAGGTGTTTGCTTAGAAAATCTCTGATATGTTTTCTAGATTGACATTATGGGAGACTTTCCATATAAGTAAGGTTAAAATATTCAAAATTATAGATGACCATGTCTATGGGTCTCAAGCATAATTGCATTTCAAAGTCACCTGATAGCTTAACAGAGAGCAAAAAAATAAAAAAAATAATAATCCAGGCCTCTCTCTTCAGAGCAGAGGCTCATGCCCTATATATATATCATCTGAAGGGTATGTGTATGAACCAAGGTAAGTCATATTACAATCACCATATTAGAATCACACACATGTTCATATATTCTTCTGGTGATTCTAATATGTTTCTAAAGCTGAGAACTATGGCTCTAAATGTGAAGTGAGTTCAAATAAAGGAGAGATAACAGTGGCTAATAGTAGTTCTCTGAAGATGTAGGGTGACATCCTAGCCAATCATCCTCAGACTCTCTGCCATCTATGAGGAAATTCTAGTTTGCTTAGCCTGGAATTCAAAACTTTTTATGTTCTGTTTCTTGAGAACATTTCCTGCTTTCTGTTCAATTAATCACTCTTGTAAAACCTAGCTTTAGCCAAATTTGATTCCTTACTTTCCTCCAGCTATACCCAGAGCTCTACATCTTTTGTAGTTTTTCTAGTGTTGTTTCCTATGTCTGATTTTGTCTGTTAAATGTATACCCTTCTTCCACAGCAAGATTCAAATGTTAGATCCTTCATGAAACCATCCCTGATGGTATCATCTAATGAGCTGCTCTCCTTCCTCTGTTGTCCTATTACTTTTTGGATATTTTATTGACTAGGATGTTATTGACTGCCTTTAGAATTCCTTGTCTCAAATTACTTCAATAATAAAGACAATGTATTATCTCACAAGTCTGGAGGTGAAATGACTGCAAGGCCAATTAATTTAACAGCTCAACAATGTCATAAAAGACTCACATTCTTTCTACCTTCCCCATCTTCTAACCTAGCTTTAGTTCCCTTGGTAAATCTAAAACAGCCACCCAGTTACAAGTGTCTCCTACTGATATAAAAATGTCCAGTGGGTGATGGAAGCTTTTGTTGGTTTCTTTTGAAGAACATGAAAACCTTTCCAAGAATCTGCCTATCAGACCTCCCTACATGTTTCATTGACCAAAATTATGTTACATGCTCATTCCTAAACCATTCATTGGCAAGGAGAATGCAATTTCCATGACTGGGCTCATTGAAATACATGTTTAATGGGAGGATTTTCTAAACAAATGACAGTGCTCTTAGCAAGAAGTGGTGGTAATTGGTGAACAGTTGGCTAAGCTGCTAACTCCTTTCCTCAAGCAAGTATACTCTTTCCATTTATATGATAGTTGTCTATTCCTGTGTTTTGTTTTGTTTTTTATTAAACTCAAGTCTCCTTGAAGACAGATTTTTGCTTTATGATTAAAGGCATCAGCTTTGAAGCCAGGACACACCAGTATTGAAATTAGGGTGACAAACTCATCCCAATTTTCCCAGGATTTTCCCAACGTTAGCACACAAATTCCCACATCCATAGAAAGTTCTTAGTCCTGGGAAAAGAAGAATATTTGGTCACCCTAGTTGAAATCTCATCTCTGCCATATACTGACCACATAAGTTGGGATTCCAGTCATTAGATTTCCCAGTGTTTCATTCAAGACCTGCTTCTTGAATGTCCATAATGTGCCAGACACTGTTTTCAGAAAGCTCTCCTTGTTTTTCTGATCACTCTAGCACTAGCTGTTTGATTTCCCGCAATCGTGCTAAAGCTTCCCCTGGACTGCCTTCTGCGTGACCCCCTCTCTGCACCCCATCACTCAGAGATGATGTCAGAGGAAGCCTGGCCGCCTGACGAATGGGGCTTGGGAAATCCCCAGGAGTTTTCAGACACTGTTTCTGGCCTGAAAAACAAAACACTCGTGAAACAGCCAAGGGTCCCAATCTGCTCAGGGAACATGTTGTCCTCTCCTGTTTGCAGGGCCATTTCTTGGACAAGCAGCAGCTCTGTTTGCTGGACTTTTGGCCCCATGCAGTCACTGTGAGGCAAGGCACATCTCACACAAACGGGCCAGTGAAATGAGGTAATTGCGGCTTTCGATGAATGCTATTTCTGTCTCATGGGCTATGCTGGCTGGGATATGAAGAACAAGAGTTAGTGTATCTGACACATTATGGCTTTCTCCACAAAGTGGAAATAGATAACGCAGGAATGGGAAAGTCCCTCTCTGTTTTCTTCTCCTAATGATGAGTGAATATTCCATGCACATGCTATTTTCAGGCAAGACCTGCACCATGTTGGAAAGTCTTTACAATTGCCAGAACATTCCCGTTTGGGCACAAAAAATGACCTTTCAACATGATTTAATACAACTATATGGAACATAATCTATGTGTCGAGCGTGTTATACACGTCATCTATTTTCCTCTTCACAAGGACCCTCAGAAATAATTAGTTTTCCTACTGTAGAAACTAGTAAATATGACTCAAAGTGGTGAAACTCCAGGACACAGAACTAACATGTATGTGCAAGGCCAGGGTGGGTACCAAAATATCTTCTCTCCATAAGCTAAAGCCATTTACTGCACCAGTGCATATTTTAGTCATTTAAATTAGATTATTTTCCCTTGAAGTATATTTTATTCTGTCATATTACTTCAAAATGGGAACTATAACATAATTTCTTTTTAACCCAGAGTTGTCACTCTTCACAGTGACATTCTGGACCAGAATATAGTGACAATTTCGCTGAATTTAACAAACTTTGAATTTTCTCACACTGACTGTTTCTGTTTGTTTGAATTCCATGTTTTGTTTTGTTTTTGTTCTTTTGTGTCCGCTCTCATTTAATTTTCCAATACTCACTGACATTGTCCACAGGCCTACCTCTTGGATTCCCTCATCACTATGACTTATTAAATTTATAGTTTTTAATGTGTCAACTAGATAACCAGGTATCATCATTAAGTTATCATATAAAAAAAGAGTAAATGAGCTCTACTCTGGAACTTAAGGGGCTATTTCATGACTAAAATTTAAAACTTGGTTTAGTAGGCACATTTAGTTATCCATAGGAAGAAGCCTTGGGTTGAAAATATTTGGTAAATAGCAGGCTTTTTGGAATTAGAGTTCTAGTGCTAGTCCATCATATTCTAACTCATAGACCTTGGCATCCATTTAACCTTTCCAAGTCTCAGTTTTTCTACCAGAAAAATTGGAAACATGCATAATATGCACGCTATCTTTGCAAATGTTAGGCACATCATGTATGAGAAAAACTGTTTACAAAGTGCCTGGTGCCTAGCAAGCTTCATAAATGCGAGCTATGTATTATTATTGGGGGTTATTTTATATCCTCTCATTTCACTGCCTACTCATAGGTCACAGGCTGTGCTGGAAATAGTAATCTCCAAATAAGTGAGATATCTTTGTGTTTATAAATGTGTCTACAGGTTCATAGTGCCATTTCCATGAAGACTGCCCAAGCATGTTTTTGTCTAGAAAGTGGTAGATAGACTGTAACTGTGCCATTAATTACTTACTGGGTAATCAAATGACCTGCGCTCAAGTTTTAAGTTTCAAATGTGCCTGGGATTCAGTCTCCAGTCCCTCGCCATTGTTGTTCAATTTCCCCTCACTTCTCTGTTCTCTTCTATGCCTCAACTTTACTGATTTTTTAATGCTGAAAACAAAAATCATTTAATTTCCTGACTCTAACCATGCCCTAAGTGTCTCATCTTCCACCAAAAGCAGCTAATCAAGGTACTTTGATAGACAAAAGATTTCCCACTCTGGGAGGAATTTTCATGCTAGCTGTTGGGTTAGTCTATGTATTTCTTCCCTCTATGATTAAAACAGAAACGTGGGCTGTGTGTGGTGGCTTGCACCTGTAATCCCAGCACTTTGGGAGGCCAAGAGGAGAAGACCGTTTGAGGCCAGGAGTTTGAGGCTGCAGTGAGATATTGTCATGCCACTGCACTCCTCCCTGGGCAACAAAGCAAGACCACATCTCTAAAAAAAAAAAAAAAAGAAAGAAAAATTATCCCTGTGTGGTGGTGCACACCTGCAGTCCTACCTTCTCAGGAGGCCAAGACGGGATGATCACTAGAGCCCAGGAGTTTCAAGCTGCAGTGAGCTATGATCAAGCCACTGCAGTCTGGTCTGGGTAACAGAATGAGACTCTGTCTCCAAAAGAAAAGAAAAAAAAAAAGCAGACGTGTGTATATAGTAAACAGTATCCTTATCAACTAGGAGGCAACTACCTGTCTGAGCCACATTTAGAGGCAGGTAGGGAAGTTAATGAGAACTTCACTAAACATATTTATCTAAGCTGAACCTTAAAGGATGAAATAATCAGGTTCTCAGTCCAAGGACATCCCGTTCCTTGGTGCTATTTCAAGTCACAATAAGGTAGACCCAATTAGGTGAGCTACCAGCATGCTCAGAGAGACAATTTACCACCAGTAAAGACCATTAGAGTTAATAGAAGTTTCAAAACCAGTGAAGGGCTCATGAAGGGTGAGAATGGAAGGTGTTCTTGGACATTTGCTCTGGGTCGAAAATGCTATTGTGTATTCATTAAAACAGCAACAAAATAAAAGACCCTTCAGGAAATCCCAGTAACTAAGGTCATCAGTATCAAGAAAGCAGAGCTCTAGTCCCTGAGCAGACATTCTGTCATGCAAAGCCTCATTTAGAAATATTGACAAATTGATCTATACTATTTTTTAATGCTTAAAACACTCATGGCTGTCCTTATGTAATTGGAAGGAGGAGGCAGGAAATGGAAGGGAGGCTGTATTATTCTTTCAGAAAGTGCCTCTGAGTAAGCAAAACAAGGACAAACCTGTGACAGAGAGAGCCCTAAGAATATCGCTAATAGAAGCACTGAACTGAGGCAAACAGGTTTTATACCTGGAGGGAATATCGAAGAAAGCTCAAGAAGTACAGCAGCTAAGGACTGCCATGCTACTCTAAGTTTGGCATTGAATTGACGTCAGTTAAAGCAGCAAAAGCTATGGCTACTTTGAGTCCAGATCCTCTTAGCCACCCAGTCTATAAATGTCTGGATGATCTTTAGCTCCCCCTTATTCCTCATCACATTCACTCAAGTAATCTACTTCTAGGAACTCTCTCTTCTACGTTTCTATACTGTTGAATTCACTCTATCCTTCATGTGGTTTGGCTGTGTCCGCACTCAAATCTCATCTTGAATTGTAGCTCCATAATTCCTGTGTGTTGTGGGAGGAACCCAGTGGGAGACAATTGAATCATGAGGGCGGGTCTTTCTTGTGCTGTTCTCGTGATAGTGGTAAGTCTCATGAGACCTGATAGTTTTATAAAGCAGAGTTTCCCTGCACAAATTCGTTCTTTTATGTCACCATGTAAGACATGCTTTTTGCCTTCTGCCATGATTATGAGGCCTCCCTAGCCATGTAGAACTGTGA
Organism: Homo sapiens; assembly: GCF_000001405.40. NCBI lineage: Eukaryota > Metazoa > Chordata > Mammalia > Primates > Hominidae > Homo > Homo sapiens. The sequence goes on along the minus strand of NC_000009.12, from coordinate 115,646,709 downwards.
GACCATTAAACCTCCTTTTCTTTATAAATTACCCAATCTCTGGTATGTCTTTATCAGCAGCGTGAGAACAAAGTAATACACCCCCTGATGCTACTTTCATAGTGAAATTCCATCTAGTTTTGTTTTTTTGTTGGTTGGTTTTTTTTTTTGTTTGTTTGTTTTGTTTTGTTTTGTTTGCCTTGGTATCCCATCTCATTCTTCAAACATCAACTTGCAAATAAGTCACATGGGGATTTTGTTAAATTGCAGATTCTGCTTTAGTAGGTCTGGGATGCAGCCTGGAATTCTGCATGTCTATGTTGCTGCTGGTGAGAGGACCACACTTTAAGAGTGGAGCACTAGGGGCAAAGCCAGGTCTTGAACCCCCTATGGCCATGTTTCTTATACCACTCTCAGCAGTCTTCTGAAGGATTAGGGGAATAGACTTTCTCTATGGACCCCCAAGCCTGAAATGAGGACCACTGGGTGGAAGGAAAGCAAAGTATTAGTATCCTGAAAACAATTCTGACATCAAGAACTGATGGACAATAATATGGACTGTCTTGTGAGATAATGACTACCCTGTCATTGTAAATATTCAAGCAAGGATCAGACAGTATTTTTTTCTAATATTTTACTGTAAACATTTCAACCATAAAGGACACTTGTAAAAACTACAGTGAAAACACATATGCTTACTTCCTAGATGCTATATTAGCATCTTACTATGTTTGATTTATCCCATAGATATCCATTTATTAATCCCTGTATTTACCAAACAATGCAGTATTGTTTTTCTAGTCCTTGTACATGGGCCCCTCCATCCCAAAGCCAGCAATGATGTGTTGGATCATTCTCATGCCTGGAATCTCTCTAACTCTCCTACATTCAGGTGAAGAAAGTTTTCTGCTTCTAAGAGCTCATGTGATTGGGACCAACCCAAATAAACCAGGACAATCTCCCTACCTTAAAATCTGAACCATATCTGCCAAATCTCCTTCATCAGGTGTAATAGTCCGTTTTCACACTGCTCTAAAGATACTACCTGAGACTGGGTAATTATAAAGGAAAGAGGATTAATTAACTCACAGTTCCACATGGCTGAGGAGGCCTCAGGAAACTTACAATTATGGTGGAAGGTGAAGGGGTAGAAAGGACCTTCGTCACATGGTGGCAGGAGAGAGAAGAGTGTGCAAGATCAGGGAAAACTGCCCTATAAAACCATGATATCTCATGAGAACTCACTCACTATCATGAGACTAGCATAGGGAAAACCACTCGCATGATCTAATCACCCTGACCTGGTCCCTCCCTTGACACATGGGAATTATGTGGATTACAATTTGAGATGAGATTAGGGTAAGGACACAGAGTCAAATCATATTACCACGTAATGTAACATATTCACAGGTTTCAAGGATTAGAGGATGGGTATCTTTATTCTGCCTGCCATAGCCCTATTGCCTGACTAGGGCCCAACATTCTGCTAGATGAGAAGATTTGAAATTTTGATTTTCATCTTCCAAACTCTATTTCAGTTTTCCTTCTCTATCACATTTTGTCAACTCTGATTAAATGTGTCTGATATTTTATGTAATTATATCAAGAACAACTTCATATGAGTATCTTAGTTTAACTTGGTGATTATAAGAGTGCTACCTCATAGGATTGCAATAATAATTCAGTAAGTTAATTGATGCAAGGAAAAGCAGGGGGAATAGCACCTGCTAAAAGTAACTTATTATTCCCAAATTCATGATGCTAAGGAGAATTAAGATCAAAATCTCTTTTCCTTGAGAGTGCAAACTTTCCTTTACCAGGCTGTCTTTAAGGTCATAGCTGTTAGAGTGAAGATTTAGCATACTTGAGTTTCAGAATCAGCATGGAAACAGGTGCATGGTAGCAGTAAAGATGTTTTTGCTAAATATATAACTGACTGAAGCAATAAATTAATGAACAAAAAAACTTTTGCAGATGAGTTACGCTGTCACAAAGAAGCCAGAGTCAGACAGAGGTTGACACAAAAGGTGGTCAAAGCCAGGCGTTAGGATATTAGTTGGAACTACTAGGGAAGAGTGTCTCCAGGAAGATGAGGTTCTTAGTGCAAGCAGAGTTTGAACAAACCTCCATTGCTACCTTCTAAACCCTTTCCCGTTGCCAGGCACAGAATGTTCCCATGCAGGGGAATTACTCATGTTTCAGCATTCTTAGGGATTACATCTGTTGTCAGGTGGATTGCCTTGGATTATACTTGTTATATGCTATGGAGAGAATGCCAGGACAAGGTATGGTTTTCACCTAGAATAACAGCATGACAGAAGAAAATCTGATTTCCCCTCAGGAGTACAAACAGCTTCCCAAAGTTAATTTGCATCTCTCCCTTACTAAGGACATGTTATTAACATATATTATGCTTTCCATCGATTATTACATTTAAGTGTCATAACTGCTCTGTGAGGCAGGCATTATTAGTCCCATTTACAAATTTAAAAACTGACACTCAAACAGTTTACATGACTTGGCATCACAGAATAGACAAGTAGCTGAGCTGGTACTGAAAAGCAGGTTTATCTGACCTCAAATGCCTGTTCTATACCTTCTATCAAAATACCACAAACAGTAATCGTTACTGGAATTTGGCTAGTGTTTTAGAACAACACTGTATTCTGCCAATTACTTTTGCAATTCTTATGTGAACTTATTTCCCTTTCTGAACAATTAATACCTTGATGGCTGGTTTATCTAATTAGCTCACTGTCTTCTTTTCATTACTTTAGTTAAAAATTGTATTTCCTTTTTCTGAAATCTGAAAGTACATCTAAACTTGCATGGTGTATTATCTCTGCATTTCAAGTTATAAAATAGGAGTTTTAGTTCAACTCACCATTTACCTGTATAACCTTGGGTGAATAATTTCAATGCTCTGAGTATCAGTCTGATCACCCAATAAGTGAGGGTGATTATCCCTGCTCAATCTAGTTCAAGGGACTTTGTAGGAATTATCAAATTAGATAATGGGTGTGAAAGAACTTTGTGAACTATAAAGCTCAGTGGAGATGTATTAGGTTAGTAGGTTATTCTTGTGATTTTATCATTCAGCATAGTGTGTGTGTGTTTTATTAGTCTTCCACCTAGTTATATGGATTAGATAGGACAAGTTTGCTTATTCAGGATTTGTAGATTTCTTTCTTCATTTTTTCTTTCATCCACTTTCTTCTCTCCAATTTTTCTCCTCCTCTACTTTCTTCCATCCTTCTATTCAAAAAACACATTTTATGTTTTATCATGAACTTGGCTCTCTGTCACAGCACAGCATAAGGTCGAATAAGGCATAGTCCCAGCCATGAGGAAGCCAACAGATGATCACAAGGAGTAAACAGAGACATGATCAAGAGAGGGAACAGTGGATTAATTAAAGTCCATGGTAAGGAGATTGCACAGAGAAGCTGAAACTCAGACTTTCATATCCCTAAGACAGTATCATTCCTACCATTTTATAAGCTTCTTCTGGGAAAAATACCAATTATAGGTCTGTGTTTCCAGGGGCAGAATGTGGCTTAAAGAAGAAGGAAGCCAATGAGTGTTCACTGAACATCTGTACATACAGAATATCACGCTATATTATTTTGTCCTCCTTACTACCTTCATTTTGTAGATAAGAACAAAAGGTCCAGAAAGGTGAAATACTTTGTGCAATCATAGAACTAGACAATGATGGAGCTGTTTCCATGCTAGGCCAGTTGCACTTCAAATATGTCAAGTCAAAGGCATCCTTAAGCAACATAGAGAAAGTTTAGTGACAGCAACAGTCTAGATTTTATAAGCCGGGAGGGTCTGTCCTTCATAATCTTATGGCCTCAAGCCTTCTATGTCAGCTCCTTTAAAATAGCCAAGGATTACATGTTAATAGGGCCATTTTAGCCAATGTTTTCCTTCTTCAGAGCTATTTCATTTGGGGCCTATCTGGAGATGCAATCACACAGACCTGTAGATGCCCTTTGAAACTGTCCTAAAGCCTTCTCTTCAAGTTGAATAGAAAACCACTCCAGCCCAATGGAGCAGCCTATGGAAAATTCCTGACACTGTATGTTCTCATAATTTTTGGAACACTGTAAATATTTGAGTCAGTAGATCTTAATCCATAAACACAGCTGTACTTAAAAAACCCTGATGGAGAGTTATTATAATTTAAACAATTGGGTAACAAAACAAATCAATGTTAATCATTTTCGTTTTCTAAGGACAATGGACTCAGACTTCTCATAAAACTGACATGATGAGCTTCACAATTGCATCCACAAATAAACTTACAAATGCTAAGATAAACCATTCTCAACTTTTTAAGAACATTGTGAAAAGAAAAGGAGGTGGGGGAGGGCCAGGGAAAAGAAGAAAAAACAAAACCATTTTGAGCAAGACCAAGCCACTCATAACAGTAATGCACATGAGGCCTTCAAAGATAAACATTAAGAGAAAAAACTGTTCTAGGTTTGTCTTTTCTCCATATAAATTACTTTATGAATTAACCATTATTCAGGGATTATTTTTGTTTCTATCAGAGCTACCTTCAACACTTTTGACAAACTTTCTCTTCGCTGAAATTCTCAGAATAACCAATTTATTCCAAGGAGGTTTATTAGGCTCTTGTGTGTGAAGCACTGTGCTAGGCACTGGGAAATAATGTGAGAAATGAAACATAGCCACCGCAAATTAACGTTTTAAATAATTGAATAAACCAATATTTTGCAGGAGAAAAGAAAAGGAGAATGGAATCCAAAACTCTGGAGGACATTTCTGGCTGAAAATTTGAAGGGCCATGTTTTACAGTGAGGTTGGAGATCATTGGGGATCTTCATGGAAGAGCATACATTTGAGCTGAAGATGTAAACAAGCATAGTTTGAGCATGGAAACAAGGAGGATTCCAGCAAAGGAAACTCAAAAGAATAGTGACAGAAAACAAAGGCAGTCATTTGGTTCAGGTGCAAGTGACCAGGTAAAGGATTTCAGGGCATAAATTTGGCAGAGCAAACCATGGGAAGTTTGAAGGACCTGGAATCTCAAACCTGGGAGTTTATAATCTCTTCTATAGTTGCTTGGAAAGGATGGACTAATTTTGATTGAGACTTGACCAGAACTGGGATATAAAAAGATTCATCTGGCAAAGTATAGCATGAAATTAAGACAGAAAAAACAAGAGGTGGACCTAAACATAAGACCTGAATCTATAAAAATCCTAAAAGAAAACATAGAGAATACTCTTCTGGACATTGGCCTTGGCAAAAAAAAAAAAATTATAACCAAGTTCTCAAAAGCAAACACAACAAAACCAAAAATAGACAAATGGGACTTAATTAAATGAAAGAGCTTCTGCACAGCAAAAGAAACAATCAACAAAGTAAATAGACATTTCACAGAATGGGAAAAAATATTTGCAAACTATACACCCAGTGAAGGGCTAATATCCAGAATCTACAAGGAATTCAAACAATTCGACAAGAAAAGAACAAATAACTCTATTAAAAAGTGGGCAAAGGACATGAACAGACATTTTCAAAACAAGACATACAAGCGGCAAACCAGCATAAGAAAACATACTCAACATCATTAATCATCAGAGAAATGCAAATTAAAACCACAATGAGATACCAGCTTGCACCAGTCAGAATGACTTAATAAAAAGTCTAAAAACCACAGATATTAGCAAGCATACAAAGGCAAGGGAATGCTTATACATTGTTGGTGGGAATGTAAAGTAGTACAGCCTTTATGGAAAACAGTATAGAGATTTCTCAAAGAGCTAAAATAGAACTACCATTCAATCTAGCAATCCCAGTACTGGGTATATGACTAAAGGGAAATAAATCATTACATAAAAAAGACACCTGCATTTGTCTGTTTATTGCAGCACTATTTACAATAGCAAAGATATGGAATCAACAGCTTAAGTGTCCATCAGGAGAGGACTGAATAATGAAAATGTGGTATATGTACCATGGGATACTGCTCAGACATAGAAAAGAAAGAAAGCATATCTTTTGCAGCAACATAGTTGGAATTTGAGGCCATTATCCTCAGTTAAATAACTCAGAAACAGAAAGTCAAATACCACATGTTCTCACTTATAAGTGGGAGCTAAACAGTGGGTACACATGGACATATAGAGTGGAATAATAGACATTGAAGTATACAAAAGGGAGGAAGATGGGAAAGGGATGAGGGTTGAAAAACTACCTTTAGGGTATAATATTCACTATACAGATGATGGGTACACTAAAAACCCAGACTTTCTTTTTTATTATTTATTATTTATTTTTTATTATTATTATACTTTTAAGTTTTAGGGTACATGTGCACAACGTGCAGGTTTGTTACATATGTATACATGTGCCATGTTGGTGTGCTGCACCCATTAAGTCATCATTTAGCATTAGGTATATCTCCTAATGCTATCCCTCCCCCCTCCCCCCACCCCACAACAGTCCCCGGTGTGTGATGTTCCTCTTCCTGTGTCCATGTGTTCTCATTGTTCAATTCCCACCTATGAGTGAGAACATCCGGTGTTTGGTTTTTTAACCTTGTGATAGTTTGCTGAGAATGATGGTTTCCAGTTTCATCCATGTCCTTAAAAAGGACATGAACTCATCATTTTTTATGGCTGCATAGTATTCCATGGTGTATATGTGCCACATTTTCTTAATCCAGTCTATTGTTGTTGGACATTTGGGTTGGTTCCAAGTCTTTGCTATTGTGAATAGTGCCGCAATAAACATACGTGTGCATGTGTCTTTATAACAGCATGATTTATAATTCTTTGGGTATATACCCAGTAATGGGATGGCTGGGTCAAATGGTATTTCTGGTTCTAGATCCCTGAGGAATCGCCACACTGACTTCCACAATGGTTGAACTAGTTTACAGTCCCACCAACAGTGTAAAAGTGTTCCTATTTCTCCACATCCTCTCCAGCACCTGTTGTTTCCTGACTTTTTAATGATCACCAGGGATGCCCTCTCTCACCACTCCTATTCAACATAGTGTTGGAAGTTCTGGCCAGGGCAATCAGGCAGGAGAAGGAAATAAAGGGTATTCAATTAGGAAAAGAGGAAGTCAAATTGTCCCTGTTTGCAGATGACATGATTGTATATCTAGAAAACTCAGTCGTCTCAGCCCAAAATCTCCTTAAGTTGATAAGCAACTTCAGCAAAGTCTCAGGATACAAAATCAATGTGCAAAAATCACAAGCATTCTTAAAACCCAGACTTTCCCAGTACCCAATATATGCATGTAGGAAACCTGCACATGTACCCCCTAAATATATTAAAAATAAATAAATAAAAGAAAAAAAGAAGTGGAGAGACATAGGTAAGGTAATAAGAGTTTGGCTCATGACCACAGCAAATGGATGAAGAGAAGAAAAACTGATATGAGAGATATTCAGAGGATAAAAATCAGAATAATTTGCTGAAGAATAGGATATGGAGAAAGTCAGAATTTATGAACCAATAGAGACAAAAGTTTACATTGAAAGAGGCCTTTAGGATTGAAACATTTGGAGTGTGACTTTAATCCAGACCACTATTGAGGCTCCAGGTTATTCTTTTATTCTTTTTCTATACATAAGTGAAAAAACTTGATGTTCCCCTGAGGTTTTAATGAGTGTTCTTTCTCATCCTTCCACTTGTCTCCATTTTCTCTAGGACTATATAGTGCAAATTCCACAAGCATACCTACATATGGGTTCACAATGGACTGAGAGTCTAGTTTATTCTCTCATTTGTTTGTTTCCTGTGTTCACCTTAGTCTATGGAGAGAATACATGAATGATTATTCTTGTCCTTACTTTATAGAAGACATAACAGGCACGCACAAACACAGACACACACACAAACACTCGTATGACTAACCTTGGGTCACATATTTAGGGGCAAAATGGGAACTAAGCATTGGTATGAATGGTAGGGATGGAGAAGGATAGGAGATAAGAAGTTAGAGATGGGGAGGGATCAGAGAGGAAGAGGTTTAGACAGAAAAGGGACCTCGGTTCTTCTCCCAGTGTTATCACTAAGCAGCTGAGTGACTAGGTGAATCACTTCAACTTTCTGAGTCTCAGCCTCCTGACATCAGTATGCTTTGCAAATGAGAGGTCACAGAATGCTTATAATTATTTGTAATATTGCTATTTAATTTAGACATTCTGTCTGTGGAGCTTCTGATGTGTATTCCTTATCTAACATATACATTACTTGATAAGACAGGCTCTATGATTATCTAAATTGAAAAGCAAGGAAGGGAGGCAAAGTTTAAAAACTTTTACTCAGCACATATTAGGAGCTAGATGCATTTTGTATATACCTCATGTGACTATCATAGTACTCCATTTAACAGATGAGAACACTAAGAGTTAGGAACGTGAAGTTCCTATTTTCTGTAAGACATTTAGAGCAAGCTGGGTGAGAAATGAACAAAGTGCAATACTTCAGTGAATTTTTCTGGATCAACTACTCTTCACAGAGCACATTTAACTTTGCATTTATAGAGAAGTTGCTTTGTACAAGGTTCTACTAAATGCTGGATCCATAAACACAACTGTATCACTAGATTAGAGTCTAACATTCTTTACCCAGCCTGTAAAGTCTTGCACAGTCTGTCCCTTGCTTACCTGTCCTGCCTCAACTCCCAGTATTCCCCCTATTTCCACTCTGACATTTCCTAAAACCATAGCTGAAGTTCCTCTGGTGTTCTCTTCCATTACAATAATGTTGGGCTTTATCACATTTTTTTCTCTCCCTAGAAGGAGCTTTTGAAAAAAAAAAAAAATTCTGGCTGAAGTCTACTCATTATTCATCTCTCAGTTTAAATGTAACTTCACAAAAAATTCCATCCTGACTTCCCCAACCAACCAAGGTCCACAAGTAAAAATCTTTCTGTGCTCCTCTTTCACAGTGCTTAGGACATCCTAATTTTTTGAAATTGTTTATTACCCTCTGCCTTCCCCTTTTGCTTATAATTTCATTGGAGCAGCAAACCATGACCCACTCTTCCTTTTTCCCTCCCTCCCTTTTTCTCTCCCTCCCTGTCTCTCTCCCTCCTTTTCTCCTCTCCTTTCTTTCTTTCCTTCCTTCCTTCCTTCCTTCCTTCCTTCCTTCCTTCCTTCCTTCCTTCCTTCCTCTGTTAGTGGAATAGCAGATTCACAAAAATATTTTTTGACTATCTGAATAACAGATTCAATATTCAGTACTAAGTTTGACGAAAGCCAAAAGACTGACGCAGGATTTTATAGGTGATGGCAAGATGAGGAAGCAGTAAAGTTTCCTGGAAAAGATGTTAAAGTTGGATGTACAAACAGAGATCAAAGAGTCATAAGTGCAGCTGATCAAGCTATGAATAACTACAACTCCTGACAAGATGCATAATCAATATGAGGCCTTGTGTGTAGATTCTCATTTCCTTAATTCCACATAAGTTTTGAAACCAGGTCTTAGCTTCTGTCTTCATGTCTGCCTTTCTGCTACCTCCTACACCCAGTAATATTCTAATGGGAATCTGAAAATAAAGTATCACTACAAGGTAGACCATGTGTCCACAGTGAAGCCAGAGCAGACAATTGCATCTTGACATTAGCCTCAATTGGGACTTCACTGTCCAGAGGATAAGCATGTTAGAAAGGCTGAGTACAGGACATGGCAAGCATGGCCTAGAGCTTACAGAAGGAAGAGGGGTCGGATGTTGTCAGAGTGTCATAACCTGCCCAGAAGAATGTCTCAGAGACCCAGCCAGAGGCTTTGTGGCCAACTCACACTCCCCATCCAATTCTGGAAGCCCTGGTTCTAAACTCGTTTCAATTTGTGGAAGCTTTGTTTCCTCCTCCCATAGACCTGGCAGTGCTTCACCTGAGGAAGGAAACGATTCAGAAGCTATAAACCATTTCATCCCTCAAATATGAAACTAATCCGTGTCACTCAAGCCCAAACCTTTTCCCACCACTGAGATTAAAGAGGACTCTCTGGATCCGCCCCTGCCCTCTGGCACTGCCTTTCTTCACTGCTCTGCTTCATTGCCTCTCCATCTGCTCACATAACATCAGAAAACTCTACCTTTTCTCCCTACTCATGGACTCAGAATTATTCTTTTTTGGCTGGCGAGCTGTGGTCTGGGCAACTAAATGAAGCTTCCATGTTCATTGTGAGACAGCATACTAAATTCATGCAGTGTTAATGGGGTTAAATTAAGTGAATAAGATACATTTACTTATTGTCAAGTTTAGTTTGGGGAAGAAGGAAAACCACTTGTTAAAGTTTATGTCTTTTTCTGTGTTCATTTTCTTTTGATTGATTACTGTGTTCAATACATGCATGTATAGGAAGTAAAAACAATTGTACAATAGGAATAGTCTAGTGATAACACAAAAGCACAGAAGGGAGAATGGATCTGTGTAGCACAATTAACATGGTCCTAGTTTAAGAGTCAGAAGTAATTTGGGCCATTCCTCACCTCTTGTGCATTCAGTTTCTTTCCAATTGTATAATATGAGGGTTGAATTTGCAGAAATCTAAATTCACTCAGCACTTACATCTATTGTTTCTATTTTTACCAGCACTTATCAACTGAGTAATCTTGTGAAAATTGCTTTATTTATCAGTTTCCATTTCTTCATTCATAAAATATGCATATTAAGAATGAAAGGTAAATTAGTCAACCTATGTGAGGAGCTTAGCACACTTGTGGGGTATTAAATAAAGTCTAATTATTGGTGGTTTAGTGGTGTGATGGGTACTGGTGCTGTCAGTGATTGTAGTGGTGACATGCCAGTCATTTAGTTTTGGTTCTGGATTTGATGGTGCTGGTGACAATAGTCATAATGATAATGCAAGTTGTACTCATAATGGTGATCATGTTTGTGGGAGTGTTGAGTTTCTGGTCTTGGTGGTGATGGTGAGACAATGGTGATAATGGTGAGGTAATAATGACCGTGATGATGGTGTTGCCCAGAAGAGGCAATCAACTCACAAAAGATTAATTTATTTACCCTCCATCATAGTCAACACTTCTGCTGGCTCTGCCACTAGGTTGGAACTCAAATAGAATACTTTAGAATGTTCCATGAAACCTCCTACTCCCTTCTCCAGAAGATGTAAATTAGGTGCTCAAAACGTTTAGAAAATAATCGAGGCTCCTTTGAGTAAGTGGATGTCTATGAAGTGAGGAACTCCTTCATCGGTCCTATCAACTGCAACCAACTCTGAGCTGGGATATTAAGTTATCTACAAAATTAATAGAGAAAGCACTAACTGAGGAAACTAAATTACTAAACACTACTGATTAATGTCAACTTAAAGTCTATTCTTCAAGATTAAGGGCAGGCTAAGCAAAATCAATAGCATGTATGAGGGTATAAAAAAATGAAACAGTATAGCATATTGTAGGGAAGATCAAGACCTAGGGACAGGAGCACAAGACAGAGGAAGGAGCAGTAGGTGGGAATAAAGAAGTTGATTGTGGCCAATCACAGGTGGTCTTGCAAGTCAGGCAAAGGAACACTCATTATCTTCTTGACAGCAAGCAGGCACCTTGAAGGAGGGGAGTCTGATCTTCATATTTTCAGAACATTATATCATCCGCACTATGGAAAAGGGGTTAGTAGGATGAAAATGGAAAACAAGACCAACATGTCATAGTGGTTCAGATGAAAAATGATGCAGTCCAAACTGGGAAGAGATCATGACAGGAGATTGGAGAGATATTTTGGAACTGCAACTAAAAGACTTCATATTAAAAAAAAAAGATGAAAGTAAAAAATAACAGAAAAGGAGTAACAAAGAAATTGTCTCTGTTTCTATTTGAGGCTTCTGCTGGAATTAATGAAAAGACAGTTGAGGAGTATTGTGATGTAAAATAGATGGAAGAAAACCTAAAAAGTTTGTAATGGCCAAAGCTGCACAATTGGAGGGAAAAAAAAAGAGAAACAGGTTGTGTATAGTCTTAAAGTATCTCCCCCAAGATATTTGCTCAGTATGGTGGAGATGGGGAGGAGATTTGAAACTTTATAGCGGAAAAAAACAGAAGAAACCACTTTCACCAAGTGATCCAAGAGTACATCTCTAATAATAAGACACTTAAACATCATAAACCCAGTAATCTGATGCACTAGGAATGGTAGAATGTCTTTTCTGTGGTATTCTTTCCAAAAATACACAGCCTTATTACAATCACATGAAAACACTAGTCAAATTGAGGGATATTCTACAAAATAATTTACTGATACTCTTCAAAAGTCTCAAGATCATGAAAGACAAAAAAGGAGAGAAGAACTGCTAGAGTCTGTAGGAAACTAAGGAGAAACAAAAACTAAATGTAATATGGAACCCTGTATAGGATCCTGAAACACAAAAAGAACGTTAATGGAAAAACCGGTGAAATTTCAGTAAAGTCTTTAGTTTCTTTATTAGTATGTACCAATGTGAATTTCCTCGTTCTGATCTTTGCACTATGGTTATGCAAGATGTTAATATTAGAGGAGGTTAGGTAAAACATATATGGAAATTCTGTTCTATTTTTGCAACTTTTCTTCACTGAGACTACTGTAAGTAGTTCAGTATAAAGGTTTTTGTTTTTTTGTTTATTTTTTAGTGGACAGCACACTGGCTGTTTATTCTGGTTCCAATGTGGTGCTTTTCCACTCAGTTTGACTTGCAATTATTTAGCTTCTCTGTCTCTTCCCCCAGTCTCTCTATAGGGATGACAATAACTTACCTCTGTATAGGCAGTAGGCTGTGTCAAGTGGTTCATGCACTAAGGAATGTACGCAGCACTGTTCAGTTTTGTATAATATTGAATTCAAGTCTAGACTCTTTTACTTGCTAGCTATGAGACCCCAGCAAAGCTGTGTAATTGCTCTAATTTTTTTCCCATCATTAGAAGGAAGCTAATAATAGTATTTAGTTCATAGGGTTATCATGAGGGTTAAATGAGATAACAAACAGAGAATGCTTCGTCCAATACCTTGTACATGGGAAATGTCTAAAATAGCAATTATTAATATTTTCCAAATTTTATGCTTCTAAAGCAAGTTAAGAAAAGGAATACTGAATCATGCCTATACACAGAAAGTCTAAAATTGTAATTTTGCTAAATTCTGTTTAAAGAAGACAGCTTGTCTCTAGTCAGGCATTGTTGACCAAATGAGGTTTTGGGGTAGAGGATAGAGTTAGGAGTTTCTGTGCTAATCAGATTGGCTGTAGGAGCTGCTCATATTTTCTTCTCCTAGGCCCTTTGCCGTCATCATCCACATCCCTCCCTGGCACACCCTAACATTACACATTTTGAGTAGAAAACAACCTCAGACAAGGTACTATGTCCAAACGTGGTTAAGAAGTTAAATTTAGAACAGACGGACAGCCTGACTTCATTTGGCTGCTGAGCTCCAAGTCTCACATCCAAACCACAGTGGTTCTCTATGCATTCCTGAAATCAAGGGGTGGAGAAGGAAGAGTGTTTGAGAAACTCCTACCTTGCATGTCTGTTCTCCTCCTGCAAGCAGTTGTGCCCAGAGGCCTGGGAGCTGAGTTCATTGCTCTCTATGTTGTGCTAGTCCTAGAAGAGCAGCCCTAGGATGGGCAAATGTTGTAGCAGTCAAGTTTCTGAACCAAAGGGTGAAGGCCAGCCTGACAGCAAGGCTAGAGAGTCTATCCTTCCAACCTCAATATGGATCAGGACTTGTCCCTCTACAAGCCCATGGCCACTGCCCTAGTCCAGCGCACTGCATCTCTGCAGGGATTACCACAGAAGCCTCTTTGCAGTCCTCCCAAGGTTCAGTTTCTCTTCCTTCTCTCTGAATCCCACCAGTGGCAGTGCCAAGAAGTGGTTTTGGGAGAGCCCCCAGAATACCTCATCACTCCATTTGGAGCCAACCTCCCAAATAATCCCCAAATCAATATGCAATCTAAATAAAAGCAATGTCAACACACAAATCTAAATCCAACCAGCTCGTTAGCTGTGTGCCTGCTCTGTACAAATACACACATCATCACTGTTTCTCACTTTACAAGTAAAGCTGATCACAACTCCCTTCTGGTTCCCAGTGCCTCAGGATTCAGTCTTGCCTCTGGAACTTGCCATTTAGGGATCTCTATGCACATGCCTGTTTTCACTCTCTCTTCTCGCTGAGCCGTCACTCTTGTAGGAGTTTCTGACTCCGCTCCAAACTCTGATGCCCAGTGCTCCAAGTATATAGCACTGTTTTTGCTTCTTATGCGTAACTTGCTCTCCAGTTTTTATCTTTTATATATTCCGATTCCTCTTCCTGGAATGCCGTTCCCCAGTTTATGACTAGATTCATGGCTCAGAGTTCAAAATCTCCACACAGAATCCATTTGTAGATATCAAAGAAAGTTCTTTTTTTTTTTTCTGAGACAGTCTTGTTCTGTCACCCAGGCTGAAGTGCAATGGCTCGATTTCAGCTCATTGCAACCTCCGCCTCCCGAGTTCAAGCCATTCTCCTGCCTCAGCCTCCCGAGTAGCTGGAATTACAGGCGCCCACCACTGCGCCTGGCTAATTTTTGTATTTTTAGTAGAGATGGAGTTTCGCAATGTTAGCCAGGCTGGTTTCAAACTCCTGGCCTCAAGTGATCTGCCTGCCTCGGCCTCACAAAGTGCTGGAATTACAGGCGTGAGCCACTGCGCCCAGTTTTTTTTTTTTTTTTCCATGGAGTGTCACTCTTGTTGCCCAGGCTGGAGTGCAATGCTGTGATCTCGGCTCACAGCAACCTCTGCTTCCCAGGTTCAAGTGATTCTCCTGCCTCAGCCTCCCAAATAGCTGGGATTACAGGCATGCGCCACCACACCCAAGTAATTTTGTATTTTTAGTAGAGATGGGGTTTCTCCATGTTGGTCAGGCTGGTGTTGAACTCCCAAACTCAGGTGATCCACCCATCTCCGCCTCCCGAAGTGCTGGAATTACAGGCGTGAGCCACCACACCCAGCCCAAAGAAAGTACTTAGAAATTATCTGGTCTATACATATGATTCACAAGTGTCTTCGTCAAGAGAATACTGATAATAGGAAATTAGTACTTCACCAGACCCTAGGCACCATGCTAATCTCTTCCCATGCATTAACTTACTGAATACTCATAAAAAACCCTGTGGGGAACGAAGTTATATTGTTCCCATTTTATAGCCAGAGTAACTGAGGTTTAGTGAGGTTAATTAACTTGCAAAGGGCACACATACAGAAAGGGCGGGCTTAGGATATAAATTCAGCACCAGAGACTTTGTATACACTTATGAAATGTACTATATTGCTTCTGATCAATGCCTTGGCCCCTGCCATTTACAGTTTGGGTACATGAATCCAAAAGAAGAAGTTTTTTCAAAAATATACAATGAGCTTATGAAGAGAGAGAATGAAAACCAAGTTCCCTACTTCTCAGCCTATAGGCATCCTATTTGACAGTTTCTGGAAGGAAAGGAAACCAACAAATAGCTCACTAAGCGTTGGCTTTACTTCATTATTATTTATGTAGCTGGGTGCTCCATACAGTAGAGAACTTGAAAGAAGGAAAGGCAGTCAGCTGGTATCTGTTTAGAATTCATGCCTGTGAAGATCGTATTAAGTCATAAGAAGGGCCATTCAATGAGCTGTAGCTCAAAGAAACATGGTGGAAAATTCATTTCCCTGAGTTTCTGGCCTTCATATGTGAAATGGGAAAGCAATGCCCTCTTGCAGGTTGCTGTGAGTACTAAATGAAATATTGCACATTAAGCCCTTAGCATGAACCCTGATAATTTAATAAATAACAGCTGCCAGCCCATAGGGCACATTCCTTCCAGGTCATGGGCCTAAGTTGTCATAGAAAGAGACAACATAGAAGATTTTCAAAACAGAAGAAACTGTAAAGATTTTTTAAAATTGTGAATTCTTCCTTTCACAGGATCAAAACTGAGACTATAAGAAAAAAAAAAAAAAAGAATAGGCCCAGGTCCACAAGTTGCTGGTGCTAGAACTCAAAGGACTGGAAATCTGGTTTCTTGACTCCAACCAGCATGCCTTCTAGCACAGCACTCTGTTTATAAGAACCCACAGACCGCATGGGCCTTACTAAGTGGCAGGGAGAAAAACCATGAAAGTACCCATCCTAATCTTTTCTCTGATCTGTGGACCTGAATATGAAACTTAAGAAAAGTTCTCAGCAGATATTGCCCCATCTAAAGTATATGCCTATAAGATGAAAATGTGTGTGTGTGTGTGTATGGGTGTGCATTGTGTTTGTGAAGAAAGAAAACCAGGAAGATGAGGTGCAACTGTATAAAATCTGCATGAACTCATAGTAAAGCCTGAGAATAGAAGTCTTTGTCACACACTTCACTGAGCATGTTAGGAACACCTCTATTGTTACTTCAGAAAGTCTTGACCCTTTGTCTTGTTCCTTTCACATGCCAAGGCTCATTTGCATTTAGGCTCCTTTCCTGCACTTTCAGATCCTTAAGATAGGATTTAGGACTACACGTCTTATTTCTTTCTTCTCTTTCTTCTCTTCCTTCCTCTTTCTTTCTCCACCTCCTCCCTGTGTTCCTCTGCTCCTCCTCTCTGTTCCTATTCCCTGATCACCTCCCTCCTTTTCCTTAGGCTTAATGGATTGAAAGTCTGGCCTCTGGGGAAATGCCTTGCAGTCAGCAAAGAAAGTGGTGGTGATTCCTTGATGCTTTCATTTTTGAAGATTTTGAAATATTAGCTAGAATCATTCAACGAGTATTTACTGAGTCTCTACTATGTCCCAGGCACAGCATACATTGCTAGGGATCTATGAACGAATAAGATTGTTTCATCATTAACATTTAAAATCTAGATGGGAAAATTATCTACACTGTATTCAAGGCTTTATTTTTATTTATTTATTTTTTTACCAGTTAAACTGTCATGATTTCTCATTCAAAGGCACTGTAAAGAGATAAGGAATTTATATCCTTAAGGAGCTGTGGGTCTAAGAGAAAGAGATCCAATCACTTCCACCCGTGGGTCCAGCTTGTTAACATCCCACAGCAAAAAAAAAAAAAAGAAAAGAAAAAAATTGTCATAATATCCACATTCTACATGGGGAGATCATCCATAGCACCCTAAAAATGTCAATTTTTTTCTAATTATGAAAGTAGTAGATTTTTGAGAAAGCATTAATCCTGATTCAGCTGGGGAGAGAGTTCTGGACTATTTGAACCAGTTTTAGAATATTTATTTTATTGCTTCCAATATAAAAGGGAAATAATGAAGCAAGCATGTTCCGTGTAACCCCTGAGATAGCTGTGAGGATCTAATCACTTCCTAAGTCTCCATCCCACCACATGACCAGGTAGAAGGGCCCCACCTGGGACCCTGAGATAGCAGTAACCTTGGAGTCAAGGGCCCTGGAGTAGAGACTGTCTCTCCCCTTGGGTGATATTGACTGCACTCCCCTGGAACACAGTTCTCTCAACCATGATAATAACACTGGAGTTAGCTTCATTGACAAAGCCAGTACCTAGTGCTCAGTGCCACGCTGGACAATATACTTGCATTGTCTTTTTTTAAGCCACATGGTGAACTCCTATTATTTATTAATATTATCTTCATTTAGTAGATGAAGGTCTTTGGTATTTGATAAAATTGAATAAATAACTTGCCCCAAATTATCCAGTTAGTAAGTGGTAGAGGTGAGATTTAGTATGAAGATATATAAGTTGACTCTTAAATATGAATTTTTATCGTTAACAAGATCTTATGCTTATTCTGATACAAGATGGATTGAGTAAATAAAAGTCAACTTATATGTTCTCTTTATAGAAAATATATAAACATATTTTTTAAGTATTTAAAAAAATATTCAAAATCAAAATCTTATTGCATTACCATAAGCATATACTCAAAGCTGTATAAAGGAGAAAATACTCTTCTTCCAACCCCTAACTCCTCTTTCCTTGCTCACCACCTTGAAGTACCCAGTTGTTAACAGCCTGGTGTTTGTCAGTATTTTTAACGTGTTGTATTCCTTGCCAATCCAAGTCACCATTTACGAACTCCTAAAAGTCATAACCTGTCAGGGAAGATTCCAGTTACAGTCTGTAAATGACCTGGGCATCAGCCAGGAAAGTAGGTAGTAAAT
This sequence comes from Homo sapiens, assembly GCF_000001405.40. Taxonomy (NCBI): domain Eukaryota; kingdom Metazoa; phylum Chordata; class Mammalia; order Primates; family Hominidae; genus Homo; species Homo sapiens. The sequence continues at coordinate 115,628,599 of NC_000009.12, read as the reverse complement.
CATTCATGAAAAACAAGAGATGCCCTACAAAACCAAGACCTCATTTGTCTGCACTGGAGCCTGCTAAGAATCATTCTTACCCTTTCCAGCAGGAAATGTAATGTTGCCATTTCCAGATGGAGTGGCCTGGCTTGAGGGCAGTCTACAAGGATTGTATTGAGGAAGACCTTACATCTGGAGCAATGTAGGGGCATTCACATGGCTTTCTTGAATTAAACTACACAAAGCTCCATAGAGCATTATGTGACCATAATGACAACCGTAAGACAGAATCCCTGTTGCCTCCTCATACCCCAATTTCTGCCACCACTGTGGAATGACTCATTAGAAGAACTATTTTCTATTTCTACTCCTTTCCCTGGCATCTTCCTGTCTTTTCTTAAGGTGTTAATATCGAGCTATATATTACTGTTTTTAAACCATGCAAATTGACTTCCAGGTAGAGGCCATGAACTACCATACTTTCTGGGAGTACGTTATAAATGTTAGCATCACCAAGCCTGAGAAATTGTCTTCAGTTGCAATCAATTTCCCACCATGGTGGTAAACTGCTCTCAAAGAGTTAATGGGCCCCATTCCTAATGGGGCAATCAGGGGCTTGTTTGATCCCAGTTCTAATCACTTCCTAAGTCTCCATCCCATCACATAGGCAGAGATGAATGCTTTGGGGCCTGAAGTTTGCTGTGGAGGGCAAGTGAGTCAGAGACAAACTTCCTCTCTGAAAGGTTCATTGAGAGAGCCAATTAGCCAGGGAGGAGGTGCTGTTCTGCATGCCCTAATTACTCAGGGATGAGAGGGGTCAGATCAGAAGCCTGACCCCCACAAGTAACCACACAAAACGTCTCAATAGAGTTTTCCAGGCGGGAAAACTTAAAAGCCGGACCCACGTCTGCTTTAGCAGCTCTTTCTCAAGAACCCAACAAAGGTTGGAGCCTCAGACAATGGCCGGGGTCCTCGCATGGACCACCTCAGGGACAAAGAGGGAATGCAATTGCTAAGATCCAAGACGCCGAAGCTGCTGCCTATTCTGAAGAAGGGTGGGGAAAGTGTGGCAATTTCTAAAACATGATTTTTTCCCTTGGTCCAAAATAGGAGCTTTTGATCTCCAGAAATGGAGTGAGATGAGGAATATCATAAGTGAAAGCACAAAGATTTCCAAATAGAATCCAACATTAATTTATTAGCTTTATTTTTTATTTATTTACTTTTTAATTTCTCTAAGGTCTTTGAGCCCGGGACTTCAAACGTTAAAAAAAAAAAATTACAATTCTCCAAAAATTGGAGTTCCCTAAAATGCACCTCTTCAACCTGGCTGTACCTCCTTTTGGCAGCCAACTTGGTTTGAACATTTGACAACCAAAGGTGGTAGGTTAGAAAAGGGCAATTGCAAATACACTCAACAACTCAGAAGCATCCTAAATCTCGAGGGTAAGGGGAAAACCCTCTCATTCTTAAGAGATTGAAGTCTGAGACCAAAGATGTAAAACCACTTGTCCGGTGTTAAAAGGCAAGTCAGTTACTGATAGGCCTTATGTTTTTTGTGGAACACATACACACACACATACACACAAGCTTAAATGCACACATACAGATATTAGTTTCATGAGCCTGGAACTTATTTGGTTTTTGTTGTTTTCACTCAGTGGAGTTCTTCATTGGGGAAGCTTCCAGAGCTGAGACTCAGGATTGGAAAAAGAGAGTAACCTGTTTTTGGGAAACATTAGAAGCCTTTGAAGTGGATAATAAAAGTGCCCTCACAATATCTTTCAGAGGTATCAAGTCAGGAACCTGGGGGTAAAGAGGGAGAGATAATTGACAATTTAAAATCTCTGAGATAACAATAATGTATCTCTGAGAGAAGATGAAATAGGGACTGAGGCATTAGCATGTATCAGAAAGATAGCCACAGCCATGAAAACAGCCTTTGCCCCCACTCTTTGGTTGGTGAAAGTTCCTTTACCTGTGTTTCAGTTTCCTCATCTGTAAAATAGACCACGGATACTAGATGAGTTCTAAGGGTTCTCCTACCCTAACTGGTTTAACTTCTGGGACTTCACAGTTCTACTCAATACTTGCAGCTCAGGAAGCTAAATTTGGATAATTGTGAGTAACTATGTATAACCTACCCATAACTCCACATTCTCCATGAGAAGCTCTTCTGATCCACAGAAATCTGGCCAGTTACATCTGAACTCCAAACCACCCCTTACCAGCTTCTACGGCCCACTTCTCTCAAGAGAAGTAAAGATTTGATTTATAAATGTTGTCCACATTCACCCAGGCCAGGGTCCCAGAAGCACATGGTGGAGCCTGAAGTGTCATTTTAATGACCACAAATTCAAAACTTACATCAGCGTTAAATTCAGGGAGCAGATGGCATTGTATTTCTTCTTATTCTTCACCTCCTCCTCTATCTTAGCACAGCTTTTTATTTATTTATTTATTTATTTATTTATTTATTTATTTATTTATTTATTATTGGAGGCAGCATGCTACAATAACGATGATGTTGATAACTTTAATTATTACAATATTTAACATGCTTATTTGCTGCCAAACATTCTGTTCCCTTCTGGCAAAAACAACAAAAGATCATATCCTCCGCCCAACCCTGCGCCCCCGTTTTTTTAATAGATGAGGAAGTAGAAGCTCCACTAGTTAAGTAACTCAGGATTATCCTTTCAAATAAGTGGCAGAGACAGGCATGTTAAACAGTTTAGATTCTAGACTTCAAAAAACCTGTTGGAGCTGCTGGTTCTACGCTACTTGTTACCTGAATTTGAGCAGCCTATTTAAACTTTTACAGTTTCATTTAATTTTCTCATTTGAAAAGGAGTTAATAGTTTCCTCTGAGGACTAACTAGCTAGATATGGTTAACAGAACTAGCATAAAGCTGTGTTTGATCAATATTAGCTTTTCCTTTCTCTCTGTCCTTCATTCTCTAACATCTAATATTAAAATGATTGGTATATGACATTTCTGATCCTGGATTTCCATAATCAGAGTACTTTCTTCATGTTGAATCCACACCCATGAAGCCTTATTCCCCCAAGCCTCTGCCTCTACAGACACTAAACTCAGACAATACACACTCTTTCCAGTCATTGAAAGGGATATGGCTTTGGAGTAATAGGGGGAAAATATATCATGAGTAATATTAACAAGAAACCTCCATAAAAGTTGGCCCATAGCTTCTAAAATTCTTGTGGTTTATCATCTAAATGGAAACTTGGTCTCCCTATGGTAGATGGCAGCATTTTAAGACCCATCTTCTACAAGTCACTAAGGATTATTGATGGAAAAAATTATGAGACACCATTTCAGCCAAGGGTAGAGACACTTAAAGAAACGTACCCAAAGAACAACAAGAAACAATATAATATAACCAGGACGTCAAAGACCTCATAATTCCTATTTGCGAGTCGGGGATATGGAACTGAGAGGGGCTTCCAAGTATCTATTAATTCAGTACATTCTGAACTGAGTGGCAAGGTGGTGTGAATTGGCACCATCTGTCTGTGAACCTTTTATCTCTGCTGGTTTTTTAGAGAAATACACCCTGGCATGGAAAAGTAACAGATTAGAACTCTCTGTCAACATTGCTGTTTATTTTTCTAACACCCCTGGTTTGCTTTTTATTTTTTTACTTTTTGAATGAGTAGCTATAAAGTGAAAGGTTTACTGCTGTTTGAGAGTGAAGAAAACTAATTAGCAGTTTGATTCTTGGTTATGAGATGCTTGGTACCTGTCTCCTTTGGAACCCAAGGTCTTGCTTGCACACTCTGAAGTTAATGCCTAGAATTTCTGATCTGGAAGAGAAATAGGAGATTGCCCTACCCTCTCTTGTCTACCTCAACTCCACCTTTTTGCGGATGGTTACATGAAGACACAAATGGATTAGCTGCAGAAGCAGTATTAGAACGCAGGTTTCTGACTCCCAGCCTGATGTCTTTTCTATATACTATTCTGCTCCCTACAAGACTAAGTAATTTAGCTTAGCATTCAAGAGCATACAGCCAGTTCATAGCAAAGCTGCTCTCACCACTTGTAGCTCATGAATTAAATCCACCAGCACCCTAACTTATTCTCTCATGGGCAACTTGTTTTGTCTTACGCTGTATAAATGAGAGCAAGAGTAGACTCAGTTAATCACTAGGGTCAACTTTTATGGAGAAATTTAATGAGCATGACTCATGATATATTTTATTTGTCAATATTTTCAAATCATATTCCTATTGGTGATTAGAAGTCATGTGAAAAAAGAAAGTTCATCCTGATTATAATCATCTCCTTTTCCTGCATTGGCATTGCTTTAGTTCCAGCTCAGTTTAGTGAATTCCTGGACTCCTTCAAGAATATTGTACCTCTGTCCAACATCATTTGTTCATTCATTCATTCATTCATGTTATGGGTCCAAATCCTCCCCTGCTCTCCTCCATGTCTTCCTGACAAATGGAGCACTCAAAAAGAATAATAACCAAATGATGAAGAAAGTGCTTTTTAAATAAATAATGGCTCAACAAGTGATCCACTGAAGTTCTGTGGGGACAGAGTTTAGCTCAGTACAAGAAAGAACCTTTCACTTTATAGCTATTCAAAATTGGAAAGCAGCATTACTTTGTGAAGTAGAGGACTTCCAATCAAATAGCAGATACTGGATAACCACTGCTTTAGTGGGGTGGGGATGGGATTGTTAGTGAGTGAGAGCTTACTCTGGTGTCACGCAGAAGAGGCCTTAAACCTGCCACATCCCCACTTTGAAAGTTTAGATTATTTATCTAGACTGTGCTCACATCACCTGAGAGAACGTTGTTAGAAATGCTGAAATTTGGGCCCCATCTCGGAAATCCTGGGTCAAAATCTAGATGTTAGCAAGAACTGCAGCCCATACATATGCACATTAGAGTTTGAGAAGCACTGACTTAGGCTTTCTAAACTTTGATTTGGTTATTTATTCATTAAAGATGTGGTAATAATGCCTGCCTTGCACTTATGCTTCAAGGATACACCAGATTGTGTTAGTAAAGATCTTAGCAGAGTGCCTAATAGTTAATACTAATAAACTGCAGGTACTAGTATTAACTTCTCAATAGATGAATTCAGCATTACTTCTACAGTCTCTTTATTACTCTAAGACCATATAATTCTATATTTTTTTATTTCACATATTTTGACATTTTAAAGTCAAATCATTATTCCAACTCCCACATCAAAAGTATAAATATATCTGGAGAAATCATGTTATGTTATGATGGGTCTGTTAGGCAGATGTTCTTCCTCTCCCCACACATCCATGTTGTAAAGAGACAACATTGAGCATGCTCGACAGCAGACATTTCACTTCACTCATCCATAAATATGGGTTTGGTGGGGAGTGGGAACATGTTGGAGTTACAGTCCATCAATTTGACATAGTCTGGGAACCCAAGATCTCCTTTCTGGATGCTACTGAGAGATCCTACCATGTCTACAATCTATTTTTCTCTAGTTGAAATTTACATTTTTCAGGCCTAATGTGAAATATTGTGTTCAGCACCATGTAAGAGAAAAATTTAACAACAGCTATTTAAAGGAGTCCACAGGAGCATAAAATTGATGGCATCAATCCCCTGCTTAAAACCCATTAATGACTTGCTGTTGTTCTTAGACAGAAGTTCCAACATTTTAACAGGAACTACAAATCCTATATTATTTGTCCCATGCTTACCCTTCTAGTCTTAGCATATACCCCTTTTCCTCTTGTATCAGTTATGTATTGCTATATAAAAAATTATCCCAAAATGGAAATACTAAAGTAATAAATATTTATTATCTCACATAGCTACTGTTGGTTATAATTCAGGAGCAGCTCAGCTGGGGGGTTCTGGCTCAGGGTCTCTCATGAAGTTGCAGTCAAAATGTCTTCTGGGACTCCACTAATCTGAAGGCTTGACTGGGGCTGGAGGATCTGCTTCCAATGTAGCTGACTTATACAACTGAGAAGTAAATGTTCATTGTTGGCAGGGGATGTCAGTTCTTCATTATGTGCTCCTCTGCATAAAACTACTTGAGTGTCTCCATGACACAGCAGCTGGCATCTCCCAAAGTGAGTGATTCAAAAAGGACATGGCACAAGCTATAATGTCCCTTTTGATCTGGCCTTGGAAGTCACACATTATCATTTCCAAAATACCTTAGCGATTACACAGTTTCACCCTATTTAGTGCAGGAGGAAACTACACAAGGTTATAAATAAATTCCAGGAGAACAAGAATCATTGAGGATCTTCTTGGAAGATAACTACCACACATCTCTGGCTCTAAGTATTTCAGTTTATTAACTCAAATTGAGTCCTCAGAAGCACCATCCTCTCTTTGGCCTGCCAGCCATTGCACCTAGTTTCCTCTGCAGGGATCATCACATCCAGCTTTTTAAGTTAGTACCTTTGTCCTTCATTCCATATCTTAGATGCATTTTTCCTGAGGAGTCCTTCCTGAACCCTTTCCAAGGCCATTTAGGGAACCCTCCTGTAGGTACTATCACCCCAGCACTTTTCACAGTAGACTATAATTTTCTGGGGTTTTTTTGACAACTTTTTCTACTAGATTTTAACAGCATTAGGACATCATTTGATATGGTTTGGCTGTGTCCCCACCCAAATCTCATCTTGTCTCACCTTGAATTTCAATAATCCCCATGTGTCAAGGGCTGGGCCAGGTGGAGGTAACTGAATCAAGGGGGTGGTTTCCCTCCTACTGTTCTCGTGGTAATGAATAAGTCTCATGAGATCTGATGGTTTTATAAATGGGAGTTTTTCTACACAAGCTCTCTTGCCAGACACCATGTAAGACGTGACTTTGCTCCTCCTTGCCTTCTGCCATGATCGTGAGGCCTCCCCAGCCAAGTGGTCAATTAAACCTCTTTCTTTTATTAATTACCCAGTCTCACCTGAGACTGGGTAATTATTAGCAGTGTGAGAACAAACTAATATACCATTCTATTTCCCAGAAATGTGATCTATACCTAAAACTTAGCAGATGCTAATAAGTACTAATTAAATGGAAGCATGAGTGGAAAATAGAGGTGATAAAAAATTCAGTTTGTCCTTGAAAATAGTAACAAGTTCGATTAGAGGAGAGAAAAGAAGGGGTGGAGTATGGGGATAGGGTGGGGATAATTTTGAGCAAAAGTGCAGTATGACTCTTCACTAGAGACCAATATTATACAAGTCACTAAGCATAAACACTCTAACACCTATCTCCAATCTTTTTCTTCAGTCTCATCCTTAATTTTGGCAAGGTGGAGAGAGTGTATTAATCTGTCTTCAATAACTAAGGCTAAGAGGTTTTACAGAAACAGATAGGAATATAAGGGAAACAGAAGTGAGAAGTAAAGAATGAGAGAACAACAGAGGGAGAGCTGAACAGAAGTGTAGAAGAGTTGACACACAGTTGATGTATCTTGGTAACACAAGGGATTGAAATATTAAAGTGACTTCTCGAGGTTCTCCTAAAACTGAGGGCTCTGACATTCCTCATCTTGGATATGGAAAAGATTCTAGTGATAGTTGGTGCATCTCGGATGTGCTTGAGACAATGATCTGAGGTGGTATTTTCTGGATTCTACTGTTACCTTGTCTTCTGACACTTTACTGTCTGCATCTTCCCCAGGGGCAAGGGCCAGGATGTTGCATCACCTCTCTCATCCTGATATGGTTTGGCTGTGTCCCAACCCAAATCTCAACTTAAATTTTATCTCCCAGAATTCCCACATGTTGTGGGAGGGACCCAGGGGGAGGTAATTGAATCATGGGGGTCAGTCTTTCCCTGCTATTCTTGTGATAGTGAGTAAGTCTCACGAGATCTGACGGGTTTATCAGGGGTTTCTGCTTTTGCTTCCTTCTCATTTTTCTCTTGCCACTGCCATGTAAGAAGTGCCTTTCACCTCCCGCCATGATTCTGAGGCCTCCCCAGCCATGTGAAACTTTAAGTCCAATTAAACCTCCTTTTGTACCCAGTTATAGGTATGTCTTTATCAGCAGCATGAAAATGAACTAATACAGTAAATTGATAACAGCAGAGTAGGGTGTTGCTAAAAAGATATCCAAAATGTGGAAGCAACTTTGGAACTGGGTAACAGGCAGAGGTTGGAACAGTATGGAGGGCTCAGAAGAAGACAGGAACATGTGGGAAAGTTTGGAACCTCCTAGAGACTTGTTAAATGGCTTTGACAAAAATGCTGATAGTGATATGAACAATAAGGTCCAGGTTGAGGTAGTCTCAAGTGGAGATGAGGAACTTGTTGGGAACTGGGGCAAAGGTGACTCTTGTTATGTTTTAGTAAGGAGACTGGCAGCATTTTGCCCCTGCCCTAGAGATTTGTGGAAATTTGAACTTGAGAGAGATGATTCAGGGTATCTAGTGGAAGAAATTTCTAAGCAGCAAAGCATTCAAGAGGTGACATGGGTGCTGTTAAAAGCATTCCATTTTATAAGGGAAACGGTGCATAAAAGTTCAGGAAATTTGCATCCTGACAATGCAATAGAAAACAAAAACACATTTTTTTTTTTAGGAGAAATTCAAGCTGGCTCCAGAGATTTCCATAAGTAGCAAGGAACCTAATGTTAATCCCCAAGACCATGGGGAAAATGTCTCCAGGCCATTTCAGAGACCTTTACAGCAGCCCCTCCCATCACAGGCCTGGAGGCCCAGGAGGAAAAGGGGTTTCGTGGGCCAGGCCCAGGGTCCCCGTGCTGTGTGCAGCCTAGGGATTTGGTGCCTTGTGTCCCAGCTGCTCCAGCTGTGGCTGAAAAGGGCCAATGTAGAGCTCAGGCTGTGGCTTCAGAGGGTGGAAGCCCCAAGTCTTGGCAGCTTCCACGTGGTGTTGAGCCTGTGGGTGCACAGAAGTCAAGCATTGAGGTTTGGGAACCTCTGCCTAGATTTCAGAAGATGTACAGAAATGCCTGGATGTCCAGGCAATAGTTTGCTGCAGGGGTGGGGCCCTCATGGAGAAACTCTGCTAGGGCACTGCAGTAGACAAATGTGGGGTCAGAGCCCCCACGCAGAATCCCTACTGGGGGCACTGCCTAGTGTAGCTGTGAGAAAAGGGCCATCATCCTCCAGACCCCAGAATGGTATATCCACTGACAGTTTGCACCATGCTCCCGGAAAAGCTGCAGACACTCAATGCCAGCCCGTGAAAGCAGCCTGAAGGGAGGCTGTACCCTGCAAAGCCACAGGGGTAGAGCTTCCCAAAACCATGGGCACCCCTCTTTTGCATCAGCATGACCTGGATGTGAGACCTGGGGTCAAAGGAAATTATTTTGGAGCTTCAAAATTTGACTGTCCAGCTGGATTTTGGTCCCTGTAATCCCTTTGTTTTGGCCAATTTCTCCCATTTGGAATGGCTGTATTTATCAAATACCTGTACCCCCATTGTATCTAGGAAGTAACTAGCTTGCTTTTGATTTTACATGCTCATAGGCAGATGAGACTTGCCTTGTCTCAGATGAGCCTTTGAACTATGGACTTTTGGGTTAATGCTGAAATGAGTTAAGACTTTTGGGGGACTGTTGAGAAGTTATGATTGGTTTTGAAATGTGAGGACATGAGGATTGGAGGGGCCAGAGGTAGAATGATATGGTTTGGCTGTGTCGCCACCCAAATCTTAACTTGAATTGTATCTCCCAGAATTCCCATGTGTTATGGGAGGGACACAGGGGAAGTAATTGAATCATGGGGGCCAGTCATTCCCATGTTATTCTCATGATAGTGAATAAGTCTCAGGAGATCTGATGCGTTTATCAGGGGTTTTTGCTTTTGCTTCCTCCTAATTTTTCTCTTGATGCCACCATGTAAGAAGTGCCTTTCACCTCCTGCCATGATTCTGAGGCCTCCCCAGCCATGTGGAACTGTAAGTCCAATTAAACCTCCTTTGGTTCCCAGTTTGGCATATGTCTTTATCACCAGCACGAAAACAAACTAATACACACCCCCACTGTGATGTGGGTTCCAGCATCTCCACTGCCCAGCTGAACACCATCAATCCATAGATGCTCTACTGTTAGAGCAGACTCTAGAGATGTTACATGACACAAACCAAAAATGTTGAAGAGTCAGCTTACTTGGGAGAACATTATGACCAATGAGTTAAAATAGAAGAGAAAGAGTAAGTGATAAATTGCTTTCTTTTCCCCTCTCCCAACCCTGAATAACTGTTGTGATATACATGGATTCTATGTAAACTCTTCAGAGCCATCCTCCATAAGCTAGCCATCAGCTGGATGTTCTGTGAAGTTGGGGATAGAGCAGTAGTGGACTGTCTTGTATCTGCTTTCTCTGTTTCCCCATCTTACTTTCCTCTCCCCTCATCTTTTGAAGTGGATGTGCCAAGAGAGTATTAGTATCTAAGCACGGTCTTAGGTTTCTGAATTTTCAAAAAAAAAAAAAAAAAATAGATCAGGACCAGCCTGGCCGACATGGTGAAACTCCATCTCTACTAAAAATACAAAAATTAGCCAGGCGTGGCAGCACACACCTGTAATCCTAGGTATTTAGGAGGCTGAGGCAGGAGAATTTCTTGAACCTAGGAGACGTAGGTTGCAGTGAGCCAAGATCATGCCACTGCGCTCCAGCCTGGGAGACAGAGCAAGATTCTGTCTCAAAAAAAAAAAAATACAGATGGGGTCTTGCTATGTTGCCCAGGCTGGTCTTGAACTCCTGAGCTCAACCGATCCTCTTGCCTTGGCCTCCCAAAGTGCTGGGATTATGGGTGTGAGCCACTGTGCCTGGCTAGGCTTCCGGTTTTGAATGAATGAGACTTTTCAGTGACCCAACCAGTGCAGCTCTGTGGAAAAAAAAAAAATCCAACGAAATAAAAGAGGAAGCTACAATCATTGTTATGGAAGGACAGGGTGAAGGGACAGACCCTGTAAGAGAGGCAGAGAGGGCACTGAAAATGAATATTATCCACAGAAATGAGCGTTGACCACAAAAGTCCTTCTAGATTATATGTCAACATGGAAAATAAATGGAAAAGAAAGGGCCAGCTCCTGTCCAGTCCACAGAGCTTCTATAATGAACCACACTGATACTTGGTGCCCCTAAAGGCTCACATAGCCCATAAAATTTAACTATAGAAACTGGGATATCCACCCTTGTTTTGTTGATAACTCACTGTATAACCTTGGAGCATGTCACTTTCCTGCTCTGTCCTTTTATTTTCTCCTTTGTAAAAGGAAGAGATTGGGCTAAATTAGTAGTAAGATTTTCCTTATAACCTCAATGTTCTTTCTTGATATGTGTTATAGCCTCCAAATGCCCAGTATTTACTTCTGCAGGATCTGCACAACCAATCTTTAGATGTATTTCAACTAATCTTTAGATGTATTTCAACTAACACTAAGACAGGGAGTAATTTCTTCTTCAGAGCCTAATGGGCCTCTCAGTAGGATCAAATGCACAGCACTGCTATCCATCCTTGATGAGAGGTCTTATGTAGAGATCTAATTTTACTCCTGTTTACAATTTTACAGCAACACGCTTCATAGGCAGGTACTAGGAGCTTGAGCCAGCAACCGATAAATTTAAGCCAGTCCTTCTACCCCACCATGGCCTGAACACATGCATGGAGTCATCCTGCTGCCCCCTCTCTCCCTTTCTTCTTTCCTTCCTTCCTTCCTTCCTTCCTTCCTTCCTTCCTTCCTTCCTTCCTTCCTTCCTCCCTCCCTTCCTTCCTTCCTCCCTTCCTTCCTTCCTTCCTTGAAGGAGGAGAATATGAATGTAATGGAAATGAATGGCCATTCAGCATTGGTGCTGCAGAAATTGGTGAAATGAAAACATATTATTGGTTTCCTTGAAAATGCAGTCAAATTTCCAGGCTCCTCAAAAGCTTATTGAGATACTAACTACTTCTGAATCCAGAGTAAATGCAATTCATTTTACTGGCTTTGTAACCTTGGGTATCTGCAGAGTTGTTAGAACAGCTGACAGAGCAACAAACGGCCAAATTCACAGATCTGGATTCCAGTTCTACAGCTTTCTTACCGAGTAGCTTTAGGCAATATTATTTCACCCTTCAGCCTCAGTTTTATTCTTAAGGAAATGGGAAACGTCTTTACAACAATAATTTGATTAGATTCATTGCATCTGTACCAATAGCACTATTCTTGTACATGACCCTTGGCTCAGAGTAGCTCTTTAGAACTTAGGGTTTGCAAATATAATCAGAGGAAAGAAACTGGATAGAGAGTAGAAGAGATTACAAAAATGAAAACAAAAACAAATATGAAGATATGGAGCAACTGGTACTTGCCAAGAATTTGCTAGGTACTTTCATAGATATTTTATTTGCTTAAAAAAGGGAGCCTAATGACTGAGACATTGCTGTCTTATTTTCTGTACAGATAGATTCCCCTCACTCTCCCACCAAAAGAAAGCCTAAGTCATCTAGGTCAGATTCATATGTACTATTGTTTTTTGTCTCAGTAGCTAGGTGCGAGACTCTTCTGGAATTTGCCTGGGGGTAATAACCATAACCCCCAACACCACTATCACTCTAACATTTTGTGAGGTTGCTTACTTTCTTCTGCATACTCATAACATTCTGATGAGAAGGAGGTGACTCAGCCATAGACTAAGAGGTGAATAAGCATCACCAGCCTCATTCAATTATGGGGCCAGAGGGAAAGGCAGTGTCTGCAAAAGTCACAACAGATTTTTGAAACAGTTTCTCTTCCAGCCTCTGCAAAACCTGCTCATTCAATTCCTTTTCTGTTGATGACTTTGGCTTCTGAGACAGGGCCTTTCTCTGGCGGCCCAGAGCTCTGACAATCCCCCAAATGTCAGGGGCTTGGAGAGCTCTTTGGGGTAAGGTATCCAAAAGGACAAGGCTCCCAAGCCTCAGAATCTTTGCTGAGCTCTGGAGTTTCCAAAGCTCCAGTCTCTTTCGGAGACACTGAGTTGCAAATGTGAATTGTTGGAACTCCTAATCCACAGCCTCTTGGGTGTTCTAACAGCTTGGGCTCCTTTTCTGCCTTGTGATTAATTACAATCAGCAAGCCAGGTTTCATGGGACCCCACTTCTACAGCAGCCACAGTCAACTTAACTTAGACATTTGGAGCAAAAACCCAGCTCAGACTGAGTGTCCTTCACTAGTCTACTACAAAAGGAAGACTTATGGCAGGAAAAAGCATTCTCATCCCTTTCTCTCTTCAATTCAGGGTAGATGAGGAGACATGTGTTAAGGCAGAAAACGTGATGGACAGGACCATCTGGTCTAGGTCGTAGTTGCAATCCTAGCCTTGACCTCTACTATCTATGTAATGCTGGTCAGCTGACTTCTCTAAGCTCTTGTAATCCTCATGGGGTTAGCAGGAGGGGGCCATGCTCTATCACATAATGAACAGGAGGCAACATACATGATAAAGTATCCTTGGCTTCTTCTTTTCCAAGGCTGTATACAATATCACATAATGTAGGCAGTGGTTAGTTGATCACAGGGCTGCGTGTCTGACATTCCCACTGGGACTGGGTACTTTCCTCCACATGTATTTATTACTCATCTCTATGTCTTGCTTTAACTATTACCTCTGCCTGGAAGGTCCTTCATCCAAACACAGACCTTCAATTCTTTCACCTGAGGCACCAATGCCACTGGGAATCATTTCTCCTCTGTAATCCAAAAGCATCCTCTACCTATCCCAGTCATGACAGTCACCACTTACCATATCAGTTTATCATTATCTCTTTATCTCCCTGGCATAGAGGAAATGCTTAGTTAATGCTTGTTTACTTAAATAAATAACTCATGTCAGGAATAGATCACATTCTTCATAATCATAAAAATAGCAAACTTGAGTAGCCCTCCAGCACTTACAAAGAATATATATATATAGAATGGGGTTAATACTACAGCTTTGAGTTGCTATATAGCAATTCTTAAAGCTGTAGCATTAACCCCATTCAATAGATGCAGATACTGGGGTTCTCAGTTACAGAATGGGAACACAAACATAGATGTGTCTGGTTCTAAGTGTAGAGACCTTCCTCAAGGGCTGCCCAGGAGCAATACTCAAGTGCAAATGATTGTAGCAAATGGCCAGCATGGTGGTTGATGCCTGTAATTCCAGCAATTTGGGAGCCTGAGGTGTGTGAATTGCTTGAGCCCAGGAATTTGAAAGCAATCTGGCCAAACGAAATCCTGTCTCTATTTAAAAAAAAAAAAAAAAGTTATGGCCGGGTGCAGTGGTTCACGCCTGTAATCCCAGTGCTTTGGGAGGCCGAGGTGGGTGGATCACGAGGTCAGGAGATGGAGACCATTTTGGCTAACATGGTGAAACCCCATCTCTACTAAACATACAAAAAATTAGCCGGGCGTGGTGGCGGGCACCTGTAGTCCCAGCTACTCGGGAGGCTGAGGCAGGAGAATGGCGTGAACCCTGGAGGCAGAGCTTGCAGTGAGCTGAGATCACACCATTGCACTCCAGCCTGGGCTACAGAGCGAGACTCTGTCTCAAAAAAAAAAAAAAAAAAAAAAATTACAAAAATTAGTGGGGCATGGTGGCACACACCTGTAGTCCCAGATACTCAGGAGACTGACGGGGGAGGATGGCTTGAGCCTGGAAGGTTGATGCTACAGGGAGCAGTAATCGAGCCACTGCACACCACCTGGACAACAGAGTCAGACCCTGCCTCAAAGAAAAATATATATATAGATTTATTGAAGTCTACTATGCACTAGGCACTAAGCAAGGTGTTGGGGGACAAAAATGAGTAGGATTTAGGTCTGTATTCGTACAAAGCTCATGATTGAGTGAATACAAGTAGAATTCATTCCCATATTCTACTCTCCTTTCCTAAAGATCTACAATGTTCCTGGTGTCAGGATGCCCATTATGGAAGCTTACACTGTTGTGGGAGAATTAAGTCTTGGCATAACCCAAGGTGCGTCATATGAATTCTACATTTGTATAGTAGTTGAATTTTATATAATGAACATATATTTATTTGTAATCAGAGAAAACGAGAGCAAAAAAAGAATAAGATAGGAAATAGTGATTATCTTAATCTGTTTTTACATGTTTCTTTCCATTAATTTATCATCTTTAATCTACAAGCCAAAAGAGCTGTAAAAATAAAGTGACATAGGATTTCAAAAGAGGGAGAATGTACATCTATCTAGAGAATCAGTAAAATCCTTATTTTATTTGGGATTTATGATGGTAACTTTGAAAAGTCCTTGGCAGAGAAATTCTGAAGATGTTCTCTGGAAAGCCATAGTTCCAAGAGATATGAGCAGGTGTTTCCAGAGCAGAAAACAAAAGAGGGGAGGAGAGGAGCTAGAAGTGAAATGAAAGTAAACATGTTTTTTGTTTGTGTTTTCTCTTCTGTGTGTTTGTTTTGCTTTTCTGCAGAACATCTCAAAATCTTCAAAAAGCACATGTTTCTTGAGATAACAAATGAAACTTGGGAAGGGGAGACATATAGGGTTTCTCAAATGTGTTATTCCAAAATCAAGCAAATCAATAAAAAAATTGAGACTAGTGTTCCCAAGAAAACATAGTGATAAATGATGCCTTTCTGGGCTCTTAATAGCTCTTTAGCTTGATCTATGGGACACTGAAGTTGCTCGGATGAGGTAGAGCAAGAATGAGAGAAAATGGGGCTATCTGGAAGGTACTTTGGCAATACAGCAGTTAAGCAAAATCAGGTTAACTCCACCTGAAAATTGCCTACTTTTGGGACAGTCACCCACCACCCCTACTTAATATGAAAAAGAAAACAGTTTCATCTTGTTTGCAGCCAAGAAAACTTCCTCAGAGTGTTGATACATGAACTGGGATTTGAGAACCATCTTCTCAATTCCCAACAGGCTTCAACAATGGAAATACTGTGGCAATGTCTTCATTGACACCAGACTACTTTGAGGAACTACAGACCCCCCTCAGTTTTGAACCACAGAGAGCCATTTACTGGACTGAAATTGTCAGGGGTTTGGAATCAGTTTCTCCATCCAGCAAATGGGGATAATAATGTGTCTTGTAGGGTAGATATTGGGATTAGGTGGGTTGATTCATAAAAAGAATCTAATAATGCTAGACATATTGTAGGCACTCGGTAACAAAGGACATTATTAGCTGGAACTTCCTCAAGAAGTTGAGACTCCTTACCATTTTGCAAGATGGAGCACCATCTTCTGACCCAACAGAGCAATAAAATTTGAAGGACCCTGCTGAGAATGAAGGTCTAGCATTCATCTTCAGTAATTAATACATGCCCTAGGGGATGCTTGTGATTGGAAATGGGAGGGCAGAAGACTGTTTTTTACTTTTTGATTGAGTGCTTTTTTTATCTCAAGCTATTCTGAATGTCATGGAGAGTTAATGAAGACATGTTGTACACCCACTGCAAACACAATAAAAGAGAAAATGCAACCAATTCTACCACTGTCTGAGTAGATTAAATCCTCAGTTATACTAGAAGTTCAGGGAAGAAAATGAGAGCTGTGTTAGGAGATGGATGGGGATAACACTGGTTACAAAGTCAGAAAAAAACGAGGAAGGATCCTCTTCCATCTTTTCAAATTTCTCCACTTTTCCTTCCTTCTTCAACTCCTCCCTCCCTCAACAGCTAAGGACAGAGAGTGGGCACAAAGTGTCTGCATTGACTTTAGCATCAGATAATAAAATCAGCATAATTTAGTCTTAATACTGTGTCCAGAGTTATGATCTCTATGTTTTTCTTACCACCATTTAGTGAAATTGCAGAAAATCATCTAAAAAAGAAAAAAAAGCAGTAACATTCCATCAGTAGCTTTTGCTTCTCAAAGACTGGCTTCAAATAACAGATGTGACGTTCTTCAGGTTAGCCGCCACTCACAACACTTGAGATATCCAACTGGGAACAATCTCCCTGAGTTGGAATAAATGAGATGATCTAATACCTGAAGATTCCCCAACTCCAGCCCGTTTCTTACATATACAATACATCTGAGAAATGGCTGAATGCATTCTCCCCCAAAGATTGGGTAGGGCACTTCTTCTTTAATGAGACAGCAATTTAGAGGTACCCCAAGGGGGTAGCTGAGGAGGTTAAGAAAGTCTGCAAACTTGTTTGAAATCTCTAGGGTGAATTTTCCTGCATAAATCTTAGCAATTATGACTCTATTTTCCTTAAAGAAAGAAGCAATGAAAAAAAAGTAAAACAAACCCCAGAGCGATTCCTACAGTGTGTCTATAAAGTGAACTTTTCTTCTGAGAAACAATGGTTTCTATTTTTAGGGAATTTTTAGTTTCCCTTTGCTCTTCTAGAAGGGATCTGGTATATTTCAGACTAGAGTAGATTAAGTCGTTAAAAGTGATAGCTCTGCTTCATACTCAAAGCAGTCCCCAAACAGAGCACTACAGGTACATCAGACAGTGAAATTCTCCCCAGAAGAGGAAAGGGTTCATGGTTACAATCTACTTTTTTTGTGCACAGATTCAGGTGTCGGACAAAATGGAGTTCAAATCCTAGATCTTCCCATATGCAACTTCCTTAACCTCTGAGTCTCAGTTTCCTCTTTTGTCAAATGTCCATAATGATAATAATAATAATAAATAGACTTTTCCTGTTGTGGATATTCTGTTGCATAATATTATTTTAAAGGGGATTATAATCATTTGTTGCATTCATGTTGACATACAATATTCAATGTCTTAATACTCTAATTCTACCTGCCAACAAATGCATAGGATATCACCTTCCTGTCAGTTTTTTCTGCAGACATTATTGAAATGAACTCTCTCTTATCCTGAGATGGGTTTGAATACCCAATGAGAAGCAGATCCCATGAAATTAACTCACAAATTTAAGATCTCAAAATCAGTAAGCTGTGGAGGAAGGATCAAATCCAGTTCTATCTAAATCTAAACTCTTTTTCTTATCTACTTCATGGTGCTGCCGTGAGCTGGGACTGTACACGTTGATTGATTGATTGATTGATTCATTCATTCATTCATTCTTTTATCCAATCATTCAACAAGTATTAAGCAATGTTTTGTTTTGCTTTGCTTTGTAGGGGACATTTAAAATGTGAAGGCACTTTACAAAAGTAAAGTTCTATGTGAATATAAGCTGTTATAATGAAGGGCTAAAGCCTGTCTGTTGTCCCTGGTATTTTGAGTGGGAAACATAAGCAAAATTCATATCCCGTGATCTCTCATCCTATGACAAAACAAAATAAAACAAACTCTAAACTACAACCCACCCACTGCTAATATAATCTATATTTTACCTCCAGATTTATTGAGGTATACTTGACAAAATCTTACATATATTTATTGTGTACAATGTGATAATTTGATACACGTAAATAATGTGAAATGATTACCATAATCAAATTAATTAATATGTGGCATATCTATCACCTCATATAGGTTTTTTATTTTTATTTTTGGTGTGATGGGGTTTCTTAAGATCTCTCTCAGCAAATTTCAAGTATACAATACAGTATTGTTAACTATAGTCACCATGTGTGCCTTAGACCCCCAGAACGTACTCATAACTGAAAGTTTGTCCCCTTTGACCAACATCACCTCGTTTCCTCCACCCTCAGCCCCTGGCAACCACCATTCTACACTCTGCTTCTGAGTCTGATTTTAATAGTCATTATTGAAAATAGTATAGAAATTCTTCAAAAACTTACTTTAAAATAGGACTCCTATACAATTCAGAAATATCACTACTGAATGTATATCCAAAGGAAATAAAATCAGGGTGTTGAAAAGATATCCACACTCCCATATTTACTACAGCATTGTTCACAATAGCCAAGATATGGAATTAGCCTAATGAGCCTAAGTGTCCATTGATGGATGAATATATATATGTGTGTATAAAACATTATTCAGCCTTAAAAAAGAAATCAGCATACTATTATGTGCAACAACATGGATGAGCCTGGATGTTAGGTGAATAAACCAAATGCAGAGGGACAAACACTATATGATAAGAGAATTAATCTTAAAACCATTGGCTCTTCAACAGATCAAGAATGTAGCCTCTTGGGCTAATTGTATCACAGAAAATGAGGCAACAAAGGCAATTGTCAGGAAAGCCAAATAAACCTCTTCACATGTCCCAAAAATTTCCTCCAGTCACCAGACTGGCACAGAATCTTACTTGGTAAAATCACATCTCCCAGCCATCTAGGGTAGGTTGATGGAAAAGCAGTGCTTACATGCAGCCTCTAGAGAGAGAATGGAGGAAATAAGAGAGAGTTTAAAAAGTACTCTTTTACCTGTGCCAGGTAATCAAGGTCAACATCAACAGTGATAAGCCATATTGATCATATGTACCCATAATATGTCGTGAGAATGGACTCTTACTTCCCTGAAACACACAGCTCTAGTCTAATTGTGAGAAAAGCATCATAAAATCCAAATTTAGGCATGTTCTACCTGACCAGTACTCATCAAAACTGTCAAGGTTATCAAAAACTTAGGAAAGTCTGATAAATGGTTGGGGCCAAGAGGAGCCTGAGAAGACATGATTAAAGGTAATATGGTAATTTTTCTGGTATTCTAGAACAGAAAAGTAACACTAGATAAAAATTAAGGTAATCTGAATAAAGAACAAGCTTTAGATAATAATAATATAACAATATTGGTTCATTAATTGCAACAAATGTGCCACACTTTGTGTAAGATTTAATTACAAAGGAAACAGTATGTGGTATACAGGAATTCTCTGTATTATCTTTCCAATTTTTCTGTAAATCTAAAATGGTTCTAAAAAAAAGTTTACTTTTTTTTAAGGCACTGTTGTCATTCAATGGAAAAATGGAAGCCAAAAAAGAAGATTTGATTTAAGAATAACCAACCCTCTCATTATCCCGTTGTGCACTGTTATGCCTTGTCTCTGGAAACCAATATAATTTACTTCATTTTGATTTGTGTTCTGTCTTATTCAGAAAGTGCTTCAGGTGACTTACAAGAAGATATAAAAATTAAAACTCGAGAAGCTATTACAGGGCGGGACTTGGGTGGGGAACAATTTGCCCTAGGGTGGGTATACAAGCTTTAGAATTAGGTGGACTTGTGTGTATGCTTTGCTTCTTGGTAAAGTTACTTAACCTATTTGTAGCTCTATTTCCTCATCTGTAATGTGTATTTAATAAGTATTCAAGATGCCATATGCAATGTTATATCTTAACAGGTAAGTAATTAACATGTGCACCATATTTGTATACATTGGGCATAGTGGCATTTCGGTGGTCTGATATCTCAGGGATGTTCCAGAACCCCACCAAAGGATCCAAATTGGAGAATATGTTGGTTTAACCAAAAAAAGTGTCGGAAATACTTGGAGCCCCACCAAAATGTCTTCATAAAAGAACACATCTTTCTACACACAAGAACTTCTTAAACTTTAATGTAAATTCCTTCATTTTATAGATCACAAAACTGAGGCCAAGAGGGAGGAAGCGATTTGCCCAAGATCACACAGGGAATTGGGAGCAGAATTAGATCTTAAATGCAAGCATCTCAACTGCTACTTAGTCTTTTCTTTTATATATATCAAGTTACATATTTTTTCTTCCAAATATACTTCCTGTATACTTTGTAAAACGAAGTAAGGATAAGAGATGTGCAGTTTTCATATTTCAATGTTAGGGATTAAAGATTTCTTCAAGCATCTGATTGCTGATTGGCTAAGAAACACACGCCAGTATTTGTGGATATGTAAGAATAAAAAAAGATTTCTTATGGTATATACTTTCAATGAATTTGAAGTAATAAAGAAGCATTTGTTTCCTAGGTTTGTTTTGTTATTGTTTTATCCTAGCCACAATTAACATGATAGTTAAGAGAATAAACTCTGGAGCCAGACAGATAAGGATTAAATCCTGGCTCCTCCATTTACTAGCTATATGACCTTATTCACCTTAGTAAATATTGCTGAGCTTCACTTTTGTCATCTTTAAAATAGAGATTACTAAGATACAAAATTCATAAGGTTTATATGAAAATATAAAATTAAATGCTATATATAAATTTCATAATAAAGAACTTGGCACAAAATAAACATTCATTGAAATACAGTTGTTATTGTTGCTGCTGCTATTGTCATCATTGTATTCTCTTCTTGGGAAATTAATATTGTGTGATTCCCAGGGAGGTACTCAGCCTAGCAATAAAGCAATATTGAGTCCTTTTGTCTAGGCATCAGAAAACCTGGTATCATTTATGTCATACTTGCAGCTTACTAATTATGTGATTGGATCAACGTATTTTTACTCTGGCCCCAAGTTGTACCATGTATCAGATAGAGTTTTTTTATTGAATAAGGCAAAAACCGAGTCTCAAATAGTCTTAAACCAAATTGTAGAAATTACATGTTTAGGCAATTGAAACCTCCCTAGGCAATTTCTTCTTTAGGCTCAGGTTAATCCAGGACTCAAAATATGTCAAAAAATCTGTTTGTTTGTTTTCCATTGCACAAATCTGTTCTCTTCCATGTTGGCTTCATTCCCAAGATCCACATGGTAGCAATATGGTTGACATCAGCTCCAGAGCTAAAGGCCCAGAGTTTCCATTCCAAAGAGAAGAGAGCACTTTTCTTTCCTAAACAGATTCTATAAAAGCCTTAACCCAGTTTCTGACTGGTAGACATTGACTCATATGCCTAACTCTGAACCAATCACTGTAGGCAGGAGAATAGAACACAATGTTTAGCTTAAGCTGTGGTCACATGCCATTCCTGGAAATGGGGGTAAGGTAGTTCTGTTCAAATAACTAACAGTAAAGGAATGAGCCCTGTATTCTTTTTATTTTATTACTTTATAACAAATTATTACAAACATAGCCACTTAAAACAACCCAATTTTATTATCTCACATTTTCTGTAAGTTAGGAGCCCAAGAATGGCGTAACTATACTCTTTGTTCAGGTCTTAAATGGCTGAAATCAAGGCATTAGCAAAGGCTACCATCTCACCTGGGGCTCCTAGCACTCTTTCAAGCTCATGGGGTCGTTGGCTGAATTAAGTTTCTTGTTAATTCCAGAGGCCACCCTCATGTACTTACCACATAGGCTATTCTCTCACAATACAGTAGCTTTCTTTATTCTGAAGGTTGCCAGGAGAGTGTCTCTCTGACGCTTCACCTTCTTTTAAAAGACTCACCTTGGCCGGATGTGATGTCTCATGCCTGTAATCTCAGCACTTAGGGAGGCCGAGGCAGGCGGATCACTTGAGGCCAGGAGTTCAAGAACAGCGTGGCCAACATGGTGAAACCACCTCTCTACTAAAAACACAAAAATTAGCTGGGCCTGGTGGTGCATGCCTGTAATCTCACCTACTCGGGAGGCTGAAGCAGGAAAATCTGTTGAACCCAGGAGGCAGAGGTTGCAGTCAGTGGACAGAGATTGCACCACTGCACTCCAGCCTGGGTGACACAGCAAGACTGTGTCTCAAAAAAAAAAAGAAAAGAAAAGAAGAAAGAAAGAAGAGAAGAGAAAAGAAAAGAAGGAAAAGAAGAAAAAAAGAAAAGAAAAGAAAGAAAAGAAAAGAAAAAAGAAAGGCTCATCTGATTAGGCCAGGCCTACCCAGGATAATCTCCCTATAGACTAAGTCAACTGATTAGTAGCCTAATTATGAGAGTGACATTTCATTGTATTCCACTGGTTCTGTGCATGCTCAGGCAAAGAGGATCATACAAGGAATATATATTAGGGCACACAAATCTTAGGGGCCATTTTAGAATTCTGTCTACCACAAACTCACAAAGGAAAACGGGAGTCTGGTTAACAAGATGACATTGATTGTTGGGCAGCCAGAAAAATAAAATCCCCTACATCTCTTCAGAAAAACAAAAGGGCTGGGATTGGCCTAGATTATCACTACTATCTCTTCTAATTCAAATCATGCTTAATTTTGTGAAACCAAATATAGAATCTTAAGTATTTCCAGTGTCATTGAGGGAATTAGCAGCAACTGTGTATGAAAGTCACTAGAAATAGAGGGCAAATTTTTCAAAAATATCACCCTCCTGAGTGTTGTCTCAGCAATTTTTGCAACCCTCCCCTTTTGGTGGGCATATGTTGCCCACCTCATTAATATTTTCTGACTGGCTGTTGACAGTGCATTTTTTATAAGATTTGAAGGACACAGTCTAGTCTAGGACCCAAAGGAGTTGAAGGAGCCTTCCTTAAATATGGCCCTGACCCAGCAAGCGAGTCACCTTCCCTGAAGTCTTGGAGCTTGAGCTATGGTTAATCTCTGGCCCCTTGTTTTTGGCAATGAAAGGGGAGGATGTGGTCAGACTCATAAAGGCATTACTCAGAGCCAGTTTGGTTCCGAGGAAAGAAATCTGGCAAGATCTATTCCTACATGGCTCCATCCCTGTCTCCAAAAGCTTCCCAGAGGACTGCCTTCAGGACCTTGGCCTCAGTTAGGAGCTGACTACCAGCAGAATTTGAACTCAGATCTCCCAGCACTGGCCTTCTCTCATGGGTAATTGCAAGAGAACACATGAGAAAATAAACAACTTCTTCTTTGGTTACAAAGCTCCCTACAGTGTTTCACATTCCCTGGGCTGACATTTCATAAATAATTGAGCATTTACTATGAGTTAAAGCATGCATCTACATTCCCTATATCCTAGCTCTCTTACTGTGTGTGTGTGTGTGTGTATGTGTGTGTGTATGTGTGTATGAACATATACATTGAAAGACCAGAGAAGGCACCTGCCCTTGAAGAATTCATGATCTACTGGTGGAGATTCAGAAATGTGTTTGAACAGTTTCAGCAAAATGTGAAATGTTGTAATAGGAGGGAAACAAGGTACAGCACGTAATGTAAACCAAGACAAAAGGATTCAAGGAGGGCTTCCTGTAGAAGGTAGTACATGAGTTGAGTTGAGCTTCAAGAAATAAAGAGATGTTAGTTAGGTGGAGGTCAAAAAGGTATTTGGAAATGAACAAACAGCATAAGAAAAGGCCAGATGTATAAAACAGCAAAGTTCATGCAGAGAAAAATACAAGCAAATTGATAGTGCTGGGATGTAAACTTGGTTATGGTCTGAAAAGGGTGAAAAGGTGGAGCTTTACAAAAAAGGCGAGTATGGAGAGGTCAGCATAAACAAGGTCATAGAGAATCTTACATGCTACATTGAAGAGCTTGGTGTTTTTCTTGGGGACAACATGGTGCCCCAGAAAGGTTTTGAGCTGAGGAGAGATAGGATCTATTTGTTGTGGATTCCTCTATCTATAGTGTACAGAACAGATCTAAGTCTACAAGGCTGGAGATATAGAAGTCAGCTCTTGGCTGTTGCAATGGTTCAGGTGAGAAATGGTGAGAGTCAAATCTAGCAATGACACTGGGAGGAAAGAAACAGTCTTAGAAGATTTGGGGAATAATATCTGCAAGATTAGTTGTAGATTAGCTGTGGTGTCTAATGAAAGGAAAAGCATCAAGAACAATGCCTAAGATGACCTCCTCAAGTCTTTTTCTTTCTTTTGTTCTTTCTGTCTTTCTTTTTCCCTTCCTTCCTTCCTTTCTTCCTTCCTTCTTTCTTTCCTTCCTTCTTTCCCTCTTCCTTCCTTCCTTTCTTCCCTCATTCATTTTTTCTTTGTCTTTGCCTCTTCTTCTTCTTCATGAATCAGATTGAAGTTCAACCAACATTTAGTAAGCATTTATTATGTTACAGTCATGTTCTAAACACTTTACAAAATCACATTTTGCTTCCCAAGAAACAACTCTATCAGAAAAGAGATAAAGTAGTGAAATCTTGGAGAGATAATCAGCTTGCTTAAGGTCAGCTAGTAGCAGAGATAGGAATAGATAGCATTTGTTTTAGAGAATACATGGAGTTTGCTTGAGTCCTAGACCACTGGAATGAGAATTTTATAAACTCAAAATGCATATTTGCAGTTATTCTAAAGAGAAGCATAGTGGGATAAATACTATAGCTTTATAATGA
Organism: Homo sapiens; assembly: GCF_000001405.40. NCBI lineage: Eukaryota > Metazoa > Chordata > Mammalia > Primates > Hominidae > Homo > Homo sapiens. The sequence goes on along the minus strand of NC_000009.12, from coordinate 115,603,658 downwards.
TCGCTATTATTCTGCCACCAATCCAGTGGTAGGTTTAGAGATTTTAAACCAGTGATTTTCAAGCTTGCCTATACATTGGAGTTACCTAGGTAACCTTAAGAAACTTTTAGAAAACAACGATGCTGATCCCCTTCCTAGAAACTCTGATTAGATTGTTTTGAAGTACAACCTGGGCATCAGTATATTTAAAATCTCCAGGTGATTATAATGTATAGTCAAGGCTGAGCATCATGGAGCTAGCCCCAGAACAAGCAGAAAATGATCTTCTCTCCTGACTTCTGCACCTGGTCCTCTCTCCTTTCTCCTGCCTTAGATAGTGTGACTCTTGCACAAACGCAAAAGCATTCTTCCCAGCATGGCTCTCCCCTCTGCTGCAGCCTCCCCGCCGCTGGTGGTCCCATGCTCTTGGCACAGATGGATCTGCTACCTAATTGCCTGCTTATTTGTTAAGTGGTTGTCCCCAGCAGATGTTCCCATGTGGGGATTTGGAGGCCAGCATCTGTATACAAACAGCCGATTGCATCACTGTCCTGCTTTTGATCTAGTCTTAATGGGGCACCGCCCAGGCCACAGATGACCTTCCAAAACTAACCTGATGATAAGCTTTCTGATTCCCCATTTTCATCCCCAACTTGTTCTTTTAATCATCCTTCATGATCTTAGAGGCTCTGCGTCTGTCTTCTTGGATTACTTTCTTCCTCTGCTTTTTAAATTATTATTGTTGTTGTTGCTGTTGATCTTTCTCTTAGAATAACAGAGCATGATGGCAGCCTCAGTATCTTCATGGTACAAATGTGCTAACTGGGACACAAAAAGGCAAAGTCACTTCATCAGGAATAGGACACAGTCATTCAGGGGAAGAGCTGAGTTTTAGTTCTTCCATCTCTTATCTCCATTGCCATATACCACCTTACCCAGCCTCACCAAATGGACGATGGGTTTGATGGCTGATTCTGAAACCTCCTAACTGTGAGACTTTGACAAGTTACTTCACCAGAACTAGCAAGATAATAATATTCTATGTCTGCCAGTGTCATTATGAAGTTTAAAAATACTGTGTATGAAGCCCATAGCACCGGGTTAAAAGAGTTGTTCAGAAAGGTATGCAAAAATGCTGGAAAAGTGATAATGATGTCCAGCATGATGATTTAGTCCCAGGCATATGAGTTAGATATTCCCATTTGAATCTCCATTATCCCTGAGTAGCAGAGCTCCTTTGGTCAAGTTACTTCACCTCTTTGAGTCTCCATTTTCTCATTTTAAGAATGAAAATAAAAGTAATATTAATCTTACCTCATTGTAATAATATTGAGCACTTATTACACAACTTGGCACATATTGAACCTTAAGATAATGATAAATATTAGGGATGAAAGTGAGAAAGGAGAAAAAATGTAAGACAACAATGCTTTCTATCATGTAGAAAGAGCACTACATGAGGAGTCAGGACACCCGATTCTTAGTATAATACCAGCTCCGAGAGTAATTTTCTGTGTGATCTCTGATAAATTCCTTTCTATCTGTGTGCTTCAGAGGTCTTATCAGGAAGACTGGATGGTCTTTGTGCCTTCTTCCATACTGTGATCTCTATCTCAACAAAGCTCTAATTCCTCAATTCTCTCATCAGCCAAGGAATGTGACATGCCAGGGTCCTTCTGACTTCATAAAATAGGGTCCTTCTGGTTTCATAAAATCCTTTGCCTTCCCTATCTCCTTCCCCATCTTCCTAGCCTTTGTGCTATGACCTCCTTCTCACTGCCTTTTTCTGTACATAAGGAGGCAGTCTCACCCTCTCCTACAACCTTTGCCTTAAATGTGGGGAGAAGGACCCAAGAACCCAGCCATGGAGAAGAACCACCAAGTGCTTTTAGAGATTAAGCCATGGTCTCATGAGAAGACAGTGACTGTCAAGTGGAAAAACTGACAACAGCTTTAGCTCCAGTCATGCAAATAGTATTACTGCAAAGACATATATTTAGCATCTATGACATCAGCTTGATTTACCTTGATTAATGGAGCAATTTGCTGTGCATTTTTCCAAATGCTGTAATCAATTAGGGCTCAAAATAGATTAGAAAACCTCTATGACGTGGACACAGTCCAAAAAGGCTAATGCATTATAAAATATATGTATATATCCTTTCCAACGATGCAGTGGATGAAGATTTGTGTCTTGGACTAACTCAGAGGGGTTCAGGTTTATACAATTAGGCATCAGGCGCTTTTGATTTCAGGTATTGTTAAAGGCAAGTCAGGGGGAAAGGCGCCATGTAAATGCTACTCTATCTTGATCTAGCTTCTCAACATCTCTCCATGTATACTCTTTTCCCTACTCCAGTCCATTCTCACAGTGATGTTTATAAAACACTCAGCTGGTTATAGCCCACTTGTAACAACAGAATAGGCCCTAATCTCTTAGATTGACATTGACAGCCCTTTGAAATTGGCACCATAGTATTATTTCAACTTCATCTCCTCCTATGTCCCACACATTCCCCATATTTTATCTTTCTATATTTCTCAAAGTTCCCCCCAAATATATCACGTACTTCCTTACAACCCTGTATTTGACCCTACCTTCTCTCTGCCTTGAATAATAAAAATAACTCATATTTATGGAGTATTTTTTTATAGACCAGGCACTGTGCTAAATGTTCACCAAATATTATTGCCCTTAATTCTCCTAACCACCCCATAATCTGTGAAAGTTGAAATGCTTGATCTAAGTTGTACGTAAGTCAGTAACAACATTAAGATCAAACCCTGGTCGATCTAACCCCAAAGCCCTTGGTCTTTCTTCCTCTCCTTCTGTATAATTCCTTTATCTTTTCTTCTCAATCCTTCTCCACATTTCACACTCTCACTGTGCTCTTCTTTCCAGGAGGAAAGATACCTTTCAGACTTGGTGACAGTTAGATGCTAGAAGCTGAATGTGTGGCCCATTCAGAAATGAAATTACTCTGTGCCCAATTGACACGAGCTACTGCTCTAGGTAAAGTACCCTCCCAGGCACTAAATATGGTGCAGATGGATGGAGTGTAGTTTAAGGATTGAACATAACAAAGCACTGCTTGACAGAGACTCAAGTGACTTGGGATTAAATTATAGATATTCTATTAACCACGTGTATAATTTTGAGTCTCTCAGAATCTATACTTCATTGTCAATAAATAGAGATAATATTCTATATGATGCATTAATCAAATTGATATGAAGATATAAAAGTGTTTCATCAAGTACTTCACACAAAGTGTTGATTTTCCTACCTGGCACCCGGCCTGAAGGAACTTCTGATCCTAGCAGCTTTTGCTTTAAATTCTATGTAAAACTGTAAACTACAAAGCAGTGTGAATTCCTGTTAATTTCAGACAAGAATTAGAGAGCTGACTGTAAAACCATTGAAATTGCTGCCTGGTTCTTCAGGACTTCTCCAGGACCTCATAAAACCTGGGCCATAACTGGTCCTCAAAACCTGAGCCATAACTTGTCCTCAAAATACACCCACCAAATGAATGAATATTGCTGTCACTGCAGGAGAACCAGACTATGAAGTCAGAAACATGGGCTCTGGTCCCAGCTCTACTCCTCACTGACACTAGTAAGTAAATTCAGTTTCTTGTGGACTTGGTTCTTTATCTTTAAAAAGAGCATGTTAAAACCCTGACTTCATAAAGTTGTTATGTAGAGCAAATAAAACTCCACATGGAAGTGCATTGTAAACTATAAAGAGATGTGTATGTACAAGAAGACGAACAGAATTGACTTGTATTCCTAAAGGAATGCATAGGCATACAAGTGCTGTGCTTGAGGCTCTCAGAAGATCCCCATGCAAAAGTCTATAATTCAAGGTCTAGTGGTTTATTCCATTTTTACAAATGACCATTCATCATCTTGACCTGACACTTAGCGAATGAACCATAATATCCTCCAATCCACTGCTTAGCATATTCTTGGCAGAAAGAACATTAGAGACCAATGGATCCTCTACTTTCTTTTCCCCAGTACACACCATTGTACTGATGAGGAGCCTGACCCCCAGAGGGCAGGGACTGTGTCTTCCCCTTTCTTCAGCACTTAGCACAGTGCCTCGCCTATTACATTTTCATTAACTCTTCAATAAGTGAATAAATAAACAAATTAAATGACTTGTTGAAGCTACCCTCAGTGCCTAGCACAGGGCCTGACCTACTATGTTTAGTTGTTGTTGTTGTTTTTAATGAAATGAATAAATGGATAAATGCTCATCCAGCAAGTTGGTAGCAGTGATGGGACTCAGACCCCTTCCTTGGCAATCTGTATCCCAACATATCACAAGCTGGTATTCATCCTGGCTTGCATTTGCTGCTAATTGACTTAGGTTTGTGCATTTGTTTCTACATATGTACCTCTAACTCTGTAGAAGAAACAAGAGAGTTTGTCACTATGTCTCTGGGAATATATAGCTTAGGGTTTGTCACCCAGTAGGTAATCAATAAATATGTCTTAATTATATGAACCTGGGCAAATTAAAGAAGCTATCTGGAGTGTGACTTCTGAGGAAGAGACCTGGTAGGAAGTATTTGTGTGGTCTCATAATGTATTTATTTACAAGACTAATGTTTGTCTAAGCTCCAGAAGATTTCTGGCTTCATTTTGGTAACTGTGTGCATTTGTGTTATTTTCCATCCTTCTGGGGAAAATAGCCCATCCTTCTGGGGTCCAGCTGGGCTACAAAGTAATAAACAGACATAAAAATTGGCTGACTCCATGACAAGAAGTGGGAGCAACCCAAACCCTTTAAGAAATTCTTCTCTCAGTAGTGAATGCACCAGCATCCAGCTAGTTCAAGCAGGGTTCAAGTAAGCACTCTAACTTTGTGAAAACTATTTATGACCAGCACAATAAAACCTCTCTACCCACTCAGTTGCTGGGCATTTGAGACATAGTTGTTTTTCTTTCAGTCTGTTCTTTGACAGCAATCAACAACATTGAGTTACTTTGACAATTTTGACAACTAATTCAGGGTATGAGCAAGCCTCTCCTTTTGTTTACTTAGTATATCCCTTTGCAATTTAAGAATTCTACGGTGTCTGATACAAATCAATGGTCTTACTTCCTTCTGAATGGCTGAACCAAGTTTAAAACTACTGTCTAAAATATCTTACTGGATATTCTGAAGAGACCAAATCAGTTTCAAAGGTTCATCATGTCTCTTTGCTCATGACATTTACTTCACAATCCCATAAACTCCAAAAAAATTACTATAGTATGCATTTGACAGATGACTCATTTGCCAATCTGTTTATTTCATGTATATTGAATTGATAAACTTGTCCCAAAAGATAGATTAAGAGGTAAAAGCCATGGTCTGTGTCCTAAAGGATACCATGTCCAGGCATGAAAAATGAAGCATGAGTATCAATTTCTGTGGCACCAGAGAGTGCTCACTGACACAGACAAGAGACACACAGTGCCCCAGAAACTCAGAGAGAAGAATGGCCACTTCTGGAGGTGGACAAGAGGAGGGAGATGGAATTTAGAAGGCTTCATGGGACAGGTAATCCTTGCACTGGGCCAGAACTGTGTATGCAATACTAATCTGTTATTAGTGAGGGAAAGAGGTGGGAGCCTAACCCACCCAGGTGAAAAGCATGGTTTTTACCAGCTCACTGTGCCCTCTTACTCTACTGAAGTCCTATGGTCCTAAGCATGTACCCTCTTGGGGCTATTCTTGAAAAAATAACAGTAACCAAATTTGCTGTGTGCCAGATATCATTTGAAGTGCTTAACATTTGCTAGCTCCTCACCACAAAGGTAAATGAAGTAGGTTGTCTCCATTTTTGTACGTGTGGAAAACATACTTGAGTTTAAATACAAGTGTTGGGCACTTGACCAACATCAAGAGCTAGTCAGTAGAGCAGCTGGGCTCCAATTCAGTTCTCTCCTACTCCTTAACCTACCTTCCTTAAACCCCGTGCTAACTACCTTCTTGGTCAGATGGTTTAATTGCTCCGTGGGGGAAAATGAGGGTTGGTAGAATCATCTAGGGAGATATCCCTTTGGAACTTACTCCCCCAGGGCTCCATAATTGTGCTTGTATGAAACAGAACTCCCAGTGCCTACCATCTGAGCTCATGATCAAAGGAGATTGCAGAAACTCACAAATGTCAAGTGCCCATTTATCCCAGATTGTACTGTGGTGCTTTAATCTACTCAGTCTGTTTACCCTCACAAGAAGCCTGTGGACAATGGATTATTTTCTTCATGTTGTAGATGAGAAATCTGTCTTGTAAAGTTTCAGAAGTTGCTTGATTTCCCACAGCCAGTCTCTACCAAGGCAGCATTTACAAGTAGGATATTTACCTCCAAAACCCATCTTATTTTAACTTTCTCCCTCTGTAGATTGCACAGTACCCTGTAGCATATGGCTTAATGATCACAGTGAAAAAGGAAAATTAAAAAAAAATAGAAAGGATAAGGAAAAGAAGATATAAAAGGAGAAAGAGGAGGAGGAGGGAAAGGATAATTAAAAAAAAGTAGTCAGAATGTACTTACATGCAAGCTACTTACATGCTTTAAAGGAGCCACAGTATTAAGTAATATTCACTAAGGTAGGACATTGACATAAATATTCAGGGGACATTTTCCGACCTGGATTTTGAATAAAAGAAAGACCAGAACGTAAGAGGGAGTAGGGTTTTAGTGCTCTGAGATGCCAGATTGGACACAGGAGGAAAATCTGCAAGACTAGCCTAGTGTAGCAATGGTGTTGGTTTTTACATAGCAATTTGCTGAAACATCTTCCACAGGATTACATGGCTCTCTTAACTTGAAAGTCCCTTTTATTTGTTTATTAAATTAACTGATAGACAAAAGGTTCAGTCTTTCACTATCAGCCTACGGAATTTATTAGTCAAATAACGATTGCCCTCACCTCAAGTTATGTTTTCATTGTATTTGTTCCATGTCTTCTGAGCTCTGGCTTCCTTGGAATGAGGCTTGCATTCTCGGCAAGATCCGTTAAATCTCTCTACTTTGCTGATAGCAAGCAGCCCAGAAACAAAACAAAAGCATTGAATCTATATTTCCCTGCCCCCTTTCTTTCTTCCTTTTCCTCTCTTCTCTAACCCCTCCCCTAGAGAACACCAGAGAAATAAAAAGTCGTAATTAAGAAAAGGACTAAGAATAAATTCCATGCATTTAACCCAAGTTCCATCTCTGAACCCAGGAGGATTGGTGCATAGCTGTGGTTGTGCTAGAGGAAGCGTGCTGGGAACTCATGCTGTGCTTTCAACACAAATACAGCTCATAAGGAATAGTTTATCACTTAAACCATCTCTTTAATTCTGCAGAGTAGAGGGAAGACCTCAAAAAAGGCTCAGATACAACCACCACGGCCACCAGGGTCTTTCACTTCTGGAATCCCTCTGGCATAAATAGCTCAGAGCAATTCACAAACATTTATTGACGAAACCCCATGACCCCTCCCCCAAGTGAATACTTTAATATCCCATTCTGCAGAGGGCAAAATGGTAACATGGAGAAGTTCAAGGCGCTTGGCTGCCTGCCATGCAGAGAAAACGAAGTCGTGGCTGGATTCTGAAAGAAAAGCATCGCCAGGTGCACAGTGGATTATTCAAGAAATGTGGTGAAAAGAGCACAGGGCTGTAAGTCAGACCTGGGCTCTCATCCCTGTGCTGTCGCTCACTTGCTGGGGAACAGTGGCCAAGTTACCTCCCTGCTCTGGCCTCAGTCTTCCCACATGTGTAATGGAAGGTTGAACTAGAAGACCTTAAAGCCCCTTCTACCTGTAAAAATGATGGAGTTATAAGTCCACCAAGCCAGAGGACTAGACAGGCTTTCATATCATGGCAAATCCTAAACCTTGCAACCCTCTTTTTGTTGGAGGGACTCCTCTATGCCTCTCCAAATTCAGCCTCTTAAAGCCTGGTTCTACTTCTCCTCTTCCAGGTGGTGTTCCCTGATTTGTTGCTGCCTATAAGAATTCTGTGGCCTTCAGAACACCTGATTGCTTACTTTTTCACATGGGAGGAGCTCAAACAGTATTACTAAATTAGAAGATTCTGTGTGGTTTAATCCTTAATTCAAATACCCTCATCTAACCAGTGGGACCTGGAGGGCAGAATTAGAAAAGTGTTTGTTAAACCTTAAATATCTTAATAGATCTTCAACCTTCAATATCTATTAATAGGTGCTTTTTTCCTAAATCCATCTGGATTTTAAAATCCTGATGATACATGCCCAGAGAGGTGGTTCTTAATGTGGAGGTCCAATTTAATGCACTGTAATTTAATTTAGCAATTAATTATTGATCATGTACTCTTTGCCAAAAACTAGAGTAGACTCTGGAGTTACAAAGATTTCTAAGATTCAGTTCTTTTCCCAAAGGCTATTCAGCTCCCTGAGAGAAGCAGGTAAGGAGAAAGGCAGCTGTAATACATTGAGATTATTTCAATAGCAGAAGCATCTACAAGACAAACAGGAGGTATGAGGCAAATAAAGAATAAAAAGGCCAATTACAGCTCAGATTTCGTTGAATTTGCTTTGCCTTAGACCCTAAAATAGTAAAGTTGTGACATGAAGATTTCAACTTTGATAAGATTTCATAAGACAAAGTTGGAAGATCCCAAGATTATTGTGTATGTATGTTGGGGGTCAGAGGGAAGAGGGGATGCTGCATGAGTGAAAAACTTAAACTAGATGTTCTTTTAAAGGAAATGCAGTTGGCATGAACACAGTTTCTAAACTAATGTATACCAAGGTATAGATTCACTGCAATTAAAAGTAGGTCATTTGAGACAATCCCATGGCGTCACATATAGGAATATTTCTTGTCCTTCCTGGCTTGATTTCCTTAAATGGAAAAGGGGTGGTTAGATGAGATAATCACAATAATCCCTTCCAGCTTTGGTGTTCTGTAGCTACATGGAACACAGACAGTGTCTTCTCTGTTGCCTCCCACAACATTTATTGCTGGGTTGGGCACTAGAATGGAAGACAGGAGGGAGGAAACAAGAAAAGTGGGGAGAGAGGGTTGTTTTCTCCCTCCAGGGACTCTGAATTTTGAAGTAAGGTGAAATTCAGAGGTATTCAGAAAAGAAGTAGCAGGATATGAGTTGTCATTATAAGTGTATTCCTTAGATGTAATAAAGGTTTTTATCTTGTGTAGTGACATTAGCCAGATACTTGTAATCAGAAAGCTTGGGTTCAAGTTCTGGCACTGTAATTAAATAGTTTGTAGATCCTTAGGAATCTACTTACTCCCTTGAGCCTTAATTTCTCCTCTGTAAAATGGAGTAAATAACACTGACTGTTAATTTAGATATATTAAATATTTGAGAGAGACATGCTTTGTAAACCACAAAAGGCTATATAGAGGTTGGTTATTATTGTTGTTATAAAGGGGTGTGATACTTTTCCAAAATGATGATTTTATAGACATTTGTGACAGGCAATAAGAGAAAGAAGTGGAAATCAGAGAGTAATCAGATCTACTAGAATACCCTGTTCTATCCTCACATGAGCTGTGAGCCGAGTCTGTATTCTGCGTCTCCTTTCACAGAGCAGTAAGCAGAAGCTATGGAGAGCTGGTGGGCTCTCACAAGCCCATTGAGCTATACACTCAGAGAAAAAGCCGCTAATAATTTCCATCTCACCCTGGAGCAGATACACACACAGTGTTGAGATTGCTCATGGCCATAGAAGAGCCTCAGCTGGTAAATTTATAGAAGGCTGGTCTGCATTTTTAAGCAAGATAACTAAGCCTCCAGAGTTCACCCTGAATTTAAAAAAAAAAATCTTTACAAGTATATGATTCTTACAAGCTGAGATTTATGTAGAGATTTTGGTTTGTTGATGTATAAAGTAAATTTTTAATTCACCGGGTAGATGCCAAAGCAAACCAAAGTTAGTATATCAGCACCATCTAGTGGGTGATTTCAGTCAATGCACACACTAGAGGAGAAAACGGTAGGCAAAGAAAGTGTGTACCCCCCAAAGCTTTGGGAAGGCTGCGGAGGAAATAGCACTTATCAGAGAGAACCTTAGGCTGGTCATGGGGGCCCACACCTGTAATTTCAGGGCTATGGAAGGCTAGTGCAGGAGGATAGCTCGAGGCCATGAATTTGATACCAGCCTGGGCAACATGGCAAGACTCCAGTCTCTACAAAAAATAAAAAATTAGCCATGTATGGTGGCATGTACCTGCATTGTAGCAGCTATTCTAGAGGCTAAGGCAAGAGGACCATTAGAGCCCAGGAATTCAAGGCTGTAGTGAGCTGTGATTGCGATACTTCACATTAGCTAAGGTGACAGAGTGAGACCCTATCTCAAAAACAAACAAACAAACAAAGGAAAGCAAAGGAAACCTTAGCCAGGAGCTCTAGTAGTCAGCATGGGTCAACAGGTCTTCTACTTCAGTTAAGGCATGATGAAACAATTAGACCACAGAAACAGTCCAGACACTGTCTAGTTTTAAATCTCTCAGTTTCTTGGCCTGTGAAATGGGGATAATAATTCCTGCTTTAGAGGGTTGATGATGAGATTATATTATAGTATTAATCAGGATGAATTTAGAAAAGTACCTTATGTGGAAAATAATAATCCTTGGTAGCTACTGACTTGATGCCTATCATCTGTCTCCTTTGGATATCAAGCAGCCATTAATACTTTAGGTTTCCAAATAAGAAACTGAGGTTGAATATGGGTCAGTGACAAGTCCAAGGTCACACAGCCAGTAGATGGCAGAGCTGGAATTAGACCACCAGTGTGATATGCCCCAAAGCACTAGTTGACTCCACTGTACCAGGTATTAGATGCACAAAGTTTGCTCTTTTTCTTCACCCTTCATTTTGTTTCTTAAGATGAACATTTGAATGCTACAATGTACCTAGCTTTGTGCATGCACACAAATAAGTATCATCAGATTCTTTGTACAGATGTAGAAGCTGAAACTCAGAAACACTAAATAATCTAACAAAAATTAACAATTACTGAGAGATCTGAGATTTGGGCTCTGACTTTCTGATTATTGCTATAGACTATTGCTTTAATCCATCCTCTACTGACTCATTTGCTCATCATTCATCTCTAATTATGAAGTATGTTTCTGTTTCTGTTTACATCCCAAGAGTTGCTGGTTTATTTAAATGGACATCTGCATTTATTAAGGTCCCTGGCTCATCTAATTGCGATCTGTTTTTCTGCCCATAGAGGAATGGAGGGTTATCTTTGGTGTATAAGATTGTTTCTCAGACTCCCATCAGCTCAAGAAGAGCGATGTGTCCCATGAGGGCAGAGGACAAGCTGGCTGAATGGAGAGAATGTCATCTCTGAGCCTAAGGAGGGGTTACCGCTCCAGTTAGTCTTAAAAGAGGTGACGGAAGAGCCTTATAAAAAGAATTACTGGGAGAGTTTCACAAAAATAAATAAAGGCCACTCATGTTTCCCAAGGCTATACTTTGTGTCTATAAAGACCCAGGGACACAGAGCCCAAATGTGGTTTGTTTGTTTGTTTATTATTTATTTATTAGATACAGGTTCTTGCTCTGTTGCCCAGACTAGAGTGCAGTGGCACAATCATAGCTCACTGCAACCTTTAACTTCTGGGTTCAAGCGATCCTCCCACTTCATCCTCCTTAGTAGCTAGGGCCACAGTTGTGCACCTCCATGCCTATTTTACTTTTTTGTAGAGATAACGTCTCCCTATTTTGCCCAGGCTGGTCTCAAACTCCTGATCTAAAGCAATCCTCCCACCTAGGCCTTCCTAAGTGCTAGGATTACAGATATAAACCACTGCACGCAGCCCCAAGTGTGGTTTGATCAAAGTCAGTGAAAGAGCTTGGCAGTAGCCAGGCTCCGTGACTACTAACTTCCTGTTAGAACTAGGTATTCTGTCCAAACCCTTGGAGTATGACACACAGGGATCAAATTACCCATGGCGTGAAGAAATTGCTCTGCCTGGCAGTTGCTTCCCTCTAGTGGTCACTTTGCCTACAAGCAAGAAGATGCTTGGATTTGAATCTTAGAATTGAAAATCCAACAGATAAAAATAGGATGCTGTTTTACCAAGAAAGTTGGGTGTGGACCTCCATACACTCTCAGAGGAGTATGATGGCAACAACAGCAACGACATAAAATACAGAGGTGTGCTTGTATTCTGGTCTTTGCAAAAGTGTGTTTTGTGAAATATGTTAGAGGAAAAAAATTAATTAAAATATTCTGGCCGGGTGCGGTGGCTCATGCCTGTAATCCCAGCTCTTTGGGAGGCCGAGGTGGGCGGATCACGAGGTCAGGAGATCGAGACCTTCCTGGCTAATACGGTGAAACCCCGTCTCTACTAAAAATACAAAAAATTAGCCGGGCGAGGTGGCTGCTGCCTGTAGTCCCAGCTACTCAGGAGGCTGAGGCAGGAGAATGGCGTGAACCCGGGAGGCGGAGCTTGCAGTGAGCGGAGATCGCGCCACTGCACTCCAGCCTGGGCGACAGGAGCGAGACTCCGTCTCAAAAAAAAAAAAAAAAAAAAAAAAAAAACTCTAATCTGGGATAGATGAACACACACATAATTTCTTTTTAAAAAATTGAGAAATGTCGATATGTGTTGTTCCTTTTTTCTGCCTCATTTCATGAATTCCCATTTTAAAAATGGGACAGTTGAGGTCCACAGGACAGTCACACAGTGGTTAAAAATGGGACAGTTGAGGTCCATAGGACAGTCACACAGTGTTCCAATGCTGTGCTTATGCAATGACAATGTCTTTTGGAAATATGTATCAAGACAGAACCTCTATTGGCCTGTGTGCCTGCCTGAACTATGCTGAACAGAGACCCATGCTAACTGATAACATACTGTAGTGTGAACAGAAAATAAATGTATGTGAAGAAAAAAAGAACTTAAACAAGAAGTCCTCGAGATCTTTTTGTTATTTGCTTCTGCAGCATAACCTCAGTTACCCTGAATTCTATAACACATCTTTCATTAGCTAGCTTCTGTTTTGCTCCCCTCTGGTTCAAAGGGTACAGGGGACAAGGAGATGGGTCATTTATTATTCCTGATTGACTTCTCACTCTCTAGGCCCTGCCGAAGATTAAAGCTGACTTCCTTTCTCTTGGGGTGTTTCCCTGAACTCCTCAGAGGTTTCATGTTGGACACTCCTCCCCTGCAGCTTCTTTGACCCCAGGCTTTTCTAGCTATTCTAGGAGGTCTCTGGGGATCTGTCCTCATTATCTGGGCCTTCACACACAAGTATACCCCCAGTCTCCTTTTGTAAGTTTTCCTTCTCCCTCCAGGCAGACCTACTGGACAAAACCAACCAAGACTCCAGTGAGCTCTGTATCATTGGCCCACACATGTTCCCTGGGAAACAATCACTGGCTCCTTGCCCTGATGAACTTTCTAACTGCAGGTCAGTAGCAATGCAACAGTCTCTCCTGGCTCTAATTCAAAGCAGTTAGTCAGCTCTTCTTTTCTCTTTCATATTTACTGAAGCCAGACTTCAGTCTACAGTCAGCTTTAGATTTCTTAACATGACCTAATTGTGGCCTTTCATATCTCAGACTTGCAAGGGATGCATTCCAGAGTTCTTTAACTGGTATCCCTAGAGCCCCCCTTACTAGCTAAGCATTGGAAGATAGCACAGTATATTAGATAATAGGGAAGTCCAACTGCTATAACAATCAACCTTCAGATCTCTCTGTCTTGACTCAGTAGTGCTTATTTCTTATTCATGTCTCCATCCATGCAGGTTGGCAGCAGAGAGGGACCCTGTTTCAAGCTGTCATTCATGGACCCTTGCTCTTTCCATGTAGTGGCTCAGATCCTCCATGGCCTTTCAGTTCTCCTCTATATTCATTTCATTCAGCTGCAGAGGATGAGAAAAAGAGCATGTGAAGTATCACACAGGAGATTTTAGAAGCCAGACTTGGAAGTAGCATTTATAACTTCCACTCATATTTCTTTGGTCTGTTCATTGCAATGAGAGTTGAGAAACATAGTCTAGCTGTCTCCAGAAGAAAAAGGAACCATGTAGCATGTTTTAGGCAACACGTCACATTGTTTCTACTTCAGTCCTCAGCTCTGGTTACTGAATATCCATTTTACTATTCTTCCCATACATAGAATACACTCAGCTTGTTCCCAGGAGAAATAAGCCAAAGTCCCACTAAGTCACCTCATCTAGCTCAAGGTCCAAGATACTTCACTGATGCATAGTTTTCTCCATCAGTTCACAACATGAGTTCTCAGGTTCTGGGTAACTATTCAGAAAAGAGGTAAATAGGAGACACACAGCAGTTACTGGACTAATGCAAGTTTGAAATCTCGCTGGGGAGACATTGTGAAGGTCCTCTATGGAGAAGAGAGAAAGTTCATGGATAAGCCCTGATTTTGTTCTCTGAACAATACTTCTTTGGGCACTCATTGTTTTCAGTGGCTCTTGGCTGCAAACTCAGACGTTCTCTCCTATCCATTACACTCCTATGCCACAATTGAAGTGGACCTTTGGGAATGCCTTCCTTGGGGGCTACTTATACTTTGCAGCCTATATCCAATCCAAAAGTTGTTCTAAGCTTTGCCAAGCCCTTGCAGGGTTTTGAACTGGGATGATGCTTTCATGGCAATATTGTTTCCTCAAAAATATTGTGGGCTTATGATTTATTTGATTCCAATCAGTTTCATGTACTAGTGAATACACCCAACATTCTGTCCCAGATAGAGTTTTTAAATTTTTTTTTTTTTTTTTGCATCCTCCTCATAGGCTTCCTCATGTCCCATCTTTATGTGTTGACAGCAACCTTGAAGTTATCTGGAATAGTAAGCTTGAGAGATAACTGTAGCTCTTTTCAGAATTATCTTTACTGAAGGGCCAAATTACTTTTCCTTTTGTTATTCAGACTACTTATTGAATTCTTGCTATGTAAATAGCTTTTTAAAAATTATTTATTTATTTATTTATTTACCTTCTCATCTTTCACTGTTTGAGACCTAGAAGCAGTAGGTTTTTCTAAACATTTAATGCCACAAATTTCTGGAATCTTTTTAATTATCTTGCATTTGAGGTTCCAAACTGGGAAATTCTTTATGGAGCTCATCTCTTTCCTTTATCCCTTGTCAATGTCAGCCAAAAGAAGGCAAGATAGGCTGGGCACCGTGGCCCATTCCTGTAGTCCCAACACTTTGGGAGGCTGAGGTGAGCGGATCACCTGAAATCAAGAGTTCAAGACCAGGCTGGCTGATATGGTGAGACCCTGTCTCTACTAAAAATACAAAAAATTAGCCAGGCATGGTGGTGCATGCCAGTAATCCCAGTTACTCAGGAGGCTGAGGCACAAGAATCACTTGAACCTGAGAAGCGGAGGTTGCAGTGAGCCAAGATCACAGATCACACCACTGCATGGCAACAGAGTGAGAAGCCATCTTAAAAAAAAAAAAAAAAAAAAAAAAAAAAAAGCAAGCTATACCCACTCTGTTGTTTTTTTTTTTTTTCCAACTGTGTACCTTAAAGCTATATTTCTCCAAGTGAATGGTCTGCTTTACACCTTATGGCATGCAACTCTTTTACCAAATGCTCTTGTACCACATAATATGGTCTGTTATCTACACAGCCTCTGATATCATTTTTCTAGCTGACCAACCACAAAGCCAAAGACACATATTTATTTTCTGTGGCAATACTGCCATTTACCAATTAATGTATTAGTCGGAGTAATTCTGTATCAAACCACCTCAGTGTCCCAAAGACTTTTCACAATAAAAGTATATTTCTTGCTGCCACCATAGCTGAATGAAATTTGGCAACAGGGACTCTATTCTCAGCAGTTAATAAATTCCCTGGTTCATTCCACCTCGTGTCTCTGCTATCACATTAGATTTTGCTGCATGTTAGGGTAAAGTTGGTAACTTAAAAAAACAAAGCAAGACAATACAAAACTCTGATGCCCAGCTCCTATGCCATACTAATTAAATCAGAGAATCTGGGAGTAGGAGCCAAACATCGTCAGTGTTTTTTAAAGATCCTCAGATTTTCCAAATTACAGCAGATGAAGAACTATTGCCCTAGAACAGGAATCAGCAAACTATAGCCCAAAGGCAAAATTCAGCCCACTGTCTGCTTTTATAAATAAAGTTTTATTAGCACACACAAGTTATTGAAACAAATTTTATTGGAACATAAATCCATTTATTTATGTATTGTCTATGGCTGCTTTTGCACTACAACAGCAGAGCTGAGTAGCTGCAGCAAAGACTATGTGGCTTACAAAACCTAAAATATCTGTTATCACCTCTTGTTACTAAAAAAGTTTGCTGACTCCTACTATAGAACCTAGGAGACCGCCAACAGAGAGAAGATAAGGAATAAAGGAGAATATAGAGCTCCACAGGAGAAGTTTTAGGGTTTATGTACAGTCCAATTTATACACTTTAAAAAAATCTTTATATTAGTGATTTTGGTATTCTCTTTCAGCTTTGGTTCCCTCAGTGTCCTGAAGGTATTTTTTGGAAGACTTTCAATTATTTATTTAATTTTTCCTGAATGGTACAGAGTGATTCAAACTTCCTGTTTCTTATTGAGTCAATTTAAGTGAATTATATTTATCTAGAAATATGTTCATTTTAGTTATCAATTTTAATATAAAATTGGTCATGCTATTCTCATGTATTATCATCTGCTGTATCTGTGGATATGTCTCTGTTTTCATGTCTAATATTACTTACTGTCTCTTTTTTCATGTTAGTAAACCTTCCTAGAGGTTTACAAATTTCATTAGCATTTTCAACAAACCATTTCTTGGCTTTGTTGACTTTTGTTTTTAATTTTGTTTAAATTTCATTACTTTTTGTTTATATCACTCTTTTGAACTCATTAATTATATTTGCTTTAGTCTTGTTATTTTCTAACCAGTTAAGTTAGATGCTTGCATTAATAATTTACAGCCATTTTTATTTCTTAATATGATTATAGGCGGCTAACTTAACCCTTGAAAACAGTTTTCCTCATATTCTAAATGTTGATAGATTAGTGTTTTTATTATCATTATAGTTTTAATTTTAAAAGAAGTTTCATTATTTACTTGTCCTATAATTTAAGAATGTTTAAAATTCCCCAATGCATGTGACACTTTAGTTAAACTTTTATTATTTATTACTAACTTAATTGTTCATCATAGTCAAAGAACACGTGCTGTGCGAGGCCTATTCCTTGCAATGTGTTGAGTACTGCTTTATAAACTAGTATGTATATGATGTACATATAATTGAAAAAGGGAATATGCCGTAATTGTTGTATGCATGGTTGTCAGGCAAAATGGTACAGCAGTTCAAAGTGCTGACTTTAGAACCAGAATGCCTGTTTTCAAATCCCAACTGCCTACTAGCTGTGTCACTAGAAGCTATGAAACCTGGAAGATTAGTAAATTTTCTGTGCTTCAGTTTAAGCATCTGTAAATTGGGGATTATAGTAGGATCTATCCCATACTGTTGTCGATGGGAATAAATTAGTTAATACATGCAAAGCACTTCAGTACCTGGCACTTTGGAAACATTATCCATTATTATATGTTCATTAAGTAAATCTTCATAATCTTGTTGATAAAATCTTCTATATGTTTACTTTTGTCAGTTTAATTTATATGTACAGTGAGAAACCTAAAAATTCTTCAAAGTGATAGCAATTTTTGTTTTTGTCACATTTTCCTGTGTTTCTGTCAAATATTATCTGGTGCTATTTTGTTAGATGTGTAAAAGTTTACACTGGAATATCTTCCTGGTAAGGTATCATTATGCAATAACCTTTTCCCTCTAAGGGTGCTTATTATTTTAAGATTGCTTTTATCAGGCTGTGCATGGTGGCTCAGGCCTGTAATGCCAGCACTTTGGGAGGCCAAGGCGGGTGGATTGCTTGAGGCCAGGAGTTTAAGACCAGCCTGGCCAATATGGTGAAACCCCGTCTCTACTAAAATTAGCCTGGCGTGGCAGCAGGTGCTTGTAATCCCAGCTACTCAGGAGGCTGAGGCACGTGAATCGCTTGAGCCCAGGAGGCAGAGGTTGCAGTGAAGAGAGACTGTGCCACTGCACTCCAGCCTGGGTGACAGAGCAACACTCTGCCTCAAAAAAAAAAAAAAAAAGATTGCTTTTATCAGATATTAATAAAATTGCTTTCAGTTTGTTTGGGTTAGTATTTTTTCTAGTATATCTTTTTTCCCCAATCCTTTTATTTTCAACATTCCTTTATTCCTATGTTTTAGGTGTGCCATTTGTATAGAACATATAGCTTTAAAAAAATCCAATTTGACAATATTTACCTTGAAGCTGGTGACTTTAGTTTATTCATATCTATTGTGATTTCTGGTATATTTGCACATATTCCTGTCAATTTATGTTATGCTTTTTCCACTGCTTTTCTAATCGTCTGTTTCTCTATTCTTTTATCTTGATTAATTGATATTTTTCTTATTCTACATTTTTTTTAAATCTCTCTAGTCTGGAAGTTAGTTGCTTTATTTCCAGTCTCTGAATGGTTAACCTTAAAACTTTGCTATGCGTACTTGTCAAAAGTCAATTAGTATCATAACTGGCATTCTGAATTGAAATTCAAAAATTCAAAAATTATGACAGAGTTGGCCCTCAATCCCTGGATTATGTGATTTTATTGTTGTATGTTTGGGTACTTTGTTGTAACCCATAAATTAATCATTACTAAAATTATTGTTTTACATAGATAATGCTTGTTTTCTTTTTGTATTTCAGACCTTCCTTTGGAAATCATTTTTATTCTTCCTGGAGTTAATCCTTTAAACACTGCTCTAGTGACACCTGCTGGTATTAATAATTTGTTTGCATTTATCTGACTAGTCGTTTTATTCTCTTTCTTAAAAGATAATTTGTGGGCCGGGCACTGTGGCTCACACCTGTAATCCCAGCACTTTGCGGGGCTAAGGTGAACGGCTCATGACGTCAGGAGATCGAGACCATCCTGGCTAACACGGTGAAACTCTGTCTCTACTAAAAATACAAAAAATTAGCCAGGCATGGTGCCACACCCCTGTAGTACCAGCTACTTGGGAGACTGAGGCAGGAGAATTGCTTGAACCCAGAAAGGTGGTGGTTGCAGTGAGCTGAGATCACGCCACTGCACCCTAGCCTAGGTGACAGACCGAGACTCTGTCTCAAAAAAAAAAAAAAAAAAAAAAGATAATTTGTGGGTACACAATTCTAGATTCATGTTGGCTTTTTTCTCACTACCTTGAAATTATTTCATTCATGTCATTTCGTTCATGTTGATTTTGATTTTTATTGTTGAGAAGTCTACTCTTAGTCCATTTTCTCTTCCTTTGTAGACACAGGGCTTTTCTTTATTGGCTGCCTTAAAGATGCTCTTTATATTGTGGTGGTGGCCATGGTATTCTTCAGTTAGAAAACAGTGTGTATCATTCCATCCTCTATGTCCCTGAACCTGTTTCTGATATGTTCTATTTCCTGGGTTCTTTGTGTTGTGTTCTAGCATCAGAGCTATCTTAGATGAACTCTGTCTTGAGTTATGCCTAATCTGCTGTTTATCCACCAAGGTTTTAATTTTAATGAAATTGTTCTTCATTTCTTGGAGTTCTAATTTTTATGTTAGTTTTTTTAATGTGCCTGTTTATTTTTTTTCTCTGTATTTTTTGGGGGAGGGAAAGGGAGATAGATGGTCATTGTTTATAGCTTGTTACTTTCAAAATCCCAGTTTCTTACTTTATTTTTAGACATGTTCTACAGAGTTATTTTACATGCTATATTGGATCATTATAATATTTAACATTTTCGTTTGTTTTTGCCGATACTAGCTTCTGTTCTTGTGTGTTTTCTTAGTGATTGGAACTGTGAGCTCATATTTGGTAGAAAATTATCTATGAAAACCCTGAGGACCTAAACTGGGGACACTTTCCTCCACAGAAGATTTACTTTTGTGTCTGCTGGGAGCCAGAGGACACATCAAATTTTGAACCTTGTTTTCCATCTTTCAGGAATCTGATTTAATGTGGGAGTCTTAAGTGTAATTCTCCTACTGTTCAGAGGATCCAATGATTAGTCTCCAGACTCTAATGCTGCTACTGGCATTCATTCCCAGAGAAAACCTGGTTTTGTGTCCTGTACAAGATACTGTTCCATTCTTCCTAATCTTATATCAGCTCTCTCTTATTTTCTTGTTCTTTTATTCTTTATTTTTAATTTTTTGTCTTTGAAGGTTTCTCTTTCTTTAGCAAGCACATAAATACATTAAAATATTCATTTTAATGTATTCATGCCTTCATCTCATTATAATTTGGAAACCCTTCCAAGTATACAGCTCTACATACCACCAGATGAAGAAATTATTCTATCAATAGTATTGATACACGTATCTTATGTTCCCAATATACTGTTATAGCTTAAAGGCATCAATTGTGGATGTTCACATGTCTTTATAACTCCTTGTACGTAGCCTAGCCTAGACTAGATGGAAAATAAGAACACCACATGTTCTCACTTATAAGTGGGAGCTGAACAATGAGAACACGTGAACACAGGGAGGGGAGCAACACACACTGGGGCCTGTTGACGAGGCAGGGGGTTGGAGAGCATCAGGATAAATAGGTAATGCATGTGGGGCTTAATACCTAGGTGATGGGTTGATAGGTGCAGCAAACCACTATGGCACACCTTTACCTATGTAACAAACTTGCCCGTCCTGCACATCCTGCACATATATCTCAGAACTTAAAATAAAATAGAATAAAATTTAAATATCTCTGTGTGTGTGTGTGTGTGTGTGTGTGTGTGTGTGTGTGTTTGAGGAACAATTCCCAGTGCTGTTTTTATGTATCCACCCAATTGCCTAGAGAGACTATCAGGGTCCAAGTAAGCCCTTAGCAATCCTGTAAACTGTCACCCCCAGACACCACACACATACCATAGTGACTTCTATTTTCATTAATTGGCCATACCAAGATTTCCAGCAAGACTTGGCCTAGGTCAGGGGCAATCACTTTTGCTTTGCCTGAGACCCAGAAACACATTAGATATTTGTCAAATACTGTGTTAGCTCATACTCTTACACTGAGGTTCTTACAAGCCAGGTAAAATGTTAACTAATAGGCAAACCCACAGTATATGTGTGTTATCATTGGCCAAAAATACAGTTTTACTCTATGGAATCCTAAATATTTTATACTAGAAAAGCATATATTATAGAATAGAATAGACTATGCAATGTGAGACTTCCAGTTAAATTGACCTCTGTTACATTAAAAAAACATACAAATCAGCATTTCTCATGGTCACAGATTTAGAAATCCTAAACAAAATATTTGCAGATTAAATCAAGAAATATTTACAAACATAATACACCACGGACACATCTGGCTTTTCCAGGAATTTAAAAATGAATTTACCATTTAAAGTTCATTAATGTATCTTATCACATTAGCAAAGGGAGAAAAATGTATAATCATCTCAATAATGCAAGAAAAGAATTCAACAAAACACAAAACTAATTCATGATAAACCCTCCTAACCAAGTGGGAAGATATAGAAATATCATTAATCTGACAAATAATATCTACCAAAAACCTCTAGCACCTGTCATATTACTGGTGAAATATTCAAGATATTTCTTACTGGAATTGGAGTTACACAAAGATATCCATTATCACCACTTCCATTCAAAGTCTTCTTGGCAGCCCTAGACAGAAAATAAAGGGAAGGGGCTGGGGAGGAAGTCAATGGAATTGAAAACAAAAGAATAAAACTGTCATTTGTAAGTGACATGATTGTGTATGTAGAAAATTCAAAAGAAAAAAATGGCAAACTATTAGAATTAATGAGAGGATTTTGCAAAGCTGCTACAAAATTACAGAAATTAATCATATTCCTATATACTGAAATTTAAAAATAGAAAATTAAACTTTAAAAATTATGCTTAATGACACTAACATCAGAAACACCACATACTTAAATTTAATAAAATGTGTGTTGATGACTTCCACATAAAAACAACAAAACATTAATTATTAAGAGAAGTGGAGATTCTTGTTCATAAGTTGGAGACTCAATATTTTTAAATGGTCAATGCTCCTTCAAAATAATAAACAAATCTAATGCAATCAGAATAAAAATCTCAACAAACTCTTTCTGCGAAAATTGACAAACATGAAGTGTCAGAAAATGGGAAAGGCCAAGAAGAAACAAAGTAATCTAAAAGAAGCAGAACTTAGTTGGAGAATTTATACTACCAGATAGCAACACCTATTAAAAAGGGGTAGTAATAAACACATTCTGATATTGGCATAGAAACAGATAGTGGGACAGATTAAAGCCCTCTGACATATACAGTCACTTGATTTATTATAAAGATGTTATTGCAGTGAAATGAGGAAATGTGATATTTTCAGTAAAAGGTATTGGATTCATTAAATATCCATACAGAAAAATAATTTTGAACTCGATCTTGCACTGTGCACAAAAGTCAATTCCAGATGAATTACCAATCTAAATGGGAAAAGTAAACCAGTAAACTAACGGATGAAAGCATAGGAGAATATTTTTACAACCTTGACATAAGCAAACATTTCTTTAAAAAGACATGAAAAGTGCTAATTATAAAGTAACAAAGCGTGGATTACTGTATTATATTCAAATTTTCTGTTCATCAAGAGAACTAGTAAAAGTTTAAAAATGCAACTCTTAGAAAAGGTACTGAGAGATATAAAACTCTGAAAAAATATATAAGAGTTCCTTTTATTGAGTAATATGTAAAAGACAGACAGCCAAGTACAGAATAGGCAGGTTAGACTTGATTTTATATATATATATATATATATATATATACACACACACACACACATATAATATATATAATGTATATATAATATAAATATATACAACATAATGTGTACATACATAATACACAACTCTTATATACAATGTGTGTGTCTATGTGTGTATATATATGTATATGAATAGAAATAGATAGATGGATGGATAGATAGATAAATAGATAGAACAAGGTAAACTCTTCTGTGACAAAGATTTGAATGCAGGGAGTTTATGATGGGAAGATTCTCAGCAACAACAACTTCAAGTGAGCTAGAGAAGTGAAGTATGACTGAGCTAACAGAGAAATTGAACAAGGATGAAACTACAACAAAGACTTTAGCTGAGCCCTCAGGGAAACACCAATTTTGAGGGAGGAAGTAGAACAAGTAGAATTCTTATATATTGCTGGTGAGAATATAAACTGGAACAACTGTGAAAAAACAATTTGGCAATATCTACTAGATCTAAATATGAGTACCTTATGATCCATCAGCTCTTCTCCTAGTTATATTTGCAAACCAAATATCAACACTTTATGCATTCTCATGGC
Organism: Homo sapiens; assembly: GCF_000001405.40. Lineage (NCBI taxonomy): Eukaryota > Metazoa > Chordata > Mammalia > Primates > Hominidae > Homo > Homo sapiens. Next base: position 115,580,280 of record NC_000009.12, on the reverse strand, counting down.
AGGAGTATTTGTAAAGATAAAATTATGAGAGAAAATGTCTATTTATACACAGACATTTCCATATGGATGGATTTGTATGGATTAAACACTGTGGTATATTCATATAATGGAATACTACACAACAATGAGAATGAATCTCAAACATAAAGTTAAAAAAGCCAAACATCAAAGCATATGTACTGTATGATTTTATTTCTATAAGGTCAGAAAGAGATATCATTAACTTTGTCATTAGAGGTGATAGAGAGGAGAACAGTGATTGAATGGAGTTCATAGGGGATTGATGTGTCTGTATTCTTTATTTTCCAGTTTGGTTGCTGGCTCATGAATGTATTCAGTTTGTGAAAATGCATTGAGGTATATATTTATAGCTGGTGCATTCCTCTGTTTAAAGAGTTTGCATCAATTAAAAGTAACATTTTAATTGGCCTTGAAGTGAGTAACTTCACTTGGTGACCCATCTCCCCAACTCTGTTTTACAATTGAGGTGAAATTTGCATAATATAAAATTAACCATTTTGAAGTATACACTTCTGTGACCTTAGTATACTCACAATGTTGTGTAATAGCTCCTGTATCAACTTCCAAAATATTTTGATTACCCCAAAATAAAACCCTACATTTATTTATTTATTTTTTTTGAGACAGAGTTTTGCTCTTGTAGCCCAGGCTGGAGTGCAATGGTGCGATCTCGGCTCGCTGCAACCTCTGCCTCCCAGGTTCAAGCAATTCTCTTGCCTCAGCCTCCCCAGTAGCAGGGATTACAGGTGTGCACCACCACGCCCAGCTTATTTTGTATTTTTAGTAGAGGCAGGGTTTCACCATGTTAGACAGGCTGGTCTTGAACTCCTGACCTCAAGTGATCCGCCCACCTTGGCTTCCCAATGTGCTGTGATTACAGGTGTGAGCCTCTACACCTGGCCCAAAATCCTGTATCTATTGATTAGTCACTCCCACTCCCCCCTGTCTTGCCTCTGGAAACCACCAATGTATTTTCTTTCTCTTTGAATTTACCTGTGCTTGATAGTTCATACAATGGAATAATGTAAAATGTGACCTTTTACTTTTGACTTATTCCACTTAGCATAATATTCTTGAGGTTCACCCACATTGTTGCATGTATCAGTACTCACTCCTTTTTATGACAGAGTAGTATTCCACAGTTGGTATATACATACCTCCCTATTTAAAAAATCCATTTACTAGTTGATGAACATTTGGGTTGTTTCCAGCTTTTGACTATCATGAATAGTTCTGCTATGGACATTTCTATGCAAGCATTTTGTTTGAATACCTGGTTTCAGTTCTTTTGAGTATGCAGCTAGAAGAATTGGTTAGTCATATGGTAATTATATGTTTAACTTTTGTGCGGAACTCCCAAACGTTTTCTACAGCTGTTGCATCATATTGGCACTGTCACCAACAAAGGAAAAAACTTTCAAATTCTATATTTTCTTGCTGAAACTGCTTATTATTATTATTAATCATTGTCATCCCAATGTATATCAACTGCTCTCATTGTGGTTTTGATTTACATTTCTCTACCTACTAATACTATTGAGAATCTTTCATATGTTTGTTGGCCACTTATACATCTTCTTTGGAGAAATGCCTATTCAAGTTGTTTACCCATTTTTGTAAATTAAAATGCTTTTATAATTTTGGGGGGATTGTTTGTTGGCTGTGTATACAAATACAACTAATTTTTGTTTATTTATCTTATGTTCTCACCAGATCTTGAACATCATCTTTTGTCATTAATTCTGGGGTAGTGGGGGAGAATAAGAAAATCTCTTAAGATTTGGGGACCTAAAACTGTCTTCAATTTAAGCCAATGATTCTGTATGCATTAATATAACTCAGCAAGGTTTGCTTTCTAAGCAGCAGAGGAGGTTAGGAAAAGGAAGGAGATCATTATAAGGATCTTGTAGGCCTAACCCATGTGTATCTCTCTGCTATCAGCAGAGGTATCCAAGGAAACTCTCACAAGATGGAACATTTCATTAGGTTTTGCTTGCCTGGTCAGACATAAATCTCACTCAAGGCTTGAAAGACTTATTAAAAATAAAAATGTTTTTGTCCCTTCTCTTTCCTAGAAAAGGTTAGACATTTTCTTTGAAATTAGTTCTCACTGCCAACATGGTAGTTTTTAAGCTTTTTAAGGCCATTTTTTTCCCTTCGAAAGTTTATTAAAGAAAATAAATTACGACCAGTTTTTCAGATTTCAGATAGACGTAAAATATACACAATTCCTTACAAAATAGTTCCAATTAAAAATGCAGAAACAATGAGGGAAATAAAAAAATCACTATTAGAAACACCACAGCAAAAATTGCTCCAGGCAAGAGCCATCAAAGAATACTAAACTAGGTGAGAGAAAGGTAATGAGATATTTGCACAATGTTAAAAAATCTACCCATATATTACATGACTCTAGTAAGTTTGTAGTAGAAAATTCCATCAGTCACAACCTTAGTTAAATAATCAAAATTACATAACCAATTATAAATATTGACATTGTGTATATATTTACATTGCATCCTCTGATACAATGCACTAAGAACCATGTGTCATCTAAACCATGAGCATCTTCCTGCTACCAGTAGAGTTGCCCCTGAAAAGCCTTACAAGATGGAAAATATCATCAGATCCTGCGCGCACATGCAGAGGTAAATCTCAGTCAAGGCTTGGAAGACTTATTAAAACCAAAAATGTTTCTCTCCCCTTTCTTTCCTGGGTAGGGCCAGATATATTCCTTGAAATTCCATTTACAACAGCATTCGAAAGAGTGAAATACATAAGCAGAAAAGTTAAAGGTGTGAGACACATATACTGAAAAGGGGCATATCACCTGTGTGGTTTCCATTTCAATAATACAAAACCAATATAGTCAGGAGAAAACATGAAAAAATTAATTAAGGGATGTTCTACAAAGAACCTGACCAATCTTCCTCTAAAGTATCAAGATTATGAAGGACAAGCAAAGACTCAGCAAAGACTGAGAAACTTTCACAGATTTTAAAAGACTATGGAGACAGAACTAAATATAATGTGGGATCCCGGAATCTATAACAGAAAAAGAAAGTTAGTAGAAAAGCTGGTGAAATCCAGTAAGCACACCACTTTAGTAAATAGTACTGTACCAAGGTAAGTTTCTTAGTTGTGACATATCTGATAACAATGTAAGCCGATAACACAAGGGGAAGCTGGGTGAAGGGTTTATGAGAACTATATATACTATTTTTGCTACTCCTCTGTAAGTCTAAAATTATCTCAAAATAATGTAAAAATAATTGTTAAAAATAAACTAAATATTTTGCATTCAATTAAAAGGGTCCCCTTACCCTTTGTAGCCCAATTCTGGTCATCAGGTTAAGAAATCGCTAATGCGGCCGGGAGCGGTGGCTCACGCCTGTAATCCCAGCACTTTGGGAGACCGAAGCAGGCGGATCAGGAGGTCAGGAGATTGAGACCATCCTGGCTAACACGGTGAAACCCCGTCTCTACTAAAAATACAGAAAAATTAGCCGGGCGTGGTCGCGGGCGCCTGTAGTCTCAGTTGCTGGGGAGGCTGAGGCAGCATGAACCCGGGAAGCGGAGCTTGCAGTGAGCTGAGATCGCGCCACTGCACTCCAGCCTGGGCGACAGAGAAAGAACTCACTAATGTATGGAAGCAAGGTGTCTGTTGAGGTTGGAGTTTGACTAAATGGGATTGACTTTAGCTTTATTTTTTCTGAAGATTACAGGTTATTGACCACATTGTCAGTCCCGCAGTACATTTCAAGCTTTCATGGGAGGATCATTAGTTGTTGCTGTTTATATTTTGGGTGGACTGGATGATGATGGAGAGATTCATAGCACTGCATTTAACAGAATTGCTTAAGTCAATAGGAAGTAAGATATCTGCTTTTGCTTTTTCTTTCTTTTTTCTTGGTATGAGTTTTTTGTTGTTGTTGTTGTTGTTGTTGTTGTTTGTTTGTTTGTTTAAACACTGGTTTGACTTAAATCCAGACTCGTTCATTTTGAAATGTGGCTTTGGGTAAAGTATCTAAGTTTCTTGTTTCCTCGTTTGGAAAGCTCTTTCAGGACTGTGGGAAGACTTGCAGAAGTACACAGGCACTTGCTTGCTGATGATTATTGACTATAAGAACATAGAGACAGCACATACAGCTTTTGTGACCATGTGAAAATAGCATGACTCTCAAGAGAAATGTATCCAGCAAGTGCTTGTCTTGGTGAGTGGAGACCAAGCTGGATTTTAGCACACATTTATCCACTTACTGGGAGGATCTGCTTGCAGAAATGACTTGTGCAACTGTATAAGTTGCCAATAAAATGAATAACTTGGGCTGACTCTCTGAGCTCAAGGTTAAACTTAAGTTCGAAGACTTGGGCTCAGAAGGACTGTCAGGTTCTACCGTCAGAAGAGCAAGTGTATACAAAAAGGAGACACTTTTTTGACTATGTTGGCTTTGTGTCTCAAAATATATATTAAGGAGTGCTAGTTTAAGATGAGATCATTCTGAAGGGTCAATAAGTGTGCTTCAGAGAGGCTTGGCTCTGGAGCCATAATGTTTAGGTTTGGATTTCAATTCTGCCACCTATCAGCTATGAGTCCTTGAGAAAATGCTTCAACTTCTCTGTGCTTCATCTTTCTCACAATAAAATAGAAATAAAATAATTTAGGCTGGGCACAGTGGCTCACACTTTGTAAACCCAGCACTTTGGGAGGCCAAGGCAGGAGGAAATCTTGAGTCTAAGAGTTCAAAATCAGTTTGGGCCACATAGGGAGACCCCTTCTCTACAAAAATTTTGAAGTTAGCTGGGTCCAGGAGGTTAAGACTGCAGTGAGCAATGATCATGCCACTGCACTCCAGCCTGGGTAACAGAGCAAGACATTGTCTCAAAAATAAATAAATAAATAAATAAATAAATAAATAAATAAATAAATAATCATTTAAGCCATGAGTCGATGTGGTTATTTAATAAACCAATATTTTAAGCATTTAGAACATACCAGGAATAGAGTGAGAAGACAATAAGTGATTTACTATCATATATTAAGAGAACATGCTAATAAAAACTCTGCTTCCAGCCCATCTGTAGGCTGAGAATCCATGAGTCTTGACCACATCATGAATCTGCTGGGGTGATTTTGTATTAGCCATTCAGCCCTCTATGCCATTTTCAAGTGGGAAGAGTCATATGTGAACAACCCATCTCACCAAACAAGGCTGTAAAGAGATTAGTTTTGATAAGATCAAGCAAATAATAATATTGTTTTCGGCTTATGTTATTACATGTAATCATTACTCTGAGATTTTTCTTAATCTTCAGCATTTGGTTCCTAATAAAAGAACTAATCAAAAATGATAAAATAATCATTCATCTGTGACCTAACCTTGAATGTCAATGTCATTTTTACAAATGGGCTCTTTTTCTGTTATGATCTTGCCAGTGTGCACTGGTTGATATTTTTTTGTACAGTTCAACAAAATTTTTAAGCATGGGATAGATGGCGATTATCTTTGCTGGACAGAAAAGAATAAGGATAAATAAGAATAAATAAGTTACAACATAATAGATAGTTGTATTTTGCTTTTACTTATTTTCTTAAAATGTTCTTTTTATCCAAATAGTGGAAAAATACATACACAAATGCACAAACACACATATATAGAGAAAGTGTATTTATTTCAAATAATGTACATACAAAGGAAAGAGGAAAATCATCTTTATATTTTCATTCAAATATAGCCACTCAGTATTTTTCTGTATAGTTCCAATATCTTATTTTCTGGCTTATACGTATGTCTTTTAAAGCAAGCATTCTTTTGTTCACATGGAAGACACTTCCTCAGAGACATCATTAGTTTCCATCCCCAAATTTATTCCCACTGTCTCTTAACTAACAAAATCACAATCTAGTTCCAAGCAGCAAAATGCCCACCAAATTATCTTATTTGCAAGCTTTTATGGCTAGCCCTGGCCATGAGACTATCACACATAGTGATACCCCAGCTGTGTATCACATGGACAGAAAGAAAAGGGAGGTTGACTTCTCAAAGTACTTTTGGAGTACTGTCCCAGAAGAAGAGGAAATGAATGATGGAAAGAAAGATTCCCTGGCCTGATATGACCTGTAACTTTCCACATACCCAGAGTCCAGCTGCAGGATGTATGGTATTCTCAAAAATACTTTTTTCTAATTGATTGATTTTTTTTTTTTTTGAGATGGAGCCTCGTTCTGTTGCCCAGGCTGGAGTGCAGTGGCACAATCCTGACTCCCTGCAACCTGCAACCTCTGCCTCCCGGGTTCAAGCGATTCTCCTGCCTCAACCTCCCAAGTAGCTGGGACTACAGGTGCATGCCACCACACCTGGCTAATTTTTGTATTTTTAGTAGAGATGGGGTTTCACCATGTTGGCCAGGATGCTCTTGATCTCCTGACCTCATGATCAGCCTGCCTCGGCCTCCCAAAGTGCTGGGATTACAGGTGTGAGCCACCATGCCTGGCCCTCAATTGATTCCAATCAATAAAAAGTAGGAGACATACAGATATGAATGACATTTAGATAATATATGCAACTGCAACTTCCTCTTTCTACCAGCTGACAGGTGTCAAGGCTCATGCCCTTAAATATTCAGGTAGACAGAAACTTTCAAGTAATAGAACAGTGGTATCTAAATGCAGATGCAATTATAGTCCTTGGGAAAAACATTTTTGTGATTGCGGGACAGAACAATAAAACTCTGCTTGATGAAGAAAATGTGGCATTTACATTCATGCAGTATTATTAGTCTCAATAAAAGAAGGAAATCTTACCATTTGCAACAATATGGATGAATCTAGAGGACATTATGCTAAGTGAAATAGGACAGTCATCAAAGGAAAAATACTGCATGATTATACTTATGTGAAATACCTAAGATGGTTAAATTCATAGAAGTAGGGAATAGAATGGTTGTTGCCAGTGGGTGGAGAGAGGAAGAAATGGGGAATTGTAACTTAACGGGTATAAATTTTCAATTACGCAAGATAAATAATTTCTAGAGACCTGCTATATATCATAGAACCTAGAGTTAGCAGTAAGGTATTGTGCACTTTAGGTGGAGAGGATAAATCCGATGTTGAGTGTTCTTATCGCAAACATACAAACACACACACACACATACATACATACACACAAAGGACACAAGGACATTTCCAGAGGTGATGGACAGGGTTAGTAGCTTTATTGTGGTGATGGTATCATGGTGTAGAGATGTTTCCAAACTCATCAAAATGTAGACTAAATATGTAGATTTTTATATCCATTATATCTCAATAGAGCTGTAAAAAAAAGAAAAAAAAAAGCCTGCTTAAACCTAGACTTGGAAAGAAAAGAGAAGTAGACAAGCCAGGGCTGCCTGGAGTTCTAGTTCTTGAATATTTTTCCCCCTTTGGTACTAATTTTAATTATAACCAAAATGCAAACAATTACATAAAACATAGCGCAAGGCTCAATTAATTTTTACTAAGTGAACAAATACTTGTAATGTTAAACCAGATGAAAAACCAAGCACCCTCCCTGTCATCCCCCCTAGTCATTACCTTCCTCCCTCCAAGAATAACCACTATCCTCACTTTTAATACCATACATTAGTTTTGACCATTTTTGAAATGTTATATTCTTTATAAGCCTGGCCTCTTTTGCTAAACACCATGTTTGTGAGATCTGTGTATGTCATTACTGTATATACTCATTATATGCATATGGATTCATTCATTCCTCTACTCATGAACTTATAGATTGTTTCCAGTATGTTGCTATTAGAAGTAGTGCTTCTGTGAATCTTGTTGTACTAATCTTTGGGCTAAAATACCTACCCAGGTTTTGGATCACAGGTTATGCACATATTGAGGTTTGTTAGATAATATTGAAGTAGATGCCAATTTACACTTCCACTACCAGTGCATATGGTTCTCAGTCAGAGGAAGTGAGGAAAATCTTGCTGCTTCCAGGGGAATTTGGCAATATCTGGAAGCATTTTTTGTTGTCATTACTTGGGCAGGGGGAGGGGGCAGGGGCTGCTGTTGCATCTAGTGAGTAGAGGTCAAAGATGCTACTAAACATCCTATAATGCACAGGACAGCTCCGCACAATAATTATGTAACCAAAAATTTCAAGAGTACTAAAGTTAAGAAACCCTGTCCCACACCAACTTTGGTAAGTTCTGATCTTTTCTTTTTGCCAACGTCTTGGTTGTGTAGAGGTATCTTATTGTGGTTTTATTTGCATTTCTCTGATAGTGAATTTGTGTACTTTTCATATGTATATTTTGTTCTTTCATGAAGTATTTTTTTTTCCGTTGTTGTATTACCTTTGTATTGATTCGTAGAAGTCTCTTATAAAGTCTGTTCATAAGTCTATGGTTGGATGTTTGTAAATATATTATACTAGCATGTAGTTGATCTTATCACTCATTTAATACTGTCTTTTAACAAACAAAATGCTTAATTTTAATAACATTAAAATTATTAATCCAAATTTAAGTCCAATTGATTAATGATTTTTTTGTGTGAATAAGGCATTTATTTCAAATAATTTTTCCAAAATGGAACTAGAGTTCTGGTAGTATATCCATCAAACATTCTAATATGAGATTAACACAGGTAGTATAAAAAACAAATTTTAGGTGAAAATGAGCAATTATAAATTTTCTGAGTGCTCTTAAGAAAAATGTTTTAATGTTTATCTCATATATTTGTTGTAAGACTTCAATGACAAAACATTGGTAAAGTGTTCAGCAGCTGATTTAACACAGAAAATGAATCTGCTAAATTAATTCCCTTTCCTTCCACAATTATGGCCAAAATTAGTTCTTATCTAAGAGCAGTGATTTTAATAAATTGGAGCTTCTCTTTTATTCATCCAAGAAATATTTTTTTGAGATTAGACATTTTTCCAGTCTTGCAAATAAAAAATGAGTGAGATTCATTCCCTTTCCTTAGCACATGTAAAGTGGGAAAAATTAGGCATGGAAGCGTGGAAAACTGCTGTTTACTGAATTCTGTGGCAGGCATTGCAAAGGGCACTTAATATTACTCAGATCTGATTCTTTCTAATTATTGATAGGGAAGGATATTTGTTATTGTGTTACTTGTTTTATTTCTGTTTGTAGCTCTCTTGTCTCTCTTTTCCTCTCTTGATGTCTTCTCTTCTGGTTCATTTTTTAAAGTGATACCTTTCGAATTCTTTCTCATTTTCTTTTATGAATCTTCTATAAGCGTTTTCTTTATGATTACTGCTGAGTATAAAACATGTTATACTTAAAACAATCTATTTTAAGATGATAACTTCAATCACATACAAACATTCTACACTTTTCCTTCTCTACACACACTTTATATTATTAATGTCACAAATTATATGTTTTGTATTTTATTTTATTTATGTTGAGACAGTATCTCACTCTGTTCCCCAGGCTGAGTGCAATAGTGCAATCACGCCTCACTGCAGCCTCTATCTCCCAGGTTCAAGTAGTCCTCCCATCTCAGCTTCCAGAGTAGCCGGGACCACAAGTGTTCACCACTATGCCCTGCTAATTTTTTTTATTTGTACAGACAAGGTTTCACTATGTTTCCCAGTTTGGTCTCAAACTCCTGGGCTCAAGCAATCTTCCTGCCTTGGCCTACAAAAGTGCTGGGATTCCAGAAATGAGCCACCACACCCGTAAAAAATTATGTTTTTATACTGGATATCCATTAACATATTTTAGACGGTTATACTTATACTTTAGTCTTTTAAATTCATCAGAATTAAAAGTGATTTATACCCCACCATTATAGTATTAGAATATTCTGTATTCACTTATATATTAAGCTTCAGTAGCAAAGTTTATGCTTTCATGGGCTTTCATATGTTTAGTGTGCTTTCATTTCAGGTTAAAGTACTTTATTTAGCATTTCTTGTATTTGTTTTTCTGTCAACACTGTCAGTATATCATCCAACTACCTACTGGTCTGCAAGGTTTCTGCTGAGAAATACAGTAATATTCTGATGGAATTTCTCTCCATGTGACAACTCACTTTCTACTTACTGCTTTTAAAATTATTTTTCATCTGGGTTCAGTGGTTCATGCCTATAATCCCAGCACTTTTGGAGGCCAAGGCGGACGGATTACCTAGGCTCAGGAGTTCAAGACCAGTCTGGGAAATATGGTGAGACTCCTGTCTCTACCAAAAATACAAAAATTAGCCAGGCATGGTGGTGTGCACCTGTAGTCCTAGCTACTCAGGAGTCTGAGGCAGGAGAATCGCTTGAGCTCAGGAGGCAGAGGTTGCAGTGATCTGAGATCACCCCACTACATTCCAGCCTGGGTGACAGAGTAAGACTCTGTCTCCAAAAAAAAAAGGAATAAAGTTTTTTTTTTGACTTTTGATAATTTAATTATAATGCATCTTGGTTTTGTCATCTTTAGATTTATCTTATTTGGGAAGCTTTGGCTTTCAGAATTTGGATGTCAGTTTCCTTCATATTTGAATTTTCAGCCATGATTTCTTATAACTGTTTGTTCCTCTTTCTTTCTCTTCTCTTTCTGTGTCTCTGATCATGCATTTATTGATAAGGTTGGTAGTGCCCCTTAAGTCCCATAAGCTTTCTTTATTATGTTTCGTTCTTTTTTTTATCTTCTGTTTCTCTGGAAAGTTGTGCATGACCTGACTTCAAGTTCACTGGTTAAACCTTCTTCTTGCTCAAGTATGCTGTTAAACATTTTTAGTGATTTCTCTACCTCTGTTCTTTCTGTGCATACTCAATTCTACTTCCAAAATATATCTTCATAATATCCTCTTTGTCTAAAATTATTCCTCTTCTTATTTGTCTGATGACTTAAGCTCTGTCTCACTTTTCACCTTTCCAGATAGATAGATAGATAGATAGATAGATAGATAGATAGATAGATACAGAAAATAGATAGATACAGAAAATAGATAGATAGATACATAGATAGATAGATACATAGATAGATAGATAGATAGATAGATAGATAGATAGATAGATACATAGATAGATGCATAGATACATAGATACATAGATAGATATTCCAATAGGTTTTGGTGTACCAGTGGTTTTTGGTTACATGGATGAATTATATAGTGGTGAATTTTGAGATTTTAGTCCACCCGTCACCTGAGTAGTGTACATTGTATCCAATATGCAGCTTTTATCTCACAACCCCCTCCCAACCTCCCTCTTCTGCGTATCCAAAGTCCTTTATATCACTCTGTATGCTTTTGTGTACACATAGCTTAGCTCCCAATTATAAGTGAAAACATATGGTATTTGGTTTTCCATTCATGAGTTACTTCACTTAGAATAGTGGCCTCCATCTCCACCCAAATCACTGCAAAAGACGTTATTTCATTCAGTTTTATGGTGAGTAGTATTCAGCCATAAATAGGAAGATATATATATATGTATATATTTTACTCAGCCATAAAAAGGGATGAAATATGTATCTTCCTATTTATATAGCACAGGTTCTTTAGCTACTCATTGGTCAATGGGCTCTTAGGTTGGTTCTATATCTTTGCAATTGCAGATTGTTCTGCAATAAACATGTGTGCGTGTGTCTTTTTCATATAATTACTTCTTTTCCCTTGGGTAGTTTATTAGTCTGTTTTCATGCTGCTTATAAAGACACACCCAAGACTGGGCAATTTAAAAAAACAAAAGAGGTTTATTGGAGTTACAGATCCACATTGCTGGAGAGACCTCACAATCAGGGTAGAAGGCAAGGAGGTTCAAGTCACATCTTACATAGATGGAAGCAGGCAAAGAGAGAGCTTGTGCAGAGAAACTCCCGTTTTTAAAACCATCAGATATCATGAGACCCATTCATTATCATAAGAATAGCACTGGAAAGACCTGCACCTATGATTCAGTTATCTCCCACTGGGTCTCTCCCACAACACGTGAGAATTATGGGAGCTACAAGATGAGATTTGGGTGGGGACACAGAGTCAAATCATATAATTTCGCCCATGACACCCTTAAATCTCATATCTTCACATTTCAAAACCAATCTTGCCTTCCCCACAGTCCCCCAAAGTCTTATCTCATTTCAGCATTAACTCAAACATCTACAGTCCAAAGTCTCATCGGAGATAAGGCAAGTCCCTTCTGCCTATGAGCCTGTAAAATCAAAAGCAAGTTAGTTACTTCCTAGATACAATGGAGGCACAGGCATTGGGTAAATACACTCATTCCAAATGGGATAAATTGACCAAAACAAAGGGGCTACAGATCCCATGCAAGCCTGAAATCCAGCAGGGCAGTAAAATCTTAAAGCTCCAAAATAATCTCCTCTTACTCCAGGTCTCACACCCAGGTCACATTGATGCAACAGGTAGGATCCCACAGCCTTGGGCAGCTCTGTCCCTGTGGCTTTGTAGGGTATAGTCCCCCTCCTGGCTGCTTTCATGGGCTAACATTGAGTGTCTGCAGCTTTTCCAGGCACACAGTGCAAGCAGTTGATGGATCTACCATTCTGGGGTCTGGAGGACGGTGGCCCTCTTCTCACAATTCCACTCAATGGTGCTCCAGTAGAGTCTCTGGGTGGTGGCTTCAACCCCACATTTCCCTTCCACACTGCCTTAGCAGAGGTTCTCCATGAGGGCCCCACCCCTGCAGCAAACTTCTGCCTAGACCTCCAGGCATTTCCATACATCTTCTGATATCTAGGTGGAGGTTCCCAAACTCCAATTATTGACTTCTGTGCACTGGCAGGCTCAACACCACATGGAAGCTGGCAGGGCTTGGGGCTTGCACCCTTGAAGCCACAGCTTGAGCTCTACATTGGCCCCTTTCAGACATGGCTGGAGAAGTTGGGACGCAGGGCACCAAGTCCCTAGGCTGCACACAGCATGGGGACTCTGGGCCTGGCCCATGAAACCACTTTTTCCTCCTAGGCCTCTGGGTCTGTGATGAGAGATGCTGCCATGAAGACCTTTTTCAGGCTCTGGAGATATTTTCCCCATTGTCTTGGGGATTAACATTCAACTTCTTTTTACTTATGCAAATTTCTGCAGCTGGCTTGAATTTCTCCTCAGAAAAGGAAGTTTTCTTTTGCATTGTCAGGCTGCAAATTTTCTGAGTTTTTATAGTTTGCTTCTCTTATAAAACTGAATGCCTTTAACAGCACGCAAGTCACATCTTGAATGCTTTGCTGCTTAGAAACTTTTTCCACCCATGCCTGTAATCCCAGCACTTTGGGAGACTGAGGCAGGCAGATCACTTGAGGTCAGGAGTTTGAAACCAGCCTGGCCAACATGGTGAAACCTTGTCTTTACTAAAAATACAAAAAAAAAAAAAAATTAGCCAGGCATAGTAGCAGGCACCTGTAATCCCAGCTACTCAGGAGGTTGAGGCAGGAGAATTGCTTGAACCCAGGAGGTGGAGGTTTCAGTGAGCCGAGATCACACCACTACACTCCAGCCTGGATGACAGAGTGAGACTCCAAAAAAGAAGAAAAAAAGAAAGAAAGAAAGAAAGAGAGAGAGAGAGAAAGGAAGGAAGGAAGGAAAAAGAGAGAGAGGAAGGAAGGAATGAATGAATGAAGGAAGGAAGAAAGGAAGGAAGGAAGGAAGAAACTTATTCCACCAGATACCCTAAATCATCTTTCTCAAGTTCAAAGTTCTGCAGATCTCTAGGGCAGGGGCAAAATGCTGCCAGTCTTTTTGCTAAAACATAACAAGAGTCACCGCTGCCAATCTTTTTGATAAAACATAACAAGAGTCATCTTTACTGCAGTTCCCAACAAGTCCCTTATCTCCATCTGAGACCACCTCAGCCTGGATTTCATTGCCTGTATCATTATCAGCATTTTGGTTAAAACCATTCAACAAGTATCTAGGGAGTTCCACACTTTCCCACATTTTCCTGTCTTCTTCTGAGCCCTCTAAACTTTTCCAACCTCTGCCTGTTACCCAGTTCCAAAGTCGCTTCCACATTTTCAGTTATCTTTTCAGCAGCACCCACTCTCAGTACCAATGTACTATTTTAACCTGTTTTCATGCTGATAATAAAGACATCCTTGAGACTAGGCAATTTACAAAAGAAAGAGGTTTATTGGACTTACAGTTCGACATGGCTGGGGAGGCCTCACAATCATGGTGGAAGGCAAAGAGGAGCAAGTCACATCTTATGTGAATGGCAGCAGGCAAAGAGAGAACTTGTGTGGAGAAACTATCATTTTTAAAACCATCAGGTCTCATGAGACTTATTCACTATCATGAGAACAGCACAGAAAAGACCTGCCCCCATGATTCAGTTATCTCCCACCAGGTCCCGTCCACAACACGTGGGAATTATGGGAGCCACAAGATGAGATTTGGGTGGGGACACAGAGCCAAACCATATCAGGTAGATACTCAGTAGTGAGATTGCTGGATTAAATGGTAGATCTACTTTTAGTTCTTTAAGGAATCTCCATACTATTTTCCATAAAAGTTCGACTAATTTACATTCCTAACAAGAGTGTATAAGTATTCACCTTTCTCCATGATATGGCTTGGATGTGTCCCCACCCAAATCTTGTCTTGAATTGTAGCTCCCATAATTCCCACATGTTGTGGGAGGGACTTGGTGGAAGATAATTTAATCATGGGGGTGGTATCCCCTATACTGTTCCCATGGTAGTGAATAAGTCTCATGAGATTTGATATTTTTATAAGGGGTTTTCACTTTTGCGTGGCTCTCATTCTGTCTTTTCTACTGCCATGTAAGACATGCCTTTTACCTTCCACCATGACTGTGAGGCTTCTGAAGCCACATGGAACTCCAAGTCCAATAAACCTCTTTTGCTTTGTAAATTACCCAGTCTCAGGTATGTCTTTATTAGCAGCATGAGAACAGACTAATACAGTAAATTGCTACTGGTAGAGTGGGGAACTGCTTTATTGATACCTGAAAATGTGGAAGCCACTTTGGAACTGGGTAATATGCAGAGGCTGGAAAGTACATTTGCTTTGTCTCAAATGAGACTTTGAACTGTGGACTTTTGAGTTAATGCTGAAATGAGTTAAGACTTTGGGGGACTGTTGGGAAGGCATAATTCATTTTGAAATGTGAGGATATGAGATTTGGGAAGGGCCAGAGACAGAATGATATGGTTTGGCTGTGTCTCCACCCAAATCTCATCTTGAATCCCATAATTTCCACATGTCATGGGAAGGACCCTGTGGGAGATAATTGAATCATGGGACTGGTTTTCACCATACTCTTCCCATGGTAGTGTTAGGTCTCATGAGATCTGTTGCTTTTGTAAAGGGAAACCCCTTTCATTATCACCTTCTGCCATGATTGTGAGGCCTCCCCAGCCATATGTAATTATGAGTCCATTAAACCTCTTTTTCTTTGTAAATTATCCAGTCTGGGGTATGTTTTTATCAGCAGTTTGAAAATGAAGTAATACACACCACATCTATTCCAAGATCTATTGTTTTTTTTGACTTAATAACAGCCATTCTTTTATATGTATATTTTGTTTTTTTGTGAAGTATCTTTTCAGTTTTCTTCCCATTGCTCTTCTACTTTCTCACTGATGTGTAGAAATTCCCTGATAAAGTCTTTTCATAAGTCTAAGGTTGAATATTTGCAGATATTTTTCTAGTATGTAGTTGACCTTATCACTCTTCTAATGCTGTCTTTTAATAAACAGTATTATTAATTTTAATCATTAATGTTATTGACCCAAATTATTGTCCAATTGATCAATGTTTTTTAATGTTTATTGTTATGTTCTGCTTAAGAAATTATAGCCTGCTCAAAGATTATCAGTGTTCCCCTACATTTTACTCTAAAACTCTTACTGATTTGCGTTTCACATTTAAGTCTGTGATCATTGAATCTTGAAGCAGAGGTGAAAATGCTTATTTCTGACTGATTTTGTTAACTAGACAAAAATTATCTCCTCATTGAACTACAGTGACACTTTTCTCATTATTCCAGTGACCCTATAAGAAAGTCTGTTTCTAGACTTTTCTATTCAAAGTGTCCATTATCTCCCTTTGTGTCACTACCACATTGTCATAATTACTGCAGCTTTCCAGTAAATTATGAAATCAGGTACGGCAACTTTCATATTCAAACTGTTTGTGGTTGTTCTACATCTTAACATTATCACAGACATTTTAAAAATAGCTTGTCAATTTATACCCCCCATATATATCTATGTGTGTGTGTATACACACACACACACACACACACACACACACAGACATTTTATGGTTCGTATTGAATCTATAGATTACCTAAGGGAGAAATTCACATCTGAACACTATTAAGTCTTCCAATTTATGAACCTAGTATACCTTTCCACTTTATTTAGATTCAAGTTAATTTCTCTCAAATGTGTTTTGTTATTTATATTTTGGAGTCTTGGACATCTATCATATTTATTTATTGATGTTTGTATTTAGTTAAATATATTGATATATTTTAACAATTTTATTGAGATATAATTGCTGCATATATTTAAAATGTAATATTTTATAAGTTTTGACATATGTATACAATTATGAAATTATGACCACAATCAAGATAGATATTTATAACATCCCCAAAAGTTTCTTAAAGTCTTATTGTAATCCATGCCTCCTGCCTGTGCCTCTCTTATCCCCAGCCCTCATGCTACTAATCTGTTTTCTGTCACTATATATTAGTTTGTGTTGTCCAGAGATTTATAGAAATTGAATCATAGTGTATGTTGATTTTTGCCTTGCTTACTTAACTCAGCATAATTATTTTGAGATTTATCCATGTTTCTGTGTATTTAAGGACTAATAATGTTGAGCATCTTTTCATGTTCTTATTTACCGATTATAAAACTTCTTTAATAAAACGTTATTCAAAACTACTGTCCTTTTTAAATCAGGCAGTTTCTTCCCTTACATTTGAATTTTGAAAGATTGTTCTACAGTATGGAAAAAAGTCCATTATTATATATGTAATTTACAATTATGTCAGTCTGTGTCTTGTCTGTTTATTCTCTTCACAACATCTTTCAAAGGGTGGACCTTTTTAATATTGGTGAAATCCAATTTATTGTTTCTTTTCTTTCATTATGTTGCATCAAAGAAATTTTTGCGTAACTCAAGACCACAAATACTTTTTTTATGTTCTCTACTGGAAAGTTTATACTTTTAGGTGTTACATTTATGTTTATCCTATATTTTGACTGAATTTTCATATATGGCGTAAAATATGGATCAAAGTTTATTCTCCTGCATACACATATCTAATATTTCCAGTATTTTTGTTGAAGAAAATTTTTCCTCCATTAGATTGCTTTTGTAACTTTGTTGAAAATCTATTATCCACATTGGGTGGGTCAATTTTTGAACTCTGTTCTGTCCCATTAACCTAATTGTCTACCTTGATGGCAATATCATATCATCTTCACTAATTTAGCTTAATAATACATCATGAAGTCAGATAGTATAAATCCATCAAATACATTCTTCTTTTCCAAAGTTGTTTTGGCTATTTTAGGTCCTTTGAATTTCCATATGAATTTTAGAATTAGCTTATCAATTCCTATCTTGAACTGACATGCTTGAATTTTGATTAGAATTGCATTGAATCTATAGATCAGTTTAGAAAGTATTGAAATATTCACCCACAGTTATCATTTGATCCATAAATATGCAATCTATCTACATGTATTTAGGTCTTTTTAATCTCTCAACGATGTTTTGTAGTTTTCATTGTACCTTGTCTTGTACATCTTTTGTTAGATTTGTCCCTAAGAATGTCTATTTTTATACTATATAAATGTTAGTTTTAATTTCAATTTTTGAGTGTTTGCTGCTAATTTATAGAAATACATATGATTTTTGTGCATTATTTTTGTATCTTGCATGCTGCTATATTCGATTATTATTTATAATAGATTTTTGTAGATTCCATTTGATTATTTATAAAGATGACTATGTTGCTTAAGATTAAAGAAAATTTTAGTTCTTCCTTTTTAATCTGATTACTTTTATTTGTTTTTGTTCCTTATCTGACTGGTTACAACCATCACCAGTAAGTAGAAATGAATGTTGAAAATGTTGAAAAGAAGGGCTGAGAGCAGTTTCCCTTATTCCTAACCTTGAGACAAAAGCATTCAGTCTTTTGTAATTAAGTGTGATATTAACTGTAGATTTTGGTAATTGTCCTTTCTCAGATTAAGATAGTTCTCTTCTATTTTTAGTGTGCCAAGAGATTTTTATGAGAATAAACTTTGGATTCTGTCAAATGTTTGTTCTCCATCTATTGACATAATTGTGTTTTTCTTTTTAAATTTAGTAATATGATGACTTACATTGATTTTTTTAATGGAGAACCATTCTTGAATTCCTGGTATAAATCCCAATTGATCATGATTTATTATTTCATATAAGTGCACTTTATTTTCTAAAATTGTATTAACAATTTTGCATCTATTTTATCAGAGATATTATTCTGTAGTTTCTCTTTCTTGTAATATCACTGTCTGATTATCTGTCTAATACTGGCCTCATAGAATGAGTTGGAAAGTATGCTCCCTTCTCCAGTTTTCTGGAAGATGTTGTTAATTCTACCTTAAATGTTTGGTATGATTTCCCCAATTAACGCTATCTAGACCTAAATTTTATTATGTGGAAACGTTTTTAACAGTTTATTCAATTACTTTAATAGATATAGTTTTATTCAGTTAATTTATTTCCTGTTGAATAAGTTTGATATTTTCTGTCTTGCAAGAAATTCCAAGTTGTTGAATTTATTTGCATGCAATTGTTCATAATTTTTCTTATTAACATTTTAATATTTGTAAAATCTGTTAAAGAGGTCACATCTCTCTTTTCTGGTACTGTTAATATGTTTTTACTTTTCCTTGTAATTATAAGAAGTTTGTAAATTGTATTGCTCTTCTCAAAGAAGCAGTTTTTGGTTTCATCGATTTTCTATCTTCTATTTTATTATGTTTCTCTAAGATATTTGTTATTTTCTTTCTTCTGCTTACTTTGTGTTTAATTTGATTTTTTCCTACTTTCTTGAGTTGTAATCAGAGGTGATTGATTGACATCTTCATCAATTACTAATAAAGATGTTTGTTATAAGATTTTTCTTAAGTACTGCTTTGGCTATATTCAATAAATTTTGATATGTTGTGTTTCTACTAATTTCAGAATACTTTCTAACCTTTTGGGTTCTTTTCAAACCTATTTGTTATTTATAAGAGTGTTATTTTGGGCCGGGTGCGGTGGCTCACGCCTGTAATCCCAGCAATTTGGGAGGCCGAGGTGAGCGGATCAGGAGGTCATGAAATCGAGACCATCCTGACTAACACGGTGAAACCCCGTCTCTACTAAAAATACGAAAAAATTAGCCATCCGTGGTGGCATGCAGCTGTAGTCCCAACTACTCGGGAGGCTGAGGCAGGAGAATCACTTGAACCCAGGAGGCAGAGGTTGCAGTGAGACGAGATTGTGCCACTGCACTGCAGCCTGGGCAACAGAGCGAGACTCCGTCTCAGAAACAAACAAACAAAAAATGTTATTTCCTAATGTTTTATAATTTTCTGAATATCTTCCTGCTATTGACACCTAAAATCATTCAGTTGTCATCAGAAAACATACCTTGTATTACTTAAATATATTTAAATTTATTGAACTTATCTTTCATTATATGGTCTACCTAGGTAAAAGTTGTATGGGCACTTGAAAAAAATTGTTCTTTGCTGGTGCTTAGTGGAATGTTTTATAAGTATCAATTTGGTTAAGTTGGTTGAGAAAATTGCTCAAGTTTTATCTATTCTTATTTGTTTATTTATTCTAATTTATATATTCTTAATGTTTTGTATCTACTAATTTTATTAATTATTGAGGAAGGAGTGGTAAAATCTCTAACTATTATTTTGTATTTATTTATGTATCCCTGTATATATCTATTAATTTTGCATCATGTATTTTATTTTGGGCTTTTCTTTAGAATTTTTGTGACTTTTTAATAAATTGACACTTTTGTCATTATGAAATGTTTCTTAATCACTAGCAATATTCTTTGCTTTGAAATATATTTAGATTACATTAATTGTAGCCACTCAAAATTTCTTCCTATTACCGTTAGCAAGGTATGTAATTTTTAATCACTTGAACATTAACCTATGTTTCTGTTTATATTTAACATGGTTTTCTTATAAGCAACACATGCTTGTGCTCTGCTTTTTAACCAATATGACCATTCCTGATATTTTTTAAAGATTTCATCTTTTAAGGAACTTTTAGGTTCACAAAAAAATTTAAAGAAAGGTTCAAAGATCTCCTCCTGCCCCCACACATTCATAACCTCCTCAATTATCAACATCCCCCATCTAGTGGTACATTTGTTACAATTGATGAAACTACATTGACACATCATTGTCACCCAGACTCTATAGTTTACATTGGAGTTTACTCTTGGTGTTGCATATTCTGTGGGTTAGAGAAAAGTATCATGACATGTATTTGCCAATATACTGTAAAGCAGAGTATTTTCATTGACCTAAAAATATCCTGTGCTCCACCTATTCGTCTCTGTATCCCCTAACTCCTGCACACCACTAACCTTTTTATTGCCTCTATAGCTTTGAGTTTTCCAGAATTAAATATGCAGCCATTTGCTGCTTAACAACAGAGACAGGTTTTAAGAAATGCATTGTTAGGTGACTTTCATGTGCAAACATCATAGCATATAGTTACACAAACCTGAATGTTATACCCTACCACACACCCAGGCTTATGATATAGCCTATTGTTCCTAGGCTACAAACCTGTGTAGTATGCAATAGTATGTACTGAATTATTTAGACTATTATAAGACAATGGTAAATATTTGTGTATCTAAACATATCTAAACAGTAAAATTATAGTATAGAAGATAAAAAATGGTACATCTGTATAGGATACATATCATGAATGAAGCTTGTAGGACTGAAAGTTGTTCTGAGTGAGTCAGTCTGTGAGTGGTGAGTGAATGTGAAAAGCCTAGGACATTGCTATACACTACTGTAGACTTTATAAACACTGTACACTTAGGCTACACTAAATCTATACAAAATAATAAACTGCACTACAATGTTAAGACAGCTACAATGTCACTAAGTGATACAAATTTTTCAGTTTATTATAACCTTATGGTATACACAACAGCAGGAATATATGCGCCCAGTTGCTTGACTGAAATGTCATTATGCAGTGTATGACTGTAATTGGAATCATATAGCATATTATCATTTTCAGACTGGCTTTTTTTCATCTAGTATTATGCATCTAAGTTTCTACCATGTCTATTTATGGCTTAATAGCTTACTTCTTTTAATCACTAAATAACATCCCACTGAATGGATATACTACAGTTTATCAATTCACTTATTAAAGGACATTTTGATTGCTTTCAAGTTTTGGTTATTATGATTAAAGCCTCTATAAACATCCATGTGCAAGTTTTTGTATGGGAATAGGTTTTCAACACCTTTGCATAAATACCAAGGAACATTATTGCTAGTAATGGTATAGCATAGCATAGTATAGTGTAGTATAGTACAGGAAGAGTGTGTTTAATCTTTTAAGAAACCACCAAACTGTCCTTCAAAGTGCCTGGAACATTTTGCCTTCCCACGAGCAATGAACGAGCACTCTTGTTGCCATGTATTTTTGGAGAATTTGATGTTGTTAGTATTCTGGATTTCAGCCAGTCTAATAATTGTATAGTGGTATCTCATTGTAGTTTTAATTTGCATTTCCCTGATGATGTATAATGTAAAACCTTTTTATATAACCTTATTTGTCATCTGTATATGACAAATCATAAGAAAGTTAACTATATAACTAAAACTATATAACTATAAAGGCCAAAATAAAATGACCCAGATGTTATAATTAGCTGACAGATATTTCAGAGTAGCTGTTATAATTATACTTGAGGACAGAAAGGAAACATGTTCATGATAATTGGAAAGAATGGGAATCTCCCCTGAGAAAGATAAACAATATAAAAATGAATAAATCAAAATTCTAGAATTAGGAAAACAATATCTGAAATTAGAAAACAATACTGACTTACTTGGAGGGAATATATAGCACGATATTGGAAAATAATAAAAGTCAAAGAACAGTAATCTAAGTTTCCATCTTAAGGACCTAGCAAGAACAAATTAAAACAAAAGGAAGCAGAAATACAAGAACAATTTTTAAGAGAAGTAATAAAAATGGAAACAAAAAAGGATAATACCGAAAAAAAATAAGACCAATAGGTCATTCTTTGGCTAAAACTGTAGCCAGAATGATCAAGAAAAAAGAAAAAGAGATAAGACACAAATTACAAATATCAAAATGAAAAAGCAGGCATCTCTGTAGAGCATACAAATATTAAAAGCATGGAAAGAAAATGCTACATCAACTTTATGTCCATAAATTTGACAACTTAAATAAAATAAACAAATTCCTAGAAAGACACAAACTATCAAATCTTTCTCAAGAAGAAACATATAAAGATCAACATCCAGAAAAGAAAAGTGTGAACTCTGGCCATATGGTTTGGCTTGTATCCCCACCCAAATCTCATCTCGAATTGTAATCCCCATGTGTTGAGGGAGGATCCTGGTGGGAGGTGATTGTATTATGAGGGTGGTTTCTCCCATGCTGTTCTCATGTTAGTGAGGAAGTTCTCACAAGATCTGAGGGTTTAAAATTGTTTGGCAGTTCCCCTGCTCTCTCTCTCCTGTTGCCATGTAGGATGACTTGCTTCCCTTTTGCTTTCTGCCATTATTGTAAGTTTCCTGAGTCCTCTCAGCCATGTGGAACATTGAGTCAGTTAAAACTCTTTCTTTTATAAATTACCCAGTTTCAGGTATGTCTTTATAGCAGCGTGAAAATTGACTAATACAGGAAATTGGTACTGGGAGCAGGGCACTACTTTCAAGATAACCTGAAAATGTGGAAGCACTTTAGAACTGGGTAACAGGCACAGGTTAGAACAGTTTGGAGGGCTCAGAAGAAGACATGAAGATGTGGGAAACTTTGGAATTTCCTAGAGACTTGTTGGATGTCTTTGACCAAAATGCTGATAGTGATATGGGCAATAAAGTCCAGGCTGAGATGGTCTCAGATAGAGATGAGGAACTTGTTGGGAACTAGAGTACAGGTGACTCTTGCTATGCTTTAGCAAAGAGACTGGCAGCATTTTACCCTGTTCTAGAGATCTGTGGAAATTTGAACTTGAGAGAGATAATTTAGGGTATCTGGCCAAAGAAATTTCTAAGCAACAAAGTATCAAGGGGTGACTTGGCTTTTTCTGAAAGAGTACAGTTGTATGTGTTCACAAAAAAGATGATTTGAAATTGGAACTTATATTTAAAAGGGAAGCAGTTCATAAAAGTTTGTAAAATTTGCAGACTGACCATGCAGTAGAAAAGAAAAACCCATTTTCTGGGTAGAAATTCAAGCCTGCTGCAGAAATTTGAGTAAGAAGGAGTCCAGATGTTCATAGCCAAGAAAATGAAAAAATATTTCTCCAGGGCATGACAGAGATCTTCATGGCAGCCCCTCCTATCACAGGCCTGGAGGCCTAGGAGGCAAAAATGGTTTCGTGGGCTAGTCCCAGCATCCCACTCCTATGTGCAGCCTCAGGACTTGGTGCCCTGCATCCAAGCCACTCCAGCTCCAGCTGTGGCTAAAATGAGCCAAGGTGCAGCTTGAGCTGTGGCTTCAAAGACTGCAACTCCCAAGCATCAGTGGCTTCCATGTGGTGCTGGGCCTGTGGGTGTGCAAAAGACAAGAGTTGAGCTTTGGGAGCCTCTGCCTAGATTTCAGAGGATGTATGGAAATGTCTGGATGTCTAGGTAGAAATCTGCTGAAGGATCAGAGCCCTCATGGAGAACCTCTACTAGGGCCATTCAGAGTGGATATGTGAGGTTGGAGCCCCCACACAAAGTCCCCACTGGGGCACTGCCTAGCATCACTGTGAGAAGAGCGCCACTCTCCCCTAGAGAACAGAATAGTAGATCCACTTACATTTTGCACCATGCACCTGAAAAAGCCACAGGTACTCAATGCCAGCCCAAGAAAGCATCCACAGGGGGTGTACCCCACGGAGCCACAGGGGCAGAGCTACCCAAGGCCTTGGGAAACCAGCTCTTTCATCAGCATACCCTGGATGTGAGACATGGAGTCAAAGAAGATTATGTTGGGGCTTTAAGATTTAATGACTGCCCTGTTGGGCTTCAGACTTGCATGGGGCCTATGGTCCCTTTGTTTTAGCCAATTTCTCCCATTTGGAATGGGAACATTTACCCAATGCCTACACCTTCATTGTATCTTGGAAAGAACTAACTTGTTTTTGATTTTACAGGCTCATAGGCAGAAGAGACTTGCCTTATCTCAGATGAAACTTTGAACTTGTACTTTCGAGTTAATGGTGGAATGAATTAAACTCTGGGGGACTATTAGGAAAGCAGGATTGGTCTTGAAATATAAGAAGAGCATGGGATTTGGGAGGGGAAAGGGCAGAGTGATATGGTTTGGCTCTGTGTCCCCACCCAAATCTCATCTCAAGTTGTAATCCCCACATGTTGAGGGAGGGACTGGTAGGAGGTGATTGGATAATTGGGGAAGTTTCCCCCATACTGTTCTCGTGATAGTGAGTGAGTTCTTTTGAGAACTGATGGTTTTAAAGTATTTGACATTTCCCTCCACCCTCCTGCCACCATGTAACACATGCCTTGCTTCCCCTTCGCTTTCTGCCGTGATTGTAAGTTTCCTGAGGCCTCCCCAGCCATGCGGAACTGTGAGTCAATTAAACCTCTTTTCTTTATAAATTACCCAGTCTCAGGCATGTCTTTATAGCAGTGTGAAAATGGACTAATATACCTGATGAAATTGCTTTCATACTATGACAAGAAAAATACAGGCAAAATAACTAAAATCCACTCTTTCAAAATTCTGAAGTGAAAGTTACAGATAAAAACTAGTATCTATGTAGAAGAAACTATGGAACTTCAAAGTAATTCAACAACATGTCAGAGCAAATAGAAGAAAGGATCAACAAACTTGAAGATAAATCAATAGAAATTATCTAGTTTGAGGTGCAGAAATGAGAATGAATTAAAATGAATAGAGCATCAGGGATGTATGGGGCACCATCAAGTGAGCTGGATATGGTGGCTCATGCTGGTAATACCTGTACTTTGGGAAGCCAAGGCAGGAGGATCACTTGAGCCCAGGATTTTGAGACCAGCCTGGGCAATATAGCAAGACCTCATCTCTACAGATTAAAAAAAAATTGTTTGGCTTAGTGGTATGTGCCTTTTACCTTAGCTACTCAGAAAGATGACATGGGAGGGTTACTTGAACCCAGAAGTTCTATGTTGCAGTGAGCTATAATTACCTCACTGCACTCAAGCTTAGGTGATAGAGTGACACCCACCCCCAGCCCCCCAAAAAGTGTGCTAACATACACATAATGGGAATTATATAAGGAGAAGAGAAAAAGAAAAGAGAGAAAAATATTTGAAGAGATAATGACCAAATACTTTCCAAATCTGAGGCTTCATCTAAGAATTTCAACAAACTTCAAGTAGATTAAATTCATAGATAACCACACCTAAAAAAAATAGTCACATCAACAAAAATCAAAGACAAAGATAAGATCTTGAGGACAGCAGAAGGAAAAGTATCAAGGGACCTTCAATAAGATTAAGAGTTGACTTGTTATTAGGAACAATGGAAGCCAAATTCTTGTCAATTAACAATTCTATGTCTAGGTACCCTTCTTTTATAAGATGTGATAGCCAGAAACTCTACCAATAAAGCTATAGGAATTTAAAATAATTGTTATATAACATGAATATATATAATTTTTATTTGTCAATTAAAAAATAAATGTAAAAAATAAATTAAGAAATTTTCAAGTTCACAAAAACAGAAAATCTATTTCTAACAGATCTGCTGTACAGAAAGCACTAAAGGGAGTTTTTCAGGCCAAAATTACATTATATAGTAACATAAATCCCTATGAAGAGATATATATCATCAATAAAGGTAACTACATAAAAAATATAAAAGAATATAAATTCATGCTTATAACTATCTTGTTTTAAAAAATTATTACATTAGGAAAAAACTATAAAGCTGTTATTCATTAGGCTTATAGAATACAAGGATAGAATTTGATGACAATAATAGTGCAAATAATTTTGATAAGCATACTGTGGTTGTATATATGAATTTTCTTGTCCTGAGGAAATATACTGAAACTATTAGGATAAAAAAGCGTGATTTCTCCAGCTTACTCCCAAATGATTCAAAGATAACATAACCATTGGTGAATCTCTATTATTCGAGAGTCCTTTGTACTATTTTTACAATCTTTGTATATGATTAAAATTTTTTTTAAAATATAATCATAAAAACTCAAAAAAAAAATAAAGTTTTAACTGACAAAAAAACAAAGCCATAACACAAAAGTCAACAGTTAGGTTTTTACTATGGAACAAGGATGCAACCTTTTATGTTGTTCTATGTCTTCATTTTGCGAAGAGAAAAGTTGAATCCTAGAGTATGTAAGAAGACTGGAATGTGTAAAGGACTGTCCAAAATGACACAACTAGTCAGTGACAGAACCAGCTCTGACAAATAGGCCTCCTAATTCTTCCTGAGTTCTTTTCTCACTCCATTTGCTTTGTTCCATAGCCAAGCCTTTTATAATTCTCTTTCAGTATTCTGTATTCTGCATCACTTCAAATACTCAATTCTGGAACAAATTCTAGCATGTTAAAAATATGCAAAGAGTTTATCTGCTAATAAAATACAAATTCATTCATAGTGGTGCATACCTAGAACTCAACAAAACTCACTAACATTTTTTGAAGTTAGCATTTGACTTCTGCATAAGATACTAGCTGGTGTCAAATTTCTGAGGCCATTGTTATTAAGATAACATCCTTTCCCAGGAATTCAGAGCCTGTGGACCTGGGGCCAAGTTAAAGGAATAGAAAACGGAAAGTTGCTGGTATGCATGCTACATGTTTATGATTATTGTTGTATGACACCAAATATTGTGGTTTTTCTTTCTTCATCAATTATTTGGTGTGTGGATGAGAAATCATTTGTTGAAAGCACTTGGAACATTTTACCTACCTTGGAACCAATGTTGAGGCTCCAAAAAGGAGACTTGGCTAGTAAGGATAGTCTGTGTATTCTTAGCTAACCATTGAAATATGAAGAAGCAAAATAGAAGGTGTAGTTTAGAAATAGTGGGGCTTTTCAATATAAAATCCTATGTTTGTGTACCTTTAAAATAAAAGATTTCCATAATATTTTGCAAAAGAAAGTGAATGTTTCTCTATCATTTCTACTCTGTCTGATTTGAATATTTGCATCTCTCAAAAATCGAATCTCATCATTTCTGTATGGTATTAAACCAGATATAATTTTTAAAGATGTTTCAGGGCCTGACCAGAATAAGCACTGTCTCCAAACTTACAGCAGTGTACTGATCAGCATTCTTTGGAAGGGGTTAGTTTACAAGTGGTAAATCTACCTAGCTCTTTACGGTTGCCAAAAATTACTCTTTTCCATGAATATTTAAAATCAATAAAGATGAGTCCCTACTCACTCCAAGATATTGCACTAAGTCTTCTCTACTATCCAAATCTTGTCTATTTCCTCGCTGTTTATTTTCTTCAGTGTACTAATTACAATCTATAGTTCTTTATTTTGTTTCTTATTTGATTATTGTCTATCTTAGCCACTGTAAGGTAAGGTCTATGAGATCATAGACCTTCAATGGATCATCACTGCTCTGTGTCCAGCATCTAGTACCAGGCATGTCCTAAGAACTTAGTAAGCCTTTGTTCAAGGAGCAAATTCACTAAGCATCTGTCATAAACTAGGCACAGCCTATCTGTGAAGCTGTGTAGTGCAATGGTTAGAAATACAAGCTTGATGCTCCAGCTGCCTGGGGCCAGATTCTGACTGCACCACTTACTGTGTAAACTTGGGTGAGCTTTGCTATACACTTTTCTGTGCCTTAATTTATCCATCTTTGTAAAATGGTAATAATGAATCTACCTCTCTCATGGAGTGATGTGAGACCTCACTTGTAACAAAGTAAGTGGTCAATTAGTGAGCTTTCATAGTAACAAAGGCATTACTAGCTCGAGTTCACAGATGAAGGAATTAAAACTGTGAGACTAGGTAACTTGTTCAAGAGCATACCCTGATGAGTGACAGAACAAGCATTTGAAGTCATGGTGGTTTGACTTTAAAGCTTAGGCTGCTTGTGTTAACCCCTGCACTGCACTGACTGCTCATTACATATCAGTAGACAATGATCTCCAGCAGTTCATAGTTTAGGGGTACATCATGCACAGATATAAATGACCCTGCTAAAGGACAAATTGACTTCCCTGCTGAAGAGGATAAGTTCTCAAGGTATCTTGTGTGTAATGTAGGTAGAGAATAACCCTACTGCAGGTGCTCTGGAAACTTCCCGAGAGGGAGAGATTTGAACTGACCCAAGGGACAATCCTCTCAGATGCCTTTTTAAAACCAAGGCTCTCTGCTTCCAAAGCTGTTCCCAATCCGTCAGTCTGGTAACTGTATCAAAAAAGGAAATGAGACTGTCTGGATAATGACTTCCACATGTTCTCTTTGTACATGGTTGTAGGTTCCAAACCACATGCAGAGGCAAAGAAGCAGAATGAGTTACCACCTTCCTCATTTTCTCATTTTTGTCCTTGCATCTAGACTCTGTGTCCATCCTGTTTGTAATGACCATGGATGAGTAGATAATAATGATTGCCCATATTTGTTTTGTCTTTAATATGTGCCAGAATAGTTCTAAAACCCTTATGTGTAGCAATTCATTTACTCCTCAGAACTGCTAAACTGAAAGGTACTAGTCGTATCCCCACTACAAAGATGAGAACACTGAGGCACAGGGAGATTAAGTCTTGCTAACATCACTGAGCTAAATAATAAGGAACCAGGATGCTAACTCAGGGAGCTGGCTACCAGAACCTGCATGTTTTCTCCACTGCCTCTACGAGCTCTAGAAGCTTTCTCCACTGCCTCTATGAGCTCTAGAAGCATGCAGAGAATTAACAAATAATTCTGGGGCAAGAGATGGGGCAAGTTTGGGGCAAGTTATGTCCCCGTAATAGTCTTCTATGATCAGGACAACACATCTTTTCTTTTTGACCCTCCTTCCCTGACCCCAGTGTCCTAAGCAACGCTGAGTTTACAATTCATTGAAAGTTCCTGAAAAAGAGATTGACTTTATGTATTACACAATCTATTGTCTTAAATATAACTAGAATGCATTCCTAGTTTCTCCCTCATGTCACACAGGACTCCCATAAGGGCCCACCCAGCTGTCTTTCTGCTTCCAATCTTACCCCCTCTAATTCACCCTCTACTCTTCATTTGAGTTCTGATAGGAGAGAAATCACACTCAAAAGGTAAACTAAAGAGAGTTGAATAAGCAGGTACTAGGAAACAATAGTTTTCCCAGAAAAGACTCAAGTAGGTGATTGCTCCTAGAAAAGCCACACACAGTTTGTCCAGGTCGCTTCACAGTGACCGTAGTAGGCCAGATGCAACATTCTGCGGTTGATCCAGAGCATGAGGCTGCGATGAAACATACTACAACCTCCACTACCAAATGTTACATTTTGATGTCCTCTGGCCCAGGAGATCCCCCGTGAAATAAGTAGTTCACTATTGCACCGTGTCAGAGCACACAGTGGAAAGACCAAAGCCTTCCAGAAAGACCTATATAGGCAAAAGGCTTCAGCCCCTTGAGCCTCAGTTCACTCATCTGTCAAACGGAGATAATGTATATGTCGCAGGACAATGGTGAGGAATGAAAGAGTGCATGCTTGTGAAGTGCCTAGCACAGTAAATAAGGAAATAGAAAACCTGAAAGGGGAGGAGAAAAGAGTATAGTTACCAGGGCCTGGCAAGATCTGTGGTTGTGAGAAAGAGATGGCCATTGTAGTAAAACTGTGATCATATCAGGGAGAAACAGCCACAATCAAGACCAGCACCTGCAAAGAGGAGCAGGGTGGAATGAAGGTTAAATACCCAGCTTCTCTCATCTACCTTCTTCTAATGTCCACCTGATACCAGAGGGCCAGGTGCCCACATGATGGAGTCAGCAGACACTTAGAATGGATCTGGAAAGGTAAAAGGAGACTACCCAGCACAAATGATTCCTTCTCAGTTTTTGCTCTGTTTGGCTTTTTACAATCAATGCTATAATGAATGTCATGTGTATATCTTTGCATACTGGGCTTTTAATTCTGTAGGATAGATTGCTAGTTGTGAGACTGTCAACTCTAAGGGTTTTAGAAGTTCTCAATGTTTTCTGATGCTACCAAATAACTTACCCAAAAGCCTTTGGCAATTTTACCAACACTGTATATATACTTTCATAAGCAGTAGATGTTTTCCAATGTCTTAAAACATGTTGATCAGAGTGGCACAAATTATTACTTACTGTCTTATGTTCCATTACCTAGAGGACTAGTGAGATTGAGCATGATTTCTTAAGTATAAAATGAGATCTCTTCTGTGAACTTCCTGTTCCTATTAGGGATGTTTAGGACGTGTATTGGCATTCTTTATTTTACTTGCCTTTCTTCTTTGTTTAGGTATCTTTTATTGTATGCAAGTTTTGGGATACTTTCATTTTGTTTTGTATAGAGTCAAATTTCCAAAACAAAAATCTGACCTTCAGCTTAAAACCCTTGGGTTTCTGCCCCTTGCCTTCAGAATATGATCCTAATCCCTTTGCTGAATTAAAGGGCTCTTTCAACATGTAGTTACTGGCAAGCTCCTCAGCATCGTCTCTGGTCATCCTCTCCTCCTCTCCACCTCTATTTCAGGTACAGGTACAGGTGTAAACCTATCGTGCTACTGCTTCATCTTCAGTGCATTTGCACTTACTGTTTTCCTGAGACGACTGTCCTCACTTCCTCTTTGCCAGCTAATTACTATCCTTTCTGTAAGATTAATTTAAACATTGCCTTATCTGCAATGTTGTACTTGTTCCAGCCTCCCCTATTTTTTCAGACTGAGCCACAGATGGTGTCAGGCATGGTAGACTGGATTAAAGGCAAACCACAAAAAATATCCCTGAGGCAGGAAATACTGCAATGAATAAACTTCAATGTCTGTGTCCTAGAGGCACACATCTTACTGGCTGAGTTACATCACCCACATTAGACAGAACAAGCTTCAGCAATATATTAACAATCCTCACTTTCATTTTTCCTACCAATAGTTTTCCCACGAAAGACTCAATGAGGTGATTGCTCCTAGAAAAGCCACATACAATTTGTCCAAGTCATTTCACAGTGACCCTAGCAGGCCAGATACAACATTCTGTGGTTACCCCAGAGCATGAGGCTGCAATGAAACATACTACAACCTCCACTACCAAATGTTACATTTTCATGTCCCCTGGCCCAGGAGGTCCCCTGTGAAATAATATATGAAGCTTCTCTGCATAACAGGCGACTGCTCTAGTGCATCACTACAGCAAGATCATTTCCCCTTGGCTTGATATGTAAATATGCATTGGACATTTTAGCTCTTTTTTTTGTCTTTATGGAGACAAACTCCGATAATCCAATCAAAGCACTCTAGGCCACCTCCTCTTTAAATAAATCCAATGCAAGAAAGTTCAGACTTACAGTGGTATTCTTTCTAAAATAATACCAATAAAAATCAATCTGCCCAAAAAATCCTCCCCGAAGTAGCTCACTATTGCACTGTGTCAAAGCACACAGTGGAAAGACCAAAGCTTTCCAGAAAGACCTATATAGGCAAAGGGCTTCATCCCCTTGAGCCTCAATTCACTCATCTGTCAAATGGGGATAATGTATATCTTGCAGGACAATGGTGAGGAATGAAAGACTGTATGCTTGTAAAGTGCCTAGTACAGTAAATAAGAAAATAGAAATAAATAGTGGAAAACATTTCCTTTCCTTTTTAAATCTAGTATCCATTTCTCACACTATTTTGGATATGGAAGAAAAACATCAAGTCAACTGGTGCTACTTCTGACACTAACTAGTTTTATTTCTTTATCTAAGCTCTGCATATGTCTAAGAATTTTAGATGGCTCAATAGCCAGCAAAGAAGACATCCCAGTAATTAAGGACACATGTAATTGAATGCAGACAGCCATATTCATTAAACTGTTTCTTTAAGAAGGTATTGCATTTCTTTGGGGAAAAAAATGACAAAGCGCCCTGAGTGAGTGTATTGGTCAGGGTTCTTTAGAGGGACAGAATTAATAGGATAGATGTATATATGAAGGGGAATGTGTTGCGGGAGTCAGGGACCCTGAACAGAGGGACCAGCTGGAGCAATGGCAGAGGAACATAAATTGTGGAGATTTCATGGACATTTATTAGTTCCCCAAATTAATACTTTTATAATTTCTTAGGCCTGTCTTTACTGCAATCTGTGAGCATAAATTGTGAAGATTTCATGGACATTTATCAGTTCCCAAATAATACTTTATAATTTCTTATGCCTGTCTTTACTTTAATCTCTTAATCCTGTTATCTTTGTAAGCTGAGAATGTATATCACCTCAGGGCCACTATTGTACAAATTGATTGTAAAACATGTGTGTTTGAACAATATGAAATCAGTGCACCTTGAAAAAGAACAGAATAACCGTGATTTTCAGGGAACAAAGGAAGACAACCATAAGGTCTGACTGCCTGCAGGGTTGGGCAGAATAGAGCCATATTTTTCTTCTTGCAGAGAGCCTATAAATGGACATGCAAGTAGGGAATATATACGCTGAGTAGTGTATATTATACCCAACAGGTAGTTTTTCAGCCCTCACCCACCTTGCACCCTTCCCCCTTCTGACTGAGTCTCCAATATCCATTAAAGTTGCTGCCAACTTTTGCTAGTGCCTTTTCCTAGCAAGGAATATTAATAATTAAGACCCTGGAAAAGGAATGCATTCCTCGGGAGAGATCTATAAATGGCCGCTCTGGGAGTATCTGTCTTATGCAGTTGAGATAAGCACTAAAATATGCCATGGTCTCCTGCAGTACCCTCAGGCTTATTAGGGTGGGGAAGAAACCCCACCCTGGTGAATTTGAGGTCAGACCGGTTCTCTCCTCTCAAACCCTGTTTTCTGTTGTTGAAGATGTTTATCAAGACAATACGTGCACAGCTGAACATAGACCCTCATCAGGAGTTTTTGATTTTGCCCTTTGACTTGTGATCTTTGCTTTGCCCTTTGACTTGTGATCTTTGCTTTGCCCTTTGCTTTGTGATCTTTATTGGCCTCAGAAGCATGTGATCTTTCTCCCTTTTGCCCTTTGAAGCATGTGATCTTTGTAACATACTCCCTGTTCGTACATCCCCTACCCTTTTGATATCCTTAATAAAAACTTGCTGGTTTTGCAGCTCAGGTGGGCATCACGGACCTACCAATATGTGATATCACCCCCAGCAGCCCAGCTGTAAAATTCCTCTCTTTGTACTCTTTCTCTTTATTTCTCAGACTGGCTGACACTTAGGGAAATTAGAAAGAACCTACATTGAAATATTGGGGGCGAGTTCCCCCTATAGGAGTGTATTAGGAGAACTGACTTACACAATCACAAGGTGAAGTCCCACAATAGACTGTCTGCAAGCTGAAGAGACAGGAAGCCAGTCTGAGTCCCAAAACCTCAAAAGTAGGGAAGCTGATAGTGCAGCCTTCAGTCTGTAGCTGAAGGCTGGAGAACCCCTGGCAAATCACTGGTGTAAGTCAAAGAGTCCAAAAGCTGAAAAACTTGGAGTCTGATGTTCGAGGGCAGGGAGCATCCAGCACGAAAGACAGATGGAGGCCAGAAGGCTTAACCAGTCTAGTCCTTCCACGTTCCTCTGCCTGCTTTTATCCTAGCTGTGCTGGCAGCTGATTAGATGGTACCCAGCCAGATTGTGGGTGGGTCTGCCTCTCCTAGTCCACTGACTCAAATGTTAATCTCCTTTGACAACACCCTTACAGACATATCCAGGAACAATACTTTGCATCCTTCAATCCAATCAAGTTGACACTCAATATTAACCATCACAGTGAGTAATGTTTTAGGTGTCTCCTAAGAAGACGGGCACTTCTGCCCTCTTTTTAATGAACATCCTGATGGGTCTAGGTCTATAATTTGGGAGGGTAGTAAAAAGCAGAGAAAGATCTGAAGTTGTTTTAAATAATACAAAGGTAAGATAATTAAGTTTTCCTCTTAATTTTTTTATTTTATTAACTTTAGGGGTATATGAGGTTTTTGGTTACAAGTATGGATTGTCTAAGACTTTAGTGTACTCGTCACCTGAGTAGTGTATATTATACCCAACAGGTAGTTATTCAGCCCTCACCCACCTTGCACCCTTCCCCCTTCTGACTGAGTCTCCAATATCCATTATACCACTGGGTATGCCTTTGTGTACCCATAGCTTAGCTCCCACTTATAAGTGAGTATATAAGTTATCTAGTTTTTGATTCCTTAGTTACTTTACTTAAAATAATTACCTCTAGTTTCATCCAAGTTGCTGCCAAAGACATTATTTCACTTCTTTTTTTTTTTTGGCTGAAAAGTATTTCATGGTGTGTATATATATCTATAAAATATATATTATATGTTATATATATGCATTATATATAAATACATATTTATAAATATATAAATATTATATATCAAATATATTATATATTTGATATATTTGATATATATCTTATATATAATATATTTGATATGTAATATATAATATATTTGATATATAAAAATATATAATATATCAAATATATATATCAAATATATAAATATATATATCAAATATGTATAATATATAATTATATAATATATAATATATTTATTTATATATTTAATATATATATACACACACATACACACACACCTCATTTTCCTTATCTACTCATCAGTTGATGGGTATTTAGGTTGATTTCCTATCTTTGCGATTGTAAATTGTGCTGCAATAAACATAAGCATAAACACAAGCATGCAGGTGTCTTTTTGCTATAGTTACTTTTTATCTTTTGGGTAGATACCCAGTAGTAGAACTGTTGTATCAGATGGTAGATCTACTTTTAGTTCCTCAAGAATCTCCACATTGTTTTCCATAGAGGATCTACTAATTTATATTCCCATCAGCAGTGTATAAGCATTCCCTTTTCACCACATCCATGCCAAAATCTATACATTTATTGTTTTTTGACTTTTTAATAATGGTCATTCTGGCTGTTGTAAGGTAGTATCTCATTGTGGTTTTAATTTGCATTTATCTTTTTTTTTTTCTTGTTTTTAAGATGGAGTCTGGCTCTGCCCCAGCCTAGAGTGCAGTGGCACGATCTTGGCTCAAGACTACAGGTGCATGCCACCACGCTGGCTAATTTTTGTTTTTTTAGTAGAGACGGGGTTTCACCCTATTGGTCAGGCTGGTTTCAAACTCCTGACCTCAGATGACTCACCTGCCTCGGCTTCCCAAAGTGCTGGGATTACAGGCTTGAGCCATCGTGCCCGGCTGGGTGCATTTATCTTTTGATTAGTGATGTTGAGCATTTTTTTCCATAAGTTTTTTGGCTATTTGTATATCTTCTTTTGAAAAATACCTATTCAGTTCTTTGCCCACTTTTAATGGGATTAATAAAGTTAAATTTTAGTTAATAACTGTGTTTGGAAGAATAAGGTGAGGAGAGAGTCTGAAAAGTTTATTCCTGCTCGCAAAACAGAAGAGGATAAACAATCCTAGTAGTGAACTGAAGGAAAAAGACTTTGGGAAGAACATAACTACTTAATAAGAATTTAAAGTTGTTTGCAATGTTTGTAGAGGGGAGCTGGGAGCAGAGGCCAGAGCCGGATCTTAAAGAATTATTCTCCACCTGTCCTTCTGACTCCCTATAGTCCTGAGACACCAAAATTCTTTTGAAGTTTTTTTTTGTCTTTACTCTTTTGGGCAAATACAGACAGCTTTAATAAACAACAATTATTAAATTTCTCATGAGACTGAGTGAGATGATTCCTGCTGAGCTTAGGAATTGATTCCTATGTGTACTTGAGACATTGAAGTCTAGATTGAGTTGGACCATGTTCTGTATGTTTATGCTGTGATGTTCTTTACTTCAAGAAACTCTCACACTATCCAACATCAGTCTCGTAAGAGGCTAAATTCTCACTATTTGCAGGGCACTGATCCTTTCTGCTAGGAAGGACAAGGTAGAATGAGGAGAGGTGGAACTTCTTCAGGGCAACAGGAGTGACCATTTGCCTAATAGAGCTTTATGTCCATAGTTGTTCATCAAAAGTATAATGGAAAGGGTGGCTGTGAACCGTAGAACAAAAGAGAAGCAAAAACCAAGAAGACAATGTTCCAATGAGTTCATTCTTGACTGGAACAAGCCTACTTATCTGCACACAACTGCACTCATCTTCTCTTTCCATTTTAAGAGAAGGAACTGGATATGATTGGCAGGATCACAAGATGGCAAAGTTAAAGAGGCCTTGAGCAAAGTGGCTGACATAAAAGCATGTGGGTGTCTGACTCCTAAAAGGTATGTCAAAAATCTTCAATTAGGCACAAACTAGCTAGAAGAGTTAGATATATTTTTTAAAGTGTTCTGATCCTCATTTTGTTCATCAAATAGAGATGGCAGTACATGCCCTGAAAAGGAGTTGTAAAGGTTACAAATAATATGGATTTTAAAATCCAGCACAGAGTAGGCATTTAATAAATGACAATTATTGTTATACCAAGCTTCTTTATATATGCTTTCCTAGGACTTACCCTCTGAATGTGAACAATGAATCACTAAGAATATATGCTCAACACACACACTAGGATCCTTCTTAGTTTTTTTGTTTTTTTTTTTTTTTTCTGTTTTGGGCAATACGAAGCCCTAGTGCATAGTTCTGTGTCACTTGGACTAAGTAGGCTACATCTTGCACCACCAAATTGTTCCTCAGTTTTCACCTCCAGTATGGAACATGAACTTGGATTTTGTTGAACTTTCATAGCCTGGATACCTATTTAATCTCCCACAGAAACTAAAACAAAAGATAAGCACTAAGATGAATTTCTACGATGTTAATGAATTTCTTGATTTGTAGATATTGTAAATAAGAAAGTTAGAAATCAAATATTAATGTAGTAATCTTTTTTTTTACTAGTGATAAAAGATCTAGACATTCTAAAGACATTCTAAATGAAACTTTTCTAATTAGCATTAGTATTAATGGCTTGTCTTCTAACACTATACTTCACAAGCATCTTCAAAATATATCTTGGGAAAAATATAAACAAGTTAAGGAAACTCATTTGGACTTGCTTAAGACACCACAGAGCTGCATTATCTATGAGTAGTTTTTTTCTATAAATTTAAAAAATCATTTTTCTATAAATTTTCTATAAAATTTAAAAAGTGAAATTTATCGTTTTTGTCTTAAATAAAAAAACTAAATAGTTTGGCATCAAACACAATGCTGAATTTATATGGTATCTTTCCACTTACGGGTGGTTGCAACCAGGACAAGTTATTTAACTTCTGAATCTCACTTTTCTCATACATAAAATTAAAATAATGTTGTTTGTACAACTTTAAGTATAAAGCAGTCAACCTAGCACTGCATTTCAAGACAGACTTCCAGAAGCACTGCTCTTTCCACTTCTTCTTTCTTAGCTGCTCTCAATAGCTCTGCTTCCCATAGACTTTAGGCTCAACTCCTTATTTGTCCTTCAAGATGCTCTGCATTCTGGAGTTGGCCTACCTATTTGCAAAATTTCTTATTTTATATGCTCTGCACCTACCCAAATTGAACCACTTACTATTTGTCTCACATATCCCCGGAAGTTCCTAATGCATGTCTGCTTGTGCTATTTTCTCTGATAATCATGCCCTGTCTCCAGCATATCAAAATTTTGCCTACCCTTCAAAATTTCACTTTAAATGTGTCAAATTTCTTGACATTTTGAAATTTCCCCTGACACCCTTAGGCTTTAAATTCCTGAATCTCTCCTCTAAATCCTCAAAGAATTGTAGTCAACATTCATTTAGTATATGCTGCAGGTCCAGCTCTGTGTAGATACTGTAAGACAAGGAAGACACAGAGGCCTTCTTTAACAGCGAGTACGAGGTGATTTCATATAAAGGAATTTAATGCAAAATTCACAGAATAATAACAATGCATTCTCCCTTTTCCTATTTTATTACAAATAACCGCCATTGAATGCATGGTGTGGGATAGACTCATGATAAGAGTTAACCCCTACATGAGCAATCTTATTCCTGTCTTAACAGCGACACCAGCAAAAAATTAAAAAATATATATAAATTTCAGAGAGGTTAAGAAACTTTTAAACCTCTAGGTTTTATAACTGAGATCTATCTAACTTCAAAACTCATAACTACACAACTCATATCTGAAATTTCATATTATGTAAGAAGAAAGCATTTCTTCTGAACTCAGGGAGGGCTATATTTGATTAGAACGAAGGGACTGTGAGCTCCAGGAGCTCAAGGCCCACATCTAATTAACCTGTAGATATCACCATGGCATTTGGTACACATTTTACTGAGTGAGCGAGCAGAAGTGAACTTGGGATGTGGCCACTGCTTCTATTAGGATAGGTTATGTTGTTACAACAAACAGCCCTGGAATCTTAGCCACTGATAGCAGCAGGGGTTTAATTTTGCTCACACTACATGCATGCCCATTGTTGGTTTCTGGCGTAGCCATACCAGTTGCATGTTGTTCGTTTAGGTGACAGAGAAAAAGAACTCAGAAAGGTTCTGTACTGAAAAATTGGTCCCTCGAGTATTCTCTCATTCTTTCTTTTTTGTGTGTTTTTGTTGTTCAGTAAGAATCTTTTTGTCACCCAATATGTACCAACTAATATGATAATCACCGGCATAATAACAAACACTAAAACAAATGAGTTACCTACACTTCAGCAGGTAAGATCGATGTTAGATGAATAATTACACAAAAATGTCTTCATTGCAATTGTGATAAAGGTTATAAAGAAAATTGAAGGGTGTTGTGAAAGTACATAACAAGGATACCTCATAGGCTGAAGGTTTAGAAAAGATCTCTAAAGACATGATGTTTGATCTGAGATCTAAAAGAAATTGAAATAAACCAGTCAAAGACTAAGGTGATGGGGGCAGCAGTAACGAAGGTGGAAAAGAATTCTGAAATCTTGTCTAATATACTTCCCCCAGCATTAGGCTATCTGCCACTCATAATTATACCCAAAGTCAACCAACTATTTGTATGGATTGGTCTTTCTCACACCCTTTAATAACTGCAGTTGTTAGTGTAGTTGTCTGTCTTCTATTATAAAGTACATTTTCTGGTTACAGGTTTGTCTTTATCTCTGTACTTTCAATAGGTTCTCACAAGTCTTTACTGAAGTAATAGAATATTACAGCTTGTCAGGCTTATAGCACAACCAGGCATTGAATGAAATTTCAATTTTTAAAAATATATAATACATAATACTATTTTTAACATAAATCGACAACAAAAATGCCATCAGAATTTTATTTACCATGGAGAGGACACCAACAGATGATTCCAGATGCATTTTCCTACTAAGCAAAGTTAAGATGAAAAGAAGCTAATTAAGTTTTGAAAATTGATTTGAGGGAAAACATAAACTAAGAAACATTTTAATTTCTTTTAAAGATTTATCTTCAGAAATCCATAGCCTCACCAATGGCAGGCTAAACATGTGCAAACAGTTGACACTGTTGGAAAGCTAGAGAATTGTGCTGTAGAGAAATTAATGTTCCACTCATTCGTTTTCAAAAACTGTTTGGTAGGAATTATCCCATTTATAGCAAGAGGAAAAGAGAACTTACACATTCTGGCAAGAAAAAGGCTTTCCCACTTACAGATAAATATTGATGTTGGCTTCAACACAGCAGAAATCACACACTAATTCAAATATGGAAGACTTTGAGGAGCCTTACAATACTGCATTTCGTGTCTTTCCATTGAGGATAGAGTTTAATCAACATTTTTGCATTCAAGGTCAACCAAACCAGCAGTCTTGGCTGTGGATTCAGAGAGGTTTACAGATTTTTTTTAATGTGGTTCCTTTTTTAAGACCAAATGAAATTCTGGAAGATACACAATCTTAAATTGTAATTCCATAAGATTTGACAAATGCATCCATCCATATAATTCACATTCCTATCTATAGAATGTAACTGTCAACCTAGAATTTTCCCTTTAGCCACTTATTAGTTAAAATATCACCAGGAGGCACCACTCTGAATAATTTTTTTCAACATAGATTAGTTTTGCCTATTCGAGAAATTCATAGAAATGAAATCATACAGTGCATCCTCTTTGGTGTCTGGCTTTTTGTTCTTAGCATTAAGTTTATGCTATCTGGCCATGTTGCTGAGTATGTAAGTTGTTCATCTTTATTACTTAATATTACTTCATTATATGATTATACCATGATTAGCTTATTCATTCTAGTTTTAGGCAATTATAAATAGGGTTTCTGTGAATATATTTTAGAAAATATTTTGTAAACATATATGCTCATTTCTTTTGGCTAAACACCTAGGAGTGGAATTGCCAAGTCAGACAACAGAGATATATTTAACTTCATAATAAAATACCAAAACATTTTTCCAAAGCAGTTCTTTAATTTGTTACTCCCACCAGAAATGTATGAGAATCTGCTTATCATCCAACTTTACTAATATTTGATGCCACTATTCTTTTAGTGGTACCTAATTTTGGTTTGCGTGTGCATTTTCCTGATGTGAGAATTTTTTATATGTTTATCAGCTATTCATATATCATCCTTTGTTGGTATTGATGTAATTTCATTTATTTCATTATTTATATTTTTATCGTGATATCTGAATTTTGTATATTCAAAATAAAAGACCTTTTCAGACATACGTGTTATAAATATTTTCTCCCATAATGTGGCTTGTTATTCTTAACTTTGTTATCGATGTCTTCATGAGAAAAAGTTTTAAATTTGATTGATCCTGTCTGAGCAATCTTTACCTATTTCAAGTTTTCTTTTAGAAAATAATTAATTTTAGCTTTTACATTAGGATTTCTGCTCTATCTTGAATTAATTTTTGTATATGATTTGACAGGGGTCAAGATTTTTTTTTCAATACAGATATGCTGCTTTTCAGCACCATGTGTTGAGAAGACATTCCTTTCTCCATTGAATTACTTTGGCACATTTGATAAAAATAAATAGAACATATCAGTGTGCCACATTCCTGGATTCTGTATTGTTTCCTGCTAATGTAGGTCTGCTCTCATACAAACATTGATTACTGCAGTTCCATAGTAAAATTTGAAGTCAAATTTAACTTTGTACTTCTTTTTAAAAATTGTTTTAACTCTTCCCAGTTTTTTACATTTCTGTGTAAATTTTGGAATCTACTGGTGAATTTCTTACAAAAAATGTCCGCTGAGTTTTTAAATGGGAATTCCTTGAATTTATAGAACAATTTGAGAATTGACATCTTAGAATATGGAGATTTCCAGTCCATTATTATGGTATATTTTTCTGTTTATTCAGATCTTTTTAAATTTATCACAGAAATGTGGTTTTCAATGTGTATATCTTGCACA
Organism: Homo sapiens; assembly: GCF_000001405.40. NCBI lineage: Eukaryota > Metazoa > Chordata > Mammalia > Primates > Hominidae > Homo > Homo sapiens. Next base: position 115,538,578 of record NC_000009.12, on the reverse strand, counting down.
AATTTTATTAAATTTACTCCTAAATATTGTATGGTTTTGGATGCTATAGTATAACTTAAAAATTATTTTTCAATTGTTTGCTGCTGACATATAGAAAGATAATTTTCACATATCCATTTGTATCCTATGATCTTATTAAGTTCATTTTTTTCTAGTAATTGCTTTTTATATTTCTTAGAACTTTCTATACACAACAATGCAAATAGTTTTAATTATTTCTAAACCCCATGCCTTTTCTCCTTGCCTTATTCCATAGACCAGAGCCTCTAGTAAAATGTTGACTCAAAATGGTAAGAGTGGATATTCTTATCTTGGTCTTGATTTTTACAAAGAAGCATTTAATTTTTAATAATTAAGTACAGTGTGAACTCTAAATCTTTTTCTAGATACTTAATCAGATTGAGAAAAGTTTCTTTCTATTCATAGCTTATTAAAAGTTTTATCATGAGTGAGCATTGGGCCTTTTCCAATGATTTTTCTGAATTTATTAAGATATTATTGTGTTTTTTCCTTTTATTCTGTTAACATAATAAATTGTATTGCTTGACTTTTAAAATATAAAAGAATGACTTTCCCTTCTTGGGACAAAGGCAGCTTTATTCTTTTCATTTATTGTTGGATTCAATTTGTTAATGTTTTAGTTATTTTTTTGCCCTTAAATTTACAAGATGTATTGGTCTGTCATTTTCTTTTCTTTTTTCTTTTTAACTTTTTTTTTAAATTTTAAGTTCAGGTGTACAAGTGCATGTTTGTTACATAGGTAAACTTGTGTCATGGGGGTTTGTTGTACAGATTATTTCATTACCGATGTATTAAACCTAATACTCATTAGTCATTTTTTCTTATCTCCCACCCTCCACCCTCCAAAAGGCCCCAGCGTGTGTTGTCCCCCTCTTTGTGTCCATGTGTTCTCATCACTCAGCTCCAACTTGTAAGTGAGAGCATGCAGTATTTAGTTTTCTGTTTCTGTGTTAGTTTGCTAAGGATAATGGCCTACAGTTCCATCCATGTCCCTCCAATGGACATGATCTCTTTCTTTTTTATAGCTGCATAGTATTCCTTGGTGTATATGTACTACATTTTGTCTTTGCTTAGAATATCTTTTTCAGGTTTTTCTCTCAGGGCAATGGCCTCATAAAAGGGGTGAGAAAGTGTTCTCTTCTTTCCTATTTTCTGAAAGTTTGTAATTACTATCATTTCTTCCTTAAATGTTTGATAACATTCATCAGTAACAACAGCTGAAGCTAGATTTTCTTTGTGGAAATATTTTTCACAGTAATGTTTTTAATTTGTTAAAAATAGCAATTCTCAAACTTTGGCATACATCAGAATGACCTGTAGGGGCTTTAAAACACGAATTGTTGAATATCATTTTCAGAGTTTCAGGTTCAGTAGTTCTGAGGTGAAGCTGCAGAGTTTTCATTTTAATAAGGTACTGCATGATGCTAATAGTTCTGGTTTGGGGATTCAACTTTGAGAACCAGGGTTTTTAAAAGATATAGAGCTCTTTAAATTTGTATTGGTCACTTTTTGTTAAGTTGTATTTGTTTTTCAAGACTGTTTTTCCCATTTCACCTGAATTTATTGGCATGTTGTATTTATTGGCATGTTGTATTTATTGGCATGTTGTTAATATTCTCTTACTATGCTTGGAATATGTATGGGACATTTAGTAATTACATCTCTATTATATAAGGAATTTATGTTTTTATTTTTGATGAGTCTTCATTAGAGATTTATCAAAGTTTTACACTTTCCTGGGGACCTACTTTTCACTTTATTTTTATTCTCTATTGATTTTTTATTTTACTGATTTCTGCTCTGAACTTTGTTACCTTTCTTTTACTAATTTCGAGTTTATTTGTATATCTTGTTAATGTGAACATTTAGATCGTTGATTCTAAATCTTTACTTTTCTAGTATAAACATTGAAACTATTTTATTTTCTCTAGGCACTGCCTTAGAAGCCTTCTAACATGAAACTGTTTCTTACCTCTTTCTCTCTGGGGTAGAGAATGTTTTTGCTCTAGGCTACACTTTCCCCTCCAAGAAGCAATGGGTCTTTTCTGATGCCCTAGGAGAGATAGAAGATGCTCGCACTCCCCCTGAGGCTTAATGATTTTGAGAAGAGGTTCTGAGCAGGAAGTCCAGCTTGTCCCTCTCCTACTTCATGCCTGCAATGCAAAAGGAGGCCCTGTTCAGTCTCCCATCCTGCCCCTCTTCTGTCTCCTGAGCACCATGTGATGGTCCATGGAAATGACCCAGCAAGTGGCTGTGAATCCTTTTCTTAATGTGAGGCTTCCAGGGTTTCTATACTCTCACACTCACCCACACTTGGCTTTGTATATTTCAAAACTGCTAAAAGGGTAGACTTTTTTTTTTTTTTTAACATACACGCGAAGACTTCATTTATCCACACCAGGATTACTGAACAGAAAAACAAAGGTGGTGGGAAGTTGGTATACATAGCATCTCATTTACAGGATGATCTTCAAGAGGGAGGGTTAATCCTGTGGTTGTATCACAACCTTTATCAGAAATGCCATCTTCTCTTCCTCTCTCTTGTTAAATATCCCTTACAGTCAGCAGCCCATGGCCCACAACAGCAGTCACATGCTCCAGGATCTAAAAAGTAGGCTTTAAACATTCTCACCACAAAAAATAATAAGTAGGTGAGATGAAGGATATGCTAATTAGATTGATTTCATCATTTCATAATGTATACATATACCAAAACATGACATTGTACCCCATAAATACATACAATTATTATTTGCAAATCTTTTTTTAAAAATAAGCAAATCCTAAGAACCACTTTGTTACTACTTTATCTGATTCCTTTTTAGCTGCTTGTATGGTGGCAAGGTCTTGCTTCTGTGCTGTGCCACAGCTGAGAGGATCCCATCTCATGTCTCTTAGAGGATCCTGTCAGCTACCTGGTGGCTGTGTGAACTCAGCTTTCTGATGGCTTCAAGGAAAGCTGTGATTTTGTGGCTTAACTGGTATTTTTCTCATTATCAGGATGAAAGTTACACTTTTTTTCCAGTTTTCTGTACCTTAGACAACAACAGAAGTCCCTCACCTTCACTTGTGGATGGTATTTTCTCTTCTTATAGAATTATGAGCTAGTAGTAGATTTGTTTCTTCTTTTGGTACTTTAATGAGGCTCTTCTATTGTCACGTCACCCTAGCATTATTGCTTCTAATAATGTCACCATCATTTGTTTATTTGATCAACTGTATGTAATGTGTCAAGGTTTCTTTTCTTTTTTTTTTTTTTTTTTTTCTGGCTGCTTTCAAATTCCTTCCCTCTCTCTCTCTCTCTGTTTCTTCTCCCCCCGACCCAATCTTTTCCAAGATGTTTGCCTACAATGTTCATAGTTGCAGTTTATTTGTATTCATTTAGCTTAGGGTTTCCTGGGCTTTTTCACCTGTAAGTATCTATTTTTTCATCAAATCCAAGTAAAACCCTTTTACTTTTTTTTTTTTTTTTAATTTTACTTTAAGTTCTGGGATACATGTGCTGAACATGCAGGTTTGTTACATAGGCATACATGTGCCATGGTGGTTTGCTGCACCTATCAACTTGTCATCTAGGTTTTAAGCCCCACATTCATTAGGTATTTGTCCTAATGCTCTCCTTCACCTTGCCCCCCACTCCTCAATAAGCTCCAGTTTGTGATGTTCCCCTCCCCATGTCTATGTGTTCTCATTGTTCAACTCCCACTTACGAATGAGAACATACGGCATTTGGTTTTCTGTTTCTGTGTTACTTGGCTGAGAATGATGGCTTCCAGCCTCGTCCGTGTCACTGCAAAGGACATGAACTCATTCTTTTTTAGGGCTGCATCATACCACATGAACTCATTCTTTTTTCTGGCTGCATAATACTCTTTTTCTTAATTAAAATATTTGGTTCCTTTATCTCCTCTTCTTCTAGGATTCCAATTCCTGGTATATTAGAATGCTTGATATTATTCCACAAATATTGAAGTATTTTTTATTTTGATTTTTGTAGGTACATAGTACGCATATATATTCATGAGGTACATGAGATGTTTTGATATAGACATGAAATGTGTGATAATCACAGCATTGAAAATGGAATATCCCCTCAAGTATCCTTTGTGTTACAAACAGCCCAATTATACTCTTTTAATTACTTTAAAATGTATAATTAAATCATTATTGACTATAGAAAATTGTTGTGCTATCAAATACTAGGTCTTATTAATTTTTTTCTAACTGATTTTTTTAAATCCGTTAACCATCCCCACCTCCCCCCAACTCCCTGCTTTATTTTTTTAATGTTTTATCTCTGTTCTTCAGATTGAATACATTCTTTTGATCTGTCTTCTAGACCCTTTCTTCTGCTTTCTCTAATATTCTGTTTAAGCTATTCAGTGATTTTAAAATTCTACTTATTTCACATCTTAGTTTTAGAATTTTTATTTTTTGGTTAATATTTGGGCATTTGTAATGAATGTTTGTAATGGTCGTATTTTCTTTTAAGTTCTGGAACACATTTATAATAGCTGCTTTAAAGTTCTTGCTATTTCCAACATCTGGATCATTTCAGGGACTTCGCTTGCATAGTTTCTTTTTCGTTGCTTATAAATCCTTATTCACAGGTATAGTAATTTTTATTGTATGTTGAAAATTGTGAATTATATATTATAGATACTGAATTCTGTATTTTCCTCTTAAGAGTACTGATTTTCATTCCACCACATAGTTAATTTGATTTAACCTTGATATTCTGTCTCCCCATGAGTGAGCAGCAGCTGAAATGTTTCAGGATGAGAGAAATGTAAATGTCTTCCATATTTCTAGCTGCAGTTTTCTGCCAGATACCTCAGAATCTCTCTCATGCTTGCATAGTCAGCCAACATTGGGCAGTGTTTATATGCAGACTTGGGAGCTCCCTCCTTTATGTTCTCTCCTTTGCAGGATTTTCCCTCACTTTCAAGCCATTGTGGCAAATCCAAACTTTGCTTACTTCTCAAGCCAACAATGATGATGATTCCTGCTTGAGTTCCAGCTTCCTCTTTCTACATGATATGGGGAATGTCTCAAGGAAAAACTAAAATAAAAAAATCATGTAAACCTCACCCAGTTCACTTTATTTTTCAAGGGCCAAGTGTCTCCTGTTTTAAAACCCCATTACTCTAATACACCAACCTGTTTCAATGTGTATATTACTTTTTATTGGTCCATTGCCAAATAAATCAAAAAGCATCAATAATAATTTGCATACTATTTTGCATTCAGTAAAAAATTATTTGTGGGGTATGTTTACTATTATTTTGGCCAGTTTAAATAGAAGTGTTCTTTAATTCTAGAAACCTTGAGTGTATACCACACAAGACCAATATTTTTGTTTTCAATCAAAGCATGAGAAAAGCACTTTGAAAGTTAAAATATTAATTAAACAATAAATCATTATTATGTTAGGTTTTATTTTGCTTGTTTGATGAATTATTAGGCAATGGTTTAATCTTAGTTTCTAAATTTAGGTAATATACATGAGTAAAACCACATAGACTCTTTTACATCTAGAGATTTGGACATTGTTTCCTATCGAGTAGAATATACATTCAACATAATTTTTTAAAAATCATGAGGATTTCATTAGAATATGTTATTTTCTATCATCAACCTTACTACATAAGCATTTACAAATCATTAGATTGTGTTTAGTACTGCAACTATCAGTTAAATCTTTTGAGTACTTATGGCATTAGGTGCTGTTTGAAGAATGTTCTGAGTGATAAATTCATTTAATCTTTATATCAGCTCTGTGAGAGAAGGACTATGTTTTTCTCTAATTTCCAGTTGAGGAAACTGAGGCATAGAGAATCTTAATAAACTTGTTCAAAGTCACATTGTTGGGAAGTGGCAGAGTGGGCTTTGAACCCAGATATTCTGTTATCAGGGCCTTCAATTAAGAATGGAGAGCATAGAATACATTGTTTTTCAATATGGAAAGATAGGAAAGTTTGAGACCAAAAAGAAGAAAGCTAAGATGAGGGGAAGAATGGAAGGAAACCAACAGCTATACAGCAGAGAGTGTGAAGAAAGAAGGAACTGTCAACAACATCAGATGCAACAGAGAGATTGATCAAATAGTAAGAAAAACATAACCACTGGGTTTGGCAATTCCAAGGTGACTTTCATTAGAAGGACTTGGCAGAGTGGGGGACACAGATGCCTACGACAGAGGAATGAGAAAGTAGGGGCGACAAGGTGCATGGTGCAGACTTCTGTGAAGTTGGTATGGAGAAGCTTTTGAGGGTGAATGGAGGTGGAGAAGGGTATTTGGAGTTAATGTTTTTTTTTGTCTGAGGACATGTTTGTTTTGTGTTTAGGATGAGAAATGTGAGCATGTTTATGAGTAGATGAAACAAGGCCAGAAGACCAAAAAAGACTGGTACAGAAGGCTGATTATAAAACTATTTTTAAAGACCATTAGAGCTGCTTAAGACAAACAGAAAGCAAAAGGGAGGGATGTGTGTGTTGGAAAAGAAGGTGTGAAGCCAGCTTCACCTGCTCCTCTATATATTTCTCACAGGCCACTTTGCACTGGCATTTCAGACAGACCCAGATTTCATTGTAAAACCTTAGAGGCACATTGGCATATATTTCTCTGACAGAGCAGTCTGCTGATAAATTAAGTGTGAATGAATCAGATACAGATGGACTGAATTTTGCTTGAAATAAACATGAATTACAAAATTGGAAGAGGAAAAATGCTGAAGGAAAAATCACTTTGTGCCAACTGAAAATTGTTTGGAATGTCAATTTTCTGGCCTGGCTTGATATTCCCATTTATTCCTCAGCCCTCCTTCAACCTGTTCCCAATTTGTCTGAATAGATCATATCTATCAGTCCTCTGGGGCCTTCAGAACAGGTCTGGGGAAACCATGGAGGCAGGGACTTCTGGGAAGCAATGATATAAGATTTGTGTAGGCATTTATTAGTCAGCATGGAGTCTGTGGGGATGCTGGTGAGAAATGATTCTAGCATGCCTGAAGAATGTTCTCCCTAGACAGACTCAGTTCGTGGCAACATGTCAGAGTGGAAAAATCCATGGTTTTAAAGTCAGGCTGACTTGGCTTGGGATCCTGGAAACACCATATATTAGTTATATGACCTTAATCAAGTGACTTTTACTTCATAAGCCTCTATTGCATTATCTGGAAAATGGGAATAAAAAGTGCTATTTATATCATACAAATATTAGGTTTCCATGAGGTGCTGCATTCACAAAGCATACAGAGAGTTCATGATAATACTTATGTATTCAGAAAGAATAAGCCAGTTTCTATGCAGAGGGGGCCAACTTCAGAGACCTTCAGAGTCATCTAAAAAATAGAGCAGTGGTTTCCATGCTAAGTATCCTGAAGTAGAGACTCTTCAGTTGAGATTCAGAAATATATATATTTTCTAAACCTTCTCAGATGATTCTGATGATTGGTTACAATTAAGAACCACTGGAATAGAGGTTAGGGTAGGAATTTTTAAAAGCCTACCCATCTCCAGTGTGTAGCTTCTACGAAGCCTCTTCATACCCTTTAGGTTATTTCTGCTTTCCTTAATTCTCAGCCTTGTGGGTACCATGTAATTTCACAGAAAAACAACTATTTAATTATAGTAAAATTAAAATGCTGACACCAAATGATAATGTGGTTTTTCATGAAAGATCATCTCAGAGGGAGAAAAAAAGGCCATAGTGGTTGAGAAAGCACTGGAGTAGTCAAGATCCAATTCTACTTGTAGCTCCAGAAAGCAGAAAACCCACTCTATACCTCCAATTCATAATGTATTCTTCAAGGGGCTGTTCTGAGAAATAAGTGAGATAAGATGGAGAGCATCTTGGCATTTAGTAAATGACTGCTTTGGTAACATTAATAGTAATATTAATAGCCCAACTAAAAACGTCAGCTGGGAGTGGCCATATGACTGGGCTAGCCAATCAGACATAGTCAGAGCTATTTGTAAGGCTTCAGAGAAAGGTCTTTAAAAGGGGGTCCACTCAGCCAGCATGTACCTTTTATGCCTTGCCCTTCCCTCTTTTTTTGGTTTAGATCATGACTATGATGCTGGAAGTGGATCTGCCATTTTGGTGGAAACACATGCTAAAGAAAGGCTCAGTGAAAATAACAGGAAGAGCCTGAGTCTCCACTGGCATCTTGAAATAGCCATGGAAGCCCTGGATTACTTGCCTCCACATTTCTTATTGTATATGAGTAAGAAAATTCATGATTTATTTATGACACTTGTTTAAGGGTTTCTCTTACTGGGAGTCAAAGCAAATATTGATACATGAGCTATAAAACACCATAGAAGACCTTGAGTTCAAAACTCTGTAGAATAGATTTGCTGTAGAAGTTGGGAGCAGCCTTCTAGGACACTGGACTATGTGTTTCTGATAGCTAGCTAAAGAAAAATGAAGAGCAACTGGTTTGACCCACATTGATTGGGATCCAGAGACATTGAACGATGGTGAGGCACTGTAAGCTGGTGTTGAAATTGATGCTGGGAAGAAGAGTACAGTATTCCCCTTACCACCTTATCCATGATTTCAGTTACCCATGGTCATCCGTGGTCTCATAATATCAAATGAAAAATTCCAGAAATTGACAATTCATATGCTTTAAATTTTATGCCATCCTCTGTAATGTGAAGAAATCTGACATAGTCCTGCTCCACCCAGCCTGACACATGAATTGTCCCTTTGTCCAGTGTCTCCATGCCATCTATACTACCCACCTGTTAGTCACTTAGCAGCCATCTTGGTTATCAGATGGACTATTGCAGTATCACAGTGCTTATGTTCAAGTAACCCTTATTTTACTTAATAATAATCCCAAAGGGCAAGAGTAGTGATGCTGGCAATTCAGATATACCAGAGAGAAGCCACACAAAAGTGCTTTCTTTAAGTGAAAAGGTGAAAGTTCTCTACCTAATGAGAAAATAAAAATGGTATGCTGACATTGCTAAGATCTAGGGTGAGAGCAAATCTTCTATCCATGAAATAGGGGACGGTATTTTTTATAATTGTTTTACTTCAGTATTAGTTATTGTAAAAATTTTACCGTGCTTAATTTATAATTTAAACTCTATCATGGGTATGTATGCATATGAAAAAAATACAGTGTATATAGGGTTCAGTACTATCTGTGTTTTCAGGCATCTACTGGGAATCTTGAAACTTATCCCAAGTTACACAGCTATACAGGGGGCCTACTGTATCAACTGGAGCTTGAAGGTGATGCAACAGGAAGATGGAGAGATGACTGAACAGTTAGGATGTTTCTGATGTCATAGAGGTATTAGATGAGAATGATCTCCAATGCCTAAGAAACTGGGGGAGAAGGGGTAATTGGCAAAAGCTTTTATTCTCTCAGAATCTACCTTGTTGCACAGACTCCATAAGAGGCCACAAAACGTAGCATGGGTCAGGGCATACTTCTGTGGAAAGAATGCAGCCACGATGGAATCTCATAGGCCAAGTTTGAATTCTGGCTTCACCACCTGCCAACTCTACCAATTAACACCATCCTTCAGGATTTTAGTCTTCTCAACTCTCAACTGGCATAACAGTGGCTACTTGAGTAGATCACTGACAAGATGATAAATTATTACATAATTTATATATAAAAATGATTACATGATTTATATATAAATGATTACATAATTTATATATAAAAATTATTACTTGTAAATTTGTCTGAGTTCATTGTAGATTCTGGATATTAGCCCTTTGTCAGATGAGTAGGTTGCGAAAATTTTCTCCCATTTTGTAGGTTGCCTGTTCACTCTGATGGTAGTTTCTTTTGCTGTGCAGAAGCTCTTTAGTTTAATTAGATCCCATTTGTCAATTTTGTCTTTTTGCCATTGCTTTTGGTGTTTTGGACATGAAGTCCTTGCCCATGCCTATGTCCTGAATGGTAATGCCTAGGTTTTCTTCTAGGGTTTTTATGGTTTAAGGTCTAACGTTTAAGTCTTTAATCCATCTTGAATTGATTTTTGTATAAGGTGTAAGGAAGGGATCCAGTTTCAGCTTTCTCCATATGGCTAGCCAGTTTTCCCAGCACCATTTATTAAATAGGGAATCCTTTCCCCATTGCTTGTTTTTCTCAGGTTTGTCAAAGATCAGATAGTTGTAGATATGCGGCGTTATTTCTGAAGGCTCTGTTCTGTTCCATTGTTCTATATCTCTGTTTTGGTACCAGTACCATGCTGTTTTGGTTACTGTAGCCTTGTGGTATAGTTTGAAGTCAGGTAGTGTGATGCCTCCAGCTTTGTTCTTTTGGCTTAGGATTGACTTGGTGATGCGGGCTCTTTTTTGGTTCCATCAAAAAGTGGGCGAAGGACATGAACACACACTTCTCAAAAGAAGACATTTATGCAGCCAAAAAACACATGAAAAAATGTTCATCATCACTGGCCATCAGAGAAATGCAAATCAAAACCACAATGAGATACCATCTCACACCAGTTAGAATGGCAATCATTAAAAAGTCAGGAAACAACAGGTGCTGGAGAGGATGTGGAGAAATAGGAACACTTTTACACTGTTGGTGGGACTGTAAACTAGTTCAACCATTGTGGAAGTCAGTGTGGCGATTCCTCAGGGATCTAGAACTAGAAATACCATTTGACCCAGCCATCCCATTACTGGGTCTATACCCAAAGGACTATAAATCATGCTGCTATAAAGACACATGCACACGTATGTTTATTGTGGCATTATTCACAATAGCAAAGACTTGGAACCAACCCAAATGTCCAACAATGATAGACTGGATTAAGAAAATGTGGCACATATACACCATGGAATACTATGCAGCCATAAAAAATGATGAGTTCATGTCCTTTGTAGGGACATGGATGAAATTGGAAATCATCATTCTCAGTAAACTATCGCAAGAACAAAAAACCAAACACCGCATATTCTCACTCATAGGTGGGAATTGAACAATGAGATCCATGGACACAGGAAGGGGAATATCACACTCTGGGGACTGTTGTGGGGTGGGGGGAGGGGGGAGGATAGCATTGGGAGATATACCTAATGCTAGATGACGAGTTAGTGGGTGCAGCGCACCAACATGGCACATGTATACATATGTAACTAACCTGCACAATGTGTACATGTACCCTAAAACTTAAAGTATAATAAAAATTATTACATGATTTATAAATAAAAATTATTACATAATTTATAAATATATATAAATCTCAGCTATTGCTGTATTTCATTTACTATTTTAACAACAATCCTAGGTGCCAACTATATGCCAACTATTTTGCTAGATGCTACAGGAATACTGAACATGGTCTGTGTCTTTAAGTAGTGTGGAAAATAGCTGTATTCTCTATAAAAGAAAGACAGTAGTATTTTAAAATTAAATTCTGATCAAGTCACTCTTCTGTTTAAACTATTTTGAAGATTCCTATTATTCTTAGGATAAAAACCTGAAATCCTTAGTAGGACAATTATGGATAATGTTGCCCTTGCTTAAAAAACTCAGTCTAATCTCAAGCTACCTTTCGCTCTCTCAATTCCAGCTGCCTGTTTATTTCATATAGAGTGTATTTATGGCTATTTGATTAACGTCTATGTCTCATGACATCTTTGCTCTGTTGGGTCAGAAAGTTTTATCTGTTTTGCTACTCACTACATTCCTAAAGCCTGAGCAAAATTTCTGACAGCCAGGAGGTTGTCAAGAAATAGGCTTTTAATAAAAGGAACAATAAATGACAAGTAAAAGCTACAATGGTAGATAAAGTTATCCCATGCAACAGGAGCACAAAGAGAGAAACAGCAAACTCTGCCTCAGGTAGAGGAAGTAGCCTTTGAATATAGTAGAACAAACAAGCTTAGCTTTAAAGCACACCACAGAAGAGTTATCCAAGCAGAGAAGCTTTTTGTTTGTGCAAAAATCCCAGGAGGTACTAATTGTGCAGACCTCATTCTTCACCTATAAAATGAACTACCTGATACCTATTTAAGAGAGGGAAGTTATGAGTATTGGCTGAGATGCATGATGTAAATATGTCTGCCAAATATATATAAGGTGTTGTGATCAGAATCTACCTGTCTCATAAGCCTGGTTTATATTATGGCATTCTTGAAAATAAAAAATAATTAAATAATAATAGTAATAATAATAGTGACAATAATAATAAAAACAAAAAGTAGTGGGAAAGAAGAAGAGGAGAAGGAGGAAGAAGAGGAAGAGAAGGAGAAGGAGGAGGAAGAGAAAGAGGAGGAGGAGGAGAAGGAGGAGAAGGAAAAGAATAATTTTCTTTGTTTATTTTCTACTATGTACCTAGAACTTGATGTACAGTATTTTAATCCTATAAAAACTTTCATAGTAGCTAGTATTTTCTTCATTTCAATGATAGAGAAACTGACTTCCAGAGGTTTTAAATGTCCTTTCCAAAATCATAGAATAATAAGCAATTTATATAAACAGTGAAATTCTAATATCCTGGCCATCAACAATTATTTATTATGTACCTACAGTGGATCAGTCCATCTTTCTATGCTCTAGAAATGCAACTGTATATAAAAAGATAGATATTCTGCCTTCATGAAGCATAGAGTCCACTGGCATAAGCATATTGCAGAGATCCTGATGCTGATTGGTACCACACCATGAGAGGGGCATCTCTTTCCCATACTAAGGGGCATTACTATAGGCAGACAGTGACTCATTTAAGTCTCTATGAATGTCTTGCCACCTCACCTTGATACTAAATATTCTCATATCATGAAGTCAGAGTCATAGGAAAAGGGCAGAATCAGAGGCTAAAATGGCCAATTGGTGAGGTTGTAGCAGAATGACATCTCAGATTCTATTGTCCAGAGCCAGAAAGCAGAAGGGAGCTGGAGTTGGCCCAGACACTTGAGTTCTTGTTCACATCAGTCTGGAATATGTTGATACTCAATAAATATTTGTAAGCTGTCACTGTAAAATTTAGGAGCAGTCATGTGCTGCCAGCACACGAGAGCCCGTTACTTTCCAACTCCACATTCAATAAAATAGATCATGATGAGAGTATTTTTTAAACAGAGAAATCAGCAAATACCATAGATTGGTCCCTGCCCACCACCACCCTGACTTGGTTGGTAAACATTTACCAGCATACCACTGGAGAAAGAGCATCTCTCTCTGAGTCATTGTTTCTCCGTCTTTTCAAGGGGTAGACGATGAAGTGATTTTAAAGCCCCCAGAAAGCTGGATGATATGTTAGAAACAGCAAAGGTCTGGGGCAAGGCATACTTGGATTAAATTATAGATGCTGGCCACACATTGCTCTTGGAACGTTCAGCACGCTATTTGTCTCCCTGAGCCGCAGTTCCCTCCTATGTAGAATGAGGCTATTCACTTCTGCATGATTAGATTTTTCTAGGTGTTAAATATCAACATGGAAAACATGGAAAAATATAGACTCTAATAAGTGTTAGACTCCCCTTATTCCTATCATCTTCACAAATTATAAATAAAAGAATGAGCAAATACATAAATTTTCATTTTTTTCAGAGTTTGTATACCCCTCTTTTGCTTGATTACTTTTAGTTTTTTTGGTGTTATATAATAAATACCCATGATTTACTGCTATTATTATTTATTATCATTATCATTATTATTGTATGCTCTAAATTCCTACTCTATAATGGTAATATTTTTAAAGAATCTTCAAAACATAACTATCTGTAGCCAATTTCCTTTGGAAGGGACAAATAAATATGCATTATTCAGCAGCTACTTGGTAGCAGGCATTGTGCTGGCATGTTACATATTTGGCTCATTAAGCCTTCCAAAAGATAAGAGCGGAGTCTACATCTCAGAGAGAAAACGTTTTCTTTGGACATCATCAGAAGCCCACTTATACCACCAGGGAGCAGTAAAGAGCCACTGTTCAGGATTTTGAAAACTCCAAATCCCCACTACCAGATCACAGCAGTTCTCTTTGGACACAACATAATGGTAAATATTAAGTCTTGGCTGGCCCACCAGTCAGATGAGGGTCAGTGTTGAGGGAAAGGGCCTGTGAGCTAGACCAGCATGTCTGATTTTAGGTACGTAATCCATAGGAGCTTCCAGGAGATTAATAAGCAGGGATGTGGTTTTCCAAGTGATCACGGAGATAATACATTCCTTCCACTGCTTTTTGGAGAAAATGAAACTGAGCCCCAGAGATGGACAAAGACTTATCAAAGCTAGCTTAGTAGGTTGGCAGCAGAGCTAGAGCCAGAACCTGTACACAGTGTCTTCACACTGATACCTGTTGATAAGTAGGCACATACGTTCTGAAATATTCTGATATCACCATTATCCTGTATTGCCAAGGAAGAGACTGTTACCTTTTTTAATGGAAGGTGTTTCCATCCTGGGATTCCCAAGGGGTCTTTGCACATAGTACTTCCACTGGTATTGTTATTAGACAATCTTGAGTTTATTGCTGCTTTATAAAAGATAGCCAGGAACATAGGTAATTACATGTAAGAGAGCTTATCAAAGACAAACTTCAGCATCTTTTTCAGAAATATAATTTTGGTGACCACAGATAAAAGACCTTTTTCATTTTGAACATGGTGCCCAGAAAGGACTCTAGGAGGAGATCCATGCACTCATTCAGTCTTCTTTCTTTAGTGAAATAATAAATAAATCACTAGAGTGCAACTCCGCAGCAGGTTCTAGCTTAGAAACTGTGCATGGATAGAATTAAGGTGTAATGCCTTAATGGTTATAGGTAAGATGTAATTCCCACTCTCAACAAATCTGCTGTCTAATAGCACATATTAGCAAGAAATGGTGCAATTGCATTATAGAATCGTGAAATTGATTGTGGTGGGATATATGCCAGTGATTAAATTTTGTTTTTCCTTCTGTTCTCAACAAGACACATGCCAGGAAACCATTTTTGATTCATCAAGAGCAGTCTCTCCTAGAACTGGGGAAAAAGAGAATAGGGTACTTTGCAAATCTGAACATACATGTAGATATTTTGAAATCCCATGATGAGCCTCTACTGGAAAGATAAATCACTCTTTTGTCACTGAGGTTAGAGTTCCATAAAAGAAAACTGAGGAACTAAGGACACATCTCTTGGAAGGATGAGACTGTCACCCCATTATATAAGGGAAGGGCAGTCTGATCCTTTGTGCATGAAAAATCTGCCTGCCCCCTTAAGTCAATTCCCAGGAAGGAAAGGGCACAGGGATTCTAGGCTGGTGATATAGCAGACGTAGTCACTTCCTTGACCAGAATTCTTGGGTCTAGCAGATAACTTGGCTACATACCTGAGAGAGCTGAGTATGAGGATTTTCAAATAGAGAACTCCACATTGGGGACCTCTTTGCCTGGCTCAGCTAAGAATATATAAGCATGTTCTCCCTTGAAGAACCACGGCAGGTGGCATGACAATTGGACAAGTGAGGTCTTGTGGCAAGATGAGCCGTATGGCCTGTCAGAGCAGAGATTAGCAGTTTCTAAAGGGACAGATTTGGCAGCTGAAAGCAATGAGAGAAATGCTCTTATCTGACACCCCTCCTCTTGCTTTATCTTAGAGGTTGGGGATTTCATAAGCTCATGTTGTGTTTATTGTTGTTGCGATGGTTGTTCTGCTTGTTCATTTTTAACAGTTTTTTTTTTCTGTTGAGAGAGTACTCCAAAAATTTAACACTGTACAATAATGAAGTCATAGGATGGAGTGATGTATGCAGTCATGAAGCATCTGGGGACCTGAGAGATCAACTGGAAACATCCAACAAATGTGACTCTATTTTCACTCTGAGTTCAAGGGGTTGTTTGTAGAGGTTAAAGCAATATTGGAATTGTAGATTGCTGTGGGTACAAAGAAAAGAGATCTCACTGATGGCTGCACCAAAATCAGAAAAGGCTTCCCAGAAGAGGGAGGGCTGAGAACAGGTGAACTCCGGACAACCATCAAAAGAGGAAATCTGGGCAATGGAAACATGTGCAAGGCAGAGATGGCTGAATTCTTAGCTGAGTGTTTTGCATTTGCCTTGTATCTGTGTGGGGATGTGGGGAATCAACTTACAGAATATACAAGGAATCATTTCGTTTTGTTTCTTCATTTTTAGCATATCAAATTTGGAATTCCACATGACCAGAGCATCGGGTTCATGAGTAGAATGAACAGAGAAGAGGCCAGCAGCCATGCTTACTGGGTTAGAGAGTCATAGGTTATCTTCCAGGCCATGGGAAACTCTGTTAGAGAAAGAATCTCTTGGCTTCTGAAGAATAAAACCTCCTAGTTTGTGGGCCATAGAGTGATATCTCTATCTCAAGCTAGAGACCTAAAAGGAGAGAGGAGATAAATAAGTACATAGTCCTTTCCCAGTCACTGTTCATTTGGTCTTTGTATTAGTCCATTCTCATGCTGCTATGAAGACATACCCAAGACTGGCTAATTTATAAAGGAAAGAGGTTTAATTGACTCACAGTTCCACATGGCTGGGGAGGCCTCAGGAAACTTACAATCATGGTGGAAGGAGAAGCAAACACGTCCTTCTTCACACAGCAGCAGGAAAGAGAAGTGCAGATGAAATGAAGGAAAGCCCCTTATAAAACCATCAGATCTCATGAGAATTCACTGAGTATCATGAGAACAGCATGGGGGGACTGCCCTGTAATCTAATCACTTGCCACGAGGCCCCCCACCATGACACGTGGGTATTATGGTAACTACAATTCAAGATGAGACTTGGGTGGGGCACAGCAAAACCGTAGCAGTCTTCATAACTACGAAGTAGGATAGGCAGGGCTGTTCTTTGATTGATGGGTGATGAGGATCAGGGCACAAGATGCCTGTTGGAGAGGTCAGAAACCTAACTTGCACCAGCACCTTCAGGTGAGAAAAGCAAATTGCACTCTTAAATGCTTTCTATCATTTCTCTTTCTTCCACCCTGTTGCTTCTTTAGCCAAATTTGGCTGCAGAATCTGGCTTCAAGTGATTCATTTCTATGATCTGATCCTTAATTTTAACAATTGTATGTGATATACAGTATAAACTTTGTCTTTCCTAAGTGTGTTGAGAAGCATAAAACCCAAACTCTTTGAGAGGCTTAGACTGCCATTCACAATCTGGCCCTGCACCTCCTGCCAGCTTCGTCTCCTAATACTCAGCCGTGTATCTCTCCACCTGTGATATCTTATCCAAGTCACACTGAATGACTGAATTCTGTGAAATCATCCTATGCACTCTCAAATCCAACCCTCCTGCCTCACCACATTTCCTATTCATACAGAAAACAGTTCTTTCCATCCTCATCCCAATTACTGGAGAATTCCCACTCTTCCTTCAAGTCTAGGCTTAGACACCTGACTTTCCCACCAGATAAATAGACTCTAGCAGGTAGTAAGCAGGGTTGCCTTATCCTTTTATCATCTCTCCAACACCAAACATAGCATTTGACAAATGATGCATGCTGAAACAATGATTGGGTTAAAAAATAAATGACTAAATATACTAGTGCAGATAATATGAGAATTTAAAGGGAGAGGTTAGGAAAGATGAAATAATGCTGTGGTACAACCTGTGGTCATTTGTTTCCATGGCAGCTTGGGACTCCTCATATTCCCACATTCTGCCCTTGCTTGAGAGGTGAAACAAGGTCTGCTCGAACAGGAGCCCATTTTCCTCTGGACAGTATCCATTGCTCCTATTCTGCATTCTTTTGCCTCTGATGTTTTCAGTGAAGCCAGGAGCTTCTTGGATCTTTATTAGCTCAGGCTGTGTGAACAGACTCCAGGCCAGAGTTTCAGCTGGGAAGAATGCCCCTGGTGTGAACAGAGCTGTTCTGAATGCATGTGGAGAAAGCAGGTGGCATTTGCTCTTGCTGTGAGCAGACGTGGTGGTCAAGCGTGAAGGAAAGGGAATGAGAGTCAATTATGTGTTGAGTCCCTCAAAAGCAGTGGGACACTGTAGAAACTTAGCTTAAAATTTGGAAGCACACATCCCGTATTTAGAGTGCAGGTCTTTCACTAACTATCTGTATGACTTTGGGCAAGGAAGTTATCATCTTTTCTAAATCCAGGTTCTTGAGAATAATATCAGTACCTAACTCTTAGACCTGTGCTAAGGATTAAATGAAGAGCATCTCATGCACTGCTTAAATGAATTCTTAGCATTTAGAAGTCTTTTTTTTTTAATCTATCTACCCACCATCTATCTAATTAAATGTATGAATAGGAAATATCCCTTCCTTTACACATAACATAATTTTAACAACTCTGAAAATTAACACAGCATCAGATAATTTTATTCTATTTTAATCTTTCACTATGTATTCCCAATAAACAGTAGCTAAATGCTCTAAGCCAGTACCAAGAACCCACAGTATAAGAGGGTCTACATATTACCAGTTCTCTAAATCCATAAGATGTGTAACAATATTCTGTAAGAGAATATCCTAACCCCGTTATCTGAAAATACACACAACTAGCAGCCTGTGCAACAACTATACCGATTAGTACTTATCTTCTGCCATGAATGTTGATTCCAGAGAAACTCTGGTTATTAATCATTCTCACCCCACCTTCATCCATCCAACCAAAGCTGTCATCTCCCAGGGTCAGCAGGCTCTAATAAGTCAGGGAAGTCAGATATATGTAAAGTTAGTTCTGCAGCCAGTTTGAAAGCCTGAGATCCATTCCTCCAGTAGACGGGCCCAGGCCTCCCAATCTCATTGGAAACATTAGCACCCAGAGGTAGACTAGGGAGGATATTCATGCATTGGTCCTGCTCCAGGGCCAGTGTGGTGGGTACTGCTCTGGCTTGGCTAGCCCGCTTGGGCTTTAGTCCAGCAGCACACAGCTCATCACTCCTCTCTGTAGATATAATGGGGCCATGCTTGACTTCTGAGCCAATCAAAGTAGGAGCCATGCCAAGCTTTCCATAAATTCTGCTAAAAACATATTTACATCAAACAAATAAGTCCTTCACATCTAGACTTCAGGTGTGAAACTGACTAAAAGTCTCTGTTCCTAGCTCATTGAGTTATTATTGTATTGACACAAATTAAGACCTCATCTATGGACTAGCTATAATGGATCCTAAGCATGGTGTACTGTGGTGTTCATATTTTCTCCTACCTAGTCTGATTATGCAACCCCCCTTTTTATCTTTATAGAATCCCCTTTCCTATGGTAAAAATCCTCTCCCAAGTTATATGGTCCTGGTGAAAGAAGGAAGCTCGGCATTCTTGTAGCTGCCAGTTATAAAACTAAGGGAGATCTAGGTTGGTCTATTCATAATACTGGCTTTCATTGAACAGAAAGGGTGACTCAAAAAGTGTGTGTGTGTGAGAGAGAGAGAAATGAGGAGGAAGAAGGAGGAGGAAGAGGAGGGGAAGGAGAGGAAGAGAAGGGAAGGGAGGAGAAGAAGATCATTTGAGACTTAGAACCTAAAATAAGAATCTGACACAAGTAAAGTCAGTTTCCACTCCCTGGAAAGCATAAGTTGTGTGTGTGTGTGTGTGTGTGTGTGTGTGTGTGTGTATTATAGATGATTTATACTTTCTGTGGTTTTGTTTTAATTTTTTTAATAAAAGAGAAAAAATACAAACAATAAGAAAAGGTAAATCTATTCCAACAGAAGGAATTCAGTATTTCAATTCAATGAATGCAATTTACAGTAGGAAATTAATAGTATTAAATAATAATGATAATAATCATAAATAAAATAGTGAGGAGGTATCTCAAAAACATAATGTTGAATTTAAAAAGCCAGATTCCTAAGAATACATGGAGTACATGCTATATAATTCCACCAATATAAGGTTCAACAACAGGCAAATGTAATCTCTTAGAAGCTATGTATCAGCAGAAGAGGAGTTACCCTAATGGAAGATACTGAAGGGCATAAGAGGAGGGTTTCTGGGGAGTTGACCATGTTCAGTTTCTCATCTGTCTGCTGGTTTGGGTGTGTCCTTAAATTGTGAAAAATTTGGCCAGTCACAATGGCTCACGCCTGTAATCCCAGAACTTACTTGAGGCCAGGAGGAGTTTGAACACAGCCTGGCCAACATGGCAAAACTCTGTCTCTACTAAAGAATACAAAAATTAGCTGAGTGCGGTGGTACATGCCTGTAATCCCAGCTACTCAGGAGGCTGACATGGGAGGAACGCTTGAGCCTGGAAGGCGGAGGTTGCAGTGAGCTGAGATCACGCCACTGCACTCCAGCATGGGCGATAGAGTGAAACTCTCTCTCAAAATAATAATAATGATAATAAAATTGTGAAATTTTTTCAGCCATGCACTTGTGATTTGTGCCCATTTCTATAGGTCTGCTATATTTTACTGGGATGCCAAAAAAATTCTTAAACAAATCTTGTCCTAAATCACCTAAATTAATTGTTCAGTAAAGATCTTTACGTTGTTCTGGTGGGCTCACAAAGAATATCCTATAAATTTGATGTGATATAACTCATATCTTCCCTTTTTTTAATTCAAAACTTGTCCTTACTGGCTTGAAAAGTAATGACTATTGCACTTGCATTCTCCTATGCTGCTTTTTTCTTTTCTTTTGCTTTTTTTTTTTTCCAATTCTCAGCAAAATTTTGAAACTACTCTCCTCATAAATTACTGTGGGGTTAAAGGCATGTTTTTCTGGGCCTGATTCACAATCCACTTTCTGAATGGGTCAAGAGAAGCTAGCTCTGCTTTCTCTGAATGATAACATAGGCATGCCCAACAATTTATGGAAGGAAAGTGCAGTAATTACTGTAGTGCTCATTTGTTTATAAAAGCCAGACTGAACTCCACATATGTAAAACATTCCCAGATTTTAGATGTAATATGTGTAAATGTAAATTTAGCACAATATTATTTCTTTACCAACCAGCACCAGATTCCTCTTTAGGAGTAAATTACCTCTTACTGGAAAAATTTTTCTTGATATATGGCTGTGATAGAAATTTACATTCCAATAAATTAGAGGTTGGAGAATTCCAGTGCTTCAGAGAAAACAGGCCAAGTCACTCTGAGTAAGAATGGGGGATGTGGGGTACAGGAGTGGATCTGTGGTCCTTTGGAGAAAGGGATGATTAGAGAGTGAAAGAGATTGGGGAAGATGAGTAGAAGTCCTTGGTGATGTGGGATGTTTTTTTTTTTTAATAGAGCTATACAAACCCTTGTGTGAATAGGGATTTATGGAGCTGAAGGACATGACTGACTTTCTTATTGAAATTAACATCATGGGCTAGGTGAGGTGGCTCACGCCTGTAATCCCAGCTCTTTGGGAGGCCGAGGCGGGTGGATCATGAGGTCAGGAATTCGAGACCAGCTTGACCAACATGGAGAAACCCCATCTCTACTAAAAGTACAAAAAATTACCTGGGCATGGTGGCACATGCCTGTAATCCCAGCTACTTGGGAGGCTGAGGCAGGAGAATCACTTGAACCCGGGAGGAGGAGGTTGCGGTGAGCCGAGATGCGCCATTACACTCCAGCCTGGGCAACAAGAGCGAAACTCCGTCTTAAAAAAAATAAATAAATAACATCATGCATGTTATAAGATCAACAGAGACCAGAGAAAGAAGGAGTTCAGGAGGCAGAGGAGGCCCCGAGAAATCAGTTGCTGGGTATCTGTGGAATATTTGGTTAGGTTTTGACTTTCACTGGAAATGCACAGGTCATAGAATCAGCAGAGAAGGAGAATGGGGTGTGATCAGGGGAGCCAAATGACAACTGAATTACCTAAATATGAAAGTGAGTTATCTTGAAATCATGCTTTTCACCATGCTATAAGTTTGGCTTTACATTTTGTTTTGTTTTGTGTTTTCGCTACTTTACTGAGATTGATACACACACAAAAAGCTCTGGATATTTAATTTATACAAAGTGATGTTTTTGCGGATAAGCATACGCTTATGAAACCATCAATCACAGTCAATGCCATACATTTACTCATTGCCTCCAAAGCTTTCATCTCAATCCCTTTGGTTCTATTTTGGGTTTTGTTGTTGCTGCGGCTGCTGTTGTTTTCTTTTGTGATAAAAAGCCTTAACATAAGATCTGCCCTCTTAGCAAATTTATACTTTTAACCATATACAACATCTCAATGGTCCTCGACACTTTTGTAGAAGGGAGAGTTTTATTTCATTTCACAAAATCAGGTCACTCATCACATATTACAAAATTTATGATATGCCCCATGCCTTGTGCTAAGTGCTAGGGATGTAGCGCCAAGCACGTCAGACCATGACACCCTGGCTTTTGTCTAGGCTTATGTTCTAGCAGAGATAGCAGGAATTGACACAAATTATTATACAAGTGTTCTGTCAACATCCTATGGAGGTTGTAATAGGAAGTGCAAACTTCATTTGGGAAAAATATCACAATGTCTCAGGAAGAAGATTTTTAAAGTGGGTGATTTGCATCGAGTTGCCTTGAAGGTCAATAAGGAATGATAGAAAAAGGTAGAGGCACGCAAGCATATTCATCCCAGTCAGATTCATCCTAATCCATCTCAGGTAGCTATGAAATATCTCTTACTGATCCATTAAATTTCTCTGTAAACCTGTCTTCTTGGAAAATAAAAATTGTATGCAAGGAATGTGTGTTATATTTAATAGTTGTTTTTAAAAATGCCCTCAAGTTGTACAAATAATCCTCTGAAAAGTTATTCAAACCAGTAACTTTTCCTTTCTAGAAATAACATGTCATTAAAAGTAACTGGTCTATAAGCCAGGCAATAGTGGCCAATGCCGGTAACCCCAGCACTTTAGGAGGCCAGGTTGGGAGGATTGATCGAGCCCAGGAGTTTGAGACTAGCCTGGGCAATGTAGTGAGACCCCATTCCCGATCTCTACAAAAAGTAAGTGGTCAAAGAGCTTCTGTCTGATTTAATATGAAAGTTAAAGAAATAATATTTTGTTATTACACAGCTTAAACATCATTTTCTTACAGATAACATGAATTTAATCTTTAACATTAAAAAGTTTATGTGTTTAAACAATTAAAAATGAAGGTACAATGGGATATTTTCCCCATCAAAATGACAGTACTAAGAAATATTTAAAAAAATCAATTATGGTAAGATAATTTTTAAAAAGGAACACCTGCTGATAATTTATACCAATACTTTTTTGGAAGAATTTATTAAAAACTTGCATTGCATTTAACTTTTTATCAAATACTTAGTTTAGGCACTATCCTCAGATTTATTTTCACATCTGTATAAAGATATATGCCTAAGAATATTCACTGTAACATTTTTATAACTCTGAAAAATGGAAAACTGAATGTCCAATAGTGGAAAAAAGATCAGATTAATTTGAAAGGATTCTTCCTGTAAGAACAGTGCAGCCTTTACAAAGAATAGAAATTTTCTGATAAATAATATTGGGTGAAAATTATTAAAAAGAATCTATGCACTTGTCTTCCTATTTTGTGATCCCATTAATGTCTAAAGGAACTCCAAATTACATGAATATACATTTACATACTGTATATTGTATGTGTATGTATATGTATGTATGTGTGTATGTATACGTTTTTCACCAAAAGGCCTAGAAGTCTATTTAGAGTAGTGAGCAGAAGGTAACGTGTACTTTTTCATCTATGGATTTTAGTAAACTTTAAATAATTTAAATAAGTGTATATTCATGATGTACTGTTTAAATTGTTTTAAAAAGTAAAGCATGACCTATACCTCCCTGGTTGTCTCTGTCCACCTCTGGATGTGAGACAATACAGTCTTGTTTATGTGGGGCCATCTCTTTCTGGCAAGCAGAGGCAGCTTTTGTTTTCTTTAATTGATGTGATTGTTTTTTAAATCCTGTTACTAAGACCTGTGGGTGCCCAATAAGCATCTGTAGCTCTAAATCTAAGTCATCACTCCTTGCAGCCCCTCCTTCAAGTTCCTGAAGTCCCAACACAGTCCTGTGCCTGGGACTAGGACCACTCCTCTATACTCCTATGCTTGGAGAAACCCAGCCTTTTCCCTTTGTTCCCCAACCCTGGCACCCTGCTTTCTACAGTTTCCTTTTGTTACCTCATTTATCCCTTTGCTATTTTTTTCTTTTACTTCTTCAACATTAGATTTCCTATATTAAATTTTTTCTATTAAATTCTACATGTTAAATTTTTTTTAAATAATTAAAATGATTAGTTGGTTTCTGTTTTCCTGATTGGTTCTTTCCTAATACAAACTCAAACTTGTACGAATGGGTGAGGCTACTTTGTACCAAAGTTTGGAAATAGGCAGTCATGTTTCTCTGCCTCAAACATCTGAAAGAAGGGCTTGGATTCCTCTTTGGTTTTCCTAATTTCAAAGGCTAAGAACACCTGGAGATGGGCAGGCTCAGCTGCCTAAAGGTGAGCCTGAACTCCTGCTATTCACCCTCTGTCCCCTGCTCTTTATTCTGTGTTTCTAAGGCAAGTACTATTTTCCATGCAGGTAGTGAGGTGAGTGCAGTATAATCAGATCTAATACTCCTCACAGTAGGTCTGGAAGCATAGATTTGCTGGTCAGGTTATCAGAGGACAATTGACTTCAGTTCCCAGCCACATTCTCCAATTCTGCCTTATAAAGAAGCCTCACAAGTTGGAAACTATCGAGCCTCTATTTTTATTAGCTCCACGTTTCACTCCTGCTTCTTTCTTACACTAGTTACAGCCTGAAAAGGAAGAATATGAAGTGATTGGTGCCCTTAATTTCCAAAAGGAAAAATAATAGTAAAAAGCAGACAAAGACTAGAAGAATAATATCCCCCCCAAATACATAAAGAGCTGCCCTGTCTGGATGATTTTTATAGTTTTTCTCTTTTATGCCTCTCTGAATTTCATTTATAATGAACTTGCATTATATTTCTGTTAAAGATAAACTATAATAAAATTCAAAAATGAGAGGAAACTAAATCTAGAAGGAAATTACACTACAGGTGGAAAAATTGAACTCTCAAAAGCATGAGATTTATAATCAAGTCATGTTGCCTCAACCATACTCCTAGTTTCTTATAGATCCTCTAGGCCAAAAAGAGAAATAATGGTCCAAAGAGTACAAGAAGAAATTGAGCAAAGCAAAGGTACAAAAATGGTTCATTGAAAAAGCATAAGCAAAGGAGAATAAGCAGATAGAGGGTAGAAGGAGATGTGAGCTGGAGAAATGAGGGGTAATGAGAGGAGAGGAAAGAGCGTAGAGCCTGTATGCGGTGACATCTGATCTGCCACCATCTATGGAGATTTCCACAGAAAAGGAGGTTGGCTACTGGCTCCAGCTGGCAGCTTCTTCAATCTCACTCTCATGTCAGACATCTGTCAGCACTCTGCAAGGATCATTGGAAATCAGGCCCATTCACAGTTAGTCTTGGACCTCCTCGAGTCTTCCCACCCCTACCAGCTACTGAAAAGGAAAGGGGAAAAATGTTATAAAGTTTCTCTAGCCAAAGCGAAAATAACCAAAAAAAGAAAAAGGAGAAGGAGACAGCATCAACAAAGGAGACGTGTTCCCATGACTCCTCATTGTCAAAGGCTTTATTCATTCATTCATACCCCAAATATTTCATGAGCACAACTGTGTGCCAGGCAGTGCAGTAAGTACATTACTAATGCCACATTACATGTCCATGCAACGGGTTACACATTAGTGATGCCAACCTGAGCAAGGCCCTGTTCATGCAGCTCTGTGCTTCTCCCCCCAGACAAGCTACAGCTCCTGGGACTGCAGTCCACTTGTACCTCTCTTAAGATCCTCCCTTTCCCTGAGAGTGAAATGGCTAAATATCCAGGAAAGGGAAAATAATACAAGGGAATTTGTCTTCAATTTGCCACCCTAAAGGAGCCACATATCTAAACAGCAGTGCTTTTGCCTGCCTTTCAGTTGACTCTGAAACTTTTTCTAACATCAAGAATACATACTTGAATTAGATGTCATTCTTCAAAAGTACATGCTTATTTACATAAATGCCTTTCACGCATCAGTGCCTTTGCCTGTGAAATTCTCCAGATTTTTCTTTTATCCTTTATCTATTTGTTGCCAAAATCCTACCCAAATTTTATTTTTTCTTATGAAATACTCTATATCTTATATAGAAAAATACATGTAAGCTAGCTAGCTAGTTAGCTACATGATAGATAGATAGATAGATAGACAGATAGATAGATAGATAGCACTATAAACTGAATGTTTGCCTCCCCCATTCATATGTTGAAACCTAATACCCAATGCAACTGTATTTGAAAATAGAATCTTTGAGAGGTAATTAGGAGCCCTCATAAATGGGATTACTGCTCTTCTAAAAAGGACACCAGAAAGCTCCCTCTCTCCTTCCACCATGTAAAGACACAGAATATAGTTGTGCATGAACCAGAAAGCAGGCCTTCACCAGACTCTAAATCTGCCAGTGCCTTGATCCTGAACTGTAAGAAGTAAATATCTGTTGTCTATAAATGATTCCATCTTTGGTATTCTGTTATAGAAGCCCAAATGGACCAAGACAGGTAGATAAATGAATAGACGGATAGCTGGATAGATTGATACACAGATCCATGGATACATGGATAGATGGATGGATGGATGGATATAAAAAGAAATACTAAGAAAACCAGGAGCCATATATACTCCACCCGGCTTAAGAAATAGAATGTTAAAGAACCTTTGGAGCTGCCTATGTGGCCCTGCCATGTGCATTCCATTATCATTCTCCCAGCCTTCAGAGGTGACCACTATTTTGAATTTTATGTTAATTATATCTTGTTTTTCTGGATAGATTTTTTTCACAAATATTCCTCTGTTTATTGTGGTATAAACATAAAGGAGATCATACTGCAAATATTTTCTCATGAAATACTACTTTCAATCAATCTTGTTTTGAAATTAACCTATTTTTTTGTACTGTTGCTGTATGTTCTTTCTGCTGCATAGTATGTAATGCAATTACTATTTTACAGTATGTCAGTTCTACTGATGATGGGGATTTAAGATGCTTCCAGTTTTTTGCTAGTAAAATCAACGTTGTTGGAAACATGCTTGTAGAACATTTCCTGGTATACATGTGCAAGTTTATTTAGGTGATATTCATAGGAATCTAATTGCTTGGTTGTAGGAATTTTTGAAATTTAGTAGACAATACCAATTTATTTTTCGATATATTTGGACCAATGTACATTCCATAAGCAGCATATGAAAGTTGCTATTGCTCTACACCTTTTACAACAATCAGTATCATTGTACTTTCTTTTTCACCAGTCACAAGAGTGTGAAATGGTAATCTTATGCCATTTTATTTGGTATTTCCCTTATAACTGATGAGAACAAGCATTTTTCAAATGTTTATTGGTTGTTCATGCTCCTGTTTCTACAAAATGTCAATGTCTTTGTTAACTTTTATATATGGTTACATGCATTATACTTTATATATTCTATATACTAACACTTTATTTGTTGTGTTGCAACATTGTTGAATGTTGCAAATACATTCTCCAAATGTGTGGGGGGCACTGGCACTCTATGATGTCTGTTGATTAACAGAAGCTCTTATTTTTAAAATGCAGTTAGACTTATTAGTCTTTTTCTTTATGATTTGCTTTTGTGTGTAACAGCTTTTCTTATTTGCATACCCCACAGGCACATATATATTTCTCTTTTCTAAACTTGTAGTTTTTAATTAGTGTTTGCGTGTTATATAAGGAAACATTATTTTAAAATTTTCTGTATGAAAAGTCAACATTAAGCCTCATTGAATTAGTCAGGCTTTCCTTTATTGCTCTACAACGTCATTATTGGTATATACTGTTTACGTAAATGCCTGTTTCATTGCTTAGCTTTCTATGTGATTTCATTTGTTTATTTGTCTATACCTGCAGAAATGTAAAATGCCTTCATTATTATGGCTTTAAACAACTCATTTATATGCCTGAACAAGTTTCCCTGTCTTGTTTTTAAAGTTAAGACAAGCTCCTGGCCCTTTGATATAAATTTCGGGATTCACCCATCATTTCCACAAAAAAGAAAATCCTGCAGAGATATTTATTGGTATTGCATTAAATCTATCTATCAACCTGGGAAGAATTAATATCTTCAGTAGTTTGTTTCTATGAATATGTCATGTCTCTCCACTTAGGACTTTTAAAAAATCTTTTGTGATACAAGTTATTTTTTTTAACTTTCTACACAAAAGATCTTGCACATCATGTGTTAGATTCATTCCTAGGTACCTCATCTATTTACTATTAGGAAATAGTATTTCTAACTAAAGTGTCTAACTTTTCCTGGTACAAGAAATCTATCGAGTATTGTATATAAATCTTACATTAAGCAAGCTTGTTCTACTTTGTTATTAATTTTATTTGTTAATTTATTTGTTTTGGATTTCATACATAAAGAATATATATTAGTTATTAGTGTAATTAATTAATTCATTAATTTTGCCTTGATGAGCTGGTTAGGATCTCTATTATAATGTTAAACCCTGTCTGGTTCTTGGATTTATGGAAAAAGGTTTTAACATTTTGCCACTAAGCATGAAGGTAGCTATACAGTTTTGGTAGCTGGCTATGTGGGTCCTTAGTGAGTTCTTGTGAGTCCTGTGTGAGTTGTTTATAGTTAGTGAGTCTAAATGTAAAGAATTATCCATTCTTGGCCAGGTGCGGTGGCTCATGCCTGTAATCCCATCACTTTGGAAGGCTGAGGGTGGGGGATCACGAGGTCAAGAGATTGAGACCATCCTGGCCAACATGGTGAAACCCCATCTCTACTGAAAATACAAAAATTATCTGAGTGTAGTGGTGTGCGCCTGTAGTCCCAGCTAGTCGGGAGGCTGAGTCAGGAGAATAACTTGAACCCAGGAGGCGGAGGTTGCAGTGAGCCGAGATCGTGCCACTACACTCCAGCCTGGCGACAGAGAGAGACACCGTCAAAAAAAAAGAAAGAAAAAAGAAAAAATTATCCATTCTCTCGGTACATGATTGGGTAAACTTCCTAGCCTACCCTAATTACCCAAGACCATATTACTAATTCCAGCCAATAAGTAGTAAGCAGAAAAATGTGTCTCACTTCTAGATCAGAGCATTACTTGCCCATTTGAGACTCTCCAGAGTCCTCTTTCCTCTGACATGGTGACTAGTAATATCCAAAAGTTGTTGCTTCTTCAGCCTGAGTCCCCAAGGACATACAGTGAGCAGAGGTCCCCGCTGATTTCTACTGGATATTTAGTGTAAGGGATAAATAAATCATGAAGTTTTAAGTCACAGAGATTTGGGTCCTATTTGTCACGATGGACTATGTAACCTAACCTGTACTGACTGCTACAATATCCTTTCAGACTAAGTGGATTTACTTCCTAGGAAAATACTGCCCTCTGGAGAGTCGATGTTGTTATTCACAAATGGAGGTTGAGTTGTATAAATATTTTTTCTAAATCTATTGATATTTACTTTTCTCTTTAATAGATCAATTTGATAAAGATATCTTAATAGATTTTATAATGTTGAAATCAACTTTGCCATCTGGATTAGTGGTAATAGATTTATGCTAGGTTTAGATTATGAATGCTTTGATATTTTTATATCTGTGCATGAATATGAATATTCTGAAAGTGCTCTGTCTACTTTTATTAAGATATATTATTTTGAAATGAAAAAGGAAAAGTTCTCTCTTTTTATCCAGTATCTGAAAGACTATATAAAATCACAACCATCTGTTACATAACTATTGGTAAATTTGCCTATTAAACGGTTTTTTTAAAAAATAATAAATTTTGAAGTGATAGTTGTGCTAATTATTCTGATTTGAACTACACATTGTACACATGCATTGAAATACCACACATTACCCGATAAATATGTACAATTATTATGTGTAAATTAAAAATAATAAAAGCAAGGAAACCCAAAACGCTTTATTTTTTTCTTTTCGTTGATAGAAAAATTCTGAGCCAATTTCTAATTTTTATAAATACATTTAGATTATCTTTTTCTTCTCTAGTCTCCTTAGTAATTTACATTATGCAAGTGTCCATCTATTTTCTTTTTTATTTTTTTTTTTTAGACAGAGTCTCACTCTGTCGCCCAGGCTGGAGTGGTGCAGTGGCAATCTTGGCTCACTGCAACCTCCACCTCCCAGGTTTGAGAGATTCTCCTCCCTCAGCCTCCTGAGTAGCTGGGATTACTGGCACCTGCCACAACGTCCAGCTACTTTTTTTGTATTTTTAATAGAGATGGGGTTTCACCATGTTGGCCAGGCTGGTCTTGAACTCCTGACCTCATGATCCACTCGCCTCAGGCTCCCAAAGTGCTGGGATTACAGGCGTGAGCCACTGAGCCCGGCTGCAGTGTACACCTATTTCCTTTCCTAGGTGTACAATTTACTAGCTGAAAGTTCATACAACACTTTCATTTAAAAATTTATAGCATGCGTCATTAAGTCCTTTTTCTCTTTAGTATCATTTACTTATTTCTCCTTTCTCTTTCTTCTCTTACACTTTCACGTCCAATCTTGCTATGATTTGGTTTTAATTATGTAAAGAAACAAACTCTGTTTTTATTCTTTCTCCAAGATGGCAAACTAGAGGCTTTCAGCATGCCTCTGCCTCTTGGAGATAGCGAGATAGCAAGATAGCACATAAAGATCAACACTGTGAGCTTTAATTCAAGAAAAATGGGAACCCACTGGAATTGTAAAGGACACCCCAGATGCCGGAGAGGAGAATGCTGGCAAACAGCCCCTGTGATGGTGTCCAGTTGATAAAATGATTGAAGGCTCAGTATGTAAGAGAAACAGACAGCCTCTTTCTGTGACGTACCTTTCCACTGGGGATATGAGCAACCCAGGCTGAGGGAGAGCATTTTGTTTCTCCCAAGCCCTGGAAAAAACTTAGGAAGAGTCTTGGAGATGCTGTGAGGGAAAGACTCTGGGAAAAGCTACAGACATTTTTCCAGACCTGGGTCTGCAGGCAGGACATGATTTTTAATGTGGGTGCCTACAGCCTTGGCAACCCAGTTGCTTACTTGCACAGGCACTTTAGTCTTGGCTCAGAGATTTGAGCATCTGCTCTGGAGTGGGCTAGGGGCCTCTACAACCAGGACAGTGGAAAATGCTTCAGCAGTAGGCACTAGAATTGTTCTCTCCTCCCTAAGAGCTGGAGGAGAGCTGCTTACAGCTGTGGTTCTTCCTGGGCAATAACACTTGCAGGCAGGGCTAGCTTGGTAACCTGAAACTGATCTGCATGTGCCATTGCTGGATGCCCTACCCTGCTCTCCTGAGATTGTGGTATAGTGGGGCCCTCTCTGCTTCATGCCCAGGTGGATCTCCAGGCATTTGTAGCACCTGCTCATTGGGTTCAGCAGCCTGAGTTGCATCATCCTTCTGGGACATAGATTGTGATGCACCAGGACCCTCTTCACTCCTTCTCAGAAGGTCCCCAGACATTCAGAGCACCAGCTCACCTGGATCAGCAGCCTAAGCCACCTCATCCTTCTTGTGCAAAGATTCTGGTGCAGGGGGTCCCTCTCTACTATGCACCCAAACATTTCACCAGGCATTCTGCTCATAGATTGGAAGAATTCATATCATTAAAATAACCTTACTGCCCAAAGCAATCTATAAATTCAGTGCTCTTCTTATGAGACTACCAGTGTTATTTTTCACAGAAATCATAAAAACTATGCTAAAATCAGTATGGAAAATAAGAGTCAAATAGCAAAAGCAATCCTAAGCAAAAAGAACAAATCCAGAGGCCTCACATTGCCAGACTTAAAACTATACTATAAGGCTACAGTAACCATAAGAGCATGGTATTGGTACAAAAACAGACACATAGACAAGTGGAATAGAATAGAAAACCCAGAAATAAAGCCACACGCATACAGCCATCTAATATTTGACAAAGTTGACAAAAATGAGCAAGGAGTCACATGCAGAGGAATGAAACTGGACCCTTACCTTTCACCACACACAAAAATTAACTCAAGATGGATTAAAGATTTAAATGTGAGACCTCTCAAACTATAAGAATCCGAGAAGAAAATCTAGGAAACAACATTCTGGACATCAGCCTTGGGAAATAATTTATGACTGAGTCCTTGTAGGCAATTGCAACAAAAACAAAAATTGACAAGTGGTAGCTGATTAAAGAGCTCCTGCACAGTAAAATAAACTATCAACAGAGTAAACAGACATCCTAAAGAACAGGAGAAAATATTTGCAAACTTTGCATCTGACAAAGGTCTAATATGCGGAATTTATAAGGAATTTAGACAATTCTTTATGCAAGTAATTATACCATTCCTCATTCCTTTAAACAAGCAAAATAAAAACTTCATTGAACAAGCAAAAACAACAAAATTCCTTTAAAAATAGGCAAAAGGCATGAACAGACACTTCTCAAAAGAAGACATTCAAGTGGCCAACATGTGAAAAAATGCTCCACATCACTAATCATCAGAGAAATGCAAATTAAAACCACGAGATATCATGTCACACCAGTCAGAATGACTATTAAAAAGTCAAAAATCAACAGATGTTGGCAAGGCTGTGGATTAAGGGGAATGCTTATACATTTTTGGTGGAAATGTAAATTAGTTCAGCCACTGTAGAAGGTAGTTTGGAGATTTCTCAAGAAATTTCAAACTACCATTCAACCCAGCAGTGCCATTACTGTGTATATACCCAAAAGAAAACAAAGAAGACACATGTACTTACATGTTCATCACAGCACTATTCATAATAGCAAAGACATGGAATTAACCTAGGTACCTAACAAGAGTGAATTGGATAAAGAAAATGTGGTACATATACGCCATGGAATACTACACAGTCTTAAAAAAGAATGAAATCAGGTGCTTGGCAGCAACATGGCTGCAGCTGGAGGTCACTATCCTAAGCAGACTAACACGGGAACAGAAACCAAATATCACATGTTTTCACTTATAATTGGGAGTTAACCATTGGGTATTTAGGGACATAAAGATGGCAACAATAGACACTAGGGACTACTAGAGTGGGGAAGGAAGGAGAAAAATTTGAAAAACTTGGGTACTATGCTCAATACCTGGATGATGAAATCATTTGTACCCCAAACCTCAGCATCATGCAATATACCTAGGCAGCAAACCTGCACATGTACCCTCTGAATCTAAAAAAAATTTGAAAAGTAACAATAATAATAATAATAAAATGATTGTTAAATAGCACAAAATGCTAATTAAAAGATTTGTGAAGCCTTCTAATTGTTTAACTCATTTTACATACTCACACATTTAAATACTATATATTATTTTTAAAAATTCTGGCTTGGTCGGGTGCGGTGGCTCAAGCCTGTAATCCCAGCACTTTGGGAGACCGAGGCAGGCGGATCATGAGGTCAGGAGATCGAGACCATCATGGCTAACACGGTGAAACCCCGTCTCTACTAAAAATACAAAATAAATTGGGCGGTCGTGGTGGTGGGGGCCTGTAGTCCCAGCTACTCAGGAGTCTGAGGCAGGAGAATGGCATGAACCTGGGAAGCGGAGCTTGCAGTGAGTGGAGATCCAGCAACTGCACTCCAGCCTGGGTGACAGAGTGAGACTCTGTCTCAAAAAAAAAAAAGAAAAGAAAAAAAGAAAACTTCTGGCTTATCTGAGACTAGGTTGTAATTTTGCTCTATAGTATTTTCTGATTTTTTTTTATTCTAGCTTCTTTTTTGTTTAATTCTGTTGTTATTTTTTCTCCTTTTCTTTTATTTTTTATTATATATATTTTGAGGTAGGGTCTCATTCTGTTGCCCAGGCTGTAGTACAGTGGGATGATCATGGCTCACTGCAGCCTCAACCTCCCAGACTCAAGCAATCCTCCCACCTCGGCCTCCTGAGTAGCTGGGACTACAGGTGTGCATCGCCACACCGAGCTAAATTTTTAATATTTTGTAGAGACATAGTTTTCCCTACGTTACCAAGACTGGTCTTTAACTCCTGGGTTCAAATGATCCTCCCACCTCAGCCTCTCAAAATGCTGGAATTACAGGCATGAACCACCTGGCCTATAGTTGAGCAAATACTTTCTTTTTTAACTTTTATTTTAAGTTCAGTGATACATGTGCAGGTTTGTTACAAGGTAAACTTGTGTCATGGGGGTTTGCAGTACAGACTATTTTTCTTTTTCTTTTCTTTCTTTTTTTTTTTTTTTTTTGAGAGACAGAGTCTCACTGTCATCTAGGCTAGAGTGAAGTGGTAGGATTTCAGCTCACTGCAACCTCCGCCTCCTGGGTTCAAGCAATTCTCGTGCCTCAGTCTCCCAAGTAGCTGGGATTACAGGTGCCTGCTACCACACCTGGCTAATTTTTGTATTTTTAGTTGAGACGGGGTTTCACCATGTTGGCCAAGCTGGTCTCTAACTCCTGACCTCAGGTGAGCTGCCCAACTCGGCCTCCCAAATTGCTGGGATTACAGGACTGAGCCACTGCCCCCAGGCTTACAGATTATTTCATCACCCAAGTATTAAGCCTAGTTCCCATTAGTTATTTTTCCTGATCCTCTTTCTCCTCCCACCCTCCATCCTTCGATATGCCCCAGTGTGTGTTGTTCCCCTCTATGCGTCCATGTGTTCTCATCATTTAGCTCCCACTTACAAGGGAGAACATGCAGTATTTGTTTTCTGATTCTGTGTTAGTTTGCTAAGGATAATGGCCTCCTGCAAATCTCTTCTAATTTTTTCTTAAATTTAAGTCTTTCTTATTTTGTAATAAAAGCATAAAAAACAATGAATTAGTCACTAAGCCCTGCTTTTAATTGGATTCCACTATTTTGTTTAAGTTGTATTCCAATCATGCAGTTGTAAGCATACTAAAATTTCTGTAATATTTTTCTTTGTAATCTAAGTTATTTAGATGTATGTTTTCAAATTGTCAACATATTTGATTATGTTTTATTTTTGTTTATTTTGTGTGTTTTGATTAAATAATATGGTTTATATAAGCTAATTCTTCAGACTTCTTTTATGAACTGGTATGTGGTTGATTTTCACTAATATTCACTAATATTTCTAATATTCAATAATATTTTCACTAATTTTAAAATATGCCTTAAACTAGCATTTTCAGATGTTATATGAAACACGGTTTTTGGGTTTGTGGTGGGTTTTGGGGTGTGTGGGATATATCCACACACGCTTCATACCACCAGTACACACACAGCCAGGGACAACTTCTCTCATCCATTAGCTCCAGGTTGTTAATTGTGACATTTACATTTCCTGTATCCTCAGAGACTCTTTAAACAAATGGCTAATCTAATAATTGTGAGAAGATGATGTTTTTAAAAATATTTTAATATGATAGCGGCTTTATCCATTGTTCCTTGAAAATTTCTTAATTTGTGCTCTGTATTTTACTAAATGATATGTGCATACAAATATTATCTCTTGTTGGCAAAAGAAACATTTAATCAACATGTAGTGATCCTCTTTATTTCTGGTAAAGAGTTCTACCTCCAAGTCTACATTTATGATCATTATATCAACCTAGTTTTATTACTGTTTGCCTAGTAAAATTTTGTTTCATTCTTTACTTCTTTTTTTGGCCTTATGTTTTATGTGTTTCTCTTTTTAAAATCAGAGAGCTCATTTGGGGAAAAAAAATCCAATCTAGCGATTTTTTTAACCTAAAAACTCCAGTCCATGGCCATTAATTTTGAGTATTAATATAGTTGGATTTGTTTCTGTCATTTTATTTTATGCATTCTATTCTCATGCTTTTTCCTTTTTTCTCATGTTTTGCCCATTTAAAATATTTCACTGATTAGGGATTTATTTCTCCTTACTCCATATTGTTCCCTCCTCTGTGCTGTTTTGGAAGTCTCCTACTAGATTTCTATTATTACAGTGTTTCTCTGAAATTAAATACTGTACCTGCTTCATTTCATCCAAAGTTAGTCCATATTTACTTTCTCTTTCTGAACACAAGAATCTAAGGACATAGTAATTCTCATTATCCTTACATGACATATACTGTTTATTGCAGAATTTTAATTCTAGATTTCAAATAGATAGTCAAGGTTTGTTTAGACTTATCCACATGGGTAACATTTTTTTCTCAGTATTTCTTGTTGCATTCCAGACCTTCTTTTATGGATTATTTTTTTCCTTCCCAAATTTTATTTTTTTAAATTACTTTAGTAATGGTAGTGAATTCAGTTGTTTATCTGAAGAAGTCTTGATTTTACTATTGTTTTTAAATTGGTATTATTGGATATTCAATTCCAGCTTGATTTTTTCCAATAATTTGAAATGTTCCACTCTCCTCTTTCTGTGGATTAAAGTTAGCAGCTAGTCTAACTTTCATGCCTTTGACTTAAGCTGGTTTATTCTTCTGTCATATTTTAATAATGTCTCTTTGCTATTGATGTTTTCCTATGTCACTGTAGTTTTACTATAATTTATTTAGTTTATGTGTGTCTTTGTCTTTCTACTTAGGATTCACTAAACTGCTACTATTGCTTTGCATAATGCCTTTTGACAATCTGTTCGCCTCTTTATGTCTAGAACTGTAATTAAGCATGTATCAGACCTACTAATCTATCATGTATTGCCAAGAGATGCAAATAACTCCATGGC
Organism: Homo sapiens; assembly: GCF_000001405.40. NCBI lineage: Eukaryota > Metazoa > Chordata > Mammalia > Primates > Hominidae > Homo > Homo sapiens. The sequence goes on along the minus strand of NC_000009.12, from coordinate 115,502,000 downwards.
ACATCTCCTCATTTCCCCTTTTGCTTTTCTTTTCTTTTTTTTTTTTTTTTTTTTTTTTTTTTGAGACAGAGTCTCGCACTCTCGCCCAGGCTGGAGTGCAGTGGTACAATTTCGGCTCACTGCAAGCTCCGCCTCCCGGGTTCATGCCATTCTCCTGCCTCAGCCTCCCGAGTAGCTGGGATTACAGGCGCACACCACCACGCCCAGCTAATTTTTTGTATTTTTAGTAGAGACAGGGTTTCACCGTGTTAACCAGGATGGTCTCAATCTCCTGACCTTGTGATCCGCCAGCGTCGGCCTCCCAAAATGCTGGGATTACAGGCGTGAGCCACGGCGCCTGGCCTGTATTTTCTATCTTATTATACTTTAGCATTGTTCTCTGTTTAATCTCTTTACATTGCCCTGTCAATTCTTGATTTTTCTCTCTAGCTTTAATTGATGTTTAATATATCCAATGTAATTCTAATTTCAATTATCATATTTTTATTCCTATAATTTCTGATCTTTTACCTAATTTACCTGACCCATTTTTAACAAGTTCTTGCTTCTTATTGATTTTTTTGTTTCTTTTTAAGAACATAATGAATATAAAAGTGTTTTACATTGTATATTCGTACAAGTAGTCTTTTGCATATGACTATACTGTTTGATGTTTCTCCTGGGTTTTATTTATAATACCACTAATTTTTATGTGCTTTGTGATTTTTTATTTTGAGTTCCAATTCACTTGTCCATATTTGTCAGAAATATTTAAAACCTATGTTGAGAGTGTATTCCTCACGGAAATTTGTCTAGAGGCATTACCAATCCAGAACTTTAAAGTCTAGATTAACATGTTTTGTGCCACAAAGGTTGTCTGAATTACAGCTCTAAACCTGAGTGAGAGTGGGCTTATGATTGGGAAGTTTTAAGGGAATTTTCTTTTTTCTTCCTCTCAGAACCAAGGCCAATAACTCCATCACATGCCTCTGAAAAACATGGTTTTCTCTAGTTCACCCACTGATGTGTTGCATCTTAGGAATTTCAGATTATGAGGCATCTCCAATCTGATCTTCAAATTTACGTGGGCCCCAGAATTTATTTCCCACAACCCTTTCTGTACCTTTTTGAAACCTAAGCTCTGGGCCACCAGATAACAGCAGATGCCTCTAGTCAAGAAAATCATCCTTCCCCAGCATTTTAGACATTTCACTCACACAAGTATTATTTTAGACATTTCATCCTCTGTACTGCTGATAAAGTCACTCCTATTCACTCTTCTAAAATTATTCTAAGTGTTGAAGAAGATTTAAAAAATTATCCAGCCTGGCTAAAGCTCCTCCTCTGTTATTCCATAGCAAGAATGAATTCATTCTAACTTAGCTCTAAGTATAATTTGTTACCTCCTCTGTTTATTCACTTTTGTCTTAACAGTGAGCTCCTTGAAGCCTTCCAGTATGGCTTAACGAGTGTTTTCAAATAGCATCTGAAAAATAAGCCCTCTCACGGCTCAATCTACTTTGTTTTAATAATTGTTTGTATCAATGTATAGCTAAGTAGACACACACACACACACGGTGATTTGTTACTGTGATTTGCCCACTTCTAATATGTTTTCTAGGACCATGTCTATCCATTCACTCAGCAAAATTTCTTCAGTTTGCTATATGTGAAGAGTAAAGTAAGATCACTCCCTTCAAAATACCTCAACTTAAGGTTAAATATGAAAAATATAAAAATATGTAGAAGTTATCAAGAAAGTAGTCTTATTATTCACTTCTAGCTTCTTCAGGCATCTTAAATTTTTTTCATTTTCCCATAGATACCATGATAGTTTTTGCTTAAGGGCAAAATTACTACTAACTTAGAGGATATATTTGTTCAAGTTAGAGAAAGACCTGATTTCTGTACAGAATTAGGAAGAACCTCTAGGTAGAGGAAGCCCCAAGAACCCATCACTTGACTTGTGAAAGTTGTCTTTTTGCAAAAAAAGAGAAAAAAAAAGGAAAAAGAAAAAAAAAAGCACTCCTTCCTCCAAGTAGATGTGTCTGGATTTTAGTCTCCACTTCATCATCAAACGGTGCCCAACAGGGATCAGGCTGCACAAAGATATGTACTAGGTATCTAAGTAGGGACATTGAACAGGCAATCTGATATAAGCCTCTCAAGCTTGAGATGGTCCTAGGTAGAGACACACCTTTGAGATTTATCAGATTATAAATATTGTATCTGTTTAGACATTATCCCCACCAAGAAGACTCTCCTTACACCTGAAATCTCAGACACCCAAAGAAGAGAAGGAAAAACAGGATATTGAGACATGGAGGAAGTCTTAGAAATCAGAGTTGATTCTTATGACCACTCATCACACAGACTCTGGATTTGAGAAGTTTTTTATAAATACAGGTGAAAAACTCATCACTAGCATCTTCAGCATTATGCAGTAAGCAAAACAGGCTTCCATGTTGGGCACACCTCCATCACAATTGTCATCACACTGTGAGGGTTAGTGTTTAATTATTTATAAATTTTTTTTAAAGTTTACCAGTTTAAACTGCCAAACTGTCTTGCACACCACTAATAGTGCACATTCCTCACTTTGTGATATACTGGGCTGGATGATTTTCCAACCCAGCCTGGAATTCAAGGGTCTAGTGAATGGTATAGATTAATGGGAATTCAGATAAGAAAAGAAGGCTTCCTGGATGCAATGGAAATTGTTAGTAAACTCATGTGCTTGGAATAGTTAAGCCATGAGCTCTAAGTTGTCTTGGACAGCCTACCTGAGTTCTAGCACAGAGACTGTCATAATGTTAAATCAATAAATATTCATAGCATGAATTAAGTTTGCCAAGAGGCTTGGCCTGAATTAGATGCCTCTGTAAATTATTTTATTCTATAAGTTATGGACTGCTGGATACAATCAAGTGATCAGTTTTTATATTCATAGTGCTAGTCAGCATTTGACAAGACACTCAACATGAACTTACTGTGTGGCTGCTATTACTCACTAATATAAAGGTTCCTTATGGCAGCCAGGAGTGATGGCCCATGCCTGTAATCCCAACACTTTGGGAGGCTGAGGCAGGTGGATCACTTGAGGCTAGGAGTCCGAGACCAGCCTGGCCAACATGGTGAAACCCTGTCTCTACTAAAAATACAAAAGTTAGCAGGGCATAGTGGTGTATGCCTGTAATTCCAGCTACTGAGAGGTTGAGGCTGAAGAATTGCTTGCACCGGGAGGTGAAGGTTGCAGTGAGCCGAGATCGCGCCACGGCACTCCAGCCTGGATGACTTCAAAAACAAAAAAAGAAAGAAAAGATTGCTTATGAGAATGTAGTCAGGATATTATGGTAGCATTATTAAGGCCATTAAGGGTGAGGGCATTTCCCCATTTAGTGTAACACCTTCAAAGAACACTAAAATATATCGTAAACATCCTCAGTGCTTGCTTACTCAACAGACAGAAGATTCATAAATCCAGTGAGTCATCCTATACCTGGCTCTGTACTGTCCCTCATGGGTAGGAAGCTGTTTGCACAGTTAGGTTTTCCCGGGAACAGAGGACAGCTTGCATTTTTTGGTTCCTGTTTATTTTCAGCAACTGTAGTCTTTCCAAACAGCAGTTCATGAGAATTTCAGAGACGTGCGACTGTCATGAGAAAGCTGTATAATCCAATAAGCCACTTGAGCCAAGATTTTAACCATGCAAGTGGCACATTAGTCTTTAAGGGGTAACCACTTTATCCAAGATGACCCAGCTGACCCAGGTGGCATCTTCCTATACTGCAGGGTGAGGCATAGAACGGGAGACTCAGTCTTCCCACAGTCTTAGCTGCTAGGCACAATGACATTCTTTGTTATTTATTCAGCTGTTAACCTGAGAACATATATAACTCCTTTTTGTTGTTGTTGAGACGGAGTCTTGCTCTGTCACCAGGCTTCAGTGTGGAGGCACCATCTTGGCTCACTGCAACCTCCGCTTCCTGGGTTCAAGTGATTCTCCCACCTCAGCCTCCCGAGTAGATGGGACTACAGCCACGCGCCACCACACCCAGCTAATTTTTGTATTTTTAGTAGAGACAGGGTTTCACCATGTTGGCCAGGATTGTCTCAATCTCTTGACCTCGTGATCTGCCCGCCTCGGCCTCCCAAAGTGCTGGGATTACAGGCGTGAGCCACTGCGCCTGACTCATATCTAACTCTTGACGAATCTGTTTAGTGAACCAAGGAAGAGATTAACTAGATAGCAACTGCTCATTTTTTTAAAAAAAAATAATCTCATGTTTGGGCTTAAGATACTTGTTTAGTCCCAGATTTGTCATTAATGTACTCTATGACCTTGGGCGACTTATTGATTCTTCTGGGCCTCAGTATACCGATCATAACAGAAATTAGAGTAACAAAACAACAACCTTAAAACGAAAATGAGATTGAAGGATTCAGTGGTCGCTAGGATTATTTCTGTTTCAAAGATGCGTGGTGCCAGAGTGTGACTGACATCCTATAAGCATTTTATGGGCTATAAACATCTAGGAGGCTACTTTCAGAAGCTGAGCTTCTGTGGATGTTAATTCTTGAAGATAATCTCTGATATATGCCCAAAACACAAGAAGAGCTGGCTGACATATAAACACACTTTGAGAAAGAAATGAGCAGGATGGAAATGGGACATTGGGATATCACCCAATACAGTGATCAGTGCCCAGCCCTCACTTCTAAGCCTTTATATGTGAAAAAATAAAGACCAATACATTCAAAAAGCCTTTTGTAAAATAGTACAAGAGAAGTCTAACAGCTAAATGGGGAATAAACGAAAGAAGGGAAAGACTGAATTGACTTGAGAGTTTTAGAGGAGCATGAATCATAGCGTAAATGTAAATGGGTGAATATTAATCTTGGATTCTCCCATTTATTCACTCTGTGCCATGGAGTGAGTTGACTGACAAGGGCCGGCTTCATGGGCATGTGACCTGTGAAGTCACATAAAGCCCTATGCTTAGAAGGGCCTCATGCCTGATTTTATGTTCTGCTACTGGTACCTCGAAATGCTCAATAATTTTTTAACAAGGTCCTTGAAAATTATGTTGCCGTCATGAGTATAACTTTTCTAAAATTTGGCTTCTTTATCTACAAAATGAGAAGGGTCATACTTATAGTTCAGGATCCTAGTGAGGATTAAGTGAGATAATTATGAAATTAAGCTCAGTGCATGACGTATTTGCTAAATAAGTGATTAAGTCTTGTTCTCCACCTTGATCCATTTCTCTCCCCAAATCTAGCTGTTCTCTTTAAAAGGAGCCATAAGATTAAGAGTTGGTTTTTTTTTTTAACTTTCTCCTTAGTTTGTTTTCACAGACTAGTGCAGTCCAAATGTGGAAGCATAAAACCATCTTGAATAAAAGCTGGTTTTGGCCAGCTCAGAAATATTAAATACAATAAAATCTCTCATGGTTTTACAGTTGGTGTTGGGGCTTTATATGGACTGATTGTTCTGATAAGGCTTTTGAGAATTTCAACAAACACCGCATTTCAAACAGTACAACATGCCCCCATCAATAATGAACATTGAGTTTAACCCCCACACCCACCACTTGTCTTTTCTAGACAAATAAACCCTTAAATGGCCAATATTTTCCTTCAATAAATCTTCTAATGTTATGGGGAAAATGTGAGTTGTTACTATGGAAAAGTCACATCATTCATTTCCCTTGTACTCTCCATTCTCAACATATTAGTTTTTAAAGAATCCAAGTTCTTCAATTTCAGAAGATGCTTCCCTCTTCACCTCCTGCAGAAGAGATTTTAATGAATATCTTTTGTTGTTTGATTTCCTGTTTCCACTCAAACATTTTTTATTTTAAGTTGATATTATCATTTTATTATTATGGTATATTATGCCTGAAATGAATGCAATGTAGCCAAGCAGACATGTCAAGTAGGCTATCACATATGCATGTCTAAAATGCAAATGAAGAGTCTAGGCTGAAAATACAAATGAGGGTGTAACTGAGAGAGGAGTGAGATCTTGAAAAGTTCAGCTGCCTAATAAACAGACAGGAAGAGAGTACAAAAAGGGAGAGAAAGAAAACAATAAGGGAGAGAGAAAGCAATAAAGCAGGAATAAAGAAGCCCTGGAAAAGACCTGCATTCTCTGAAGAAGGCAGTGGTATATGTGGAGAGAATGAGATAAAGTAGCCGTAAAGGTAAGAGGAAAACCAGGCCAGTGTGGCGTATTTAGAAAGATATGAAGGGATGGGACTCAGAACACAGGTGAAAGATCGGATCTTTGAAAGTTTGAGGGATGCACTGTGTATTGTGGCAGGTAGCGAAAGAGAAAGAGAAGATGAAGTGACAGATAGACACAGCAACATATAAGCACTACAGTAAAAATCTGGACAAAGTACTACTAAGCACACAGGGAAAAGGATTACTAAACGCCATGAGAAAGGGAAGAGAGGACAGGATTAGAGAAGCAACGTAGAAGTTCAAATATTTCACCTACCTGTCAACAGATTAGTGTGTGTTAAGTCAATATCTTTGCCAGATTAGGCAAACAAAAAGATCGTGTTGTGCAATATATGGGACATACTTATACTACAGTTTTATCTGTTGTTTATTTGAGGTTCAAATTACACTGGCAGCCCTTCATTTTATCTACAATCCTTTAGGCAGAAAAGATAGGAAGAAAGCACTCCTGAGAGAATAGAGCAAAATAAAAGCATGAGCCTTGGCAATGCATACTTTATCTAGGGAATCCCAGATACCTTGCAATAAGCAGACTAGGAAGTTGTTGCAAATGATAAGGCTGCATATCACGGAATGAAAACATATGCTTGTTAAATACCTCTCATGTGCCGGTCCCTCTTCCAGGCAATGTATATAAATCACTGAATTACAGAAAAATCGTAGATAAGGAAACAGAGGTTCAGAGAGTAAAAACAACTTGCTGAAGGTCACACAGAAGGTCACTGGAACATTTGACAACTCCAATCCCTAGATCAAGTCTCCTTCCTCTGCACCAGTGTTTACACAGTCATAATGAATCGCAGTTTCTCCCACCAGGATCAAGGAACCATACACAGAGGTACACTATGGTTTTCACTGATGAGCACTCATTTCTGGAGAAGTTGCCTTGTGATTATCTAAGTCTTCTTTCATAATTCTCTGGATACTTCAAAGAATAAAGTTGCCACCTTCATTAAAGCATATACACGCATATCTCCTTCTCTAAATGTTCACATTTCTCCAGACAGTTTTATCCTGTTTACTATAAAGCCAAACAACAACTTTGAAGACCTGAATACAAGTAAGTACTTTAAAGGTTTAAGCATGCTTTTTCCCCTTGAGAATTAGGCATGTGTATACTCATGGTTTCCAAGCCTTGGCCATTGCCTCAGGGAATTGGACAGCTTGTTTTGGCTACAGTTTGGGGACAGCACAATTGAAACATTGCTTAAATAAATGACACAGAAGTCACCAGTGATATCATGGCTTTGCCATGAAGCTGCTGCAAATAAGTCCATTTAAGTCATTGAAAGAAATACTTAAAAGGTTGACCTTTATCTTGGGCTTATGAGAAACTGGATTTTTATTATAACCCCATTATTTCAGATAACTTGACTACGAGCACAGTTTAGCTCACTTTCAAAACTACATATTTAATGTCTAATGTCCACTGTGTACCAGGAGCAGTTTGATGCTAGTAATTTCAGAATGGATTAAATATTATCCCTGACGTTCCTCTTTTTTCTCCTGATCTGTTTTTTGCTCCACTAAATTCACCCTATAATTTTTGTGGCTTTTATCCCTGAAAGACAAGTTATAGTTTGGATGAAATATCCTTTAGTTACCAAATTTTAGGAACTCCAAGAAATTTCCATATGAGTTCTAGGCTTCCTCGAAGATAGTGAAGAGATAGTTGAGTGAAGGGATAATTTCGAGATAACATTTTTCTAAATTCTGTGACCAAAATAAGGGACTCCAAGAATTGTTTTAGCGTGCAGGCATTAATTAGGTGATTATTATCATCATAATGATTTTTTAAATGTCTGGAATATTTTATAGAGTGTTTTGATAAAGATAATAAGAGCAAGTTGGGGTGAGGCCCTGAAGAAGAGCTCCTGATTTGGGCTAGGACAGGCTGTAGGGTAAGAATGTATGGTAAGCAAACCTTCCTGAAAGAGGCAATGCCTGAAGAATCATGGAAGATGACTTCAAAGAAGGAAAAAAGAGTGATATTCCAGGCAGAGATAATCCTGTAGACAGAGGCATAAAAACAAGAGGATGTTCTTAAGGTTCTCCAAGGTGAACTCCACCATTTTACAGATGGAATTACTGGCCACTAGAGAGGGGATGTGTGAGTGGGTTACTTGCCTAATGTTTTAAATAAACTGCCAAACCAGGGACGAGAACACTAGCCCCCTGACTTCAAATCACTGGTTTTCCATCCCAGTGTGAGATCTTTGTTCTTCATGTTTAGACTACATTTCAAGACCTTAATGCTGGTCAAAGTTCTTATAAACATTCCAGTTATCCCATGCAAAATTCCTCACCACAGGTTGTATGAGATGTCCAAGACCACCCTGTTTGCTAAATGAAAGATTAATTGAAGTTTGTTATGGGATGAACAAACCACGGGATATCTCTAACTTTCTGACAAGGATGAGTCCTAGTTACCGTTATTCTGAAAAATTATTTTCAGCAAATTTAAATTGACCCAAGCAGGAAATCTGACTGTACCTAGCTTCCTTCTCTCTTTCCTTCTCTGTTTACTCCTCTGCTCCTTCATCCTCAAAGTTTTGTTGATCTTGTCACTTAAAGACAATTTATGTTTTGAGGGACTATCCAATTTAGTTACCATATTACATAAACTTTAAGAGTTGCATTTGAGTTCTAACCTTCTTTGAGCCTAGGTTAAGAATGCTAGAAGTAGGTTGTTTGACCTTGAACAAACTGCTTCTTTGGTTTCAGTTTTCTTATCTGACCAGTGAGAGGGATTGGTCTGGCTAGATGTTCAGATTCCTCCCAACCCTAAAGTTTAATATTTTGTTTTTATAAGTTACTGGCAGAAATACTGAGTTGCTTACAATTTGTTTTCAAAACCTAAATATTTTTCAAGAATATGATTTAAGAAAGAGCTTATTTTCCAAACACAAACTTGTTAATGGCTTGGACACTGTTCCCCCTGATTCCTTTTGAAAAAACAAAAATAGCTTTATTCTACCTCTTGAAGCTCTATTTCTTCTTGCATGGCTTCCTACTTTTGTCCTTGGCTGATTTTTTTAATGTTGGTCTCTGTGGCCAAACAAAAACAAAAATAAGGCCAGGAGTAGTGGCTCACACTTGTAATCCCAGCACTTTGGGAGGCTGTGGCAAGTGGTAAACTTGAGGTCAGGAGTTCGAGACCAACCTGGCCAACATAAGGAAACCCCATCTCTGCTAAAAATACAAAAATTAACCAGGCGTGGTGGTGGGCACCTAGTAATCCCAGCTACTCAGGAGGCTGAGGCAGGAGAATCACTTGAACCCAGGAAGCAGAGGTTGCAATGAGCCAAGTTAGCACCACTGCACTCCAGCCTGGGCAACAGAGTGAGACTCCGTCTCAATAAATAAGTAAATAAATAAACAAATAAAACAAAAAACCCCAAACAACATCTCTACAGTTCTATGGAAGGAAGCCCATTCAAAACACAACTATTAATATTTCACAACTATTAATATTTCAATTTCCCGAGAATAGTTTGTAGTAGCTCCCCCTTTTTTATTATCTTATGAAAAGAATTCCAAGTAAGCACAGGCTAAAGATATAAGGGTGTAATCTGTATCTTTTGAGGAATTACTGTAAAATGGAATTTTTTTTCTTCTCTAATCTTTAAATGTGGCAAGGACATTTCCATTTTGTTCCAAAGCCAGGTGGTAAGAATGTGGACATCTCTTCATTCTTGAGCTGTAAGATTACCACTACCCTTTGGAGAATTGATAACACACTTAAATAAGCTCCCTCAGATGGAAAGAAACTCTGCTTTTCCAATGGAAAAATCAGGAAATTCTGGGAAAATGCCCACAGTAATCTGCTGTACATGCGTGCTATACTATGGCGGTGACTGATTTCTTCAATCTTAGTGCCTCTAACTTCTTACTTTGTCCTTATGCTCCTATAATAATGTTCTGCGTAGAGTTCCCCAAATGCTCTATCATATGCCATGTTTCTGTCCAAGGAGACATGGTAAATGATAGGAACTCTGTTCCATCTTCCAGGGATGCCCCTTCACCAACTGCTCCTCCTGGCAAAACCTGGAAGAGCTGTTTCAGACCACTCCTCCTCAGAATCCTTCCCTGATATCCCTGATTGAGTTATCTTCCTAGCCCCCACCCCTATTATAACAGTTCTTACATTGTACTTCTAACTACTTTTAACCATCTAGTAAACCTAGTGGAATCTCCATTTGATTCATCAACAAATGAAAACAACAAACAAAACAAACAACAACAAACTCAGCTTGTGCCTAACCAGGCTCTGAAGAGCACTGCATATTAACAGCTAGTTAGGTAAACCCTATCTAGGTAAATATATCTTCCAAATACAGAAATGAGCATGGTGAATACCTTCAAGACATGTTAGAATGATTAATAAGTTAGTTTTATCTAGAATAAGATGAAATGTTTTAAGAGGGTATGACTTTTTTTGGATAATTTAAGAAGACATAGATTTAACTCCATTCGAGGGGTGTCAGGGTTCATTTCAGAGATAGGTAAGTTTTTTCTAACTAAAAATGGGGTTCAGGGTAAAGAGAATATCATAACTTTCTATTTATTTCAGGATACCCTATACTAGGTAGGAGAAAGAGAATTCTGGACCAAGAGTCAGAAGCCTTGAGTTCAAATCCTAGCTCTGCCACTTAATGCCGTGTTTGACCCAGCTTCCTCACTAGTAGAAAAGATGTAAATAATAAAACATCTAAAATAAGGCAAAAAACCCAAAGGTCATATGCATTTGAGAGTTGAATTATCAAATCTAGAATTTCAAGGTACTAGGAGCTTGGAAGAAAAGATAAGGGAAATTTTCTTGGATAGAGAAAGTCACGAGCCTTTATAACGCATTGCATTTATGTAGGCAGAAAGTAGGAATATGTAGATATAAGACATAAGATTGGGAGTGGGCCAAGGCCTTGGTATTTAAGAACAGTGGGACTGTACAGAAGTGTTCACATTGGGAAGGTGAAGGACTATTTAAATGGAAAAGATAGGGGCTTGACACCTGGCTAAGGCGTTCATTTGATATTTCATCTTCAATACACCAGATGATTTCATACATTCCAAATGCCAGTTATGAGACAAGCACGAGATGCTGAGTGTGAGGGTTAGAACAAGGACAAACAATGGGAACACAAGAATAAATCAGATGATTTTCCTGTCTCCCAGGTATCTCACAATCCAAGGTGGCAATGTAATTGTCATGTTTTCAGGAAATATTTTGATGTTTTTCCCAGGCTTAATCTCAGTCCATAGCCGTTCCTCAGTTAATTTGTGTGAACTAAATATTTCAGCAAATGACTAAATTAAGATATAGCTATCAGTCAGAGTCCAAAGTGTTAAGTGAACCAAAATTTTAAATAGCAATTTTAAAACTCTTTTCCATTTACAAAGAATTTTTTCATCCTCTGCCTTATATAATTCCCAGAAAGCCCTATAAAGAGGTTTCTTTTTTTAATCAGACTCATTTATCACATAATGTAATTGAGAATCTAAAGTAGTTATATAATTTATTCATCACCCAGCCATGAATTGCAAACTGGAAACCCAGTCCTCTAATTTTAAATCCATTCTCGTTTTTATCAGTCTCTCTGTAGCAGTTAATAGTATGCATCCCCAAAAGGTAGTTTATAGAGAAATTGAGCCCTGCAATAGTCTCTCTAAGGAGATACAAAAGCAGAATAAAACAGAGAAACTCACAAATCAATGAGATCACCCATGTAAGGGTTGCTCAATCACCCCTGGTGCCCAATCAGATGGGCAGGTGATTTTGCTCCTCTGTAGCAGACTGATACATCTTGCAGAAGCTTAAATAACTTCTTGATGTAGACTCTGTTCATGGTTCCCATGGAGTCATTCACTTGTTCATTTATGTACTCATTTATTCGGGATGTCTACCAGCATAGTGGAGCAGGCCAGGACTGAAAGAATGATCTCAGCCTGTCTGTGAAGCTAACCTTGGAATGAGATCTGGAAGGGATTTGCTGTCCTGTAACTGTGGGTCAGGAAGCCTAGGAGGCAGCATATCAGAGAGTCGTGGGTCGAGAAGACCATCCTAGGGGTAAGATGGTCCCTCCTGAGGCAAGTACCTGGGCTATCCATGTGTCTGTCTGCCTGTCCCAAGCCTTCTCCAGCTCAGGTTACTGTGCCTGACTTTTTCAGTTCAGAAAATGAGAAAATCAGCTCAGATTCCACCTTCCTTGAACTGAGCAGAGTCATTTCACATACCATGTAAATTCAATCAAATCTCTAAAAAGATCAGCTGCTTTCCAATTCAGACATGTAAGTCCCAAAATGACATGTTAATTCTAAGGGAAATAGAGACTTTGAGTTCAGAGAACACAGTGTCAAATCTCAATACCAAATTTGCTATATGAACTTTAACAAATAATTTAAAGGCTCCAAGCTTTAGTTTTCTTAACTGAAAAATTGAGAAGATATTTACCACACAAGATAGTTGGGAGTATTACATGGAAAACCATGAAGAATAATAATAGCATATCCATTTGTTGTGTGCTAAGCCCTGACCTAATTATAATTTCTAGTGGAATCATCAAAGAAATAATTTAACTGAGAAACCTCAGAATTGAAGGATGATGGGAACCAGGTAAGTGGCAGAATTCAGAGTCCAGAGTCAAACCTGGGTGAATCTGACTCTACATTCCTGCCTTTCAGTTTGATATTATATTATCTCCATGTTGTATTCTTTTGCTATTTTGCTGTTCTTTTCCAGCTCCCTTTCTCTACCTTTTCTTTCTGCATCAGTGAAAACATCATTTGGCCCATTTATACCAGAAGACACTTGGGCTTCTCATCTGAATCCTGTGCAGCCCAACACCAACATGTCATGGTTCTGCTATTAGTGAATCACTTAACTCAAGTAATGTTACATATTTGGCACCAACTGTTAATTTTTATTTCTTTACAACTGACTCCAAATTAAAGGCTATCTGAGACTTTTGCCTGTGGATATCAGCAGCTGACCGGTATAACACTAAGAGCTATGGAGTGTGTAGGCAGGTAGACAGTCTCCCTGTAATGGAGAGGATGAACAAGTACTGGAACATGTGGCCACAGGAGGGGTCAGATGGTATCTAGAATGCTCACTGCAGTTTGCATGTGTGTAGCTGGTAGTAGTATTTTCCAACTGCTCTCATTCCTCTAGGCTTGGTACACAAGTCAGCAAAGGTCTGAGCAGGCACCAATAACAGTCCACCCTTTGATACACAAATAGAAAAGAATGGAAACCACTTCTCTATTCCTTTACCCATATTTGAAAGAGCAAGTGGAAACCAGCCCATGAATGTGAACTCTTTAGGTACAGTTCCTCCAGCCAGAATGACTGTGATGACACTTGACATCTGTTATAACCCTTCTGCCAAATCCTGGGATCTACAGTCCCTGATGCTTTTTCAACACCTTGTGTATAGAAAAGCTCATGTCTACCTTTCCCAGAATGTGAATCGTCAGCCCTTGGTACATCCCTCCTTTTTACCTAAGAAACTGGTCTTAAATAATTTCATCATCTGTCTATGCATCCAGACTCACTTTCTCACTTAAGCAGTAAGAGATAGTGGAGAACAGATACAAATGCTTTAGGATAAGGGCCTGACAAGGACTGGATGTGGAGTCAAACAGAGCCAGGCTGCCTGGGGTTGATAGTTTCTATCCCACAGGCCTCAGGATGTCCTGCCTTTTTTTTTTTTTTTTTTTTTTTTGCCTGAAATGCTGTTTATTTCTTTCTCATTCACTAATTTTATTATTCTACTTTTGGCATATAAGGTGTTCAGGTAAAATAAGATTACAGTCCAATCATTGCTAGCTCAGTTTCTAACATGCTGAAGGTAAGTCCTTTATGCTACTGTGCACGGGAAATTCTCGTGTTTTTCACAATGTGACATATGACGGTACTCACTGTCACAAGCTTTAAAATGCTATAATTCATAGTGGAAGAACTGTGATTGATGGTTGTGTGGCCCAAGTACATTTAAAATGCTACTTTGTAGTAGAAAATGTGAAAGTGGTATCAAACTTTAGAGATAGAATTTTGAGCCTAGGAAAGCAATTTCAGTTTTAGAATCCTCAAGAGACTCTGTGGATAACATTCCCCTGTGTATAAATATACATCAATTTCTCTACAGTTGAAATATTTTGTAACAATCACTATAAATAAATACAGGATTTAATTTTAAAAAAGTATATTATAGAAGGATAAAACAGCCAATTACTATATAAAGCATTGAGACAGGTGTTTGTAACTGTGATCTAATTTAAATTTCATCATGATCTATGAAAAAGATGTTTCCTCTACCAAGGTGGAAATAGGCTTGAAGAAAGTAAACTATTTGCTTGAAATAACAATGCTCTAGAACTAACCCTTATCTATCAGATCAGAAAACCTATGCTTCTGTCATTTAATAAGATCCAGTATTGGATGATGGCTTTTCTCAAGGCCCTCTGCTTTTTCAAGGCCCTTGAATTTATAGCTCCTTGTAGAGAACAATCCGGAGGCAGAAAGTTGGGCTGTTTTCCACATGAATACTGTCAGGTAGAGAAGTCACCAGCCAATTTGAAAACAGAAATGGGCTTATCTCAAGCAAGCCCATCCCTTGGGCAAAGTGCAGGGGCTTGATCCAATGTATTCTGTGATGGTTTCCACCACCGTGATGGCTGGGTAAGTCCTATCTTGTCAAAAAGATAACTAGGCACCATGAACACTAGATGTGACTGTCTCTGGAGCCTGAAATTAGTAACCACCCAGTGAACAGCACACCTCAGTGGCTGCTCCAAACAGAGATTCAGAGGCAAAAGAAGTGGGATGGGTCGTTCGAGACTGAAGGAAGCCAGCATGCCCCACATGGTCCTGTTCTAGCTCTCCCACCCCCATTTCAGCCAGCGTACTCATGCATACAAATTCATCCTCAGCTAGCGGGTCTCTGAATGTTAGCCTTCTGAGGCACCACATGACGGGCTTGGTAGTTCTCTCTCCCTTGTTCTTGGTTGCTAGAGCACTGAACCCTGTCCCTGGTGTCCAATTTGTTCTCCCTCCATAACCATGTGAGCTCTGGACTTTGGAAACAAGAGTATTAACTTTAAGTGGGTGTGTATTTATGTGTACGTGTGTTTTGTTGTTTTGTCTTCTCTAAAATTCACTATGTTGAGCAATTTATTGGACAATGCTAGTACCCTTGTTCAGAGCCAAATGGCTCCAAAGTGTTTATATGTATATTAAACCTATATGGCCTATATTTTTAATTTGGGTTTTGAAATCCATTACTGCCTGGGCCCTGTATATAAGAGAAGAAGTGGAGGAAAAATAAAATCTGGTTACCTATTGATAGAGACCTTATTTCAGGTCAAACAGACAGGGTAAATACCAAAAGGCAATACTGCATGCTACGTTCTGCAGGTACAAGTGCAGTGTCAGAAGATGCTCTTGTTCAAGACAAATGACTTTCTGCCTATCTGTGATACCAGAGGTGGGGCAAGTTTTGCTAGCAGTAGGAGCTCACTGTCTTACTACAGAAAAGAACAAGGTCAAGCTTTATAGGTGTAATAGTTGTGAGTGAAGAGGCAGAAGTATTGTGAAAAGTCTCTCTGGAGACCTTACAGATCAGACATTTCAGCATCCCAATTTTACAAATACAACTAAGCATCTGCACCAAAAGACAAATAATCTAAAAAAGTCAAGCACCCATATATGAGAACATAATTAACCCCCTTCCCCCATTAACACATTCCGTCACTCAACGTACTATGTTAGTTGACCAAGTACTGATCCACGTACTGATGGGATCCAATAGCAAGCAAGACTGATACAATTCTTGGACATGTGTCTTAGATTTTAGTAGGGAAAAAAGGCAAATAAAAGCAAACAAATGAATAATCACTATGAAGGACACAAAGAAAAACAGTGTGCTGAGAGAGAATACTGGGGATGAAGAAAATCTCCCTATGAAGGAGTATTTATTTTTATTTTTATTTTTTATTTTTGTAACAAGATCTCACTTTGTTGTCCAGGCTAAAGTGCAGTGGCATGATTGTGGCTTACTGCAGCCTTGACCTCCCAGTCTAAATTGATCCTCCTACCTCAGCCTCCCAAGTAGCTGGGAACATGGGTGCATGCCACCACACCCAGCTAATTTTTGTACTTTTTGTAGAGATGGGGTCTCACTGTCTTACCCAGGCTAGTCTCGAATTCCTGGGCTGAAGTGATCCACCCAACTCAGCCTCCCAAAGTACTGGGATTACAGGTGTGAGCCACTGTGCCCGGCCCTATCAAAGAGCTTTAGCAAAATATTTCTCTAAGAGCTGAAGGACAAGAAAAAGCCACCCATGTGAATTTCAGAGCAATATACATGCCTGCAGAGTAAGGATTAGGTATAAAATCCTTGAGGAAAAAAGAATTTGCAAAATTCTAGGAACTGGGAAAAAAACAACTACAAAAATAAATAAATAAAATTTAAAAATTAAAACAATTAAAAACCTGACTTATGTGATAGCATCATGCTGCATAGGGAGACAGTGGGGGAAAGATGAGGTAGCAAAGGCAGAGGTAGGATCAAGCATGGCCTTGAAGGTCATGAAAAGATGTTAGGATTTTATCCTAAAGGTAATGATAAGTTATTGAATTTTGAACTTATTTTGGGGGATAATTAGTACACTCACATGGGTCACGCTAACAAGTTTAAGGAAGTTTACAGTATAAATTCTTCCTGTTATCTCTATCCCATGTACACAGTTCCCACTCCCTGTCTGCCCTTCACAGGTAGTTACCGTTTATTAGTTTCTTGGGCCTTGTTCCAGAAGGATTTTTACACACATATACAGGCATTCCTATGCGTGCTCCTAACTTACACACAAAATAGAATATTATATACACTGGTCTGACACTTGCTTGTATTAGTTAATATATCTTGGAGATTTTTCTCTATAAATGTAAACAGATCTTAATCCTTTTTGTGTAGCTACAGAATACTCCATTATATAGATATGCCTTAGTTTGTTTAACTAATGAATGTGGTGTTGTCTTTAATCATTCACTATTACAAACAAAGTCAAAACTAATAACTAACTATAGACAAACATCATTTTGCCATGTGCATGTGTACAGCAGTGGGATAGAATCCTACAGGAAAATTCTGTGAATCAAGAGGTATTTATGTATTTGTGAGCATCATGGAAAATTACAAAATAGGGAGCTCTAAGAATTGATTTTTCCACTAAAGTATCTTAAGTGGGCAAAAACTGACAGCATTAGTGTTTTCATAATCCTTATATCTAATAAACAATTTATACAACCAAAGGGGTGCTTAATGAAGAAAGTGGTTTCTAAATTCTGAAAAGAAAGCATTATGATGCTTTTGCTTACTCACCATTTCCCTTTCACCAGTTAGGTGACAGCCATGGGAATGATGGTCCACATTCCTGATGTGATTTGATGATGCCAAGCAGCAACAAAGACCTTGTTTTCAAAAGCTGTTCTTGTGCATTTTGACCAGTCTGGTGCTTCCCTGAGGGACCATTGCAGACTACTGCCTTTATTTCATTTTCTCAGCGTGGGTGGCACACGTCAAAATCATTAAAGATGTTTATTACGAGGTCAGGCACGTTGGCTCATGCCTGTAATCCCAGCACTTTGGGAGGCCAAAGTGGGTGAATCACCTGTGGTCAGGAGTTTGAGACCAGCCTGGCCAAGATGGCAAAACCCCATACCTATAAATAAATAAACAAGCCGGGCATGGTGGTGGGAAACTGTAATCCCAGCTATTGCGGAGGCTGAGGCATGAGAACCACTTGAACCCGAGAGGTAGAGGTTGCAGTGAGCCAAGATTGCACCACTGCACTCCAGCCAGGGTGACAGAGTGAGACTCTGTCTCAAAAAAAGAAAAAAAATGACATATATTACATGTAGATGCCAAGGGCAAAGGATGGCAGATGGGGCAATCAGTAGACAGACCATACAGCCTAGAAAGGAGGTAACTGAGAAGGAAGAGTCTTGAGGGGGATAAGAGTTTGAAATGCTACCATGTATACTAAAAAATCCAAAGTGCAATGTACATGCCTAGGGCTGGAAAAGGCCTGAAAAGATCCTAGTCTGGACCTCTGGCTGATGTTTCAGCTCTGCATAAATAGGGAGTAAGGGCCAAGGCAGGGTTGTAGACACAATGGCAAAGAATTGAATGATTATTTCAGCCCAAAGCCAACCTGCGTAGACCAAGAGAGTAGTTTTGTTGTTGTCTTTTTGGCTCCAGAAATTTAAGAAACTCTGTCAGATCACTAGCTAATGACTGAAATAATGGAACAGAGATTTTAATTACCACACATGACAGGAAATACAGACTTTATAAAAAATAGTCTGGAGTAGTCATTAAACAAATGGATAACCAAGCCCTCACCAAGCAACAACAGCAAACATTAGGGAGGGAAAGATAATCTAGTTTTCAGAGTTACCACATTATAATATTCAAAATGTCTAGTTTTCAAGTACAACAAAAAAATATAACACATAGAAACAGAAAAGTAAGGCCTATTTTCTGGGAAAAATAATTAAAAATATATGGACAGAAACCCTAAAGCAGCCCCCAAAATGAACTGGGTTATATTACATATTTGCCTATGTAGTTATATTTAACGGGGTTCTGTTTTTATTTGTTTGATGTATTGCCTAGTGTCCTTTCATTTTCATCTGAAGGACTCTCTTTAGCATTTCTTGTAGGGAAGATCTACTAGCAACAACTTCCCTTAGCTTTTGTCAATCTGAAAATGTGTTAATTTCTCCTTTATTATTAAAAGGTAGTTTTTTGCTGGATATGTTTTCTTTTTCCTTTTAACCCTGTAAATATGTCATCTCATTGCTTTCTGGCCTCCATGGTTTCAGCTGAGATACAATCTATTAATCGTACTCGGTATCCCTTGTAAATGATGAGTTACTTCTTTCTTGCTGCTTTCAATATTCTCCCATTGTCTTTCTCTTTTGATAGTTTATAATGTTTTTTGGTATGAATTTCTTTGTGTTTATACTCTTGGAGTTTGTTGAACTTCTTAGATGTATAGATTTATTTATCAAATTTGGGAAGTTTTGGGGCCATTTTTTAAAAATATATATATATATTTATTCCTTTTTCTTTCCTCTCCTTCCAGCATTCCCATTATGTATATATTGGTCCACTTGATGGTGTCCCACAGGTCTCCACAAAATATTTAAAACATTCTCCCCTCTTTAATAATGCTTTTATATGAGGTGAATCTTTTCAGGGATTCACAAAATGGCTGAGATTTGTTTCTGTAACCAAGTATGCAGCAAGATTCCACACATGGAGATGAAGAAGTGACAGACAGTAGAATATTAATCTTCAGGCATTAGCAGAAACTGTGGCGAAAGCTTGGGGATTTCACAGGCTATGGAATTGTCAGAGAACTCATCTCAAGTCCTCTGGTACTCTGGAGAACAGAGTTATCTTTTCTGATACTTGAGTGACATCAGTATTGCAAGTGTCTGACACATGGTAGATGCTAAAAACATTTTTTTTTATGTTGAGCAAATAAATCAGAACCAGAAAAAAAGTGACTCAGTAAAGTGGATAGAAGATGGGTTGACAAAGGAGAAGAGAATCTCAGCTCTGCTGAAGACTACCATTAAGATAGTTTATTAAAAATAACTGGAGTCCAAGCATAATTTCCACAGCCCCAGAATAAGTCTGGGTGAAAAGGGCTGAACTGCATGAGGTGATAACAGTCAGACAAATGCCCATTCATCATCTGTTTTTCTTCTATGTATTCTGCCCCATCTTCCTTACCACAATCCTGTCTGTTTTTTTGTTGACAGCTTTATTCTTTGTCTGTATTCTCGATGTGCCAGAAGGATAGATACTCTCAGTGAGGACTCTTTCATTAGCAAGCATAAAATGACTGAGGTTATTCTAGGCTAGGCCATGCGCTTAATACTGGGAATTCAGACATGATTGGGACATAGTCCATACCATACAGGAAACTAAATCTATAGTGGGGTGGTGGGGTGAGGAGGTTCTCATAAGTACACAAATATAATCTCATAAGTACACAATTATAATCCTATGTTGAAGGATTTTAAAAAGTAATGTATTAATTATTTAAATCTTTATTGAGCACCCACAGGGATCCAGAATCTGCCCTAGGATGAAAAAGTCACTGTAGAAAAACACAACTATAATCCCTGCATACATGGAGATTTCTTGCTTTGTGGTCATGGAGGGGTTGGGGAGGACCATACAAAAATCAAAGTGTGTTGAGGACTATGAAGGAATTTGATTTTGTGATATTCTGACTAGAGAGCAGCATTAGTCTGATGGAGAAAAAAAACTACTTAATGTAGCTCTTAATGTAGCTATATTAAGCCAAACTTCAAATGAAATCTTAGTAGAAGATTGATAAAGTACTTGCATTTGTGTTTACAAGGAAATTCAATTCTATTATTTACTGTTTACAAAACAGCATAAGTTCCTTTTCAAACAATATCAGCACCATTATTTTCATTTGATTAGCACAGCTAACACAGTAGGGTAGTTTCACTGTGAAAGCTTAATTCTTAAATAATTTTTCTTTTCATTTATAATTATTATTTTAAACCTCACCTTTCTCAGCTGGAAATTAAAAACAGGTCAATGACTACCCACCTCACAGTATTGTTTATGAGTTCAAATGCATGAGATGAAACATACAAGAGAACACATAGAAGTGGTATATAATAGTTTTCAATAAATTAGAGTTAAATCTAAATCATAAGCAGGGTCAACTATGTGTTAGAAATTATAACTGCTAGATCTTAGTCCCCAGAGATATCTAAACAGAAGTAGAATATGATTCCATATCAAAAATACTGCAGAAGAGATTTCTAAGTTGGGTTGAGCCACTAGATTATAAATTTCAAAGAAAGGATTCACCTAACTTTTCTCTTACATGATTTCCAGGACCCAGTTAGGTGTCTGTTATACTGTAGAAGTAATGGAGTAATGGTTAATTTCTTGTGTCAGCTTTAGTTGTTTTTTGTTGTTGTTGTTGTTGTTGTTTTGTTTTGTTTTTGTTTTTTTTTTTTTTTGAGACGGAGTTTCTCTCTTGTTGCCCAGACTGGAGTGCAATGACGCAGTCTCGGCTCACTGTAACCTCTACCTCCCAGGTTCCAACTATTCTCTTGCCTCAGCCTCCTGAGTAGCTGGGATTACAGGTACCTGCCACCACACCCAGCTAATTTTTGTATTTTTAGTAGAGACGGGGTTTCACCATGTTGGCCAGACTGGTCTCGAACCCCTGACCTTGTCATCAGCCAGCCTTGGCTTCTGGGATTACAGAAGCCGTGAGCCACCGCCCCCCAGCCTCTTGTGTCAACTTTATTGGGCCATGGGTTGGCCAGACATTTGGTCAAATATTATTCTGGGTGTGTCTGTGAGAATCTTTCTCTTTGAAATTAACATTTGAATTGGCAGAATGTGTAAAGAAGATTGCCCTCCCTAATGTGGGTAGCCCTAATCCAATCAGTTGAAGACCTGATTAGAACAAAAAGACTAAGGGAATTTCTCTTACCTGACTGCCTTCAGCTAAGAGCTATTCAATCTAATATTGGCTCATCTTTGTTCTCAAGCCTGCCAGCTTTCAGACTGGAATTTACAATATCAGCTCTAGTGGTTCTAGACCTTCAGAGTCGGATTGGGACTACTAGACCATTAACCTTCTTGGGTTTCCAGCTTGCTGACTGATAATCTAGGGACTTCTCAGCCTTCATAATCACAGGAGCCAACACTTTATAATAAGTCCTTTTAGATAGATTAGATATAGATACAGATATAGATTAGATACTATTGATTCTCTTTCTCTGAAAACCCTAGCAAATACGGTAAGCAATAAATTATTAGTAGAATGAATTAAAGTCTTCAATAATTTTTAATTTGATGTGATTGGCTTTCCTACCTCTTATTACTCTAAATTATTTTGTATTTTTCTTGAGCTAGCATTTTACTCTTTTCAAGACAAAATAAATGATTCAATTGTTCTGAAATCAACAGTTTTTGGTGTACGGATCTCCACTTCTTTTTTTTTAATGTTGTGCATAACTATCCTTTCAGAGAACAAACAACATTATAAAATAACAGTTCTCTTCTAAAGAAAGTGAACAGAAATCATCTCAAATCAACCATCCTGAAATTCTTTCTCAGAGGACACCTAATTCCTAGAGGAAGCTAACTTTGGTATATATTCTGTTGTTCTTTTTATTATGTGCTTCCATGTGAGCTTGGCAAGTACTTTTAGATATTCTATGAGTACAACTTAATCAATATGTTAATTTTCCACGTCCTTCAGAAGCTAGTCCTACCTTGAATGATACATATACATACCCTGTACTTCAAAACAGTGTGTTGAGAGGTAAAGGGTGTCCTGGTGCACTTCCCTGAGAGTAGATCTTTAGCATAAAAAATGTGGTGTGTATGCACTTATTCATGTAAGTAGAATACTATTCAGCCTTAAAGAAGAATGAAACCTGTGATTTGTGACAACATGGATGAGCTTGGAAAACATTATGGTAAATGAAATAAGCCAGGCACAAAAAGATACATACTACATGATTGCACTCATGTGGAATCTAAAAAAAAAAAAAATGATCTCATAGAAGAAGAGAGTAGAATGGTGGTTACCAGGGGCTGGACTAGTTGGCGGGGAGATGTTGGTCAAAGGATACAAAATTTCAGTTAGACAGGAGGAATAGATTCAAGGCATCCATTGTATAACATGATGACTATAGTTATTAATAGATTGTATTCTTGAAAAATCCTAAGAGAGTAGATCTAAAGTATTCTCACCATAAAAATGATAACTTTAATGCGCGTCTGTCTGAAGAAACCACCAAACAGGCTTTGTGTGAGCAATAAAGCTGTTTATTTCACCTGGGTGCAGGTGGGATGAGTCCGAAATGAGAGTCAGTGAAGGGAGATAAGGGTGGGGCCATTTTATAGGATTTGGGTAGGTAAAGGAAAATTACAGTCAAAGGGGGTTTGTTCTCTGGCGGGCAGGAGTGGGGGTCGCAAGGTGCTTAGTGGGGGTGCTTTCTGAGCCAGGATGAGCCAGGAAAAGGACTTTCACAAGGTAATGTCATCACTTAAGGCAAGGACCGGCCATTTACACTTCTTTTGTGGTGGAATGTCATCAGTTAAGGTGGGGCAGGGCATATTCACTTCTTTTGTGATTCTTCAGTTACTTCAGGCCATCTGGGTGTATGCGTGCAAGTCACAGGGGATGTGATGGCTTGGCTTGGGCTCAGAGGCCTGACATTCCTGCCTTCTTATATTAGTAAGAAAAATAAAACAAAATAGTGTTGAAGTGTTGGGGTGGCGAAAATTTTTGGGGGGTGGTATGGAGAGAGAATGGGTGATGTTTCTCAGGGCTGCTTTAAGCGGGATTAGGGGCGGCGTGGGAACCTAGAGTGGGAGAGATTAAGCTGAAGGGAGGTCTTGTGGTAAGGGGTGATATTGTGGGGTTGTTAGAAGAAACATTTGCCGTATAGAATGATTGGTGATGGCCTGGATACGGTTTTGTGTGAATTGAAAAACTAAATGGAATAAGAGAAGGAGAAAAACAGGTATAAAAGGTAGATGTCAGCTGTGATGGCTTGGAGAAACAGTGTAAACCAGCAGTGTAAACAAGAGCAGGGCATGTATGAGTAGTTGAGAACGGTGAATAGGAGTATGACTAGACAAAAGATAGTAGGGATGACAAGTTTTTTGGGGGCACAGTCTAAGTTGGTCTGGTGTCAAATGAGACTGGGGCCTAATAAAAAGGAGCATCTATACAGGAGCTTAAATGGGCTGTACCTTGTAGCATTCTGAGGACAGGCCTGTATTCTGAGAAGCAAAAGTGGTAAAAGTATTGTCCAGTCCTTTTTAAGTTGGTGGCTGAGCTTGGTGATGTGTGTTTTTAATAGACTATTAGTCTGTCACTGAATATTAAGAGCCTGAAAAAATGCTTGGCTGGTTTGACTAATAAAGGCTGGTCTGTTATCAGACTGCATAGAGGTGGGAAGGCTAAACTGAGGAATTATGTCTGACAGAAGGGAAGAAATGACTGCGGTGGCCTTCTCAGACCCTGTAGGAAAGGCCTCTACCTATCTAGTGAAAGTGTCTACTTAGACTAATAGGTATTTTAGTTTTTGTGACTCAGGGATTTTGAGTAAAGCTAATTTGCCAGTCCTGGGTGGGGGCAAATCTTCAAGCTTGATGTGTAGGGAAGGGAGGGGGCCTGAATAATCCCTGAGGAGTAGTAGAATAGCAGATGGAACACTGAGAAGTTATTTCCTTGAGGATAGATTTCCGCGATGGAAAGGAAATGAGAGGTTCTAAGAGGCGGGCTAGTGGCTTGTGCTGTAGCATAGACTGCCTTTGCTGGTGTGTGGCGATTAGGCCTGGTGGAACCGCCATCAATAAATTAAGCGTGATCAGGCTGAGGAACAGGAAAGAAGGAAATATGGGGAAATGGGGTGAATGTCAGGTGGATCAGAGAGATACAGTCATGGGGGTCAGGTGTGGTATCAGAAATAATATGGGAGGCCGGATTGAAGTCCGTGCCAGGAACAATGGTAATTGTGGGAGACTTAACAAAGAGTGAGTACAGCTGAAGGATCCGGGGAGCAGAAAGTATATGCATCAGGTATAAGGAAGAAAATATATTTTGGAAGTTATGTGAAATGTAGAAAGTGAGTTGAGCATAGTTTGTGATTTTTAGGGCCTCTAAAATATTACGGCGGCAGCAGCCGCTGCACGCAGACATGAGGGCTAGGCTAAAACAGTAAGGTCAAGTTGTTTGCACAGAAAGGCTACAGGGCATGGTGCTGGCTCTTGTGTAAGAATTCTGACCGCACTAACCATGCCTAGGAAGGAAAGGAGTTGTTTTATAAAGGATTGAGGTTTGGGAGATTAATCGGACACAATCAGCAGGGAGAGCACGTGTGTTTTTATGATAATTATGCTGAGATAGGTAACAGATGAGGAAGAAATTTGGGCTTGATTGAAGTAATGGGGGCTGTCTGTGAAGCTTTGTGGCAGTACAGCCCAGGTAATTTGCTGAGCCTGATGGGTGTCAGGGTCAGTCCAAGTGAAAGCGAAGAGAGGCTGGGATGAAGGGTGCAAAGGAATAGTAGAGAAAGCATGTTTGAGATCCAGAACAGAATAATGGGTTGTGGAGGGAGGTATTGAGGATAGGAGAGTATATGGATTTGGCACCATGGGGTGGATAGGCAAAACAATTTGGTTGATAAGGCATAGATCCTGAACTAAATTGTAAGGCTTGTCTGGTTTTAGGACAGGTAAAATGGGGGAATTGTAAGGAGAGTTTGTAGGCTTTAAAAGGCCATGCTGTAGCAGGCGAGTGATAACAGGCTTTAATCATTTCAAAGCATGCTGTGGGATGGGATATTGGCATTGAGCGGGGTAAAGGTGATTAGGTTTTAATGAGATGGTAAGGGGTGCATGGTCAGACGCCAAGGAGGGAGTAGAGGTATCTTACACTTGTGGGTTAAGGTGGGGGGATACAAGAGGAGGACACAAAGGAGGCTTTGGGTTGGGGAGAAGGGCAGCAATGAGATGCGACTGTAGTCCAGGAATAGTCAGGGAAGAAGATAATTTAGTTAAAGTGTCTTGGCCTAATAAGGGAACTGGGCAGGTGGGGATAACTAAAAAGGAGTGCTTAAAAGAGTATTGTCTAAGTTGACACGAGAGTTGGGGAGTTTAAGAGGTTTAGAAGCCTGGCTGTCAATACCCACAACAGTTATGGAGGCAAGGGAAACAGGCCCTTGAAAAGAAGGTAATGTGTAGTGGGTAGCCTCCGTATTGATTAAGAAGGGGACGGACTTACTTTCCACTGTGAGAGTTACCTAAAGCTTGGCATCCGTGATGGTCTACAGGGCTTCCGAGGCGATCCAGCAGCGTCAGTCTTCAGCCGCTAAGCCGAGAAGGAGTCAGAGAGCCTTGGGCCAGAGTTCCAGGGGCTGTGGGAGTGGCTGCCAGGTGAGTTGAACAGTCCGATTTCCAGTGGGGTCCTGCACAGATGGGACACGGCTTAGGAGGAATCCTGGGCTGCAGGCATTCCTTGGCCTGGTGGTCAGATTTCTGGCACTTGTAGCAAGCTCCTGGGGAAGGAGGTTCTGGAGGAACGCCTGGCCGCTGCGGTTCAGGTGCTTGGAAGTTCTTGTGTGCTGGAGATGTGGCTGGGGTTTGTCTCACAGTGGAGGCAAGGAATTGCAACTTTTTTATATTATTGTACACCTTGAAGGCGAGGTTAATTAAATCCTGTTGTGGGGTTTGAGGGCTGGAATTTAATTTTTGGAGTTTTATTTAATGTCAGGAGCAGATTGGGTAATAAAATGTATTTTGAGAATAAGATGGCCTTTTGACCTTTTAGGGTCTAGGGATGTAAAGCGTCTCGGGGTTGCTGCTGAACGAGCCATGAACTGGGCTGTGTTTTTATATTTCATGAAAAAGCCTAAACGCTATCTGATTGGGATAAAGAAAAAGGAGCATTAACCTTGACTATGCCTTTGGCTCCAGCCACCTTTTTAAGAGTAAATTGCTGGGCAGGTGGGGGAGGGCTAGTCACCGAACAAAACTGTAAGCCAGACCAGGTGTGAGGAGGGGAGGCGATAAAAAGATTACAGGGTGGAGGAGCGGAGGCTGAGGAAGAATTGGGACCTAGCTTGGGCTGGCGAGGAGGGGAGAGGTCAGATGGGTCTGTAGAAAAGGAAGATTAGAAAGACTCAGCGACGCTTGGGGTTGGGACAGAGGGGACAGGCGTGAGGGAAAGAAGGAAGATTTGGGACGAGTTGCACTGGGCACAGAGACTAGGAAGGGACTGATGTGTAAAAGAATGCCTGGACGTCAGGCACCTCAGACCATTTCCCTATTTTACGACAAGAATTATTTAGATCTTGTAGGATGGAAAAATTGAAAGTGCCGTTTTCCGGTTATTTGGAACTACTGTGGAGTTTGTACTGGGGTCAAGCGGCATTGCAGAAGAAAATAAGGCATTTAGGTTTTAGGTCAAGTGTGAGTTGAAGAGGTTTTAAGTTTTTGAGAACACAGGCTAAGGGAGAAGAAGGAGGAATGGAAGGTGGAAGCTTACCCATAGTGAAGGAGGCAAGCCTAGAGAAAAGAGTAGAGACACGGAGAAGGGGTGGGGGGTTCTTGCCCTCCAGAAAAGCAGAGAAGGGGTTTGGGCACGGAAATAAGGGATTGGGGCACAGAGATAAGAGGTCAGGGTGCGGAAATAAGGGATTCGGGCACAGAGATAAGAGGTTGGGGTGCAGAAATAAGCGATTGGGGGGTTCTTGCCCCCTAGGAAAGCAGGACTTGCCACTAAGGGTGAAGGAGAAGGGGTTGAGGGGTACTTACCCCTGCCCCAGAAAAGCAGGACTTGCCGCTAAGGGTGAAGGAGAAGGGGTTGAGGGGTACTTACCCCTGCCCCAGAAAAGTGGGACTTGCCGCTAAGGGTGAAGGAGAAGGGGTTGAGGGGTACTTGCCCCTCTCCCAGAAAAGCAGAGAAGGGGTAGAGACAAGGAGAGAAGGGGTTGGGGTACTTGCCCTGTCCCCGGAAAAGCAGAGAAGGGGTAGAGACAAGGACAGAAGGGGTTGGGGTACTTGCCCCTCCCCTAGAAAAGCGGGACTTGCTGCTAAGGGTGAAGGACCAAGGCAGGCATTCCTGCGTGGTCTGACACCCTTGAAACGTGGGTGTATAATCAGAGAGGCTTCCCTGCAATGATTAAACACCAACAGAAGGCTGCCTTCCCAGTCCGTGACCGGCGCCGGAGTTTTGGGTCCACAGATAAGATGTGTCTCCTTTGTCTCTACCAGAAAATGAAAGGAATTGAAATTAAGAGAAGGGAGAGATTGAAGTGTAGCGCCAAGATTGAAAGGAGAAAGAGGTTGAAGGATAGTGAGGGAAGTTGGAGAAGAGAGTAAAAAGAGGCCGCTTACCGGATTTGAAATTGGTGACATGTTTCTTGGGCTGGTCGGTCTGAGGACCTGAGGTCGTAGGTGGATCTTTCTCACGGAGCAAAGAGCAGGAGGACGGGGGATTGATCTCCTAAGGGAGGTCCCCCGATCC
Organism: Homo sapiens; assembly: GCF_000001405.40. Classification (NCBI taxonomy): domain Eukaryota; kingdom Metazoa; phylum Chordata; class Mammalia; order Primates; family Hominidae; genus Homo; species Homo sapiens. The sequence continues at coordinate 115,473,650 of NC_000009.12, read as the reverse complement.
GAGTCACGGCACCAAATTTCATGCACGTCCGTGTGAAGAGACCACCAAACAGGCTTTGTGTGAGCAATGAAGCTGTTTATTTCACCAGGGTGCAGGTGGGATGAGTCCGAAATGAGAGTCAGTGAAGGGAGATAAGGGTGGGGCAGTTTTATAGGATTTGGGTAGGTAAAGGAAAATTACAGTCAAAGGGGGTTTGTTCTCTGGCGGGCAGGAGTGGGGGGTCACAAGATGCTCAGTGGGGGTGCTTTTTGAGCCAGGATGAGCCAGGAAAAGGACTTTCACAAGGTAATGTCATCACTTAAGGCAAGGACCGGCCATTTACACTTCTTTTGTGGTGGAATGTCATCAGTTAAGGTAGGGCAGGGCATATTCACTTCTTTTGTGATTCTTCAGTTACTTCAGGCCATCTGAGTGTATGCGTGCAAGTCACAGGGGATGCGATGGCTTGGCTTGGGCTCAGAGGCCTGACAATAACTATGTGAGGTAATGCATGTGTTAGCCAGATTTATCCATTCTACAATGTATATATACTTTAATACATCATGTTGTACACAGTAAATTTGTATAATTTTATGCAAATGTAAAACAAAGTAAAATTAAAAACATCAAAAGTATAAAATAATCTTTAGTCATCAACTATTCAGTATACCGATGACTTCTTATATATTTGCTTACCATGAAAGAATATTAAGAGGTGGTTTTTGTGCAAAAAGTAGGAGCATTTCCTCTTGTAAAACTTTACATGACGTTTCTTAAGTGTCGCATTGGAATAGTAGAGCTATCCCAGAATTTCAGGTGGCCTTATGGAAGCACTTGCTGGAGGCTTTATTTTTTTTTTTTTTCCTACTTTTACTGCCTCTATAGAAACAATGCTGTGTGTATGCATAAGCACTGGGAATATTTTTCCAGGATCTCTCTGTGGGGTTCAATATTGCTTCAAAATCTTTGTTTGCATTGAGAGTGTAGTTAGATAATTGAAACCAGAACCTGAAATGGCTACTTGCTGTTTTAAGAGGCCAGATAACCTAGAGATGGGAGGTTTGGGTTCTTGCCCTGGTTCCACAACTCCTCTGAGCTACTGTGTCCCCATCTCTTTACTATGGGCGTAAAACTACCCATCTCCCAAAACTGTGAAAATTAGCTCATTAATAATCATATGAGACCTTCAATAAAGCTGAAGTAAAAATCAAAGCTATTTATTCAGATGTTTAAGAATTTCAAATTAAGGACTCACACTTAGCTTGTGGTTTTTACTCAGAATTAATGGGATTTAATAGAATCAGTCTGCATATTATTTTCCCTCTCTTCCATACCCTACAAATAAATGAGTCTCATCTTTACCTTTGAACATGCTATTTCTTCTATCAGGTATACTATCCCTAGATCTGTTCCTCTACATAAGTCCCAACCATGATTTCAATCCAGTTTAAATCCAGTAACAACCTGGGAAAAACCAAGAGTGGGGAAGGGAAGTGATTTGCCCAAGTCTGTACAGTGATTTAGTTACATGTGTTGTTTCATGTATTACCATTGGGTTTTCTGAATTCACTGTCTCTATAGAAAATTTTGAAAAGTAGAATTCCAAAGGCAATAAAACATTTTGGACATTTATGAGTTTTGCATGCTATTGAGCCTCTTAGATAAAACTTACTCTGTAAAATTGTATTATTCTTATTTCTGAAAAAGTCAGTTAAATACTGACATTTCTCAAAACACTACTTTTTAACATGAGGTGGCATTAAGGGTGATTATTATAAACAAATTTCTATTTACTTTTGAAGAAGATTTTGTTACAGACACCCAGCATTATAATGTGCAATTGACATTTAAGAATAATATTTAGTCCAAAGCTGAAAAGTGGTCATCCAGCCTCAAGATGAAAGCATGTCTCCAAATAACAGCTAAATTACAAACTGCATTTTGTAGCAGTGCTATAAAGGATGCTTACCAGGGATTGTTTCTGTGCAGATCTCAGTTAGGGTCAGTATGAGTATAGTGACAACACTTTCTAAGACAGCACTCCCTATAACAGGATAGCAACTGTAGAGCTAGCTCTTTAAGCTGATCAATGCATAGGCAAGGTGACTTAAAGTCATTCATAGATTACCTTTTGTTCTGATGTCTGGGGGCAAGGTTCCTGGTGCAGAAAAAGGAAGCCAATCACCTCTCCAATTTCTTTGACCACCACAGAGACTACATTAAATTGATTTTGTTCTGAAAGGAGCCAAAGTCTACAGCTCATTTCATACTGAAGTCTGGAGAGAGGATGTTATCTGGCTAAGGCTTCAATGTTTGATAAAGTGACAAAAATAATGGCTAAAATCTGTATTTTTAAAAATCCATCTCTGGACTAGAGATATGAAATGTATTCTGTCTTTTCCTAAAATGTGATATGAATTATAATTGTTCCAAAGTCTTCAGAAGTTCCCCATTTTCTCATCATTACATTCCTGCTGCCTGAAAGAATAATAAACTATCCAAAGTTATTATTGAGTTACAACCACAACTCTTTACCTTCAAATCACAAGTTCCCAAATGGTTTCTAACTATGGCCAAGCCTCCGTGCCTTTGATTTTACTCTTCTCTTGACCTGGATAATGCTACCTGTCAAAATCCTTTAAAGATCAACTCAGACTCATGTCTACTTTCCTTTTTTTTTTGAGACAGAGTGTCACTCTTGTCACCCAGGCTGGAATGCAGTGGCGTGATCTTGGCTCACTGCAGCCTCCACCTCCCAGTTCAAGCAATTCTCCTGCTTCAGCTTCCTGAGTAGCCACACCCGGCCAATTTTTGTACTTTTAGTAGAGACGGGGTTTTGCCATGTTGGCCAGGCTGGTCTCGAACTCCTGGCCTCAGGTGATCCGCCTGCCTCAGCCTCCCAAAGTGCTGGGATTACAGATGTGAGCCACTGTGCCTGGCCATGTCTACTATCTTGTAGCTCATTTATTTGGTTGAGTTATTATCCTTAGTGATTGGTTTATATTTTACTTCAGCCAGTTAATCACATATTTTCTTTTTTCTCCTTGTAAATTTTCATCACTGAGAATCTGAGAACTGTGTTTTGTTTTTCTTGATAGCATCTACAATATCAATAAATGTTCTATAAATGTGTGCTGGATTTGAATCTTCCATTGACCAAAGTCTTAAAAAACGTAGTATAAAAGGAAGACTGGAGCCCAGATCTTCTGAGTCCCAGTTTCAGTTCTCTTTTTATTCCAGGTTGAAAGTTGACTTTGATTTCCATTTTGGTCTTGTGTGAAGACACCTCTCCTGTCCCTGGCTTCACACTGGATGCTCAAAGCCAGCAGGGCACACTTTGACATACACTAATGGATGAAATCTTCCTCACTTATCCTGCAACCTTGGAAAAATCTCACATCCGGCAATCCCAAATGCAAACCCTAAGCCTTTCATCTGGGAGTCCATCTGGTATTATAAAATCCATAAATGTCTTTGTCAGTCCCAAGTTCTGCTGTGCTAAACATAGTTTTCACACCAAGTTACCTCTTGAATCCCACCCACCGAGTTCTCAGAAAAGTCATGTAACAATAATTGTTTTATCCAGCACTGTTAACATCTGTGATTTAATTGTGCCCAGCTGTTAAGAAAATGCAGAGAAAGACAAAGGAAAGAAGACACAAAGCCCTGCCCCCAGACCCCATCCCTATGACTCAAATGTTTTAGCACCAAGAACTCAAGAACTAGTTTAATCATTCTCTTCAAAGGTGTAGTGGGGAATTGACGTTAATCTCTTGCAATTTGAAATTAAAATTTCCTGAGTTTCTAATGGGAATGCTATTTGAGTTGCCTAACAGAAATGGGAGACAGTCATAGATCCTTTGTTTCAACTTCCTAGATTGGTGGCTGAGTAGAGACAGATTTGAAAAGATTTGTTTGGGGCCCTTAGAATGTTTAATCTATACTGGGACCTGTTGGCAAACTAGGAGAAAACTTTTCCTGCATCTAATACATGGCTCCCCAAAAAAGACTTCCTGAGACAGCTACTTCTACAGAATGTTAATAGGTATTTTGAAGAGAAAGGTAATGCTAAATCATTTAAGAAACACTAGGTAAAGCTAAATCTATCCCTCTAGGCTTCAACTTTCTAAATGAAGAGGGCCTTTATGATAATAATATATTTGTACTTGCCCAAGGAGGATAGAGCCTGTGGCTTATTTGACCATTAAGCACTTTTTCCATTGAAGCTCTGGTAGGACTCATGGTAACTGGGACACTTTAAATGAGCAAACAACACCAAAAATAAAATAAAATAAACAAATGTAAAACAATGCAAAAAACTCTAATCTAGTACTACTGTTCTCTTCTTCTTACATCAACCTGTGGAGTCACCTCTTGCTTTTACATCCTCTTCTCTGTTTTACTTCCATTTAGGCTATTCGTTAATTTATAAGCAACTATATGCCAATTTCTTCCTTTCCAAAAAAATCCATTTTTAATATTGTCTCCATGTTATTCTGAGATAGAAAAAGCAATGGCCTTGAATTCAAACAAATATGAATTCAAATTTTTGTTCTGGGGGTTACCGACTCTGTGATCTGGGGCAAATCTCTTTACTTTTAGTTGTTTATGCCTTACTTCTTCTGTAAAGGGAATAAGAAAACAGCCCTTAAGATCATTGCAAAACTGAAAAAATAAATATATGAAGCATTTATGATAATATGTGACTCACATCAGATCCCCATTATAAATATATGTGAAGCCCCATTCATAGTATTGCTAGTGTTATATTGACAGTGGTATTTGCAATAGAAATAGAATAAAAATAGCTTTGAAATAGCATACCACATAAATATGATGAGGTTTATCAATGCTGTTGATATGGACAGAAGGCAGGGAAATGCTAAAATGAGAACTTCACATCCCCGTTTTCCCACCCGAATGTTTCCTTTTGGCCTGCCACACCCCTTATCCTGTGCCCATGAAAACCCCAAGCTCCACTGGCAGAGGAGCAGAGCAGTGTGGCAGAGAACAGAAGAGAGAAGCATCAGAATGTTTAGAGGAGAAAAAGCAGCTGGACATCAGAGACTACAGCTGAACTCTAGGGGAAGAGCACCTTCCCACTCCATCCCCTTTCCAGCTCCCTATCCCACTGAGAGCCACTTCTACCACTCAATAAAATCTCCGCATTCACCATCCTTTAGGTCCATGTGACCTCATTTCTCTTGGACATTGGACAAGAATTCAGGACACCCTGGGTGGGGGAACTAAAAAAGGCTGTCACACTGGCCCCTAGTCCTCACTGGTAGAGGGAAGCTGGCCCATACAATGAGGTAAATGCCTCACTGAGCTGTTAGCATGCCCTCTGGGGTTCCAGGGGTCCCAGGCATCCCTTCCCAAAGGCAGAGATAAAAGAGCAATTGTAACACATGTGGATGCTGCCATGAGGCCTAAACAGGGCCTGTTCCCACTGGAGAGAAGTGGCTGGTGGTTCCAGTGTTTGTTCACTCTGGTTCCCACACCTGTCTGCTTGCGTGTTCCCTCCCATAAGGGGTTGAGCACAATGGCCAAGTAAACGAGCCACCCCTTTCACAAGTCCTGCAAAGGGGCCAAGGGAACTCTCTTGTTTCACTATTTTAAGTCAAGAGGCATAGTCAAAAGATTTATATACTCTCCCTGACCCCAGAAAAGTTATTCTAATTTGTACTGTTCATTTAATGCTGAGTTTCCCAACTGAGGGGCTGCAGTCAGGAGGCCTGCAAGGGTATTAATCCCCTTGATCTTTGTAGTTATCCAGAGCCCTTGGACTGCTCACTTCTGCCTCTAAGTAGCCTCTTTAGTTAATTACTATGTTTGGTACACATATGGTCATTAACTCAGGCAACATGATGTCAACCAGGATGTAGTGAACCACACTAGTTAATGTCATGATGTCAAAAACACAGTCATGAGGGTACAATGAGTTCTTGTTGAGTGACCCATTTAAACATTTAACCTTTATTTAAAACCAACCAAGGTTTCAGTTGTGACTGGGAGGTTGCTTACTTGGATACGTGACTTAAAAATTGTGTGTCATTTAAGAATTAATTAGATTGATAGATCTTTATAGACCCTTTGGACATTGAGATCATTAGATTGTATCAACTGACTCCAGCATATGCCCAACAGCTTGACCCTGAACTTTGTAGTTTTCCTTTTCCCAATTCATAACTCAGAAGTAAAGCCAAACAAAGAAATAAAGGCCAGCCTCTTTGGCCACCACAGATTTGCCACTCAGAGGGAAGTTGAGGCCTAACAGGCAAAGTATAAAGAAAGTTAAAATTTCTCAATAACAATGAAATGATTGAAGAACCCTCTGGTTAGTGTGGCTTAGTGTCAAGGGTTTTAGAGCCAGAAGGGCTTAAATTAAAACTACAATTCTAGATTCCTATCCCTGAGCTCTGATTATCCATTATCTAAATTGAAATGATGAAATGAGCAACTCAGACAGTAGCTGCAGAAAAATAACTTGTAAATGGTAAACTGCTGTGAACACGTGATTGTTGTGTTCTACTGGTCGTGATCCGGAGGACTGGTAGAGAGCAAATGAAGACTGAGCCAAAAAGACAGCATTTCCAGCCCATGCTTTACTTCTGGCCCCCTGCCTTTCCTTTCCCAATTTCACATTTTCACATTCTCACACTGGGGCTCAGACCGAAGGGAATGTGCCGTGGAGACTGGTGGTTTCCATCAGAACACAAGCTCCACGTTCCACAGTGGGATTCCCAGTCTCAGCACATGTTGGTCTGGACTCCGCAATCCCCCAGCTCCACTCTCCTAAATTGCTATCAGTCCCCACAGGACAGCTTCTTGCAATGTGTTGTTTTGTCTCTCCCTGTTGCTACAGCAATCCAAAAAAGATTTGTGTTTCCAATTCTCTGAAATGGAGACATCTGCGTGCAATTTTTGAAAATCCTTGTCAGGGTCCTCATTTACTGTTTTGATCAGCTCTCCCTGACATGTTAGCAGAGTTCCCAGAGAAGTTAAAAGGGAAGAGAGCCCTCTAGGCAAACAAGTGCTTCCCATAAAGGCAGCATGCCTATGGATTTCTGTCCTCTGTGGAGTGAACTCCAAGAATGCACAGATACCAAATTATCTCCCCAAGCCTAACCTGAGCCTTTCGATTCGACCCTAGAAGGAGAATGGTCAAATCAAAAGGCTCAGATTAGGACTCTCTTCCAGTTAAATTCTGTCAGGGAGTTGTCTCTTCTACATTTTTATATGAGCCCATGTGAGTCCTAAAAGTCCTGCCCCTTGCATGTGCCCCATTTTGAGAGGTGACAGAAGGTGACATTGTTTAGGACTGGACAACAGGAATCCTGATCTTTGTTCCTCATTGTAAATAACCATGTGGTCGTAGGTGTAAGAATCACATCTGGGCTTCAGTTTCATCATGTGTCAAATGAGTTGACTGGATGTCCACGGCCTCTTTGATGTCTGCAATAACTCTAGGCATGAAGATTATCCAGGAATGGGGCTCCAATACATACACCTGCTACTGCTAACCCCCAGGCAGAAATTTATTATAAAAGTTTAGTCACTGGACTACTGTTGGAATAATGTTTGGAAGTATTCTACTCCTCAATGGAGTAGAAAACTTATCTAGATCTTAAAGTCAGATAGACTCACTTCCAAGCCCTCATATGTTACTTTTTGGTAGTGTGACTCAGGGCAATTTATGTAAGGCCTCCAGGCTACTGGTAGCTATTTTACAAATAATTTGTGAAAAGTAGGTAAAGTAGTTTATGTAAAGTACAGAGCACAGTGCCTAAAACAAAGCAAGATCTATATAATTTCCCATTCCTCTTTTTTTTAATTATCCACTTTCTAACCTCAAGCTAGCCCAAATCCAAGCTTATATGTGTACATATTAATGCTTCTACATTTTTAAAATGTGTATAAATTTAAGGGGTACAAGTGCAATTTTGTCACATGGGTATACTGTGTAGTGGTAAAGTCCGGGCTTTTAGTGTATCTGTCACCCAAATACCTTTATGTTTATATGTGTGCATATACTGAAATGCATATGTACAGCTGAAAAATCACCCCCTCCACCCATATCATGGCTTTTGCTTAATTGGGGTATTAACACTTAAAAAAATAATTATAACTTTTAGTTTAGATTCAGGGGGTACATGGGTATATTGAGTGATGTGGAAGTTTGGGATACAAATGATCCTGTTATCCAGTTAGTGAGCATAATACTCAACAGTTAGTTTTTCAGTCCTTGCTCCCCTTGCACCCCCTTCCCTTTTAGGAATCTGCAGTGTCTATTGTTGCAATCTTCATGTCCTTGAGTATCCAGTGTTTAGCTCCCACTTGTAAGTGAGAGTATGTGGTATTTGGTTTTCTGTTCCTGCATTAATTCGCTTAGGATTATGGCCTCCAACTGCAGCTATGTTGCTGCAAAAGTGATTTCATTCTTTTTAATGGTTGTAAAGTATTTTATGGTGTACATGTACCACATTTTCTTTATCCAATCTACCGTTGATGGGCACCTTGGTGGATTCCATGTCTTTGCTATGGTGAATAGTGCTGTGATGAACATACATGTGCATGTAACCCTTTCTTCAAAATGAAATTGAATGATCTTCTTTTTCCATTTAATGCTATATATATTTATGTTAAATTTTACATGTTATATATTAATGTTCAATATATTTATGTAATATATTTTAATGTTCAATATATATCATATATATATTTTTTTTGAGAAGTGTCTATTCATGTTATTTTCCCACTTTTTAATGGGATTATTTGTTTATTTCTTGCTGATTTGTTTGACTTCCTTGTAGATTCTGGATATTAGTCCTTTGTCAGATACGTAATGTGAAAACATTTTCTCCCATTCTGTAGGTTGTCTGTTAACTTGGATGATTATTTCTTCTGCTGTGCAGAAGCTTTTTAATTCCATTAGGTTCCATTTATTTATTTTAGTTTTTATTGCTTTTGCTTTTGAGATTTGGTCATAAATGTTTTGCCTAGGCCAATGTCCACAAGAGTGTTTTCTGTGTTTCCTTCTTGAATTTTTAGGGTTTCAGGTCTTATATTTAAGTCTTTAATCTATTTTGAGTTACTTTTTTGTATATAGTGAGAGATAGGGATCCAGTTTCATTGCCCAACCAACAGAACACTTCTGCTACCTCTCCAGCCACACACAAACACACACAAATGTGAGTGCCTGCTCTCCCCCTGGCTCAGAGTCTCAAATTAAATATCTTTTCTTCTTGTTAGAAACCAAGCAAGGTTTTCTGCTAGTCCATTCTAGGTCCATGTAGATATGGCATCTGCATTTCAAAAAGTGCCAAATGGAAGCCAAAGTTGAGAGACAAAAAAGGTACTAGCTCTGTTCCTAGTCTGGAGTGGTCAAACAGTTTAATTTTTTCTGATATTAGAAAAACTGGGCAAACACCCCCAAAATTGGGCCTTTCTTGTTCCTGGTGACTGATACAGTGAGATACCATGTTCTTGATTTTTGCCAGACCCTGTACTAAGTGTGGATACATATTATTTTATCCCAGTTACTTCTCATAGCCACCCTATGAAATTTACTCTATTATTAGTGCCCATTTATACATAATGAAACAAAGGCTTAAACAAGTTAAGTGACCTGACAAAGTTCAGATGGCTAGCAAGTCTCATTCATAAGATCCCCCACCAGACCCCAGTCTTCCACAAGATTGACCACTCCAGGATTTGATCACTTATCTTTTCTTTATGTTCTTCCTTAGATGATGGTATCTGGTCTAATCACTTAAAAAATTATGTATACACTAAATATCTTTACACATAAATCTCCGGCCATGATCTCTACAAGGAGCTCCAGATTCATATATTCAACCACCCCATTCAGCACCTCCATTTCAAGGTTCTTTAGACACGTCCAACTTATGATCAAAAATAAATTCCATTTATCACCCTCCTTAATATGTACCCCTCTCTCCCAGTTGTTTGCATCTCAGAAAATATTACTATCATTGATTGATTATCTTTTACACTTCATATACTATCTATCAACAATTCCTGTCCTCTCTACTTTCAAAATATATGCAGGATCTAAGCACTTTTCCCCATCTGAGTCTAAACTGGGTGTCCAACAGAAATATAATGTGAGTCCTACATACAATTTTTAATTTCCCAGTAGCCACATTTTAAAAAGTAAGAAGAAACCATTGAATAACATATTTAATAGCATTTTATTAACATATTTATTAATGCTTTATTTCATCCATTTGAGCAATTATTTGAGAAAAATATTTCAACATGTAGTTAATACAAAATAGATATTAGGCAGACATTTTACATTATTTTCTATTAAGCCCTTGAAGTCTGATGCATACTTACACTTACAGAGCATGTTCGTTTAAAGGAGCTACATTTCAATTGTCAGTAAGCATATTTGACCAGTGGGTTCTGTGTTGGACAAGCAGTGCAGGTCCAACATCATAATCCCCCTAGAATTCTCTAATAGCCCCCTAGCAAGTCTAAATTATTCTACTCTTATTCCACCAAGTCTAGGATTCACACCACAGTCTAATGATCCTTTAAAAATGTCAATCAGATCATGCCACTCTATTGTTCCAAATACCTCTGGTTTCCTAGCACTTATAAAACTCTGAAGCCCTTCCATGGTCTGGCTCCTGACTGCCTCCTTGACAGGGCTCTCTGATCCTCTGCTCTGTACACTCTCGCACTGTGCTTCAGTACGCTGGCTCTAGCAGACACAGTTGATGGTTTTTCCAGACCCTTTTGTATCTCTGTGTTGTTCTTGTGCTCATCGTCCACCCTCTGCGAGCCTTATCTTCTAATGGCTGACCCCGAGACTTTGTTTAAAGGACTGCCCCTGGGCATATGGAGCTAATCCTCTTGCCTATCCTAACAGAGACCTGGAATCTAGGGGAGTCGACTTCCTCCCTGGCTCCCTGAAGTGTAGTATAATCTCCAGGAAAGACGAAGCTAAGGCCAGCACTTTGTGTAAATTCTTACTCTTTCCTTTCCTACCTCCTAGACTCCATTACAGATTCCTTCTGCAAATGCTTCCATAATGAATAACTTATAAGACAGCATGGGCAAACTAACCTAGGACAATGGCCTTAGACACTCTTCTACATCAGAATTGCCTTTACAGTTGCCAGTCCTCAGCCTAGAACTCTCTTCTCCCATAGAGAAACATGGCCGGCTACTCTCACTTCATTCAGGTTTCTGCTCAAACATCACCACCTCAAGAAAAGCTTTCTCTGATGTATGTGTCTGTTTCTCCCTTTCTTCTTCTCTGCTTTATTTTCCCAGATAAGAATTATCACCATCTGACCTTATATAAGTGAGTTTTCTTGTCGTTATTGCTCGTTTCTTTCACTAGGATATAAACTTCATGAAACAACTTTGTTTTGTTCACATAATATTCATAATACTCAGAAGTGTGCTCAACAACACTGCTAAATATGTATTTAGTTAATAAATGTATGAATGAATGAACTGGTGGAGGCACAACCAGGGTAGACAGTATTAATTCCAAAAATGCATATGCTACATGTTTGAAAAGCCTAAATCTACAAAAATTATTTCAAATTGTTAGGGTGCACACAAATACATATATGTTCAAAAAAACATTTTTTATCAACCATCCTATAGGGCTAGAATGCCATACACTCTGCCTCTGTAACAAGGAATGGCCCCATTTCTTAAGGGAAAAAGAACGAAAGTATACATTATTACTCTGAAAACTCTCTAGCTATTAGGAATTGTAGCTACTTACTTTCCAAGCCCAACTGTGACTCCAACCAATAGTGCACCAACATTAACCAATGTCAGATTGAAAACATAAGAATTCAGATTAAAGAAATGAAGTAATTACAAAATGCTTTCACGGTTCCTGGTATATTATATGCTCTTTATTCACAGTTGCTAAATTATCACAGTGGTTCTTTGCTCCCTGATATCTTGCTCAAAACCTGAGTCTTAACTCAGTTATATCAATGTGAAAGAATGAGATCTGGTTGGGAACAGAACTAGAATTCAGAGGGCGAAGCTGATAAAATATGCAATGCCACATTTCTAGGACTTTGTGTCCTGAACACTGACCACCGTAACCTGCACAGAAGGGATGAGAAATAGCAGTGAAGGGGAACATATGATTTCCCAGGAGAAAAAATTATCAACTCTGTGGCTTGAGTAACAGAGTTGCTCAGTAAACTTTACTGGTAGTTTGCAGTCTGTCTGAAAATACTAGCACATTCTTCCAGTACCCTAGCCAATATTGCTTTTGGAATAGAAATTATTGGCAGATTGTGAAAAGACGACTGAAATAGTTTAGAAATGAGCTTTTGCCTGTGCTAATCACTCCAACCTTTTCATGTTTAAGTAAGTCAGTGAAAGGAGCATGTACTCTGTCTTTAAATGTCAATTAGCTAGGGAGTCATTTAATTCATCAAGGAAATGCAATTAAATGATAAAATGACGATTACATTAGGATCATTAATATTGATATCAAAACCACAAGCAACGTAACAAATGCCATGACATTCCTGGGGAAATGAATATCAACCCTGTTCCTATTCTACCATGGAACTCTGCTTCTGGGAACAAGATTCAGAGCACACTGTAGTTGAGATGTGACAGTCTTCAGGATGTGGTACCAGTTCAGTCCCTGGGATGAGATGCCAGGGCCTGGGAGCAATGATGAAGTGGGTAGCACAAGGGTAATGATCATTATTATCTATTGTCCTACTGCTGCTGTAACAAATGGCCACAAACACAAACAGGTTTTAATGGCTTAAAACAACACAAATCAATTATTGTACCATTCTGGATGCCAAATGTCTAAAATGGGTCATACAGGGCAAAAATCAAGGAATCTACAGAGCTGCATTCCTTCTGGAGCCCCTAGGGGAGAATCCATTTTCTTGCCTAATCAAACTTCAAGGCTGCCTTTATTCCTCAGCCCTGGCCTCTTCCCCATATTCAAAACCAGTAGCATGGCAGTTTCAAATCTCTCTTTGGTCTGTTTCACACCACATTACCTTCCCTAACTGTGATGCTCCCTCCTACAAGGACCCTTGTGATTACATTGGGCCCAACCAGAATAACGTAGGATAGTCTATTCAACTCCAGATCCTTAACTTTAATCACATCTGTAAGGTTTCTTTTGCCTAGTAAAGAAACATTCAGAAGATCTAGAAATTAGAATGTGGACATCTTTGGGGCCATTATACTGTCCACTAAATTCCCTGTCACAGGCTTCCCTTATTTCTTCTGTATTTTCTACCCTTTTATCTGTGAACAGTTGACTCTCATGTGGCAAAAAGGACTTGTCCAAACTCTGAAGATACTTGACCAAACTCTAGCCTGGCTTTCATCTGCACCAAGCTATGTCCCTAAAGGCAACCTCTGCTTCCATGCTGAGTTTTTACTCGAGAAAATACAAGCCACCAAACCCCAAAATGTACATTGTTCCAACCCACTTTGCCATACCATTTTATTTATTTATTTTTTTTGAGATGGAGTCCTGCTCTGTCACCAGGCTGGAGTGCAGTGGCACAATCCTGGCTCACTGCAACCTCTGCCTCCCGGGTTCAAGCAATTCTCCTGCCTCAGCCTCCCGAGTAGCTGGGATTACAGGCGTGCGCCACTACGCCCAGCTAATTTTTGTACTTTTAATAGAGACGTGGTTTCATCATGTTGGCCAGGGTGGTCTTGATCTCCTGACCTTGTGATCCGCCCGCCTCGGCCTCCCAAAGTGCTGGGATTACAGGCGTGAGCCCCCGCGCCCGGCCTGCCATACCATTTTAAGTAATTTTCCACTTACCTCTCTTTTCTGTAACTCTCCATTTCTACATAGCTCCCAGTCTCTTTCTCATTCCCGCTTAGTCCAGTTTTGTTCCCTATCTGTTCTCCCTTTAAAAACCTTTGTTATCTTCATCTTAGTTGGAGTTGAGCTTGTTCTATATTAGAGTCTCTCCTTCTTCTATAGTAGTCTGAATAAAATCTATCTTCCGACCTTTAACAAGTATCTGGCTCTGTTTTCTCTTTGACCCCTCTCTCACAGCAAACATTAGAAAAGGATCTGAAATAAAACTTTTGAACCTTTCTGTGATTTGGAATCTTTGTGTCTTCTCACAGAAATACAGGTCAGAGAGGTCAAGCGAACTTATCAGTTTAACAACATTAGCAAGAAAGAAGGTGTTTCTTGCTAGAACCATGCCACCTGACGTATGTGCCAAGCAGGGTAATGATATGGATTAGGATTATGAAACAGATCAGAGAATCTTCATGAAAGACATGGGGTTTGATTTAAGCTTGAAAAATTATCAAAACCTGGTGGAGGAGTGAAAGCAAAGAAAGAACAGAGGAGTGCGAAGGCAGAAGATGTCTTAAACACAGGAGAATCAGGAAGCACACGGTAAACAAACCTTCTCTATGAGGATGTATAAAAATGTCACTTTCAGCCGGGCGTGGTGGCTCACGACTGAAATCCCAGCTCTTTGGGAGGCCGAGGCGGGAGGATCACGACGTCAGGAGATAGAGACCATCCTGGCTAACACGGTGAAAACCCGTCTCTACTAAAAATACAAAAAATTAGCCAGGCGTGGTAGCGGGCACCTGTAGTCCCAGCTACTAGGGAGGCTGAGGCAGAAGAATGGCGTGAACTTGGGAGGCGGAGCTTGCAGTGAGCGGAGATTGCACCACTGCACTCCAGCCTGGGCGACAGAGCGAGACTCCGTCTAAAAAAACAAACAAACAAACAAAAGTCACTTTCGTCAAGTGATATTTTCTTTGCTGATCAGTTACTTTTAGAATCCACTCCTTCTTAGTCTCCCTTGTTCTGTTCCATATTTTCCCTTTATAATTTCATGTTTGCAAGATCAGAACAAACAGGGATCTTTATATTCCCCACCAAAATACAGTGGTTAGTGGCGTTGCCACTGCATAGATGGACAGTCACGCCTTGGGTCCAGTCACCTGCACTCTCTTCCTCACAATGTGAGTGATCAAAGACCTAGACTCTCAACTATCTGCCAACTTTGTCTCTATTGTTAGTAAGATTTGCTAGATCTGGAGTTCTGAGAATTGGAGGAATGGTGTACTCTTGATCTGTCTTATTCTGCATATGTATTTTGGCCAAAATGTCCCTTCCATGGTCAGAAACAGGGTAGAAAGATGAATGTTAGAAACACATGCATGACTCACTTCCCTGGTGACTATTCTACTCCAGTCAGGACTTTCGTGGGGTCTCCTGAGCTAAATAAATGTTTATTTTGAATGCTAAAAGAAAAAAAAGAAAGCCTCATAGGAGAAATGTTAACCAACAACCATAGCCCACAGGTAGCATAGAATCAACTAAATGAATCTTTTACAACCCCTTGCAGTTTTATAGCCTGCCTACCACTATAGACACTAGTCATGGGCTATTGCCTTCTTAAATGCCAAAGTTACTTATCTTAAAATTTTCTCATATGCGAATAAGAGAGAGCTAGTTTTCCACAAAGAGAAAGATATTTTTATTTTTATTTTTTTGTTTTTTGTTGTTTTTTTTTTAAGATGGAGTCTCGCTCTGTCACCCAGGCTGGAGTGCAGTGGCGCGATCTCGCCTCACTGCAAGCTTCACCTCCTGGGTTCACCCCATTCTCCTGCCTCAGCATCCCTAGTAGCTGGGACTACAGGTGCCCGCGACCACACCCAGCTAATTTTTTTGTATTTTTTAGTGGAGACGGGGTTTCACCGTGTTAGCCAGGATGGTCTCGATCTCCTGACCTCGTGATCCGCCTGTCTCGGCCTCCCAAAGTGCTGGGATTACAAGCGTGAGCCACCGCGCCCAGCTGATATTTGCACATTTTTAATACAATAGTAGAGCACATAATCTGTGCCTAAAAAGAAAAGAATTGTTTTTTCCTTTTAGTGTCCACAGTCTTTAAGGAAAAAAATAATCAAATAAACATAACCTTTATAAAAGCACAATGAGTACATAGGAAAAAATTACCTAGCTGATTAGGGAAGGTATTATAGAAGAGGTTATAATTAAAGCAATTCTTCACAGTGAAATCCTGTGAGTTTGCTAGGTATAGATTCTGAAGGGAAGAACATTATAGGCAAAAAGAATCAAATTGCAAAAGGCCAGAGGAATAAGAATATGACATATTGCTGAAATATTAGAAGTTCAGTGATTAGGACTTTGGGTGCAAAGGAGTTCTTGATGAGAAGTAAAATCAGAAAAGGAGAATTAGCTGGATTATGAGAAACCCTGCATGCTACATATGAGATGTAAACTTCATCCTGTAGGTGATGAGAAGCCACTAAAACAATTGACACAAGGAATGACTGTGCCCATTGTATAACTGAAAATGATGGCTTGGTCAAGCAGTGTGGAGGATGTTGAAGAAGATAGTGAGACTGACCAATGAGGCAAAGAGACTCCAATCCAGGCAAATAGATAGTCCAGCCTAGTGGATGTTTTAATACTGAAGAAGAGTTGAATTGAAAACAAAAAAACTTAGAAGGTAGAATGGACTGGAAGTGGAGACCAACTGATGATGGGGAAAGAGAAGCGTGAAGATTAAAATGAGTTCTAGGCACTTGGTTTGAGTTACTGGGAGACACTGTGACATCGACTGCATGAGAGGCAATAGGAAAAAAAGTTTCTCCAAAGACGTCGTCCACCACTAACTTATAGATTTGGGAGGGAATAGTTCTTATAACTGGACATGTCCCTTAGCCACTGGAAGGCTGAGAATTCATATAGAATGCCTATGTAGGAGGCAGGCATGTCCTGATGACTACAGTGTTTAAATAGATGAAAATATTCAGATTGTCTGGAAAATATTTCACCATTAGAAGTGATCTAACTGTGAAAGTGTCTATTTGGAACCAGCCCCAGTTCCTAAACTTCTTGAAGGCTTTTCCTTGCAAGGAGGTGAAATAAGCAATACTAACTTCACCCTCACAGAGTCAGGAATTGTGCAAGAAGCAATGCTGGGAATAGCTAATTCATCTAAGAAAGTGAAGCTCAGCAGGATGGCAGTGGTCCATGGAATCATTGCTTTTAAAACTGGAATAAAATTAGAATAGTATCTGGCTGGATTGCAATCTTCTACTGGACTGATAATGTAAATTTCTCTGATTTGTTGGTCAGTTGCAGTGATACAGTTTTTCTGACCCCTTCAGATGTGCGGGTTAATTTCAAAATAGAAAATTACTAAATCTCAGAGCAAAATCACAGACTATAGATGAGCTTCTTTAATCTCTTCTTGTAAACAGAAGGTTGAAGTCTAAGAAATATTAAGAAACTGATCAAAGATCAAACAGTAACTTGGATATGGGGATTGGTTAACTCACATGATGAACAGATTCTGAAAAACTTGAATTAGCCTATAACTGGGTGCCTATAAATGAACAGCGTTTGCTGTGTACTTGCTGTATGCAGGGATGTATCCCGAGTGTAAGACATGTCAAGTGTCAGTGATAAGCTTAGGTCAGTTCTAGAATAATGAAATTTCCATAGACAGGTTGGGTCGAGTAAATTTTTCATTACTAAGATCTACCTATCTTTATTACTTAAGACCATTGACCAGTTTTTCAACCTATATCTCATACAATAGCCTGAACACTCAATGTTCCTGCAGTGCCTTTGGACCCCACCATATTATCATCCTTCTTATCACTGCTGATTTCTTCAGTGTTTTCTACATTGCAGGTACAGTACTAAACATTTTACATTTATTATCTCATCCAATCTCACAGTCATCTTATGAGGCTGGTACTATTATTATTCCCATTCTATAGAAGTGAAGTTCAGAAAGAAGTAATTAGTCCAATATCACATAGCAGGTACATGAAAGAGCCTGCACTAAAGACTGTGAAGGTTAGAGGGGACTTCATGGTTATATTTGCTAAATTTCTGCATCGTTCTCAGCAACAAGACACTCATCCCACTTCTGCTCTGATTGACTCAGGAATGAGGATTTATTACCAACAAACACAGTTATCTTCATTTCATACATTTGTAACTGTTCTTCCTTATAATGAAGCTGAATTCAGTATCTTTATAACATTTAATTATGAGTCCTGGTCATATCTCTTGAGATCCTCACAATAGTTCAAAAGCGTCATCTATCTGAGAGTTATTCAAATATGTGAAGACAGAGTCTTCTTTCCAATATTTAGTTTCCTTCAGTTCTCCTTCATATGTTCTGACTCCTGAATCTCTTACCATTTTTATTATTCTCTTTCAGAAATCTTTTTAATTATCAAGAATTCTCTCACCAAAAGCAAAACAAAACAAACATCACAAACACAAACTTCCAGAAGTAAATCAACTGTCCTGGATAGATTAGAATTTACAGCATGACTTTTTAAGTGAGTGAACATATTAAATAAAAGAACACAAGCAAAAGATATAGGTTAAATCCTGACTTTGTCATTTGCTGAGCTAAGTCCCCTTACCTTCTCCCAATCTCAGTGCTCAATTGTTAAATTGAGACAATGATACCACACTCATTGTCTATTAAGGACAAAATAAAATAATAGGCAGTCATTTTATTGTGCTTAATTTTATTGTGCTTCACAGATATTGCATTTTTTACAAATTGAAGTTTTGTGGCAACCCTGAATCTAGCAAGTCTATTGGTAGCAGTTTTCTAACAGTAAGTGCTCACTTTGTGTCTCTGTGTTAGATTTTATTAATTCTCATACTACCTTAAACTTTTTTGTTATTATTATATTTGTTATGGTTTTCTGTGAGCAGTAATCTTTGATGTTACTATTGTAATTGTTTGGGGGCACCAAGAACTACACCCATACAAGAGAGCAAACAATCGATAAATGTTGTGTGTGTTCTGACTGCTCCACCAACCTGCATTCCCCCACCTCTCACCCTCTCCTCAGGCCTCTGTGATTCCCAAGACACAACAATATTGAAATTAAGCCAAATAATAATCCTACAATGGCCTCTAAGTGTTCAAGTGAAATAAAAATCGCATGTCTCTCATTTTAAATCAAATCTAGAAATGACTAATCTCAGTGAGGAAGACATTTTGAAAGCCAGGACAGAAAAAAAAAAAAAAAGTTTATTGTGCTAAACAGTTAGCTAAGTTGCTAATCCAAGGGAAACATTCTTGAAGGAAAAGTGCTACTCCAGTGAACACATGAATAAGAAAGCAAAACAGTTTTATTCCCGATATAAAGATGGTTTTAGTTTGACAGAAGATCAAACCATCCACAACATTCCCTTAAGCTAAAGCCTAATGCAGAGCAAGGCCTTAATTCTCTTCAATTCTAGGATCGCTGAGAGGAAGCTTCGGAAGTCTGAAACTAAACAGCTTGCTTCATAATATTTAAGGAAAGAAGCTGTCTCTAAA
The DNA here is from genome assembly GCF_000001405.40 of Homo sapiens. Classification (NCBI taxonomy): domain Eukaryota; kingdom Metazoa; phylum Chordata; class Mammalia; order Primates; family Hominidae; genus Homo; species Homo sapiens. Next base: position 115,454,304 of record NC_000009.12, on the reverse strand, counting down.
GCATAAAAGTGCAAGGTGAAGCAACAAGTTTTGATGTAGAAGCTGCTGCAAGTTATCAAGAAGATAAGATATTTGATGAAGATGGTTACTGAATAACAGATTTTCAATGTAGGTGAAACAGTCTTATATTGAAAGATTAGTCTGTTTTCATGCTGATGATAAAGACATACCTGAGACTGGGAAGAAAAAGAGTTTTAATTGGACTTACAGTTCCATATGACTGGGGAGGACTCAGAATCATGGTGGGAGGCAAAAGGCACTCCTTACATGGCAGCGGCAAGAGAAAAATGAGGAAGATGCAAAAGTGGAAACCCCTGACAAACCATCATATCTTGTGACACTTATTTATTACCATGAGAACAGTATGGGGGGAACCGCCCCCATGTTTCAAATTACCTTTCACCAGGCCCCTCTCACAACACATTGGAATTATGGGAGTACAGTTCAAGATGAGATTTGGGTGAGGACACAGAGTCAAACCATATCAAAGAAGATGCCATGTAAGACTTTTATAGCTAGAGAGGAGATGTCAATGCCTGACTTTAAAGCTCCAATGGACATAGTGCAGCTTGTGACTTTCAATTGAAGCCAATACTCATTTAGCATCCAAAAAATCCTATGACTCTTAAAAATTATGATAAATACATTCTTCCTATGTTCTATAAATAAAATCAAAGACTATAGAGGCTTTATGGCAGCAAATTTGTTTACAGAATGGTTTATTGAACATTTGAAACCCAATTTTGAGACCTACTGCTAAGAAAAAAGTGATTTCTTTCTAAATATTACAGTCCATTGACAATGCACCTAGTCACCCAAGATCTCTGATGGAGAAGTACAAGGAAATTAATGTTTTCATGCCTGCTAACACAACATCCATTCTACAGCCCATGAATCAAGCAGTAATTCTGATTTTTAAGTTTTATTATTTAAGACATTTTGTAAGGCTTTAGCTGCCATACGGAATAATTCTTCTAATTTACGCAAAGTAAGTTGGAAACCTTCTCGAAAGGACTCACCATTTTAGACACCATTAAGAATATTCGTGATTCATGGGAGGGAGGTCAAAATATCAACATTAACAGGGTTTTTGAAGAAGTTGATTCCAACCTTCATGAGTGACTTTGAGGAATTCAAGACTTCAGTGGATGAAGTAACTGCAGATGAGATGGAAATAGAAATAGAACTAGGAGTAGAAGATGTGACTGAATTGCTGCTATCTCATGATAAGATTTTAACAAATGAGGAGTTGCTATTTATTGATGAGCAAAGAATGTGGTTTCTTGAGGTGGAATTTATTAGTGAAGATGCTGTGAAAATTGTTAAAATGACAGCAAAGGCTTTAGAATACTGAGAATACTACATAAACATAGTTGTTAAAGCAGCAGCAGGGTTTGAGAGGATTGACTCCAATTTTATATGTTTTATTCATTTATTCATTCTTTAAAGACAAAGCCTCACTCTGTCATCCAGGATGGAGTGCAGTGGTTGTCATAGCTCACTGCAGACTCAAAGTCCTGGGCTCAAGCAATCTGCCACCTCAGCCTTCTGAGTAGCTAGGACTACAGGCACACACCACCACACTTGGCTATTTTTTATTTATTTATTTTATTGTTGTTGTCATTAGAGACAGGGTCTTTCTTTGTTGCCCAGGCAGTTCTCAAACTCCTGGCCTCAAGCGAGCCTCCTGCCTTGGCACCTCCAAGCACTGAGATTATAGGCATGAGCCACCATGCCCAACCTCCAAATTTTGAAAGAAGGTCTACTTTGGGTAATTATCAAACAGCATCACATGCTACAGAGAAATCTTTCAGGAAAGGAAGTCAATCAATACAGCAAACTTCACTGTTGTCTTATTTTTTTTTCTAATTGCCACAACCACCCTAATCTTCAGCAACAATCACTCTGATCCCAGTTAGCAGTCATCAACATTGAGGCAAGACCCTCCACTAGCAAAAAGATTACAATTCACTGAAGGCTCAGATGATTGTTAGCATTGTTTAGTAATAAAGTATTTTAATTAAGGTATGCACATTTTTAGACACAGTGCTATTGCATACTTAATACACTATAGTATAATGGAATCATAATTTTTATATGCACCGGCAAACTAAAAAAAATGTGGGCCGCGTGCAGTGGCTCACGCCTGTAATCCCAACACTTTGGGAGGCCGAGGCAAGTGGATCACCTGAGGTCGGGAGCTCGAGACCAGACTGACCAACATGGAGAAACCCTGTCTCTACTAAAAATACAAAATTAGCCGGGTGTGGTGGCACATGCCTATAATCCCAGCTACTAGGGAGGCTGAGGCAGGAGAATGGCTTGAACCTGGGAGGTGGAAGTTGCGGTGAGCCGAGATCATGCCATTGCACTCCAGCCTGGGCAACAAGAGTGAAACTCCGTCTCAAAAAAAAAAAAAAGGAAAAAAAAATGTGTCACTTGCTTACTTGTGATATTTCCTTTGTTGCCCTAGTTTGGAATTGAAGCCACAATATCTCAGAGGTATGACTGTATACAAAGAATATCATATTATTTCTAGAGGTAATAAGCGTTCAATATGATGATTTAAAATTATTTATAAAGGACTTTCACCTTCAGAAAGATTGAGTAGATCTACCTTTCTCCTAGTAAGTGCAACTAAAACCTGTAGATACTATATATATAAACACACAAAAGAAGACTCAGAAGGTTGAGGAGAGGAAGGCATGCCATCTAGGGACCTTGTGACCTGAGGAACAATGAGACAGTGAGTCTGTGGGTTTCTTTTTGCCTCATGTGTTCAAGACTGGGAGTCAAAGAAGCCAGTAACCTAAAAATGCTAATAGACATAGACATTAGCATTAGCGTAGACCAAAATCTCCAACAAAAGCTTTTTGGTTTTCCTCTCTAGCAAAAGACCAGGAAAGGAACAGTCAGGCCGGACATAAAGACAGATTTTAGGCAACCATCAATCTACCATGGACAAATGCATCAGAAACTGTGACCAATCCATACTTGCACGAGTAAATGCCAGGTGAGGAGCAGCCTAAACATTCATCCTCACAAGGCTGTAATACAGCACCCCCAATACCCAAGACTGGCGTGATTTAAGAGAAGACCAAGTTAGGACCAATGATTTCAATTCCTCTAGCCAGTAATGGGCCATCCTGCTGGTGTCATTAGAGACCACATAAAATTTCTGAACTTCTACCCCAACTCCCCATTTCCCTTCACACTGGGACAGTGTCAGGGCAGACCTCGTGAAGATTCAGGACTTTCACCATCATCTAAAGTAATAAAGCCACACCTTCTGTAGCAGTAGTGGAGATCCCGTAGGAAGCCAGACTCCTTCCAGCAATAGCAATGAGCCTCCCTTCCTTCAGTGTCAATGAAAATCAAGTAGAGAACCTGGATTTTACCATCACCAGACAAGATGGTCTTCTCCCTGCCCCTGGCAGGACAATGTCAGAGAAAACCAGTCTTATTTAAATGGTAGGTTTAAATAAGATCCAGATTTTTACAAAACAATCTCCTTGTTTAATTTAAAACCACTCATCATGTCAAGGATTAGGATGATCTCAAACAGAACAAAAAAAGACAATAAATAATAAAACTAAGATAACAGAGATGTTAGTATCAGCTGACAAAGATTTTAAAGCAGCATAAAGAGAGGTAAGCTTTCTATACCTTACTCCACCTAGTAAAATGATGGCAACAGTAGACTGCAATAACTTCTGTATAAATGATGTAATATATTACCTAGAGGAACCACAAAAGATACACTCTTAAAAATATTAAAGGTATATCAAATTGTAATTCTAAGAAATGTTCAGTAACCCATGGGAAGGCTGGGGAAAGAAATTGGAAAAATGAAAAACATTACAAGCGAAACCAAAAGATCAAATCAAATCAAGTAGCAGACTTAAGGTCTAACATAGCAATATTACATCAAATGTAAATTATTTAAGTACAACAATTAAAATACAAATATTGGCAGAGTTGCTTTAAAAAATATGACCCAGTCATTTGCTATATATAAAAAACTCCAAATATTAGGGGTTTATGCAAAAGTAATTGTGGTTTTTGCCATTAAACTAATGGCAAAATACAGGAAGGTTAAAAGTAGAAAGATGAAAACAATATATCATGTGAATTTTTATTGAAGGAAAACAAAAATAGCTATGTTAATGTAAGATAAAATAGACTTCAGAGCAAAGAAAATCATCAGAGACAGAAAACAGCATTACACAATGAAAAAGGGTCAATCTATCAAGATGATATACCAGACCTAAGTGTGTATGCATCAAATAACAGAGCTGAAAAATATATGAAACAAAAACTGATGGAGAATTAAATAACTGTACATTCATAGTTGGAGACTTCAACACACCTTTTTCAATAATTGATAGAACAACTAGACAGAAAATCAAAAATAATATGGAAAAATTAACATCATCAAACAATAGGATTTAATAAACATTCAAAGAACACTTTACTCAACAATAGCAGTATACACATTTTTTTTTCAAGCATCAGATCATATGTCAAGATATACCATCTCCTAGGACAAAAAAGAAACCTCAAAAAATTTAAAAGAATTTAAAGTAATCCAATGTGCTCTGACCACAATGAAATCAAACTGTAAATAAATAACCAAAAGATAAGAGGAAAATCTTTGAATACGTGGAAACTGAACAACATCCATCTAAATAGTCCATGGGTCAAATATAACATCTCACAGGAATAAAGAAAATACATTGAACTGAATGAAAATGAAATGCAACATATTAAAATGTGTGGAACATAGCTAAAGCAGGGCTGAGAAGAAAATTTATACCATTAAGTATGTACATCAGAAAAGAGAAAAAGTCAAAATAAGCCCAAAGCAAGCAAAAAAAAAAAAAAAAAAAAAAGAAAGGAAAAGATAAGAACAGAAATTAATGAAATAGAAAATAGAAAAACAATATGGAAAATCAATTAAATGAAAATTTAATTTAATAGTTCTTTGGAAAGACCAATAAAACTGACAACCCTCTAGTGATATTGGCAAAGAAAAAATTAAAGAAGATGCAAACTACAAAGCTCATGAACAAATTAGGAGATATTACTACAGAACCTGTAGACACAAAAAACATAATGAAGGAAGGCTCCAAACAAAGCTAGACACATAAATCTGACAACTTAGGCAACATGCAACACTTCATTGAAAAACACAAATTGCTATTCAAAATAAAACAGGTAATTTGTAGAGTCCTATAGCTATTCAGAAAATCAATTTTATAATTTAAAAGCTGCTTAAAGAGAAATCTCTAGGCCCATTTGGTTTCACTGGAGAATTCTCCCAAACATTTAAGGGAAAAATAACACAAATTCTACATAACTTCTTCAAGAAAATAAAAGGAAGGAATACTTACAGTTCATTTTATGTAGCTACCATTGCCCTCAATGGGGAAATATAGTTTTTTCAACAAACTGTGCAGAGTGCTTGGACATCCATGAGCAATAAAAAATAAGTAAATAAAAGTACCTTGACCTAAGTCTTACATCTTCTACAAAAATTAGCTCAAAATGGATTATGAACTTACATGTAAAACATACAACTATAAAACAATTTCTTTAAATAGGAGAAAATCTTCACAATTCAATGTAATCCACCATTCAAATAGCCTGATGAAGCAAAATCACATGAATATATCAATCAATGCAGAAAATATACTTGAGAAAACTCAGCATCCATTCATGGTTAAAAAAAAAAAAAAAAGTCGGAAAAATAGGAAAGGAGAACTTCCCAAACTTAATAAAAAGCATTTAGCAAAAACAAAGAAATACCCTATAGTTAAGACTATACTTAACGGAGAAAGACTGAAGGCTTTATTTCTTAGTTCAGAAACAAGAGAAGAGTCCTTGCTGTCATAATGCTGGGAATTCTCTTCAATATAATGAGGGAGGAAAGTGAAATAAAAGACATACAGATAAAAAAGAAAAAGGTAGACCAGGAGATACGTATTTGCAAACCACATATGTGACAAAATATCTAAAGTATATTAAGGATTCTTAAAATTCAGCATTATAAAATGTAAACAATCCAGTTAGAACAAAGGCAAAATACATCAAGAGACCTCAAAGTAAAAGATATATAGATGGCAAATAAACACATGAAAAACAAAATCAACATTATTAGCAATTAGGGAAATGGAAATTAAAACCACAATGCAATATCACCACACATCTATTAGAGGGCTGAAATAAAAAGTGGTAACAATACCATATGCTGTCTAAAATGTGAAGAAACTGAATCATTCAGACATTGCTGTTGAGAATGTAAAATGATACAGCTACTATGGAGAACAGTTTGGCAGTTGTTTGCTTTTGTTGTTGTCATTGTTGTTTTTAATTTCAGCTTTTATTTTAGATACAGAGGGTTCATGTGTAAGATTGTGACATGGGTATTTTGGACCCAGGTAGTGAGCCTGGTACCCAATAGGTAGTTTTTCAACCCATGCCCCGTCCCTTTTACCCCCACTAGTAGTCTGTAGTGTCTATTGTTCCTATGTTTATGCCCATGTGTGATCAATGTTTAGCTTCCACTTATAAGTTAGAACATGCCGTATTTGGTTCTATTCCTGTGTTAATTCATTTAGGATTATTGTCTTCAGCTCCAAACATGTTGCTGCAAGACATGATTTTATTCTTTTTTATGGCTGCATCGTATTCCATGGTGTATATGTATGACATTTCTTTATTCAATCCACCATTGATGGGTAGTTTCTTAAAACTAACATTCAACTACCACATGATACTGCCATTGCATTCTTGGGCATTTAACCCAGAGAAATGAAGATTTATATTCAAACAAAAACCCATACACTAATGTTTATAGCAGCTTTATTCATAACAACCTAAAACTAGAAAAAAAAAAAAGCTCAAACATCCTTTAGCAGGTAAGTGATTAAACAAATTGTGATACATCCATACCATGGGATAGTACTCAACAATAATAATGAACAAACTACTAATATATGCAACTATCTGAATGCTCTTATGTCAAGTAAAAAATCCAAATGCAAAAGATTACATATTGTATTATTCTGTTCACATAACTTTCTTGAAATGACAAAATTATAAAAATAGAGAATAGATTACTAGTTACCAGGGGTTAAGAAAGGAATAGGGGCTGGAGAGAAGTGGTTGTGGCTATAAAAGGTCAACTTCAGGGATCCTAGGGGTTACAGAAATGTTCTGTAGCTTTGCTGTATGAACATTAATATCTTGGTTGTGATACTGTCCTATAGACTTGCAAGATATTATCATTGGGGGAAACTGAGTAAACAGTACATAGATATCTCTATAATGTCCTACAACTGCATATGAAAACTATAATTATCTCAAAATTTAAAAACTAATTAAATTGTATTGCTAAGAATGAAGCACATCATCGGTCCTTAAAAATTTATAATCTGTAGGTGACATATGTTTTATATTAACTTGAACAGGTGTTTCCCACTGTGATCTGGAGTGTGTTTGTAGCTGTTATGTAACAGAAGGAATTTGTCATCACGGACATTTGGGAAATGCTGGCTTAAACAGTTTTCTTTTTCAGGAATTCTCAGAACCTTTATTATGCTTACCTGTGTCATGGTTCTGTAATTGGCAGAATAAACATCATTGTTCCTAATTTTTTCATTATGAAAACTTCTCCCCTTCCCACTTCTCCCCAAAACACATGCCCAACTCACCAGAGAAACATTTATGAGACCAATGTCTCATGGAATTCACTTAAAAAGGCCAGTATCTCAGGCCGGGCGCGGTGGTTCATGCATGTATTCCCAGCACTTCAGGAGGCCAAGGGGGGGTGGTTCACCTGAGGTCAGGAGTTCAAGACCAGCCTGGCCAACTTGGAGAAACCCCCATCTCTACTAAAAATACAAAAATTAGCCGGACTTGGTGATGCGCGCCTGTAATCCCAGAGACTCAGGAGGCTGAGGTGGGAGAATCGCTTGCAACTGGGAGGCGGAGGTTACTGTGAGCCAAGATCACGCCACTGCACTCCAGCCTGGATGACAGAGTAAGACTCCATCTCAATTAAAAAAAAAAAAAGAAAAAAAGAAAAAAATGCCAGTATCTCTAGAATATGCTATTTACTACTCTGGCTTAATCATGCAAGTTAAGTAAATTCTAAGCAGAAGCAGTAACTTATCAGAAGGCAAAAAGTGTAAAATAGTAAAGATCTCTGGACAATTAACATTTAGGACATGGGAATGTGCACAGGGCTTGTAGGAGGCAGATCTGAGATCTGGAGGGATGTCAAGTGGTCAGATCCTGAAGAAACTTGACTGTGAATCCAGGAAATTGAACTTTGTTCCAGAAGCCATAGAGTCTCTACCCTGGCCCACCCTTTTATTCTACAAACGAGGACACAGGAGAATAAACCGAATAAACCAATTTAACTATGGCTGTCCAGTTTTGACTTTAAGAATTCTAAAAATGTGAGTAGAATTTACAGACTATGACATTAGCCTTTGACTTCAGTGATTACAAAGCACTTATGGATAAACTTAAAATCAAAACATCTCTGTGTATATTCACATTATCCTGAGTCTTGGCCCAGTGGTTGCAAAGTCATTCTTCAAGTCTCCTTATCATGCAGACGGGGCAACAATCCCAGAAAAAACAGACACAAGATAGAATTCAGGTCTCTATCTCCAGCATGAATCTCTTTGCATTCTCTGTTCTGTCTTCTAAAGGGGTCTTTCAGCCTCACTCAAACATAACCTAGAGGAATATAAACTTGCACCTTTAGCTTCTGAGAAAGGGGACAGCCCTGGGATTAATTAAAATCCTACACACTGATTAAAACACTCTAGCACCTCAGGATCAGTTATGAAAGCTTTTCATCATGCAACCTCAGTAAAAAAAAAAAAAAACTCAGTAAACAGCTCCCATTTCCAACCTGTATTTTGAGAACAAAAGATATCTGTCAGGAGGGAGGAAGGATGGGGGCTGGCCACGAGGATTGTTTTTCTGTGGCTGCAGTAGAAAATAGTCTGGTTTGAATTGTTGTAAAGTAGAAAAACAAATGGCATGTAGCTGTGCATTTTAACTCACAATATCAGTTTGAAAAAAAAAAAAAGTTGTTTTCTCCCATGACTCAATGGAGCGTTGCATTTGGCAGCTGGACCCCATTACTGGCATCCCCACAAAGGAAATGTCAGATCAGGCATTATTTACAATCTCAAGTTTACTTTTTCACTGAAGCCTTTCATGGCCCTGTCCACATTTCAAGTGACGGGGCTTCAAACCAAAGTCATTTACACTCCATCTCATCACATGCAAACTTTCACTTCTTAACATCTTTAATACCAGAGCCGATAAGTCTTCTCAACCAAAATTGTACTTAGAGAACTGAGGGTTCTGTTAATGTATTCCCTGGCAATGAACAATGTGCATGGGCTAATATTATTTATTCAATGTTATTATAAATGTTTGAAAAACAAACAGGAGTTATTGCAAACTGGTTCCAGCCACATAACTGGCGCCAGATGATTTTAAGCAAGTTAGAAGGATACATACACATTACATGCCATGGAACTCCTGTGTCTGCACGGGAGACCATCTGAACTTGCTAAGTCTGAAAGTTTCCATTGCTTTGTTTTTATCTAAGTTTGACCACTTTGAACAATGAGACATATTTGCCAGCTTTTAATAGAAGAGCTAAGATACATAAGGCTGTGTCTTTATGAGAATGTCAGAATCAGATTTTCTTGAATGTCACTCCTTTCTTCAAGCTATTCTAAATTTCACTTAGCCCATATAACATGCAGAAAAACATAACTATGTAACTAGAAACACCTAAGTTCAAGTCCTTACTTATAGCAGTGGTTTATATTTAGGCAGGTTACCTTAACCTCTTTCAGCTATTTCCTTGGTTGTAAAATGAAGATAAGGATGTCTATTTTGGGGAATTGTTGTGAAGATGATGAGATTGTATTTGCTAACTTCTGGTTTTACAGAGGATTATAGAGGATACTCAGTAATATCCAGTCTCTTTCTATACAAATTACCCTAACGGAAACTCTGTCGGAGACATTTTGTATATAATTTTCCTTTTATCACATTTGTTTGTGTACATTATTTAGGTAGTACACTATGTGCCTCTTCAAGACAAGTGGTTCCTTTTGGTAAATGATGTAGTAGATATAAATGTGGTTCTTTCTTGCTTCAAACACAATGACTTGCATATTGTAGAAACTCAACTAATGGTAGTCAGTAATTGAAGCAATTGAGCCATCCCATTCTCTCCTTTCATTATCTTAAATAAAACATACTAGATATTTCCTGGTTCTTTTCCACAGTCTTGGATTCTCTGCTGGTTCTGTAGAAAGTACTCAATAGATCTCAGTAAATCTTTTTGTGTGTGATTTTTTTTGTTTTTTGTTTTTTTGTTTTTGTTTGTTTGTTTGTTTTTGAGATGGAGTTTTGCTCTTGCTCTTGTTGCCCAGGCTGGAGTGCAATGGCGTGATCTCGGCTCACTGCAACCTCCACCAAGCGATTCTCCTGCATCAGCCCCCCGAGTAGCTGGGATTACAGGCATACGCCACCATGCCCGGCTAATTTTGTATTTTTAGTAGAGACAGGGTTTCTCCACGTTGGTCAGGCTGGTCTCAAACTCCTCACCTCAGGTTATCTGCCCGCCTTGGCCTCCCAAAGTGCTGGGATTACAGGCGTGAGCCATCGCGCCCGACCTAAATCACTTTATTTAATGAACTGTTGGAAAATCCCTGGGAAGCCACAAAGCTAGTCATGCTCAAGTACTGTATCTTTGAGAACCACTTGGACATATCACTTTAATTTCTCCTGGCTACATATGTACCCATTTTGTGTTGCGTTAATTTTATAGGTTGGCAGACAGGCCAAAAGACACACTCAGAGCCACAAGAAAACCATCTTCATATGGCCTGCCATGCTCTTCATGACTATTCTTCCTATGGCCTCACTTCCCACCAAAGCTCACTCCACCTGCCCTGTATTCCAGCCGTATTGCTGTCATCTGCATCTATGACCTAGGAATTCCAGTTGCTGCAGTGTCCTTGCTCTCATGCTTTGTTGGCCAAACTGCCCTACTGCTCCTGCAAAACACAACATAAATTGCACTTGTTTTGTGAAATAATCTTGCAAATTTCTAGGCAGAATTAGACGGCTCCTCTCTCCACTCATTATGGTCCCCACATCAAACTTCACAGCACTTGTCCCGTAGCTTCATAACCTGATCTTTGTTTAAATTGTGAGATCCTTAGGGCCTAGCAGTGATTGCCATGTAGAAGATGCTTGGTAAGGATTTTCCAAATTTAGTGAAGAAGCATAGGAAGGTGTCTATGAAGAGGAGGAAAGAGAAATTGGCTCAATAAGAAAAATAACTTGTAAGCAAAAGACATATTTAAAGACAAAATAATTTCCCAAATGCCTTTATTCTATACATCGCTTCTTTGCTAGTGGGAAATAATGATATAAATATATACTATTTACCAGAAGATAAACTCCATGCATAAGAAAAAAAATTCTTCAACTTTACTGACTAGCAAATTTTATATTTTGAAATCTAAATCTCCTTTTTCCAGAAAAGCTTTCCAGTCTGCTTGTAAATATTTTAACCATAGAAGAGTAAAAATCAGAGAGCCAAAAAAAAATTATGCAAAGGTATCTATCAGAAAAAAAAGAGACAGTTTGTGTCTGCAATTTGCTTTTACTTCTGTACATGTTTCAAGAAAATCTCAAAACCACCCAAAGAGATCCCAAATCTCAGATTTAGTCCACATTTCCTAATTGTTCAATCATATTGTAATTCCCCAGTTCCTAGTGCTAGTAATTGTCTAATGGTCTGAGGAAACACACACACACAAGCGCACACACACACACACACACACATACACACAGTCTTTTTCTTGAATCATCTTCGGCTTAGAGCACAGTAGCCATGAGGGTAACACTTTTTTCCTGTCTGACATTTCAGTTCTGAACTTTAGACATCTGATTGCAGTTGGATTAAGTTTAAACATGATGTCAGGTTTTCCACTACTTCATGAGCAAAACATGTTTCTCCTGAGTTTAAATAAGTCTAATTGTGCTTACTCTTGTGTTAATTTGGGAAATCCCTAGATTCTTTTGGAGGGAGGCAAATAGCAGTGTCCTACCATACATGATAAGGGGAGGGGAGCACTGAGTGATATGTGTCAGCCAGCAGCCACGCTGCTTCATAAGTAAACTAAGATACGCTTGGGTAGGAAAAGCTGAACTGGAGATTTTATGAATGCTACAGAGAGCATTTCTGGTGGAAGTATGAAAGGATGGTCATTTCAGTAGACCCTGTATTCTTAGTGCTTAAAACGTTGCATATAGTAATTGCTCAATAAATATGTGTTGAATAAAATAAATGGATAAGTGATACTGCCTTGCCATATAAAGATTAGTATATATGGATGGCAGGAACTTCAAGAAAAGAAAATCTTTGCAGAGTGATGCAAACTCTTCTTTACTTTTTTTCATCAACAATGTTTTTGAGGAGTACAAAGATGAACTATATTTCTTCTCCCATAGCAGGAAACAACCTCAGGACTGCTGAAAAGGACTTAGTCCAAATATCATTATCCTCATCACCCTTTTGTCTCTGTCCTCATAAACACAGCCATCACCACACCAGCCACAATAAATAGCTCTGTGACCTTGGGCAACTTCATTAAAATCACTGAACCTTAGTTTTATTTCTGTACGTGAAAAGATAGGGTTTGTCCTCTCTTAGCACCATTTATTCCTCCACATCTTCTCTCTAGTTGTGGAAATTTTTTAAGTTAATAAAATATCAGTGTTCTACTATGAGAGGTTATTAATACAGCATTATAAAGTTTAATTTATTTTGTTGGTGAAGCAGTCTAAAGAAGTGAGAATCCAGACTACAGTTGACTAGACAGACTGAAAACAAATTGTAGTGATAAAATTTTTTGAGATTCCAGATAAGAAAAGATAAGAAGAATAAAGAGAAAATACAAAGAAAGTGTGATTTCTGAATGTTCAATTCAGCTTGATTTCTAAAGGAAACAAAGGAAATAAAGATGAACTATGGGGAAGATTGAATAACTATGGCATATTGAGTTACTTTTGATTGGTCATAAATAACATGGGATTCTTCCCATTACAGAGCAATCCAGATGTTTCCTGGAAGCATAAGGGAAGAGTTTTATACAAAATGGAGAAAAGAGTACAAACTTTCTGTGGTAGAAATTACTAACACTGACCACAGCTAGTCTTCTCCTTCCTAAGATTGTGAGAAGACTTTCCAGATTTCCTCACAGCTAGGCTGAGGTCATGTGACTATTTCTGGCCAATGGGCTGTAATAAGTGTCACTTTTAATAACAGAACTTGAGAAGCAAGAGTTAGTTCTCTATACTTTCTCTTCCCCTGACACAACAATCAAGAAAACCATTTGTTGAGATGGCAGAGCCACAAAACAGAAGCACTCTGTATCCCTGCATTGCCACATGAAAAGCTGTCTTGAAGAGTTACCTCCCTCCCATTAGACATGGCACTAGAGAGTAATAAACTTGTGTTGCTTATAGCCACAGAGATTTAGGAGTATATTTACCACTGCATCACAGCTTCAGCTGTCCTAACTGGTTCACTTAACTCATTGCTGGAAAGATTAAATGAGAAAGTATTTGTCAAATTTTCTGGAAATGGTAAAGTACGCTAAATGCTACTTGCTAATAACTTTGATGAAAGCCTTTCTGGTGGCAAAGTTTTTATTACCAAATATGTCTATATACAAGTGCTAAATAAAGTCTTTCAGACAATACTTGGTGCAGCTTTTCATCACGAGACTGTGTAACATTTAGGATCAAAATATTTATGATGGCAGGACAAGAAAGAGAACACATTTTGGAACCCAACAGATTTGCACACAAATCTCATCTCTGTTATTTACCGGTTTGTGACCTTCATATTTTTTTATCTATAAAACATAATATAGAAAGTGTGAGAGTATAGAGAAATGCCTTGATTGTATTAATGTGAGGATAACATTAAAATGTGAGTGACTAATAAATTCCAAGGGCTTATACATAAATCAAAGTACTAACAGAGGGTAATATCCAATTAACATTAAATATTTTCTGATTACTGTAAGAGTGAAAGATAAAAATAAATAGTTGGCCAGTATATTAGATCTTTGTATAATCTTATACTATAGAAAACAATGATGTAAAGAAAAAGTGAGAAACAATATGTAGAAGGTTCTGGTTTTAATCCACCTTAAGAGAAAATTTGAACAAAGGTAGCTGTCTTCCCATTCATGTTCCATTGGCCAATTCCCATGTTGACATTACCTAGTTAAGAACTACAAACTCTAAAGATTGAATTATATTTGGGCGATTAAAACTAGCCTAGCGGAGTGATGTGAATAAAGATTGTCCTCTCGAGCCAAGAGTTGCTGTCATCAATTATAAACAGACGTAAACCCAGGATGGAGTAGATCTTTGCAGAAAATATTTATGTCGGTTACTATGCACTTGGGTTTTGTGGGATACGTCTATTTTTCCAACAGTTAATGACATGGTATTTAATGTGCCCAGGTTAGCTCTCAACTATTTGCTCTTTCCTTTTTACTTTTCTTGCTTTTTTCTTTTCTCTTTTTCTTCATCCCTTTTCCTTTCCCTTCTTCTTTCCTTCCATATAATGACCAGCTTCCATATATTTGGCCTACCTTGCCCCAGGTTTGAATACACAAAATGACTAATACTCAACTACTCAGTTGTTTGATTTTACTATTCCTGGTTCATATCCAATTCTAGCCCTGGATTCCAAAGGTAATTTTTAATTTTTTTTCAGCTGATATTCTAGAAGTAATGAATAGAAAATCTTGGAAGCTGAGACTTATTTTGTGTAATCCAGGCCACAGGATTGACAGAGCTAAAACTAATCCAAACTCAGGATTCCAGTGACCCTATTTCCAATCACAATTAGCCACACCTAGATCTCCAAAAGGATAAAACATGTTTTAAAACTATCAATTTAGACCAATTTAAGAAGCACCCATTTCTTGATCCATCTCCCCAACTAAAGTCATCTCTGTCAATTCAATGAGCTCAGAATCCTTCAACTTTATGCCTTTTCCAAGCTAAGAAGAAACTCCCCTATGATATTTTTAGTACTCTATATCTTAGTATGGTTTAGTTTATGATAATCCCATGAAACTTCTTGGATGTTAGGGAAGAGAAAGCCACAAATACTAAATATTTAAGGAGAAATACCAAAATCAAACTTTACAGCTTTTGCCTAGGAGTTACTCAACATGTGTGAGAGCCATATTCATATTATTTCTTATTTATTTATCAAATTTTTCTCCTATCAAAAGTGAAAATAACTATCCTAGGCCTAAGTATTGAGGTAAAATGGTTACAAATTTCTGGGACCCTACAGCTAGGAAGGCAATCTGTCTTCAGTAATTTAACACAGAAATAAAGCAGAATAACATGCTTGCATCAATAGACATACATGCAACATTTTCAGGGAGTGGGGACACTGATTTTAATGGAAAAAGGTGAAAATGGGAAAAGCTTCCTGGAGAAAATGACCTTTAAATTGAGTCTTTTAGCGTTAATAGCAAGAAAAAGGAATTGCGAGGCTGGGGGAATGTCATATCTAAAAAATCATTCAGCATTTTAAAACTATTTCTTGTGCTCTTTGATGAACCCAAAGATATAACAAAAAAGATGTAGTTTATTACTAAAGAGGTTTACTGCCTCAAACAAGCCATTACAGAAACATTAATTAAATACAAAGTAGCTGGAAATGAACAAAAATAGAGTCAGCATATTTAGCTCTAGGCAAACGGCCCATCCAGTTCACTTTCTATAGATAATGCTTCTTGAATTAATTTTTTGTTTTGTTTTTCAATGAAGGCAAATGCAGCCTGCAAGGGGGAAGCCAATCTTGTTCAGATCTGCTTTTCCTCTCTACACTCTTCCCACTTTATGCTTGGGCCATTGCAGCAACCCCTTCCACCTTATCTACACTGAGTTTTCTAGACCTTCTTTTGCCAGAAGCTATCTATTTCCATGGTTTGGTCTTGTCTGCAAAACTATGCTCTTTGGAGCCCCAGATCAGGCTTCTGTCCCTTAGGTACTGTGTCTTATGTTACTTAGGTACTGCGTCTTACTGAATAGGGGATCTAGATTTTGTGAGTTTTGGTTCAGTCCCTTGGAACACCCATTGCCCTGTGACATCGGCAAAGTCACATCTCTCTGAACTTTAGTTTCCCCACCTGTAAAGTAAAAATGGCTTGTACTTCAGGGCAAAGGTAGTTGCTTCTTTCCCCTGTGTGTATGTGGGGTGTGTGTGTGTGTGTGTGTGTGTTTATGTGTGTGTGTGTGCGCGTGTGTGTGTGTGTGTGTGATCTGTGGAGGAAAAGTAGTTTCTCTGGAAATCAGAAAACCCAAAGTCTATCCCATTTAGTTTTGAAAAAATCATGTTATGCCTTGTAATGGCTGACTCTTCTACTTAAGGGGACACGCATGAGGATTAAATGTAAAACTGAACAACAGCATAATCAAATAAGCCACTTTGGTGAGGGGAGAAGGGTAGAAGCAGGTCAACTGATTGCTTGATTGAATGACTGATTATTTGACTCAATTGACTAAACTAATTAGAACCATCCATCTAGTAGCCAAGGGTGGGTGCACATATCAAAACAATCTCTAAAAAGACTTGGGAACATCTGCTCATTTGGACGAATGTAGACAAAATATGGTTGGCTAAATGCTTTGATATCTTCTAATCCTAGTTGAAGCACTTAAAAAAAAACATAGTTAATGAAATACATGGCTTTATTAAGCCTTGGAAAGTTGACAAAATTGTATCTACATATTTATTCAAAATATTTTATGTCCCTTCTAATGATTCAAATACAAACTCAGTCATCTGTGTTTTGTTTGGTTTTGTTTTTTTACATGAAAGGAAAGGGATCATGGCAATTATAATGAGGATGATGAAGGAGAAGCAAACAGAGGAGCAGAAGGATGATCTCAATAAGTTAGGACATTTTATTGCTTCAGAGTTGGAGCTGCACACTTTGTAGACATCGTCTCTAATTATCAAGACCATGATCTGAATATTCATGTACTCATTTTTAAAAGGAAGAAAAAAACCTCAGATAGAATAAACAGTATATTATTTAGGACTCCTTTAGCTACAGGTAATGGCATTAACAACAAGAACAAAGCGCCACTGGCTTAAAAAAAAAAAAAAAAAAGTGAAATTTGTTATAAGCCTACAGATGTGTCTCACGGAATCTAAGGCAAAAGATACAGCCTAACCTTCTAGATGTCCAAGAAGTTCTGTCTTTGTTCCTTTCTGTTTCACATAGCCTATTTTATCTCATTTTTACTCCTTTGTGTCCTCTCTCACCTCTCTTTCTCCTGATAAAAGAAAAACTTCAGCCGAATTAAATTTAAAGGAGTTTAACGGAGCAATAAATGATTTGCGAATTGGGCAGCCACCAGAACCACAGCAGATTCACAGAGACTCCAGCCCAGCCACGTGGTTGAAGAAAATTTATAGACAAAACAAAAAGGAAATTACATAACAGAAATTGGAAGTGAGGTACAGAACAGCTGGATTGGTTACAGCTCGTCATTCACTTTATTTGAACACAGTTTGAACACTCAGCAGTGTATGCGTGGTTGAAATACGGCTGCTGGGATTGACCAAAACTCAGCTATTGTTACAGGCACATACTCCTAAGTCAGGCTTTCAATCTTGTCTACCTATTAAGCTACGTTGCAGTTCGTCCACAGGACTCCAATATAGAAGTATGGAGTCCTTCTCACACCATATTTAGTTTGCTTTAACACTCCAGACTAACGCTTGGGTTTTCAATTCCTAGAAAAGAATATCTCTCTCTTTCTCTCAGCTCACTTCGTAAATCCCCGTAAAGATACTTTCATAGCTAAGCTTGCATCCAATCCTCAATCTTGATTCAGTCATCAGTAACCTCTGACAAGGCCACGGATGCTGGGGCTTTTACAATGTGGGTGGAAAAGAGAAGAAACTTTGAGCAGACAGCCTAAGATATATCTATCACGAGTAACCTGACTCTGGTTACAAAGAAGGATTGAGCAAGGATTTGAACTCAGGTCTATCTAGCTCTGAAGTCCAAGATGCCTTTACCACACCATGACACCATCATGCTTAGTAGTTTGAAGAAAGACCATAAAAATGTATCCATACATAACAGATATATAGATTTTCTGCTAGGAAACATCAAGCTAAATCAAACTTAGATTAGGTATTTACTCAGGTCACAAATGTTGAGTGTCTACTTTGTGATTAGCACATCGGTAAGTAGGATACTAACATATATAATAATGATAATATTAATAATGATAACAATTCATATTTAGAGAGCCTTTAGTATGTGTCACTCTTCTGAATTCTTTACACTCATTAACTCAATTAATCCTCTCAAGAACGCCATGAGACCAGGATTATCATGTAATTCCCATTTTAAAGATGAACAAATTGAGACAGTGAAGAGAGTGGAAGCTATCAGGCATTTTCACCTCATTAAATTTTTATTGGCAATAAAGTAAAACATGAGGAATTACTAACTTTAATGTCACAGAAAGACTTCAACAATTGCCTCATATATAGTGCGTATAGTTCACAATGTGCTTTATTAAAAAAAAAATCTTCAAGTCATCCCAACAATCTCAGAAGGAATAAAGAACACTCCACTGCCATATGTTGATAACTTCACTGATAGTTGAAATAGATGTCTCCACATTTGTGGAGTTGGCTCTCAAATCTACGCTCTTGGTATCTAATGACTTCAGAAAAGGAAAGACATTGAGTGTTTGAGTTGTATATTAGATACCTGTGGTTGTCATAACATATTACCACAAATGTAGTGGCTTAAAATAATAAAATATTCCCTCACAGTTCTGTAGACCAGAAGTCTGACATGAAGATGTCAACAGTGCCACACTCCTCCTGAAAAGTCCAAGGGGAACACTTCCCTTGCCTTGTTTAGCTTCTGGTGGCTCTAGGCATCCCTTGACTGGTGGCTATAAGTTTCTTCCTCTTCTGCCTCTTATACTACGCCTATCATTGGAGGTAGGAGCTCCTAGGGTAATTTAGAATGATCTCATCTCAAGATCCTTAGTTACACCTGCAAATTTCACAAATAAGGTGATAATCACAGGTTTGGGGGTTAGGATGTGGACATATCTTTTGGGGGGCCACCATTAAACACATTACAGGTGTTTAGGGAAGCCATTTCAGATTTTTATAGGAAACTTAATAGTGTTCAAGACACAATTCTAAGTAGTTTACTTAAAATGGAGGTGATATCCACACCCCTCTGTATTAGCCCATTACCATACTGCTATGAATAAATACCTAAGACTGGGTAATTTATAAAGAAAAGAGGCTTAATTGACTCACAGTTTAGCATGGCTAGGGAGGCCTTAGGAAATTTACAATCATGGTAAAAGGGACCTCTTCACAGGCCAACAGGAGAGATAATGAGTGCAAGCAGGGGAAATACCAGACACTTATAAAACCATCAGATCTCCCGAGAACTCACTCACTATCACGACAACAGCATGGGGGAGCCTGCTCCCATGATTCAATTACCTCCACCTAGTCCCACCCTTGGCATATGGGGATCATGGGATTACAATTCAAGGTGAGATTTGGGTAGGGACACAGAGCCAAACCATATCACCCTCACAATGCATGTCCTGAGACCATTATCAGACAAAGGACTCTTACTTAGGGATATAAATGATTCTGAGATAGGGGCAGGTGTGTTTTGACTTAAAGCAAAAACAGACTTATAAACTTTCACTTTCTCTAAAATAAAGTACTAACTTTTTAAACTATAATTTTGAATTGGTAAAACGTTCATTTAAACTTAATTAAGATCATATGTTTTAGTTTTTCCTCTTTTGACAGTTTTTAAAAAATCATTCAGAAGTGTTAACTTGGCAAAAAAACACTAAATTTGTGAATTAAATGGGTAAAAAGATTTTCACAATGAAAAAGTAAAATTCTAAGGGAAAAGATAGATTTGTATATTACTTTTAATATTGGAACATATATTCTCACTTCTACACTTTTTAGACCATAGATTTTTAAGTATTAGATATCTTAAAATGTCAACAACTTTTCATAGATTTAAAATTTGAGATAGCTTCTTGAGTCCTTAGGGAAAAATGGGATTATGCTTGGAGGAAAAATGCCTCTGAGAAATGACCTGAAAACTTATATGAGTAGGTGTGAATCTCAAGTTTGAATAGTTTACCCTGTGGTAAGAGGTTGGCAAGATTCTAGGGCACTTTGTTCCTTGCAATAGAGAAAAAATGTTTCCTAAAATGTGGTCTGTAAAACACCAGTCAGCTGCATAATAGCCAGTTGCTTAATTCTAACATATATCTGCCCACCCCCATTTTAATGAATCTGAAACTGGTTTGCCTATTACATAATGTCAAATGCTTTTTTTTTAGCCACTAGACCTTGATTGAACAAACTTAGCTATTTATGGATAATGACCTATCATCTAATGATCTCCTCAGTTGACTTATTTGCATTTATTGCACCTCATGTTTCTGAATTTAACTTAGATCCTCAATTGTTGCTTATAAAACATTATACTCCAATGTTGCATTAAAATGAAATATTTTTATGAAGTTGAAGATTGACAGTCTCAAGACAAGTCTTTCAATTTAAGGTGGCAGACACTGCCAAATCTCTTGAAGTAAATCATAAAATGTTCAAAGCTGGGAGAAGTCTGATTTATTTAGACTTTGAATTATTTTATCTGTCAAAAGCTTCCAGATGAATTTCAAGAGAAGCTGATTAACTTCTAGTGATACATACTTAAATGAAGTACATAATAGGAAATGCAGATAAAAGTCTAAGAGTCTTTCATATGATATATAATTATAATGTCAATTCTGAAGATGCCGAAAAAGTTGATATAAGAGCGTAGTTTACAGAAAAAAAACATGTCAAGCTAATGTCATATTGAACACTTTAGAATGATAGAAATATTCCTCTTAGAATTTCCAAAGGCAAATTAGCTTATTACAAGCTCTTAAACATCCTGTAATAATAAAATCTACTTAGCTTTATTTATTACCATCATTTCCACACATATATAAAACTAAAATTCCCCCACCCCCACCAACATTTCCTCCCTTCTCCCAACCCCACATACAAACTAGCTACTACCGTTTACCATTTTTACATCCTGGTGAATATATCTTATCTCAGGGAATAAGTTATTGTAAAAATTTACCTCATTCTCACTTTTGTAAGTGATAAAGTCATGAATACAGTTAAAATCAAACACACACAAAAGACTGCAATTGAGAAAACAATACTACTACTAATTTTTCATTAATTTGCTTTATGACTATGAGCACATCTTTTCTTCTCTGAGCTGATTTTGCAATCAGTTCAATAAATAGATTTTACAAAATAATCTTCAACTTTCCTACTGCCCTACCCCTCAGTGCCTGAGATGAGGTCTATTAGATGGAGGATAGAATATCAGCTTTGTTTAAACGTATGCATCTTGCATTTGAAAACTTTCTTGCTAAACATAAAACCACAATTTATTCTTTGGTTTTCAAGAATAATGTGTGAATTTACTTTATATTTATTATTTTATATCAGCCACACTTCCAGTGCCACTTTCTGAGAGTGCTAGGCTGGCCATCTCGAAGAGATCTATGAAATCAAATGTACCACCTGGTGTTCATTTATCAAACTCCTTTCATGAGTTAACCCCAATCCTTGCATGAATAGAGCTGTCTGAGGATAAAAAAGGGATTTTTTGAATTCTTGGCCACATATTTCTCTTCGGTGATGACATTGTTGAAGGTGATTGTTCTCCTTCTTCTTCTCTTTTCTCCTACTTCTTCTCCATCATCATCACATCTCACCTTCAACCCACCTTCTATATGACTTATCATAAGATTGATCTTGGCATGCCTCTGCTTAACACTTCACCCCAAGGATAAAGTCCAATCCCTTTGCACAGTTTATCGACCCTTTAAGGAATGTTAACTTTTTCCCTCTCTATCCTCATCTCTTGCCATTTTCCCACCAACCACTGTACATTCTAGACATGACTGATTTCTGTTCAGTTCCTTGAATGTATCACGCTTTTATTGCCATGCTTCTGCACATGCATTTCCTTTATTCAAGGACATGTCTCTATCTCCTTCCACTTCGTTATAATTTTAATACAGTTTCATCATCATCTGAAACATCACTTCCTCTAGGTAAATGTATAATGCCCTTATCACCAATATTGAATTCAGTGACACTCCTATCAGCTCCCACAGCATTTTGTACTTTTCCTAACTCAATACGATCAGGATTCTGTTGAAATTACCTTTCTCCATGTATACCTCCCCCTAAATTTCAACTTCTGGGGTGGCTTTCCAGCTAGACAATTTCAGATTATATGAGCTTTGCTCATATAATCCAGAGCTTTGCTCAGCAGTGAGATCATGTCTGAAATCTACTATCTAAAGAGTATATATGATAATATAAACGATACAGCCTGTTTGGAGTCATTGTGGGTAGCATAACCTTTTCAGTCTCACCAAACCAATATGGAAGCAAAATAAATGGCCAACTATTCATTAGATACACAAAGCCCAAACATCTGTGACAAATGTCATACATCTAAAATGATCTCCTGTTGCCCCAGGAATTTCTTGCAATTACTCTACTATTCTTATCTAATCTGGGGATCTGAGAATAGTGCTCTAGCTTCTCTCTTACATACTTGTTTGCCTGACCTGGAAATGAGTTCACTCTCCCCTCCTAACACCAAACACAGCTGACTTTTTGAAGCTGTGAATCAAGCTAACTGCCTGAAAGCCTCTGGCATCATAATCATAAGACTTTCCAAAGTCACTGGATCTAGAAAGTAACTCTTTTTTATAACTGCAGTTCATTCAATTACTAATGTAAAAGTAATGTAAAATGTAATATTTTATTATGTTTTGGGGTTCACTATGATCTAGACACTTTGAACACACTATAACAGTTAATCATCTCCACAATTCTACAGCTAGTTATTATTTTCCCCATTTTACAGATGAAAAGACAGAGGTTCTCAGTAGCCTAGTGGTTTGTCCAAAGTCACACAGCTGTTAAGTGTCAGAACTCATGTTAGAAAAAACATGTCTCTGATTCTGAAGCCCATGTTATTTCCATTAAGATGTGTCTCAGTGTTTCAGGGCAGGATATCCCTTATTTGGAGTCCATTTAAAAAAAGATTATTTATTTGAAAATGCTTGCTTTTCATCTGCAATAGAATGTAGTAAAAAACACTTTTTCTTTGGGTCAATGATTTTCACTAGCTACTGAAATGGAGAACTAGCCAGCAACACCACCTACCAGGACACATTTGTGGCAGGTGGGAGACATTGGGGTGCACTGTTCCCTCTTCTAAGGAACATTTCCTGAAAATCCCTCCTGTATCTACCCAGGCAGTTCTTTCCACCACTGCATTCTAGGAGCTGACAGAGCACTGGACCTGGGGTTAGGCAGATGAGAGTTTGGGCCCTAACTCTGCCAATTCCCACTTATGTGAATTGGATGGTTGCTAAGTGGCTTGATATCACAAGGAAGAGAGAGAATCTCACAAGGTTGGAAAGGGAGCCATGTGAGCAAAATCACGCATGTGACAGAACTGTAGAAACTGTAAAGATGCTGAACATATATGAGGCAACATTACTGTGCCCTCCAAACCAGCAGTCGATCAAAACTTAAGAAACCAGGATTTCCATCTAAGAACCTGTTTGGGATATACAACTCTGATAGAAAATACTTAATGAGTATCTTGATTGTAACATAGAATATGTATACATTAGTAAAATAACCAGATATACTACAGAACTCTCTATTGGCTCAAACAGGTTGACCTCAATCCAAGTTTACTCTTGATATCACTCTATTGGCTGAAGGAGGAAACTCAAACCTCAGGGTTTGTTTTTCCCAGGACAGATAGTAGTGATAGTGCATTATATTTTAATAAGAAAAACAAAGATCAGATAGTTGTAGATATGTGGCGTTATTTCTGAGGACTCTGTTCTGTTCCATTGATCTATATCTCTTTTGGTACCAGTACCATGCTGTTTTGGTTACTGTAGCCTTGTAGTATAGTTTGAAGTCAGGTAGTGTGATGCCTCCAGCTTTGTTCTTTTGGCTTAGGATTGACTTGGTGATGCATGCTCTTTTTTGGTTCCATATGAACTTTAAAGTAGTTTTTTCCAATTCTGTGAAGAAAGTCATTGGTAGCTTGATAGGGATGGCATTGAATCTGTAAATTACCTTGGGCAGTATGGCCATTTTCACAATATTGATTCTTCCTACCCATGAGCATGGAATGTTCTTCCATTTGTTTGTATCCTCTTTTATTTCCTTGAGCAGTGGTTTGTAGTTCTCCTTGAAGAGGTCCTTCACATCCCTTGTAAATTGGATTCCTAGGTATTTTATTCTCTTTGAAGCAATTGTGAGTGGGAGTTCACTCATGATTTGGCTCTCTGTTTGTCGTTGTTGGTGTATAAGAATGCTTGTGATTTTTGTACATTGATTTTGGATCCTGAGACTTTGCTGAATTTGCTTATCAGCTTAAGGAGATTTTGGGCTGAGACAATGAGGTTTTCTAGATATACAATCATGTCATCTGCAAAGAGGGACAATTTGACTTGTCTTTTCCTAACTGAATACCCTTTATTTCCTTCTCCTGCCTAATTCCCCTGGCCAGAACTTCCAACACTATGTTGAATAGGAGTGGTGAGAGAGGGCATCCCTGTCTTGTGCCAGCATTCAAAGGGAATGCTTCCAGTTTTTGCCCATTCAGTATGATATTGGCTGTGGGTGTGTCATAGATAGCTCTTATTATTTTGAGATACATCCGATCAATACCTAATTTATTGAGAGTTTTTAGCATGAAGGGTTGTTGAATTCTGATCTTTGACAAACCTGAGAAAAATAAGCAATGGGGAAAGGATTCCCTATTTAATAAATGGTGCTGGGAAAACTGGCTAGCCCTATGTAGAAAGCTGAAATTGGATCCCTTCCTTACACCTTATATAAAAATTAATTCAAGATGGATTAAAGACTTAAATGTTAGACCTAAAACCATAAAAACCCTAGAAGAAAACCTAGGCATTACCATTCAGGACATAGGCATGGGCAAGGACTTCATGTCTAAAACACCAAAAGCAATGGCAACAGAAGCCAAAATTGACAAATGGGATCTAATTAAACTAAAGAGCTTCTGCACAGCAAAAGAAACTACCATCAGAGTGAACAGGCAACCTACAAAATGGGAGAAAATTTTGGCAACCTACTCATCTGACAAAGGGCTAATATCCAGAATCTACAATGAACACAAACAAATTTACAGGAAAAAAACAACCCCATCAAAAAGTGGGCGAAGGACATGAACAGACACTTCTCAAAAGAAGACATTTATGCAGCCAAGAAACACATGAAAAAATGCTCACCATCACTGGCCATCAGAGAAATGCAAATCAAAACCACAATGAGATACCATCTCACACCAGTTAGAATGGCAATCATTAAAAGTCAGGAAACAACAGGTGCTGGAGAGGATGTGGAGAAATAGGAACACTTTTACACTGTTGGTGGGACTGTAAACTAGTTCAACCATTGTGGAAGTCAGTGTGGCAATTCCTCAGGGATCTAGAACTAGAAATACCATTTGACCCAGCCATCCCATTACTGGGTCTATACCCAAAGGACTATAAATCATGCTGCTATAAAGACACATGCACACGTATGTTTATTGCGGCACTATTCACAATAGCAAAGACTTGGAACCAACCCAAATGTCCAACAATGATAGACTGGATTGAGAAAATGTGGCACATATACACCATGGAATACTACGCAGCCATAAAAAATGATGAGTTCATGTCCTTTGTAGGGACATGGATAAAATTGGAAATCATCATTCTCAGTAAACTATCGCAAGAACAAAAAACCAAACACCGCATATTCTCACTCATAAGTGGGAATTGAACAATGAGAACACATGGACACAGGAAGGGAAACATCACACTCTGGGGACTGTTGTGGGGCGGGGGGAGGGGGGAGGGATAGCATTGGGAGATATACCTAATGCTAGATGATGAGTTAGTGGGTGCAGTGCACCAGCATGGCACATGTATACATATGTAACTAACCTGCACATTGTGCACATGTACCCTAAAACTTAAAGTATAATAATAATAAATAAATAAATAAACAAAAAAAAAGAAAAACAATCCAGTAAACCTTGAGAAATTTTAAAAAGCATAGTTGAGGCTTATTTTTTCATAATTATATACTTATCTATTTATTGCCCATGGAAAATATATGTGTAGAAGTATTTCTTCTGTTATTTGTTACTATCTTCTTAATTTGTTCCAAAGAAAATACTGGCATACTGCATTCCCTCTGGAAGGAAACAAAACAAAACAAAACTCACTCAAAACCAGCAGTGCTGCTATCAGATAAGTAGATGTCAATGTATACTTACAAGGAAAAACTAAAAAATGTAATGTGTTAATTCAGCCTTTTTCTATGTAATATTTCCAAGTCAGACTTTCTTACATTCCTGGAATTTACTTTGATATACCAAGAATAATAATGATAAAATGTTTGCTTTGATTACTGTGGGGGGAAAAATGAAATGTTCAATTGTATTAAAACAAACAAACTTTTCAGAAAAAAAAAAAAAAGATACCAGGATTTCATGTGGATATTATCATCCGATTGTGTGCACTTTAGGAAGGGAGACATGGTCTCATTCATTTCTTTGTGTGCCCCCTAATTAGCCTAGGGTCTGAACAGAATAGAGACTCTATAATGACTTGATCTTGATTTTCTGAATGGTGATGATCACAGCTCTTCCCTCACCTCCAAGCTGGAAGTCAGTGGCTTCTCCTTACTCTGAAAACATTCTCTGTCTGAAACTCACACCTGAACTTGGAATCTATTGGCTTAGTTTTTTTGGTTTGTTTTTATTATATATATACATAATAATGTTAGCAGCTATCCTTTATCAAGCAGACAAATTGCACTTTACTGACTAATTTAAGCCTTACAGCTACTGTATTAGTACATTTTCATACTGCTATAAAGAAATACTAGAGACTGGGTAATTTATAAAGAAAAAGAGGTTTAATGGGCTCACAGTTCCACATGGCCAGGGAGGCCTCACAATCATGGCAGAAAATGAAGGAGGAGCAGAGGCATGTCTTACATGGCATCAGGGAAGAGAGCATGTGCAAGGGAACTGTGCATTATAAACCATCAGGTTTCATGAGACATATTCACTATCATGAGAACAACACAAGAAAAACCTGCCCTTATGATTAAATTACCTCCCACTGGATCCCTCCCACAACATGTGGCGATTATGGGAGCTATAATTCAAGATGAGATTTGGGTGGGAACACAGCCAAACCGTGTCAGCTATCTCACATATTACTGTACAATATATATCCCCATTTTCACATGTGAGGTAACTGAGATTTAGAAATGAGATGACAACCCCTTTTTTCTGATTCATCAGGACTCACTGGCAGAAGGGATCTGAACTCAGAGCTCCCTGAGGCCTGACACAGCCTCTTTACCATGCTGATGACTTTGCTAAATTTTGTCTCACAAGTCAGGGAACATCAAGGACTTGCATGAAGTAATCATTAAATAAATATTCTCATATTCTTCATCTGTGACAGAGAGATAGTAAAGGTCCCTATTTCATGAGGTCATATGAAGATAAAATGATACTGTCTATGAAATATTTAACAAAATGTCTGCCACAGATAAACATTAAATAAGTGGCTATAATTAGTCTTTGTGTCCCCACCCAAATGTCATCCTGAATTGTAATCTTCTTAATCTCCATGTGACAATGGAGAGAGCAGGTGGAGGTAATTGAATCATGGGAGTGGTTTCCCCCAAGCTGTTCTCATGATAGTGAGTTCTCACGAGATCTAATGGTTTTATAAGGAGCTCTTCCCACCTTTGCTCAGCACTTCTCCTTCCTGCCACCTTGTGAAGAAGGTGCCTTGCTTCCTCTTCACCTTCTGCCATGATTGTAAGTGTCCTGAGGCCTCCCCAGCCATGCTGAACTGTGAGTCAATTAAACCTCTTTCCTTTATAAATTACCCAGTCTTGGGTATTTTTTATAGCAATGTAAAAACGGATTAATACAGTAAATTCGTACTGAGGTAGTAGAGCATTGCTATAAGATACCTGAGAATGTGGAAGCAACTTTTGAACTGGGTAATGGGCAGAAGTTGGAACAGTTTGAGTGCTCAGAAGACAGGAAGATGTGGGAAAGTTTGGAACTTCCTAGAGACTTTTTGAATGACTTTGACCTAACTGCTGATAATGATATGGGCAATAAAGTCCAGGTTAAGATAGTCTCAGATGGAGATGAGGAAGTTCATGGGAACTGGAGCAAAGGTGACTCTTGCTATCTTTTAGCAAAGACACTGGTGGCATTTTGCCCCTGCCTTAGAAATCTGAGAAACTTTGAACTTGAGAGACATGTTTATGATATTTGGCAGAAGAAATTTTTTAAGTATTATAGCAAAGCATTCAACATGTGACCTGGGTACTCTTAAAAGCATTCAGTTTTATGCATTCACAGAGAGATTGTTTAAAATTGGAACTTACGTCTAAAAGGGAAGCAGAACATAAAAGTGAAAAATTGGCAGCCTAATGGCTTGATGAAAAAGAAAAACCCATTTTCTGGGAAGAAATTCAAGCTGGCTACAGAAATTTGAATAATGGGAAGACAAATGTTAATCACCAAGATAACGGGGAAAACGTTTCCACAGGGCATGTCAGAGGTCTTCATGGCAGCCCCTCCCATCAGAGGCCCAGAGGCCTAGGAAGCAAAAACAGTTTCTCCAGCTATACCCAGCACCTTGTTGCTTTGTGCAGTCTCAGGACTTGGTGCCCTGTGTCCCAGCCTTGGCTAAAAGGGGCCAACATACAGCTCAGGACATTGTTTCAGAGGGTACAAGCCCCAAGTCTTGGCAGCTTACACATGGTTTTGGGACTGTGGGTGCACAGAGGTTAAGAATTGAGGTATAGGAGCCTCCACCTAGATTTCAGAGGATGTATGGAAATGCCTAGATATCCAGGCAGAAGTTGGCTGCAGGGTTGGAGCACTCATGGAGATCCTCTGCTAGGGCAGTGCAGAAGGGAAATGTGGGGTTGAAGCCCCCACACAGAGTCCCCACTAGGGCACTCCCTGCTGGAGCTGTGAGAAGAAGGCAACAGTCCTCCAGACCCCAGAAGGGTAGATCCACTGACAGCTTGCACTGTGCACCTGGAAAAGCTGCAGACACTAAATGCCAACTTGTGACAGCAGCTTCGAGCAAAGCCACGGGATGGAGCTGTGCAAAGCTGTGGGAGCCCACCTTTTGCATCAGTGTGACCTGGATGTGAGACATGAAGTCAAAGGAGATCATTTTGGAGCTTTAAGATTTGACTGCCCTGCTGGATTTTAGACTTGCATGAGGCCTGCAGCACCTTCATGTTGGCCGATTTGGAATTATTGTATTTACCCAATGCCTGTACCCCCATTGTATCTAGAAAGTAACTAACTTGATTTTGATTTTACAGGCTCATAGGAGGAAGGGACTTGTCTCAGAGGATACTTTAGACATGGAGTTTTTAGTTAATGCTGAAATGAATTAAGACTTTGGGGGACTGTTGGGAAGGCATGATTGGTTTTGAAATGTAAAAGGGACATGTTATTTGGGAGGTGCCAGGGGCGGAATTTTATGATTAGTCCCCACCCAAATCTCGTCTTAAGTTGTAATTCCCATAATCCCCACATTTCAAGGGAGAGACCAGGTGGAGGTAATTGAATCATGGGGGCAGTTTCCCCCATGTTGTTATTGTGATAGTGAGTGAGTTCTCATGAGATCTGATGGTTTTATAAGGGGATCTCACCACCTTCACTCAGCACTTCTTCCTGCTGCCTTGTGAAGAAAGTGCCTTATTTCCCCTTTGCCTTGTGCCATGATTGTAAGTTTCCTGAGGCCTCCCTCCCCAGCCACACTGAACTATGAGTCAATTAAACCTTTTTTTTTTTTTAACAAATTACCCAGTCTTGGGTATTTCCTTATAGCAGCATAAGAGCAGGCTAGACAGGCTATTATTAAGCTTTTTCATTGAATTTTATTTTTTCCTACTCTCCTCCCTCTTCTGTGGGATAATATTCTCAAACATAGTGTCAGCACTAATATTTCTTTTACTTTTGCCCCACACAGAAGCCTGCCCCAGATCTGTAACTCACAAAATATATAAATAGATAGGATATAAAGTTCAGAAGGTCCGCTGGGATTTGACTCATAGGGTGATCAGTTTTGGAATCAGAACCAATGACCAAATGCTCATTACAGATGAACAGCGCTCTATAGTTTACAGTTAAGCAATACGATGCAATGGTTAGAAACATAGGCTTTGTAGTCAACTTGAATTAAAAACCAAAATCTGGTACTTTTATAGATTCATACATGCAGATTGAGTGTTTGCTATGCATCAAGCACTGGGAAAGAAATTTTACACTAACTAGCTTTGTGAACTCATGCAAGTCAATAAATCCTCCTATCCTCAGTTTCTTCACCTGTAAAATGAGCATGACCGTCTTGCTGATAGCACTGTAGGCTTCATAAGAAACAGTATGTCAAGAGTTCTTAGAACAGTGCCTAGTGATGGTAGCTCTAATTACATGGCCTGAGAGATTTACTGTTGGAAATCTTGAGCAATATTTTTATTACCATTGCCCTCATTTTTGGGGTGAGGAAATTGAAGAGACTCACTTACGCTGCTCTACTGTTCTTGCGGGCAGCACTACTGTGTGTCAGCAGGTATTCATCAGTCCTTCATGAGGGAGTTGTAAGAATGAATAAACTGTGGAGGATATCCAGCAGCTGCAGAGGAGAATATTACCCAGCTTTCTCTAAGTCTTCCCACCGTGAGTCCCGGAGCACCAGACATGGCCACGTGAATTTGTTGGGCCTCTAGGAGCTGAATGAAAGCAGGAAATCTGTCAGCCTTGGCCTCAACCCTAAGAAAATTCTGCCACCCCTTGCTGCCAACTCAGATGCTTGTCATATTATTCATGAATGTGATGTCTTCCCCAAGAAGCTGTTGGCTCCCCAAGGCTGGAATGGGTAGGCAGGCACTGGAAACCCAGAAATCCAGACCAACAGTGGGAGAATCTGGCATGCAGTTGAGGGGCCTCCTAGGCCCATCAGTTTATGTCGATTCTGGGCAAACTAAGAATGGTCCCCTAAGGCTGGCATCCTAAGGACAAGTCTATCAATCACTCCATGGAAGCCAAGCATTATGCCAGACACTGCATGGGAAGTGCGAAGGGAGGTGTCTTAGACTGCTCAGGCTGCCATAACAAAAAACTGGGTGGCTAAAACAACAGAAATTTATTTTCTTAAGGTTTTGGAGGCTGGAAGTCTGAGATGCCAACATAGTCAGTTGATGATGAGGGCTTTTTTCCTTTCTTGCACCTTCCCACTGTGTTTTCATATGATTGTGAGAGAGAATGAGCAAGTTCTCTGGTGTCTCTTCTTATAAGAGCACTAAATTATTCCCCACTCTTATGACCTCATCTAAATCTAATTATCTCCCAAAGGCCTAATCTATAAATACTGTAACAGTGGGGGTTAGAGCTTCAACATATAAATTCTGTGGGGAACACAATTCATCAGTAGTAGGAGATAAACATTTTATTGCACTTGAAGTCTTGTCAATTTTGATCGATGTATTTAAGAGAATCAGTGACAAATTAGGAAATGCACCAAAGAGAAATCAGAATGGTACAGGATGTTAAAATCATGTTATTTAAGAAAAAAAATAGCCATAAAGCAACTATTGGGGGCCTAGACTAGTTTAACAGGAAAAAGTGTTATGAAAACGCAAATTGTTAGGGTGCTAACAGAAAGATATTAGAACCCTAATTACAAAATTATTAGGGCAATAGTTAAAATTTAAGATAGTATTTATAAACATTTAGTATGTTATCATAATTTTAGTGTACAAGGTTTATGTTGTTACTGTGTTAATTGCTCATTATATGGGTGATCATTACAAATGAATAGTGCATTCATTTAGTAATTATAATATTAAAATTCAACCCTACTGGTCCGTCCTTCTAGCAATAGTCAAATGATTTGAACAGAAATGTTTTTTAGTCTGCAGTCATAAGCCAGCAGATAACATAAAATATTAGTTAAAAATTAACCTTTTATGGCAAATAAATCAAACCCCAAGTGAACTCTTTTACCAGGATCTCTTACTTACTCATTTGGATGCAGCTTACAAGCCCATTTAAAAGATTATTGGAAGTTTGTTTTAAATTGTTTTGCTTTTTTTTTTGAGATGGAGTTTCGCTCTTTCACCCAGGCTGGGGTGCCGTGACATGATCTCAGCTCACTGCAACCTCCGCCTTCCAGTTTCAAGTCATTCTCCTGACTCAGCCTCCTGAGTAGCTGGGATTACTGGCACCTGCCACCACATCCGGCTAATTTTTGTATTTTTAGTAGAGATGGGGTTTCACTATGCTGGCCAGGTTGGTCTCAAACTCCTGACCTCATGATCCACCCGCCTCGGCCACCCAAAGTGCTGGGATTACAGGCATAAGCCATCATGCCTGGCCTCATTTTGCCTTTTAATCTTTATACTAGAGATATAATTGATTTACCCATCATCATTACAGCATTAGATTTGTTACAAATTTCATAGTGTACTTTTACCAATGAGGATTTTACTTTCATATGTTTTCATGTTACTAATTGAAGTCCTCCTTCATCTTAGAACTCCCAATAACATCTCTTGTAAGGCAGGCCTAGTGTTGATGAACTCTCTCAGCTATTGTTTCCCTGAGAAAATCTTTATCACCTCTTAATTTTTGAAAGAAAAAGTTGCTGGGTATAATATTCTTGGCTGATAGGGTCTTTTACCCGCAGGTTTTTGAATATTTACCCCACAATGTATAGACATATAGAAACATTACATTGTATCCCATAAACAGATAAAATTATTATCTGTTAATTTAACATAAAATAAAATTGTAAAAGGACTCATTTGAGTAAATGGGTAAATTCATAAATCCCTTCCACAGAAAAATGCACCAATACATCAACCTTGACATATAGTTTCAGAGAATTAAGAACCACCAGTTTAGATAGTATCATAGTTGGTGCTTAGTAATTATTTGTTGAATGACTGAATTAATGAATGACTAAATTAATGAATGAGTAAAGATGGAAGCCTATTTTATCTTGAGATTAGGATATCTTACATGCATGAATATGTATAATGAGGTATCACTTTTCTCTTAAGACAGAGGCCTTTTCTGGAGAGTTTCAGGCACATCTTCTTGCATCCATTGGGCTCTAGAAGGCTCTGCTTGGCTTAGCTTCAAGATGTAGGTCTGGTCCAGCTCTGCTCTTGATGTCTTACTCTGCAGCCCAGGTTTACAGGGGAGTGGGCACCCAGGCTATGTGCACGTGGTGATGGCAGAAGCGGGAGATAGCAAATCCAAGAGAGCAGGCACATTTCTCATCTGTTTGCATCATGCCTGCTCACATCCTACTGACATGGAAAATCAACAGCCACCCCAAAAGTCACAGGGTGGGGAATACATTTTATTACCACAAAGCCAAAGCAAGAGTGTGCATGGTTAATGTTGTTACAGGGGAATGAAAAATTAAGACGAATAATTCAATTTACCTAACTCCTTCCCTTGCAGTTGTAGGAGCCAATTGTGTGACTGAAGTCTCCTTATGTCTCAAAAAGGCATTTCTTTTTCACCAAACCACCTTCTTTAGGTCAAATTCAACCTTTGAAAATCACATGAGATAACTATTAAAATGTACTTTCTTTTTTTATTATTATTATTATACTTTAAGTTTTAGGGTACATGTGCACAATGTGCAGGTTAGTTACATATGTATACATGTGCCATGCTGGTGTGCTGCACCCATTAACTCGTCATTTAGCATTAGGTATATCTCCTAATGCTATCCCTCCCCCCTCTCCCCACCCCACAACAGTACCCAGAGTGTGATGTTCCCCTTCCTGTGTCCATATGTTCTCATTTTTCAATTCCCACCTATGAGTGAGAACATGTGGTGTTTGGTTTTTTGTCCTTGCGATAGTTTACTGAGAATGATGATTTCCAATTTCATCCACGTCCCTACAAAGGACATGAACTCATCATTTTTTATGGCTGCGTAGTATTCCATGGTGTATATGTGTCACATTTTCTCAATCCAGTCTATCATTGTTGGACATTTGGGTTGGTTCCAAGTCTTTGCTATTGTGAATAGTGCCGCAATAAACATATGTGTGCATGTGTCTTTATAGCAGCATGATTTATAGTCCTTTGGGTATAGACCCAGTAATGGGATGGCTGGGTCAAATGGTATTTCTAGTTCTAGATCCCTGAGGAATTGCCACACTGACTTCCACAATGGTTGAACTAGTTTACAGTCCCACCAACAGTGTAAAAGTGTTCCTATTTCTCCACATCCTCTCCAGCACCTGTTGTTTCCTGACTTTTTACTTTTTAATGATTGCCATTCTAACTGGTGTAAGATGCTATATAAGCAACTTCAGCACAGTCTCAGGATACAAAATCAAGTACAAAAATCACAAGCATTCTTATACACCAATAACAGACATACAGAGAGTCAAATCATGAGTGAACTCCCATTCACAATTGCTTCAAAGAGAATAAAATTAGGAATCCAACTACAAGGGCTGTGAAGGACCTCTTCAAGGAGAACTACAAACCACTGCTCAAAGAAATAAAAGAAGATACAAGCAAATGGAAGAACATTCCATGCTCATGGGTAGGAAGAATCAATATTGTGAAAATGGCCATACTGCCCAAGGTAATTTATAGATTCAGTGCCATACCCATCAAGCTACCAATGACTTTCTTCACAGAATTGGAAAAAACTACTTTAAAGTTCACATGGAACCAAAAAAGAGCCCGCATCACCAAGTCAATCCTAAGCCAAAAGAACAAAGCTGGAGGCATCACACTACCTGACTTCAAACTATACTACAAGGCTACAGTAACCAAAACAGCATGGTACTGGTACCAAAACAGAGATATAGATCAATGGAACAGAACAGAGTCCTCAGAAATAACGCCGCATATCTACAACTATCTGATCTTTGACAAACCTGAGAAAAACAAGCAATGGGGAAAGGATTCCCTATTTAATAAATGGTGCTGGGAAAACTGGCTAGCCCTATGTAGAAAGCTGAAACTGGATCCCTTCCTTACACCTTATACAAAAATTAATTCAAGATGGATTAAAGACTTAAACGTTAGACCTTAAACCATAAAAACCCTAGAAGAAAACCTAGGCATTACCATTCAGGACATAGGCATGGGCAAGGACTTCATGTCTAAAACACCAAAAGCAATGGCAACAAAAGCCAAAATTGACAAATGGGATCGAATTAAACTAAAGAGCTTCTGCACAGCAAAAGAAACATCAGAGTGAACAGGCAACCTACAAAATGGGAGAAAATTTTCACAACCTACTCATCTGACAAAGGGCTAATATCCAGAATCTACAATGAGTCAAACAAATTTACAAGAAAAAAACAAACTACCCCATCAAAAAGTGGGCGAAGGACATGAACAGACACTTCTCAAAAGAAGATATTTATGCAGCCAAAAAACACATGAAAAAATGCTCACCATCACTGGCCATCAGAGAAATGCAAATCAAAACCACAATGAGATAAAATGTACTTTCAATTGGTCAGACATTAAGCTCAGGATTCCTGGTCATTCTCTGATGACTAACTTTACATTACTCTTTGGAAAGCATCACTCTGTGTTCTCCTTACTCAGAATAGATTCAATAAGTGTTTTTTCTCCTTTCCTTTCACTCTCTTTTTATGTAAATATTTCAAATTTCTATTTCTTAGTTGGGTGATAAGACAAATAACTTTTATTTTTTTTGAGACTAAGTTTTGCTCTTGTCACCCAGGCTGGAGTGCAGTGGTGTGATCTTAGCTCACCACAACTGCCGCCTCCCAGCTTCAAGTGATTCTCCTGCCTCAGCCTCCCAAGTAGCTGGGATTATAGGTGCCCACCACCAAGCCCAACTAATTTTTGTATTTTTGGTAGAGAAGAGGTTTCACCATGTTGGCCAGGCTGGTCTTGAACTCCTGACCTCAGGTGATCTGTCTTCCTCAGCCTCCCAAAGTGACAAATAACTTTTACAACTTACCATTCTAGACTATCACAAGCAACTTGTCCTTTTTTTTTCCTGTAGTAGCCAGGTATTTAATTCTCTCTTCATTTGTTATATCATTCTTAATGACACTTCTGATGTGCCACAAAATTAGCATTCTAGAAGCCTTTGTTTATATATTAAAATCTGAGCTAAAGAAAGTACACTTACACTATATCTACAATTTGGAAAGCAAGTTATATCTGGCATAAAAACAGTAAGAAAATGAAAATGGAAATGTATTCCTACTGAGTGGTATGTTTCCAATTAAATCCTGCTGCTATTTTAATGATCTTAGAGGAATGGATGTAATTCAATGTAAAACATATTGGCACCTGATCTGTGCCATGTGCTCTGATGATGGGTTCTGGGGTCTTAGGGCTACACAAGATTCATCTCTCCACTCAAGTTGCTCACAGACCAGCAGGGAAGGCATTAACTCACTCACTCATTCACTCACCCATTCATTCAACAACTAAGTCCCAAGTCATCTGCTGGTCATAGTTCTGGGTGCTGAGGATACAGAGGTGAAAAACAGATTAAATTTCAATCTTTATAAACCTAAAACTCCAGTTGGAGAGAGCCATTTTAGAAAAATGTGAGGTCTAATTTTAGGACAATGTGAATAGCCATTACCTATTTCTAGATCTTTTTTCAGACTTTTTCTTTCTGTCCCAAAACACCTACAGGATTTGAGATATAAATGAAAGTAGAGATTTTACTTTGGACAAGATGGGCTCTTGAGGTATGAATTAACCAGACTTCTTATAGTAAGCTCATTCTTAAGAGATATATGTGCTAACCCCTCATACTCCAAAGGAAAAATGTAGAACAGTTGTACCAAAACTTGTTTTGTTTTACTTAATGCACCCAAATAATCTGGTGTGCTTCTCAAAAATGCAAATTTCTGCACCTACTCTAGGCCTCTTGTTTGTGAATTTTCACACATTAAGTACGGGGATTTCTTCCTTCAAAAAAGTTCTCCAATAATTTAGACACAGTTAGGTTTGGAACTATTTGTCCCAGGACATGAAAAAAACTTCACTGAACTTCACAGACCTGCGTTTGAAGGACAAATTGAAGGGAGTAGAAAAGAATTTGAGGCAAAAGAAACACAGATGAAGAATTAAGAGTAAACAAATGAATAAACAAAGGAAGCAAGAGAGGGAATGAAGAGGGAATTTGAAAGATAAACTGATAGAAAATTTTTTATCAATATTATCAATGTTTGAGGCCCTTTTTTGTTCTTGTTTGTTGCTTGAAAATGCCTTGAAGTTCTGAGATCTACATCAGGAGCCAGAAAACCTGGGTTTAGTCCCAATTCTAATATTGGGTATGCTTGGTCAAAGTTCTTCCCTTTTCAGACTTTCATGCTCATTCATAAAGATTAAAGATTTACCCAGGTGCTGCTGAAGGGCCTTCTAGCTTTGAGAATGCTCATACTCTGATCTGTTTGGCAATAGATGAGGCTATCACAGAGTTTCCCTCTAGAATCAGAAGAGAGGCAAGAAGGGGTGGTAACTCAGTTGTGCATTCTCAAGCATATCAATGCAGACCAGCAATTAAAAAGATGCACTTTGTGGCTGGGCGCAGTGGCTCACGCCTGTAATCCTAGCACTTTGGGAGGCCAAGACGGGCAGATTGCCTGAGTTCAGGAGTTTAAGACCAGCCTGGGCAACACGGTGAAACCCCATCTCTACTAAAATACAAAAAAAATCAGCCAGGTGTGGTGGTGTGCGCCTGTAGTCCCAGCTACTCAGTAGGGTGAGGCAGGAGAATTGCTTGAACCCAGGAGGCGGAGGTTGCAGTGAGCCGAGATCACACCACTGCACTCCAGCCTAGGTGACAGAGTAAGACTCTGGCAAAAAAAAAAAAAAAAAGATGCACTTTCTAAAAAAGAAAACAACCAGCTGGGAAATCCATGCTAAAATGTTCCCTCCAGGTTGGCTCTGGAAATGCCCAAGGGTAGAACATTATTATCTCCAAAATTCTGAAGGGGCAAAAGGAGGGCAAGTCTATATCTGATGCCAAATACATAAAGGCCATTCCAGTTGGTTAATGGAATTCACAGTTTGAAAAGAAAGCAACTTGTTTTTGTAAGACTCATTTCCAGAGAGCCAGCTCCTCTGTTTCCATTTGCACCAGATGACTTCAGGTCAGCAGAATATGGAAAGGACAGTCTCAGCCAAGGCTCCAAGAGCCTAGGCTAACAAGGCCCTAGGGGAAAGGCCTTCAAAGGGTACACAGATTACTTACTGTGTCTGCCAGTGAAACTGACCAAAAGGAAGCAGACCTGCCGGTGCAGGCCAGGCACCAGGAAGTGTGAAAATGCCGTGTTAATGGCCACTGACTGTGGACACTCCTACAAGCTGTTCTTTGGAAGTCTGATCTGGTTTGGCTGAAGGGCTGTGCCAGTAAGAACCACTTCCACCCAGCTGCTCTGCAGAATTGGGGCATCAGGAAGTTTGACAACGTGCTTTTCATGATCATCAACAGGTACCATTGGAAGAGACCTGAATTCTGGCTCTGAATTGCTTTTCCATTCCTGTGCGATCTTGTACAGGTTACTCTCCCTGTCTGAGCCTTAATTTACTCACTGTTAAGAGAAGGAAATTGGGTTAGCCTTGATGTGTTGGGAGTATAGAAAAGCAAGCTTTGCTTCAAGTAGCTAATATGTGGCTAAAAACTGGCTGCAGGCTATACTATGTCTGCCTGTGTGTGTTTATAATGGAGGCAACTACGTTTCAGAGACATAGCTTTCCTAGGGTCAGTTCAGTAAATGTGAGTTGGGCATATTGCTGGGTACAGGAGGTCAAGGAATGAATATGGCTTAGTTCCTTCTCTTGGCCAGTTTCTAGTTGGTGGCAAGGCAAACCTGTAAACAGATAGTGCAGTGTGTTTGGAGCAGCAGAGGACATAATGCCACTGGATGGGAGAGATGGAGATAAGGCATGGGTAGGAGTAGAGCCTTCTCCAGTAAGTACGGGTAGGAGAAACTGAAAGAGAAGGCTCTTCAGTAGGAAACAAATTCCTGAATTGTCTTGTATGATGATTATGGGTTGTCTTTAAAAAAAAAATATGTGAGAGGGAGTGGCTAGAAGAAAGAATAAAGGAAGGCTTTCCAAGGCAGGAGAAAAGAAATAAGGCATGGAACTGTATAAGAAGTAGCATAGCAGAGATGGAACTGAAAATTCATCCAATTAATTCAGTGTTGTTGGAGGGTAAAGTAGAAGGAAATGAAAAAGTGGTTAATCTGGGCTAAAGTAATATCTTCTAAAAGCAAATTCATTCTTCATTCATTAAACCATTCTTCCTTTTATTGCATTTTATTTGAAAATACATTATAAAAGATTTCAATACACAAAATGTGACAAAGAATAAATGAAAGCCCATATACCTACCATTCAGTTTAGGAAATAAAATGTTGCCAACATAATTATAGAGGCTTGCATTCCCTATGCTAAGCGTACCCATTTAAGAGCAAATTCATCTCTTCGGATGAGAATCACAGTAATTAAACTCTCAGGAATTAACTACAAAATTGTAAATTTAATTTATTAACTGATATTGCAAAATATAACTGTCACATGGACTGGAATATGAGTGTCCCTGAGGTCAGTACATTCCTTCCCTGTACCAGGCTACAGGGTACACCACATCTTAGTCAAAAGCCAGTTTTTCAGTTAACAGTGAGAAATTCCAGGCAGTCTGAACAGCTTATTCTTTTCCAGTGGCTGGTTCCTCATGAAATGTCAAATTATTGTCAGATGTTTTCTTGGTAAATCTGGAGTCAGATGAATCAAAAATTGAATGGCACAAACTTCCTGTTTCCTTCCTTCCTTCCTTCCTTCCTTCCTTCCTTCCTTCCTTCCTTCCTTCCTTCCTTCCTTCTTTCTTTCCATCCTTCCTTCCTTCCTTCTTTCCTAAAGTAACCCAACCACCTCACCTTGGGGACATGTTCTCAGGACCTCTTGAGACAGTGCCTTGGGCCATGGTCACTCACATTTGTCTCAGAATAAATCTCTTCAAGTATTTTACAGAGTTTGGCTTTTTTGGGTCAACATTACCAGCAACACTGTGAATTGTGACTTCTTATTCTTTTAACAACTTGTTTCTGCTTAATTATCCAGAGTTATTTGCTGTTGCCTATGTACAAAATCCTGCTCGTGCTAAGAGCTGTATAACTGATAAAAAAAATAAACATAGCTCTGACCACATTATCCTTGTAAATTCATGGAGGAGGCAAATGTCAACTAAATGAATACAGAATTACAAATTTATAAATTGTGATAATTTGTAGTTATCTCTACAAGGAACAGTACATTAATAAAAAGTGACAGTAGGGGAAACTAATTTCAATTTTAGGGGAATTCACAGTGGCTTCTCTGAGGAAGTGACACTGGAGTTGAGACCTGAAAGTAAGTAGGAGTTAGAGAAATAAGAAGTTGGGTGTGTCTCAGGGGAGAGGGGTTAAGGTTATTGTACAGTTCAATTAATGGCACAATATCAACAAGATTTCAGATTTCTCCTGAGGAGATTGGGAAGGCACTGAAAGGTATTAGGTAAGAGAGTTACCTAATTTAATTTGTTTTCTATTTGTTTGTTTATTGCTTTTTAAAAAGTGCACTCAATGTGTATAATGAATTTGCACTGGATAAAAATAGAAATAGGCAATTCTTCCCACCAGGTCTACCACAACACTACCACCTTGGGTGTGGGCTATACTTAGCAATTCACATCCAATATGTAGAGTGTGGGAAAGGGCAAAGTAGTAACTTTATATAAAAAAAAACTAACAAACCAACTGGCAAACACTTCCTTAACTAAATAATCAAGGTTAATGTCACCAACAATAGGCCATTCTGATAATAAGTACCTTCTAATGTAATGTGATAGGGAGGGAACTTCAACTCTGTGAGATTCTTTTCCCAAATCTATAAACTTAGTTTAATGAGGCAAACATCAGAAAAACATGAACTGGGTTCACTGGTGAAAATTTCTGGCCTCAGGTACTCCACAAAGCTGTCAAGGCAGGAAAAGCAGGAAAGGACAGACATTGTCACAGACCAGAGGACACTAATGAGATATGATGACTACATGCTATGTGGTATCCTGGAAGAGAAAAATGATGTCAGCATAAAAATTGGTTAAACCTGAATAAAGTCTGCAGTTTAGTTAATGGTAATGTACCAATTTTGGATTCTTAGTTGTGATAAATGTGCTGTGGTGTTGTAAGATGTTAATACTAGGAGAAACCAGATGAGAGATCTACAAAAGCTATCTGTATTATTTTTGGAACCGTTCTGTAAATTTAAAATTATTCTCAAATAAAAAGATTATTTTAAAAAAAGAATAAGCAGAAAAACCTGTTAACTACTGCCACCAGTTTTCTAGACAAGAGAGTAGACTCTAGTGAGGACATTGAAATAGAGAGCAGTAAGTTAGAGGTTTATTTTGGGGGTATGATTGACAGTTCCAATATGTCCTTCTCACATTAGAGGAAAGGCTTTCCAGTGGAAGAGCAAGGTCTATAATCAAAAGCTACGTGCTGGTGAGGACTTTACTAAGTGACTAAGTATCCTAGCAATTTGTACCAGATGTGTGCATGTCCGAAGTCCTGATAGATGTCCAATCATCTAATTCCCATGGAGAATAAATTCTTTTTTCCAAGCACCAGAAGCTCTCCCCTTAAGCTTCTTGTTTAGCTGGTTTATAAATGTTCAATTTTTTTATTTGCATCAAATAAATTATTCCCACCAGTGAGCTGGTGATTCAGACTGAGTGGGAAGCTCTCTCCTATCCTAGGGCCATGAGCCTGCTAATTTGTCATGCTGTGCTTGTGCCTTTAGGAATCCCTTTATTTGTCTTACAGTTAACTACTATCTTCAGTTGTTAAAAGGCTGAGTGGAACTGAAATGCTATTTTGTTTTTTCAAAGCAATATGGTTTTGACAGCTATCTATGGAAGGATATGAAGAGGAGGCAGGAATGGAAAGTAGTTGGAGGGGTAGGGGCATATGCCTGGCTTTCCTCCCAAGCACAAGGTTGCTTTTCTGTATTCTGTTTTTTGTTTGTTTGTTTGTTTTTGTTCTTGTGTTTTTTTGACAGAATCTCTCTCTGTCTCCCAGGCTGAAGTGCAGTGGCATGATCTCAGCTCACTGTAGCCTAGACTTCCCAGGCTCAAGTGAAGGTTTCTTCTTACAAAGAGTTTATAGGTTGTCATAGTCTTTGAGTCATGAAATCCATCATGGCTACTACATAACAAAATGAGAAGCCTGGTGGCCAGAAACATTTGAAGTATTTGAAAGTATAATCAAATAGCAAAAGTAAAATAGCGGACTGAAATTTTTTCCTCCTTGATCCTCCCTTAACCTTACTCTATGAGGTTTGGGTGAGGCTGATTCCAGCCCTAGGTAAATGAGAGAATTCCAACCTCTTGTCCATAGTCAAGAATGTAGCATATTCTAGGATGGGCCAAGAGTCATATCTGGAAAGTTTGCTGAAGATATTGGAAAAGAGACATTCTTTCCACTGAGGTTGCCTGTAGTCACAGCACCAATTCAATATCATAAGGACATAGATGGTGGAATAGTTAACAGATAGCTCCGCTTGAGGTAGGACAAAAGGAGCCTTGATGACAAAACAAATAACATTTTGTAGCCTGACACTTGGAATAGCCAGCTTTTACAGCCTCAGTCTCTTGCATTATCTGGTTAAAGCCTGTCTGATGATAAAACTGATAGATCTGAAAGCAGAGTGAGAGAGGAAAAGAAGCTGAGCTTTGATAAGCTTGGATCCAACCATGCCTAAAGTCATTTTTTTAGTTGAGTTAATGAGTTCTGTTTTTATTTCATTTTATGAAGTTTTTGAGCTTCTTAATTAGATAAAAAGAGAAGTAATAACTTCTGAATACCTGTGAAGGGTAGCAGAATATGCCACTTTGGCATATTGATTATTTGGAGCTGAAGACAATTGAGAGGAAGCAGATAAAATAAAAGCTCTCTGTCCTACTCTTATTTGCCTAAAAGTGGGACATAAATTTATAAGGATGCACCCCCCCCACCCCACGTTCTCTACCAGAAAGGACATAATTTAATCACCTGAAACAATTCTAAACCCTTATTATCCTTGAGACTGAAGACTGTACCAGGAGAATCTACATAACAAACCTCACTAATTAGCTCTATTCTTCCGTTAGTTTTCTCATATATTTTCCTTCCTACAATTTGCCACCACTAGAACTCAAAGTCATTTTCTTTTGTCTTATCAATTGTCTACAAATTTATTATTCTTTTCTAAGATGACATATATGCCCAAGGTATACCCATCCCTTTAAATTACTCATCACTGAATATTCCTTTGAATAATGCAGTGCACATATTAGTCAATTTCTCTTTGTTCTTATCTTGTTAATCTGTCATTTGTTAGTCTAATTTGCAGGGGTCCAGCCATTGAACCAAAGCTGGGTAGAGGAAAAAGTGATTTTTTTCCTCTCCTACACCTGCTAACTATTCCACACTAACCCTTCCTGCTAGGAGCTACTCTGTAAGTTTTTCTTTAATACTCGTAGAAACATTGTAAAGTGTTATTTATCCCATTCACAGAAAAGGTAACTAAAACATAGAAAAGTTAAAGTGGCACCAATTGTAATAAAAGGGTTAAGCAAACGGAGTGGGGATTACAACTAAGGTCAATTCTATGAGTTGCAACCTCACTTTGCTGCCTTTTTTTTTTTTAAGTACCAAAAACTGTTTTTGTGTCTTTTGAGCAAAATATTTTGGTGGACTTAAAAAAAATTACCCAGTTTTACAGATCAAATCTTGTTAGTGTCTCCCAAATCTTTTTTCTATTCCCACTGCCGACACCAAATTCAAGACAAGATGTCCTCTGAGAATTGCAAAAGCAACTTCTCAGGTCTGTCTTCCCTCCCACGTTGTTCTCTACTCTGCATCCAGAAATCAGTATAATATTGTTTTACTCGTTACTTTTTGTACTTTGTTCTATTTATTTATTTTTATTTATTGTGAGGTCTTCAAGGACAAGCATTTGGTTTATTTTTCTCTCTGCTGAATGTCCCAGTGTCTGACGATGTCTGACTCTCAGTGTTTTCATTTATTCTTCTACATCTAAATACCTTCCATAGACCAAAGAACTCCAAATTTATATGTCTATACCACACCTGTCCCCAAAACTTTGATTTTAATAATTGTCTTTGTACTTGCATATGCAATCAATATTTTGATCAAAAACTAAACTTCTTATCTTCTCCCACAACATGTTCCCAGCTTCTTTCCCACCGTCTTCCCCATGGGACACAGCTAAGGACAACCCCATCCTGTCAGGTGCTCAAGCTGATAACATGAAGTCATTCTGGACTTTCCATCTGTCCTTGCACACCACTTCCAATGGATCAACACATCTTGTTGGGTGTCACTACAACTTTTGACCATACGCACTGCTTCGACTACAATCCAAGTTACC
Organism: Homo sapiens; assembly: GCF_000001405.40. NCBI lineage: Eukaryota > Metazoa > Chordata > Mammalia > Primates > Hominidae > Homo > Homo sapiens. The sequence goes on along the minus strand of NC_000009.12, from coordinate 115,409,452 downwards.
ACCATTTTTTATTCTTGGGTTAATGTACCAGCCTCCTAACTGGTTTCTTTGTTTCTGTCCTTGTTTCATCTCAACTCCAAGGAATTGTTCTGGACTGGAAGCGTTAGTACTTCAAGCTTCTACTCAGAACATTCCAGTGGCTTCCCTTCTGATCCAGGGTAAGCGCCAAAGCCTGCACAATGTTCCACATGGTCTGTCATCTCTCTAGATTCATCTCCTCTCCAGCCCCATGAGCTTTCTTGGTGTTCCTCAAACACACCCAATACCCTCTTTCCTGTAGACCTTTGCCCTGGTTTTCCCCTTTGCCTAGGATGTTTTTCTCATGGATACCCACATGGCTTACCCTTCACCTCCTTCATATCTTTGCCCGAATGCCACCTTCTCAGTGAGGTTTTCCCTGACTACTACATCTAAAACTGCCATCTGCTCCTTCGAGGAAGAAGGATTTGTCTGTCTTTTGTTTGTTTGTTTTTGTGTTTATTTATTTTTCTGCTTTGTCTCCAGTGCCTTTATGTGTTCAATAAATGTTTGTTAAATAAAAAGTACGAGATGCATGACAAATACCTGACAAGTAAATGTACAAATAAATAACTGTCACCTAATGATTGTTGGCTCTCCATTGCCCTGGAATCATGTTAAAAATGCTAGAACACAAGGTCCTCCAGAATCTCATCCTTGAATCTTGGTTGAGCTTTATTTCTCAACAGCCACCTCATCATGACTTGCTTACATCCACATACACTGTGTCCCAGCCACATTTAAATAACTATTTAGAGTGAGTACACAACTCTTTCTGTCTCCTCAGTCCATTCAGAGTTTTCCTTGGCATATCACATTTCCCCCCCCATTAGAAAGGGTGGCCTCCCAGTTTGTCTTCTTCTCCCCTTGTAGCACTTACCAGATTGCATTTCTCTACTGCAATTTTCTGCTTCTGAGAGACCTCCCGTGTGAGACTGATGTCCCTGGAGGCAGAGGGCATAATTTTCTAGCCACTGTATCTCCAAGCCCAAGACAGTGGGCAAAGTTGTCTGATACTTGTTATCAATACTTTTTTCATGATAGGACACTGCTTCCGTCTCATCCAACCTGGAATACTCCCAGCTTTGTCCCATTTCAAGTCTTTAGCTAATTTAATCTTCATTTTATTCTATGTAAAATGAGAGTGGTAACAATAAAAAGTAAACATTTCTGTCTTTCCAAATAAAGAAAAACTCCAAAAGTTTGAGTATCTTTGATACAAAATTTTAACATTCATTCATAGCTTTCAGTTGTGGTTAAAAATGGAGTAGATTAGTCATTATACACATTAAAAGCCACTTTTATTTAGTCTATAGTCTATACAACAGTTCAATGAACAGTCATGATTTTATCTAGAAGAACTAAAACAATGAAACATTTAAAAATGTCAAGTTGACTGAGCCCCATTAACAAAAGTCATGCAAGATGCAAATGATATTAACTGGCTTGGGTCAGATTATGTCTTGAGAAGTGATTACCTTTTTCTTCTGGAAAGAATTCCCCTTGCTACTGGCCTTGCCTTTCCTCCCAAAGCCTTTGATCTGTGATCTCCCTTAGTTGTTTAGGAAGCTGGAGATACCATCTCAGATCATATACTGATGTGGCAATACACCTGAGAAATGGGCACAGAAGATGATGATGCCCTCCAGACATGCTGGGGAGAGGAAATGGCTTTCCCTGGTTGGGACTCTCAGTTGGCCACTGGCCATCAGTTAAGGAGGAGGTGGCAGGGGAGAAGTCAAGGAGGTGGAGTCAGTACTCAGAGGTTTCAGCTTCTGCTCTGGAAATCCAATCATGGACCATCAATCACCTCCTTTTGCCGTTCAGATCCTTAGCTTTGCCAAAGACAGCAATCCTTTGAGAGGATAAGGAGACACTGTAGTAATCACATATATTCATGGAGGAGAAGACTAGTGGGCTTGTTCTTTTAACCCTGCTTCTCCAGTTCTTAGGTTTACCACTCTCAGTCTAAGAGATATGTGCCTATGGCTGGTCCATCCCATCATATGTGTCTAAAAGTTTCTCCTAGCTGACATTTCCAGCCATCGTTTCCAAATTGGTGATGTGTTAAAACATCCTCTTGGGATGTCTGTTTGCAATTTGTTCTTAGAAATGCATGAAAATTGTTCAGTTATGCTGGAGATGCAAAGACAGAGATTGGTTCATGAGGACAGTTTTCTGATCATGGTTTTAATTTTTCTAAGCTGGAGCTTCACTGTGCTTTGATAAAATTGCCACAATATCAGGATTCAGAAAAACCTATGTTTTCTCAAAGATATTTTAACTCTATAAAATATTTACCAGATAAGTGTATCTTTGGGAATATGAAATCAAATTATGGTTGTAAAGCTATAGTGATTTGGGAATAAATAACTGATTCAGTTAATTGGGCTATGAAATGTTTGACAGATATCTTCCCTGTGCTCTTTATCCTATAGGAAACTTAAATTTTCTAAACCAAATGTAAGCCAAGTGACCCCAGGCTCTCTATCCTCCTTGGGGCAGCTTTCCCTTTCACATCCAAATAATATGATCCAGGTCCCAATACTGAGTATGCAGGAAGCCTTGCCTGTTTCCCATATAATTCTGAGAATCCCTAGGAAGTGATTGTATGTTCCACAAATCTATCTTAGTTGGGCTTCTCATCTCTCATTCCAGGTCAATGCCCCCAACTTCTTTTCCATCAGCTGAGACAAAACACTCAACTTTATCAAACTTTGCTAAGGCTTGAGCATGATACAAGAGAGTGAAAATGCATAAATAAAAACCCAGAGCTGGATACAAAATATCTCCCCCTTGAGTACACACACCATTTCTCTTTATTCTCTTTACAGGACACCCCCATGGTCATTTTTCTCAGCATTTGAGGTGTCACAGGAGAAAAGTTGCTTTTCTCAGGTCGCCTTAACCCCTGCTGTCTCTTAACCCCACCAGAACATTGAAGAAATTAAAATCAGCATCATCATCATCACTGAGAGATGCCTTCTGCTTAAAATGAACATCCTTTGTTTGAGAACCTTACATTCTAGACTGAGGACAAACCCTCTACATTATTACTTTGGTTCTAAACTTTCCTTAGAACAATAAGTGATAAATTACCTATATCTCTAAGGTAACAAAGGCACATCTAAAAGTCTCCTCCAAGAGATAGATTCCATCTTGATTTACAGAATGCAGAAATGTCGCACACTTTTTAAAATAGCTTTAAGGGGGATAGGAGAGGAGATGCACCCTGCATTCAATACTAGCATTTTGAGAACTTCCTGGCCCTACGAACTAGCAGACTTCAGAATAAGCTGAATGTTTAAATTCCGAGGATGCAGCAGTTGACAAGACGGATCCAGCTTTCAGTCTAATGAAACATCTAGACAAAAAGTCAAACTGCTTTAGGAACCATGATAAGTACCATGATAGAGCAGCCCACAGGGTGGTGGGGTCTCAGGGGAGCTGTACTATGTCTTATAAAGTCCCAAATACGTTTGAAGGCTGTGGCTTGGAAGTTAAATTGCAATTAAACCTCTTGAGTTTGACACTTGGCAATCCATAAATTCCTCTACAAAAAGAAACAACCATACCACCACTAAAACCACATACTCTACCTCTTAAAACATCCCATGACACCTTGGATGCTAAATAATTCCGTGCGGCAATCTTTCCCAGGAGTTAAGAAAACATTAGACAATATCTATTTTAAGTATCTTCTGAAAGACATGTTGTCAAAAATAAAGAAATGGAGACACCTGAAAATGAAGAATGGCTTAGCCTTTAAATGATGAAATAGTGGAAACTCCACTTATTATGTTGTGTAAAATTAACAGATAATTGTGCATTTTCTGGAAGCAAAAATTTTAAGTTATTTTTATTAGTGTTGTTCAATTGTACTTTTTAATGTCAAAATTGTTAAGTAGCAATTGTAGTATAAAGTAGTAGATAGGACCGTGAGCTTGCAGAAGCAGAAAATCTACTTAAATTTGAGCTCTGCCACTCTCTTGGGTAGCCTATCAGCCTCTCTGTGCCTCAGGTTGCATAATATTAAAATAGGGATTATTGTGATAATGAAAGAAGTATAAATAAGTTATTTTTCACACTGTAAGCATTCAATAAATATTAGTTTATATTATTAGAAAACAAAAAATTTGGGAAAATTTTAAGAAAGAAGTATAGATTATTCTTCATCCCACAATCAAAAGCCAATCAAAAATAAAGTTGTGGGTTCATACACATTTTTTTCAGGTGTATATGTGTGTGTTAATTCTAGAAATATGGATTTATTCAGTATCTAATACATAGATTTTGTTTTGTTTTGTTCTGTTTTTTAAAGAGATAGGATCTCACTATGTTGCCCAGGTTGGTCTCAAACTCCTGGGCTCATGTGTTCCTCCCACCTTGCTCTACTAATGTGCTAGGATTATAGGTGTAAACCACCATGCCCAGCCCTAATACATAGTTTTGAAATGCTTCTTACCTGGGCTATACATTAGACATGTTTTCATGTCATTGAATATGGGTGTAAGTCATCTTAACAGCTGCGTTTTGTTCCATTGTATGACAATGCTATTATTTTATGAAGTGTCTATATTATTTGAGTTTAACTTTTACTTTATACCATTTTTGTTTACTATTTCTTTTAAGAGCATGCACAAAGAGCTTCACTGTATACATGCATTTTTTTTTAGCATTCATCATATCATTTATAGGAATGTAACTGTTCGGTCAGCCAATAAACTCTTTTACCTACTTGATAACTTACCATCAAATGGCCCTCTGGAATTTATACCTCCCATATTCTGTATAAGAATGTCTCCAAAACATTCCATTTGAGGCTCTGTGTGTGCTTGAGCACAGGGGCTGTGCAAGCCCTTCAGTCCTAGAGGTTCAGAGCATCACTCCTTTCTGTGTGTCTTGGCCCAGCTAAAAAGACATTGCCTGAATTGGTTACTATTTAGGCAAGTCAGAGTTTCTACAGGACATGTAATTCTATACCAGTTTCTTCCTTACACTTTCTTGGCTGCAGTCCCTTCACTTGTAAAATGAGAATAAAATAGATATTGTTATTGAGAAGATTAAAAAGTGGTAATGTAAAATATATAGTACCTGATTCATCATAAGCATTTAGCAAACATGTGCTCTATTGCCCCATTCTTTTATAAATTGCAAGTTTTAATGCCACAGTGCTTTGTAAAAAGTAGGTGTCAATAAATGTTTATGCTTATATTTTTAATCATTTTACTCTTGAAAAGGATATCAGGGATAATACATCAAAGAAGACATCTATGAGCTTAGCTAGCATTAAGGAGTGGACGAAGAAGAAGAAAAAGGAGAAGAAAAAGAAGAGGGGAGAAGAAAAAGTGGGGGAGGGTGAAAAATAGAAAGAAGGGTGGAGGAGGGAGGGATTTTAAAGACAAGCAGACCTAGGGTGAAATCCCAGTTCTGTCACTTACTAGCTGAGTGAATTGGGGTTTTGAGTTAACCTCCTTGATTCTCAGTTTCCTGTTCAATAATGAGCAGCTAATGACTTCTGTCTCAATGTGTTCTTATGAGGATTTATTGTGAGAGTATAGATAAAGTAGTAAGAATTATTTTAGACAAACACCAGATATCCAATAAAATGTAACTCTTTTCTGTATTGCCATCATTATTTCTACCATTGACATTTTTAATCCATCATTATGTCCATTATTGACATTATACATTATGTCTAGTGATTAACTCTTTAAGAAATCTTCGTGGATTAGCACAGTAAATCTATGCCTTGCCCCCATGACGCACATCAATATGATTTATTCATTCATTCATACTAGAGCCACACACTGAATTTACACCTCAGTCAAACTCGGGGCTTTGCTTATGGACAGTGACTAATCAATACATGTTAATTGTACTAATTAATTAATTGGTACAGTGTTAATTATCAGTGTCATAGGAATATGGATAAACTCAGCATAGAAAGAAGGCTTCTTTCTGTCTTGCATTCTACAGACAATTTGCTCATAATTCATTGCTAACAACAATTACATTAAATCCATACCTATATATCTACTTCTATATCTATATCTATCATCTATCTGACTGTATTAGTCCATTTTCATGCTGCTTGTAAAGACATACCTGAGACTGGGAAGAAAAAGAGGTTTAATTGGACTTATATTTCCACATGACTAGGGAGGCCTTAGAATTACGGCAGGTGGCGAAAGGCACTTCTTACATGGCGGTGGCAAGAGAAAATGAAGAGGATGCAAAAGCGGAAACCCCTGATAAAACCATCAGATCTTGTGAGACTTACTCACACATACTACGAGAACAGTATGGGGGAAACTGCCCTCATGATTCAAATTATCTCCCACAGGGTCCCTCCCACAACACATGGGAATTATGAGTGTACAATTTGAGATGAGATTTGGGAGGGGACACAGAGCCAAACCATATCACTAACTATACATGCAAACATATCTCTCTCTCTCTCTCTCTCTCTGTCTATATATATATGTATGTATATATATACATACATATATGTATACATATATGTATGTATATATATACATACATACATATATATAAATGTCTGTTCCTTTGTTTTCATTTTTTGTTTGCTGATTTGTTTTTGTATTTTGTTTGCCACAAAAAGGAAAAAAACGATGTAAGACCAAATCTTGAAACCAGAATAGGCAGTGGCAGATCTATACCATTTACTCTAAAAGTTGATGATAAAGGAAATCTTCAGGGCAAGTGCTTTCTGACAGCTGTACCATATTGGAGCTTACAGAGATTAGGATGAAAAGGAATGCTTTTTGCATTGCCTCTGACTGCAAATTAATCAGAATGTATAGACTAGAAAAGAATCCTTGTTGGAAAGTATGCCAGAGAGATAACACACATAGGTGTGCCTCAGGGACACAGCACTTCTAGGACGTGGTCTTCCGTAGCTCCAAGCAGTACACATACCCTACAAAGAAGCCCGGTTGAATGCTCCGAGGAAACTCTTTCATATATTCTTATAGAAAAAGCCTTTCTAGTAAATGATAACTGGTAAATTAACCCCCTCCAAATGTGTCAACACATTCTTAAGTAATCTTCGTAGGCACAAGCCTCTCTAGAATAGTTTGTGCATGTCTCTGAGGAGTTAAATAGATGATTCTAAACGGATTTAGATTTTTGTGGGTTCAGCAGCCCAATGTTGTATTGTGGGGGAGGTAAGGTTCTTTTTGTCTGCTTCGCTTTTATTTTTTCCTCTATTCTCAAGCTGTCAAGTCTTCTACTGACATTTTAGCTGTTTCTGGCAACTCCTCTTCCTTTTCCAAGTCACTTACATTCAATCTGCTGGGAGACAAAAAAAAAAAAGCAAATAACCAAGCTTGCTAAATAAAGTGTGTTTAATAAGATGTCATGAAACCCAGCAAGAAAGCCAGGGGGTTTGTGCCTTCATTAATTAAATCGGATCTACAAATATTCACTGGGCTTCCTTTGTGCAAGGCCTTGTGATGATCTGTGAGCTATGCTTGCTGTAGGCAATAAAACACTGGTGTTTGGGGTCTGTAACATTTGAAAACTATACTTCTATTTTCATGAGGCTTTTAAAATGTCTGAGTTTATGGCTAATTATGAATGGTCAATACTGTTAACCTTGGACCTCTAAAGATTTGGTTAATTACAGAACCACTCTGCCTATGTATATGTGAATTTTCTATGACTCCCAAAGTATCAACATGTGTAATCTCTTGTTTTGTCCACTTTTGAGCTAAGGAAGGTTGGAATGTTTAGCCACATCTTAGAAGACAGTTAAAGGGGCTTATAAACTGGAATCATTTCAAATCCTTTAAAATATTAGACTAGAATCTACTGATTCATTAGGTCAAAGCCCATGCCCTAAGCCTTTGTCCAAGCATCAAATAACTAGCTTTTAGATCTCACTTATTGCCATGCCTAAGATGCCATATTGGAAAGGACACTGACCCAGGAATCAGCAGTTCTGGATTGTAAGAGGAAATCTGTAAGAAACTCATAGGCAAGTACCTCTGAATCCCAGGTTTGTCTCTTTTCATCTGTGAGATGAAGATGATCACATCTACCACATAGGATGAAATGATAATGTCCCTTAAAACACTATTATTAAATGAAGTATATTACCAATTCCCTCTGCAGCCTTGGGCCTGGCAAGAGATACAGCAAAATCCTTTCCTCCATTGTAGCAGACTCCTGCTTGCCACTTTACAGACCTCTCTCTGTGCAGGGCATCAGTAAAAACCTAAAGATAATAAGAGACACAAAGAAGGTATCCGTGTAGGCCATCTCCCTGGATGTACCACTCACCACATTCCTTTCACACTAGGTTGGGCAGGAAAAGCAATTCCGGGAAAGAGTTGTTCAGAGCCTCCCTGGGAACCTTGGTGTGTTTCTCTCTTGCTGGCCACTGGCTGGCCTAAGGTCACGCACAGGGAAGAACACCAGCTCCATCCAGACTCCTTGCAAGAATTTCAATGATGCATGTTAAAGACTAACAGATGTGCACTTTCTCCTCTTGCAGTCTGAGGCCAGACACCAGCTCCACTGGATGTGAGGCCTGTCTCAGGGGCTCAAACAGCAAGCACCCTAAAGTCCCCTCAACAGTGTAGAATCATATGCCATGGCTTTTGTTTTAAATGTGGAGATGTAATAGAGAGATATGGGTGCTTAAGAGGCTAGAGTAGACAATCCTGGGTAGATTTCTGACTCTGACACTTTCTGGCTATGTAACTTTGCTAAATGCATTTTTCTTATCTCTAAAAAGGGGATAGCTACTGCTGTAGTTTGAGTGTTTGTCCCCTCCGAAACTCATGTTGAAATGTAAGTGCCATTGTATCAGTATTAAGAGGTGTGGTCTTTAAGAAGTGATTAGGTCATGGGGACTCCACCTTCATGAATGGATTAAAGCCTTTATGCCAGGAGTGGGCTAGTTATCCTCAGAGTGGGTTTTATAAAGCTAGTTCTGCCCCTCATACTTCCTCTCTTACTGAGCTTTCACCTACCATCATGTGTAACACGGCAAGAAGGCCCTCACCAGGTGCTGGCACAATGCTCTTCCACTTCCCAGCCTCCAGAACTGGAAGAAATAAACTTATTTTCTTTATAACTTACCCAGTCTTAGGTATTCTGTTATAGCAACAGAAAACATCATCAGATGGCAATCTTTTGTAATGATCTAATGAAATAATGTTCAATACACATTAGTACATTGCACAAAGTACCATGTCTATAATTTATTAATCTTCTCAGTCCATTAACCTACCTAGCAGATCCCATGGGAATTACTCCATTCTCTGCAAAAGTTGACAATAAATAAAATATTTGGGGCAAGTGCTTTCTGACAGTTGCACCACAGGAGCTCATAGAGATGAAGATGAAAAACAAATTCTTTGTTGTTGTTTTTGCATTCCCTCTGACAGCAAACTCATCAGGTTGCATAGAACAGATAATTGACTAGTGCTAATTAGATTCCCTGCTGCCCTCTAGCCTTCCACCTTTGCTCCATGGTTCTCACATGGCTATGCTACAATCCATCCCTCCTTGCCCATGGTGGGAGGGAACAAAGGATGTGTAGTATGGACAAGGATGCTGCTGCCTCCCATTCCCAGAGCCCTCCCTTATGAGAAAGGAAAGCAGCAAAGACAGGAAATAGTCAGGGTGATTCCCTTCCCACTTCCGGGAGTCAGCTCTCTCATTCTCTCCTAAACCCCTGAAGAATCCTCCTGACTTAACTAGTTATGACCTTCAAGGAGGACCCATGGTCACTGCCTATTGAAAGTGTTCAGCAGATATTGAGGGTGTAGGTAAATGTTACATTTTACAAATCTGTAAATGAGCCACACAATGCTCTGGGGATGCTCCTTTCAAAATCAGGAGACATTTTAGTGGTACTAGAATAAACACAGTGGCTACAATTTGAGTACTCATAATACGCCAGAGACCATGTTAAATATACTATAGCCATTACTGATGTTTAAGGACACACGGAAAGACTGAGCAACATTGTCAAAGACCACATCCAGAAAGGGACAAAACCAAGATCCACACCCAGTCCTGGCCAAATCCAATGGTGGTTTCCTAAACTGCTGTGCTGCTATGCATCCCCCAGTTGTTCTGTATCAGTTTTGCAGTGTTTCTCTACCTCTGACTGTTCCAGGAAAAGAAAGTAATAGCATCTGCAGTGATGTGCCCCACACATCCAGATATGCTCTTCCTGGCAGTGTGGGATGGTGACAGTCATGTCACCTCTTTGTGCCTGCTTATCATTTGTCAGAGAAGATAATACTAGCACTGGCTCCTTCCATCTTAACCACAAGCTGGCTAAGAGTAATGCTGAAGATATTTATGAAATATTCTAAATAATGTTCCCAGTGTAGTCCCAGCACGTAGTAAGCATATTAATCCTCATTTCCCCTTTTCTATGTCCAAGAGGCTGTTTAGGGAGAATTATGGTAATTTCTTTGGGAAAAGTTTACTTCCTGTCTATCATTAAGGCTAATTGGGTTTCTACCTTTGAAATTTTCTAAACATAGGTATCTGATAAAACATCAAATTGAAGGAAGGTAAAAGAATATCTATATCTATCTCTCTATTTGTCTTTCTCTATATATATATTTGGTGGTGTGGGGAGTTTAAATAATTTTCAACAACTGGTATAGTGAATGACAATCTGCTTAGAAAAGAATTCAAACAAATAGTAAACATGCTGAAATGTTCAAGGAAACCTTGCCAATAATTTGATATATTTTTAGGAAGAAAGGGAAAACAAATTTATTTTAATTTTAATGATTGTTGTGGTTATAGTGTTTTCTTTTTCCACATTCGGCACAGAGTGACTTAGAGATTCTCCATAATAAGTGTCTTAGGTCCCCGAGGCAGGCTGTGATGTTGAAAAGTGTGATAGGACAGAGGCATGATTTTAAGCAGCTGTTGGGGAGATGTGGAGAAGAGGTGCATTTGACCCGTGCCCTGCTCTTCTTGCTTTGAAAAATAAAAACAGGAAGTTAATCTCAACAATCTCTGGCAACAAGGTTGAAAGAAATAGAGAGGGACAAGGAATTTTTACAAAATGTTCTTTTTTATAGTTTCCAAAACTACTCAAGTCACAGCCCAGTGTGGTTGGCATGGGAAGGGGTGGTTGTGCTCCACGCTGTCATTGAGGACCTCAGCTCCTTCCACCCTACAATGCTTTCATCCACAACACAGGGTCTCAATGGTTGCTGCAGAAGGAGCAGAGTTTAGAACACATGTCAGGTTTTAGGGCCAGGCCTGGAAATGGTGATGTCGCTTCTAGGCAAAACCGAGTCATATCATGCTCACTTCACTGCAAAAAGAGAATGTGAGGTGTCTTCATAAATACCCAGGACAAACTGGAAGGCTTTCATGCACATATTTTACTGTCTCTGTTGTATGCCTTCTTTGAATTTTTTGCTTCTACCCTGGCCCCCTTCAAACTAATATTAACCCAGCAGCCAATGGAATCATTGAAAAAATATAATTTGATTATGCCACTTCAGTGCTCAAAACTCAGCAGTGACTTTACAGTTTTTACAGAGTAAAAGCCTAAGTCATCACAATGACCTGTATGGGCCCCCATGATTTGGCCCCATTATCTTGCAAACCTCAGCTTCCACTACTCTCCCGTCACTCACAGGCAAGGCTCTAGCCATGCCTGGCACCTTAGAATCTCTTCTCTTGCTTTGTCCTCTGCCTGGAAAGCTCTTTCCCAGATTCCTCTCTGGAGCTTATTCAAACTCAAATTTACCTTTTCAATGAGGACTACCATAGTCATCCTACTTAAAACTGTAATTGTCCTTCTACCTAACACTTCTGATCTCCTTTGCCCTCCTCTCTTTCTTCCAGATCACTTAGCACCTTTTATCTAGTATTTAAACTGGTATTGTGATTATCGTCCGTTGTCTGTGCCCACTTCGCCTACACAATAAACACTCTTTAAGTAGAAAGCCGTGCTGCGCAAGGTGATGGCTGACAATGGAAAGGGAGACATTATACATATTTTATTCTATATCTTACTGCAGAGGCAAATGTTTGTGTCTTTCTTGTTCTGTGACGTAACCTGAGTACCTAGAGTAGGGCTTGTAACGTAGCAGGTGCTCTATTCATCCTTGCTAAAGGAATGAATGAATGAGTTAGAATATATGTGACTGAATGGAATGAATGGACCCAGGACAAGGCCCTGAGACTTTGTCAATTTTTTCAAAACAGGTTTAAATCCTGTACTTTGCACTTAATAGCTGCGGACCTTGGTAGATTCATTTTGCATAGGCAATGTTCTGTTTTCTCTTCTGCAAAATGAGGGTTTTCACCATAACTATTATATCTACCTCTTAAATTCACTGTAAACATTGAAACATTGAATACATCTTATACAAAGGGAAATAACTTTAACAACAGAGGCACTAATCAGTGTTATGTATCTAAGGGTATGGATTGCTTACTCTGCTTCTTGCATGGGGAATATGTATTGCTCTGGTGTGATATCTGGTTGAAGACTGGTAAGGAATCCCTGGGATAATTCCCTGAAAGCCTGCTGTCTACCACTGCTTGCTTGGCAACTTCTGATAAATAATAAGACTACATCCAGTTGGTTTCATAGACAGGCCCTAGGAGGAGTGTTCAGGGCTCTTTCTGAGGCAGCCAAGGCAAGTAGAGGCACACCAGGCCGCGGTTGTTGTTGCACTTGCTGGGACTTTCTGTTGAAAGAACTATCTCCCCTCTGGTTAGAAAACAAAGAATTCAAAGGCAATCAGACATCTCTGCCTACCACAACCCTTCATGCAATCAGGTTGAACTGCCAGGCCAAACCCTGTCTGGAATGAAAAGAAATAAGAGATGGTTATCCTTAATGCCCTATTATGCCTAAGAACCCTTTGCTTTCTTCACTCTTGGGTTTCATATGGGCTCCAGGAGGTGGCATTAAAGAGTGAAGCTTTATCTATTCTCTGTTAGTGTTTGTGTTTTATCCATTCTCTGCACTTGTGTCCCCTGGAGGAAAACAAAATTACTCCAACTCCACCCTGGAACTTTAATGTCAACTCTTCACTGGGGAGCTACAGAAAAGGATATTGGTGAAAAGTATGTGGCTACTTGCCATGAACAGATAAGGATTGTCTGTAACTGAACAGATAAGGGTTGTCTGTAGCTACTTAAAACTGAATGACTGCCTACAAATGCTTGAACAATTTATTCTTTCAAACAAAATGATTTTCTCTACATCATTCTATGAGTACTACTTATCTTTTTATGTGAAAAACATTATCATGGTCATGAAGAAACTAAACCACATCCTGCCTGAGTGATCATCTACAGTTTCATTTATAACCTTGAAATTTAGAAAATTTTCCTGAGCAAACAGACCTTCCTCAAATTCCCACTTTTACTATGATTTTTATCTATGGTCTACTCACCTTTTTAAAACCCATAATAAGAAGCATTTGCTCTTGCAATCTGCTCTGATTAAGGAGAGTTTAGAAGTCCTATGGGAAGTTTCAGAAAGGAGTTCCCAGAGGCTATTTACAAACCTCATGGAATCTAAACACTTCATTGAATAGGAAAGTTGGCATCTTGCCTTCTAATGGAAGTAAGATAAACATGGCCAGGTGGAAGGGAAGCTGCCCTCCAAGACCAAGTTCTAGCCTGAAGAGCCCTTTAGCTCATCCAAAACTCTGAGAACATCTTAAACGGAAGACTCTCAAAGAAATAAATGTTCCCATCTGTGACTGCCTCATTCCTGGCTCCTCCTTGGAACCCCTTAACTTGCCACTGAAAACCCTGGGGAGTTATATCTTGAGCTGTGGACAAACTGATTTCAGGGGCTTTCCTTGTTACCACAGTGATATCTGGGCAACAATAAGCAATTTACCAAAGGACATGCCCTTTTTTTTCCTGTTATCTTCACCCCTCTGTTTTCCCAAACTGAACTGCTCTGTGGGAACTCACAGACATCCCCTCAGATCACTCTCTCAGCTCCCTCTAGCAATGTCCCGCTCAAGCTCACAAACCCACTCCTTCTCTCTGTGCTTCTGACCTGATAAGACCTTATTATAGCTCCTATGCATTGATTTCTACTAAGGTCAGGCCCTGTGCTTGGAGACTTACATACACAGAATCAATTAATCCTCATATACCTTTGGGGTATTTTCCAATATGATTACTATTTAACACAGGAGGTAGCTGAGAATTAAAAAGTTTAAGAGACCTATCAGAGATTGCACAGCAAGGAAGTGACAGAGATTGTTAATAATGAATGTTTTTCCTCCTTATCTCTTCTCTTTGAGCTTCCTTGAACATCTATTTCATCAGTTCTTGGAAAACACCGATGGACATGCAATGTCACAGCAGTTGTGTGACTATGAGCAACTCCTTCTTTCTCTCTGAATCTGTTTCCCCTTATGTCAAATAATATGATGGGGTTAAGCTTTGTCTATGCCCCAGTGTCCTGGGATTCCAGGGATGCACATGATGGTCGTTGAAGCTGAAACACCCCAATTTGAAAACTCTCACATATTTGATCTCACTAAGCCTACTGAGAAGTTACCAGCTGGCAATGCTATATGGCTCAGAAAGAGGAGAAATTGGGAACATTTCAGTCTAGAGGTCAAGAGAAATAAGACCAGATGCAGAGTTTGGTCACTAAACATTCTTCTGATTTTTGGTAAGATAAAAAAGATCATTAGGTCCTCCAATAATTGTAGTATAGTCAAGCATTGGGGAGATTCCAGTTCACATTCTGACTCTGTCACTAGGTTATTGTATGGTCTTGGGTGAGTCACCAAAATTCTTGGGAATCTGTTTTCCCATCTATAAAGTAGAGACGCTAATAATCATGGTTCCCTCCCATGATGGTTGAAAGGAACAAATTGGCCCCACAGGTATGATTAATCTCTGACTAGCCCATCTCAGCCTATGCATGCAAAAGTTCACAACTAAATATCCAATACGCTCCCTTCTTTTCAGCCACAGCGAGTTGACCTCTTATGGACATAACTCTAGACAACAAAAATAGTCAGAAAAGGATGGGAGGTGATTGGCTTTCTTCCCCCAACTGCCTGACCATTAATGGAATTGAGCAAGAACAGAATTTCTCAACCCTTGCACTTGCTCTTCTGAGCCAGCAAGACCAAGGAAACGATGCCCATTGAAAACACTAATTTTGTTTCTTAGCCAGTGATTTCAAATACGTATTTGATCTTGAGCTTCTCCATTTTTAGACTGAACGTTGTTTGAAAGGTCCATTTAAATTTACTACTTTCTCCTCTCTTGAAGCAGATTTGTCTTTGGATAACCTTGAATAAGAATGGCAAACAAAGATGTATTCAAAAGCTCAGTTAAACTTTCCAAAGCAATGGCCCCCGGTGGGACAGTAGCTGTGACTTTTATTTGAATCCATGTCTCTAGGCACAGAGGCAACATGCACCCAGAAATGTGCTTTCCCAGCATGCCTTGCTCCAGGGTCATACCCTCTTGGGTATTAGTTATTCTTAGCTCCTAACATCAAAACTAAAGTTACATAAAAGATAAAAATGGATGATTTGTCACCCAGCAAGCACCAAATAATGTAACCACAAGGAAAGACACGTTAGGCCGAGCCTGTCTTTCTCTCAGAGATAATTTTCTCTAATGTCTCGCAAGTTACCATTTTTGTTCTCTGACAAATCCTTCCTGACCCAGAGAGCTAAGCCCAGCCCTTCATTTCTCCTTTACAAGCCCAGTGGCTCTTTCCTCCCAGTAAAATGTAGCTTCTTTGTTCTTTATGAAGAATTGTAGTTCCTGACTTGGGCAGGTGCTGTGACTCTGAGTCGACCAGGATTGGCATCATCCACCTGCTGCCACCCTCGCTCCCAGCCAGCATATTTGCTGGTCTTGTTTCTAGGCCCCCAGACCCATCCCAGCTGACCTCTGGAGCAATAGCAAACTCAAGTCTGGTTTCCTGAGGACTGACCTTCTGGAAAAGATGAAACTGTGTCCTGATCCATCTTTTCAAAAGATGCTCTCAGCTTGGCCAGTTTTTGGTCCTTACCAAGGGAACAACAGCCTATGTATATGCTCTAGCTATGAGTATTTTTATCTTCCATGTTACTTAATAATATAGACACAAATAATAAGAATACTAACAAAGGCACTTAATGTAAAATAAAATACTTTAAACACTAATAATAAATTTACACAACTACTAACTCTCGTACACACACTAATAATAACACTAACAAAACTGGTAAGAATATTATATCTACCATATACTGAAAACTTACTCTGCGTCAAACACTCTGACATGCATTTTTCTTGCACTACCTCTAGGTTGCTGCGAGTGGACCATGTAATCTTCATTTTGTACATAAATAAATTAAGGTTCCAAAAGGTTAAATAACTTGCCTACATCATACAGCTAATAAAGGCCAGGGTCAAGATAAACACTCAGGCCTGACTGGGCAAGTCATGCCTTTAATTACTGTCTTCATCTTCTCATCTAGGTGTCAGGTAAATCATCCATGTGAAAAAGGTGGAATTTGGTCCTCTGTCTTGATGAAAGAACTGGCATAAAGAAAGATTTGTGTTACATCTGTAGCCACCAGTTCTACTGGGTTTGACTATCTACCTCCATCTTCACTGATACACAGCTGAATTATTTTGCAGTGAACAGTCCTGGCTAAATGCACCAATATCCAGACACTGTTTGAACCAAATAAATGAGGTGGCATCATTATACAGATTAGAAAAATGCAAGCACTTGGGCTGCATGATTTTTTAATCTCGTCCTTGTCTATTAAGCTAGGAGTCTATGAACAGAAAGAAGGAAGGACAGAAAGAAGGAAGGAAATAAAAAGAAAAGAAGGAAGGGAGGGAGAGAGAGAAGGAAGGCAGGAAAGAGAGGGGGAGGGTACAGTGACATTTATTTTAATAGTAGTTAACATTTATTAAATCTTTCAAAAGTGCAAACCCCGCAGTAAGAGCTCTATGTATGTAATCTCATTTAATCCCTCCAGTAACGCTGATGTAAATGAGAAAAGATGATCCCTTGTGAGGTTAAGAAATTTCTCTAGGTCAGATGACTAGTAAGTGGTAGAGATAGGATTCAGATCCAGAGTTGTTTGCCCAGAGAATCTGCACATTACCACAATGCTATAATGTCTTGTAGGTGCCAAACAATGTGGTACACACTTCACACTGCATTGTGTAGAGTGCTGCAGTACTTAACATATCATGGGGCTTCCTTTTCTTCCTCAGCTGTTCATTCAGTCACTCACTCTAACTCTTTAGCATGATATATAAGGCCCTGTTTGATGTGTTCTTTGCCTAGATCTCCAGCCTTGGTGCCTATCCACCCAACGCTTCCATTTAGTTATCCAGTCAAGCTGGACTTCTTACAGATTTCTCACCTTTGGTTCACTGTCATAGGCTCTCTCTTACTCAAGCACCTCTCCCTGCTCATTCACGCAGCTCACTCCTTCTATACTTTCAAGATTCGGCCTGTGAATTGCCTCATCTGGGAATCTTTGCTGGGTTACTTCTTGTCATAGATGCCTCCTGTGTTAATTTCCTCCACATCCTGAGTTTCTCTCCCCCATGGAAGTCAGTGCACTACACACTGTGCATAAGGTTGGCTATGTCTATCTCTCTCCTCCCAGACTTTGAAGTCCTTGAAAGCAGAGACTATATTATATACACTATTGAATCCCTACTACTCAACATAGTATCTGATACCTAGCAGAATTCTAAGGATATTTCCAACATCAATGAGTGAGTGCATGACTCGCTGGCTGGATGGCTGAATGGAGTGGGCAAAGGAACAAAACTGGAGAACTGCTGCAATGAGTTGTTGCAAATGCTAAAGCTTAGGCAATGAACTAAGCCATAACCCTTGAGAGCCCTAAAAACTACAGAGAGGAAAACACAACACCAATTGAGACAAGTTAGGAAACAAGAGAAGCACATACAAGCTCATCAAGTTCAACCCTCTTAAATTACAAATAAGGAAACCCAGGCACAGAGAAGGGGAGTAGCCAGACAATGATTTATAGCTCAGTGGAGAATAGAACAAGATCTCTTGGCTCCCAGCCCACTGTTCGCTATCTTTTCTTCATCTTAAGATGCACAGAATGGGATGCTGCCCACATAAAATATTGGTTCTAATGAGGAAACTGGGGTTGAAATGGATTTCTTTTAATGAGAGGAAGTGTGCGGAGTACCAAATCCAGCAAAGTCGAACCAATAAAAGGCAATAATGAGAGCTGCAGTTAAAGTTAGACTGGGTAATAGGAAGTGCATCTAATTCCCGAGGAAAGAAGTAAGATGCAGAAACCCCACCACCACCAAAAATATGATACAACATCAGGAGATGCCCAGAACTCCAAGTTACCTCCCTGATTATTTGAGTGATCTTTCTGATGATTCTTCATTGTAACACATGTTTATAATTTGAGATGTAGATACGGATCAGATCATGGAAGGCCTTGCACTCTTTCTTGTGGCCTGCAAGGCCTTCCATAATCTGATCCTTGGGAGGCCAAGGCGGGCAGGTCGCTTGAGCCCAGGAGTTTGAGACCAGCCTGGGCAATATGGTGAAACCCCATCTCTACAAAATATACAAAAATTAGCTGGGCATGGTGGTCCACAAGGAGATGCGTGAAATTAACAAAGAACATTTGATACTAGAAAGCTCAGTGAGTTGGGTTTGAAAACAGTAAACTGATGTACATGTCTGATAACACTGAGATCACTCTATAATCCAGACCCAGGTCTCCAGACTCCTGCCTAAGGAACTTTACATTCAAAGTATTTATCATGAGGAGAATCGCTTGAACACGGGAGGTGGAGGGCACAGTGAGCCGAGATCACGCCATTGCACTCCAGCCTGGGTGACAGAGCGAGACCCTGTCTCAAAAAAAAAAAAAAAGTATTTATTCATGATTTCACTGCTTTAGCCCCAAAATATTATACGTTTGCTACAAATCATACAAAATCATTTCACTAAACTACAAATAACATATACGTCACTTTGCTCTTAAAGGTCCTTCATCCATTGCTCATAGAATGAAATTTGCACTCCTTCCTGTGGCCTGCAAGGCCTTTCATGATTTGATTCTTCCTATCTTCCTATTCCTTTTCTTTTTCTCTCTCACTAGGCTTTAGCAACACTGGCCTGATTTCCTGTTTTCCTTAAAAAAAACACCAAATTCTTTCCTGCCTCTGGGTCTTTTTACTTGCTTTTCTCTCTACCTAGACTATTATTGTACCTAACTATTCATAAGGCTGGTTCTTTTTCATTTTTCATGTCTAAGATCAAATACTGTGTCCCCAAAGAGAGCATCTGTGACTATCCTTGCTGAAGTAGTTCCCTGCAGTCCACCCCTAATAAGTTACTCTCTGTTTAGTTCCTTCATAATATCCTTTATTTATCCAAATTCACTGTGTCTTTCTAATCATTTGTTCATTGACTGTCTCCTCAAAGCTAAAGTAAGATCCTGGAGGACATGGATCTTGCTAGTCCTGTTCACCACCAAATCTCCTAGTGCCCAGAACAGTACCTGTTGCTTGAAAATTATCTAAAATATGTGGCTCATGGATAAATTAGCAAATTCATATAACAGAGGCTTATGGATTATCTCCTAGGTGTAAAATATTATGATGAGTACTCAGCAGACAAACAGGTGAATTAATCACAGCATCTACTAGGAAGGATTTTATAGACTTGTAGAGGAGATAATTCTGGCAATTAGTAGTAAACAAATATAACTCCACTGCAATGTAGACATGACTGGAGTCATAAGAGAGAGGTAGAAAAAATGATGTGGTGGATTATATGGGAGGGGTTACCTCCCAATAGAGTTAGAGCCTGGGAGAATAGGTAGAATTTTCATGAAGATGGAAAGAAGAAGGTAAGATTTCCTGCTGGGCTGAAAGCTTTAGGAAGACAAGGGTAATGACTAGGTTGCTCATTGTTTTATCCCCAGAGTCAGGAAAGGTGCCTGGCACATAAGAAGGATTTGGTGAATGCATGTCAAGTAAATAAACAAATACATAAATGCGCTTATTGAAATAGAGACCTTTTTAAGATATATTAAAATATGCTTGTGTTTGTTTAATGGGAAAAACAGTCCCTTGTTCTTATCATATGCCATTTGTAATAAAAGTCTCATTTCTATTAAAGTGAAGAAGCACCCTCTTCCTCTATTTGCACCCACTCAAATTCCAGGATTCTTGCTTTGGCAATAAATTAGCATTGAGGAAGCAGTTAATCCTCATCTGTCCATATTCTATCATCAAAGAATTGGTAGTTAACAATCCTGGGAGAGAAGGGACCTTTCTATGGTCAAATCTGATTGTGGCTGTAAAGAGAAATGAAGATGCCCACACAAGAGGAGCAGCCATGAAGACTAAGAAAAGCCTTCACAATTTCTGTTCCATGTGTTTAATCTTTTAAGAGCTTTGTTGAGGCTTAATTTACATACCATAAGTTTCATTCATCTCATGTGCAAAAAGAAAAATCAATGATCTTTAGCAAATTTGTGGAGTTGTGCAACCATTATTATAATCCAATTTTTTTTTTTTTTTTTTTGAGATGGAGTCTCGCTCTGTTGCCCAGGCTGGAGTGCAGTGGTGCAATCTCGGCTCACTGCACGCTCTGCCTCCCAGGTTCATGCCATTCTCCTGCCTCAGCCTCCCGAGTAGATGGGATTACAGGTGCCTGCCACCACACCCAGCTAATTTTTTTTTTTTTTTTTTTTTTGTATTTTTAGTAGAGATAGGGTTTCACCATGTTAGCCAGGATGGTCTTGATCTCCTGACCTCATGATCCACCCACCTCGGCCTCCCAAAGTGCTGGGATTACAGGCGTGAGCCACCACACCCAGCCTTATTATAATCCATTTTAAAGCCAGGTGTAGTGACTCATGTCTATAATCACACAATTATTCTTTTGGGAGGCCAAGGTGGGCAGGTTGCTTGAGCCCAGGAGTTCGAGACCAGCCTGGGAAATATGGTGAAACCCCATCTCTACAAAAACTTAGCTGGGCATGGTGATGCATGCCTATAGTCCCAGCTCTGAGGAGGCTGAGGTGGGAGAATCACCTGAGCCCAGCAGATGGAGGCTGCAGTGAGTTGTGATCATGCCACTGCACTCTAGCCTGGGCAACAGAGTGAGATTCTGTCTCAGAATAATAATAATATTAACCCAATTTTAAAACTTTCCCATCACTCCAGGAATATCCTTCATGGCCCTTGCAGTCACTCCCCATTCCCACTCCCAGCTTCAGGCAAAAACTAATCTACTTTTTATCTCTGACCATTTACCTTCTCTGGACATTTCATATAAATGGAATTGTATAGGTACACATCGTTAAGTTTATATCAAAATGGTTTACCTCTTTGCTATTTGCAGGAAGAATCTAAGCAGGGTTAAATCATCTGCTCTGAAGTCATAATCCTCTTTTTGCATGTCTGACTTACCCTCCTTGTGCCTAATTTCTTCATCCATAAAATGGGATTCAGAATATTCTCACACATGACTAAGATATTTGGCATAATGCTGGTAAACAGTACATTCTCATTAAATCATAACTGTTATTATTGTTGTTATTATTATTATCCTATCAGAGTTCAGCAAGGCCAGGATAGGAAAATAAGAAAAGGAACTCCATGAAAATCTACACAGATGGCATATTAAAAGGAGAGAAGTATTTCCATTCAGATCCTAGCAGAAGGAAGCTTGTATTCATTCCAGGGCTTTCTGTTCCCATTTCTTCTTTGGGAATAGGATATGGATAGATGTGAGTAGCCTTTTCATTCACTACTGATTTACTGCCAAAGAAATGATTCTGGAATCTGACTAGATGTGAGTAGAAGGAGAGGGTGTTTTTCTGTCTCAATAGAAATGAAAGGAGATCTTTAATATGAGATCCAAGTGACAAGGACAGGGGACTGGTATTCCCATTAAGCAGATATAGCAGTGTTTTCATGTCTGACTGTGGCATAACCATTAACAAGAAGGTTTAAAAAACATATTTCTATATTAAAACTCTAGTGGAAATAAGTTATTTTTTTCCTGAGGAAAATGATTTCTTTCTCTTTTCAAGCTAAAGAGAAAATACGTAGTCCCTGATTTGGAGCCAGGAGATCAAGATTCTGGTGCTGGCTCTATCCCTGGAGCTGCTGACTTTGAATAAATAAATTCCCCTATCTGGGCCACAGTTTAATATAGCTGTTAAAAAAGAGAGATTTGATCCTTCTCCAAGGTAAGACTGGTTCTAAGGCTATGGGGTTCTTAAGGTGAAGGCAGGACTACTGGAGAACACAGAGCCACTGACTTTCCTACAATATTATGTTGCATTTCATGGATCACAGGTTTGTGTTGGGTGAAACTTACTTCCTTATAAATCACAGAACATTTACAGCTTCTTTACTTTAAAGGAGGGGTGAGCAAACTAAGTCCTGTCGACCTACCTTTATTTTATTTTATTTTATTTTATTTTATTTTATTTTATTTTATTTTATTTTATTTTATTTTATTTTATTTTATTTTGTAAATAAGATTTGATTGGAATACAGCCATGCCCATTTGTGTATTGTACTATATTGTCTATAGTAAAGCCTAAAATGTTTACTATTTGGTCTAGTACAGAAAACAGTTTGTTGACTTCTGGTTTAATCTTTTGATTGTTTCAGAAACCACTCAAAAAAAAAAGTAAAAATAGCTCCAATATATATTAATAGTTGAACATTTTAGAAAGCGATGAGTCGTGGCTAATGTGAGGTGACTAAGGTCACAGAGTTTGTAAAAAATAGTAAGGAAAAAGGACTAGTAAAGGAGGAGGAGGAGGAGGACAATGATGATTGCATTTATTGAGTGCTTAAAGAAGCAAGATGATAATCCAAATGTTTTCTGCTAAGATGTTTAATCCTCGCAACTGTCATCTTATTATCTCAACTTTGTAAATCAGGACAATAAAGCCTGGGAGTTCAAGAAACTTGACTAAGGTCATCAAAGCTAATAAGTCATGACTTGGGGAATGGAACAGTTACGGGATCTCTGGGGTGTCCATTTTTCTGGCTGGAAAGCTCTGTGGCTGTGGCACCTTTGCCCAAGTTTTTATCCTGCATCTAGGAAGAATGAGGTACACAGACAACTGAAAGGTGAAGAAAAAAAGTTTTATTTAGTGTTAGAACAGCTCAGAAGAGTGGGTAGCTCCTCTCTGTAGGCAGGTCGTCAGCTCTGAACAGAGAGGAGGCTCTGAAGAGGGTGGTTCCTCTCCACAGGCAAGTCATTGGAATATCTTTGCAGGTCTCTCATCCCATCTTCTCCAGCTATCAGCAGAGAGGGTGCTCCTCTCTGCAGCTGGTCATCTCCTCATCTCTCAAACCTCCGCTCTCTTCCTCCTCTGGCAGTCCCCTACCCTGCTCTGACCGAGCCCAGGCCTTTTATGGACCTCAGAGGGGAGGAAGTGCCTGCTGATTGGTCCATGGGCAGTCATGGGCGGGCCTGGAAGAGGCACCACTAGTCCCCACTCAGGCAGGAGAAACTGGCAGCCCAGCCCCCCACCTTCAGGCCCGCTCTGGCCTGAGGGTGGCGCCTTACTGGGGACCCCACCCCCTTCCACCCACGACTCTGTCTGCCTCCTACTGCCATTCATGGCCCCAGAGGTTGGCTCTAACCCGGCTCCAAGATTGTATCAAGTGCCAAGAGCAGAAAGAGGTTAGGCAGCGGGAGCAGACACCCCTGAGCCTGCAAGGATGGGGGTGGGGGAGGGCTCCTTCAAGAGGCGTGCGAGGGTGCAGGCTGCAGAGACACCTGGGTCCTGTGCCTAGGAGGGTGGCCGCAGCTGCGCCCAGGATCTCCCACCACCCCACCACACCTCCGCCCCCAACTCAAAAGGAGCAAGGCTCCCGCTTGTCCCTAGTTCCTGCCTGCTTCCCGGAGCCAAAAGCCCAGGTCTGCAGCCGCTTATGCCGCGGCTGCAGCTGTACCTGAGAGGGCAGATCTTGCCTATTCCCAGCTCCCCCAAGAGCACAGGGAGGCTTGGATCCACAGCTGCAGTTTAGGCAGCGGAGCTCTGCTCCACCCTCCTGGGCAGAGCTCCGTAGAGCAGGAGGCCTGGGTCTGCAGCTGTGGTTTGGGCAGCTGCAGTGGCACAGGGAGCTCCCATCCCAACTCAGAAGGGTCTCCCAATTGCTCCATGGAGTGTGCAGCCCCAGCTGCACTTCCCTGCTGCAGCTGGCATGATGGCGGCAGCCAATGCCATCCATCCCCCCTCTGAAGAGGTACACCTAACTGCTGTTAGGATGGAGACGATGACAGCTCTTAACTGCTTCATGCTGACAAGGAGCATTGTTCTGGGAAACCTACAGTCAAGTCTCTCTCTCGGTGGGTCCTATCTAAAGGTCCCCAGTACAAGGGAGCCATCATCCAGGGCTCCATCTTTGTGACCATTTGGAGTTTGATGGCCCATCCCTTTTGTTTCTTCTGAGCTGTGGTCAGAGATCACTGGTTGGTTCACCCTACAATTGTTTAAAGCCACAAATAGCTCAAAAAAACCCTTGATTCTGAAAAACAGGACATAAGGATCAGCACTGTTCCAAGAAAAAAGCAAAAAGTCAAAAAAGATTGGTCTTCCAATAGTTCAGTTTACCTACTCAACTCCTGTTCACAATCTTCAAAGTTATAAGAAACCTGCACTTGAGGGTTATAATCCATTCTTTGAAGAGGATCAAAACAAGACAACAATTGTCTATGAATGTTAAAATGTCCTAGGTTAGTTACAGTCAAAAACATAATTGACAAAGAAATTTGGTCACCTCTGTGATTTACGATAACCTAACACAATGACCCTAATTATGATTAATAACACAGACTCAGACATCAGTACTCCAGAAATCTCATACTATTTTGGAACACATATTAACATTTTTCACTAAAATATAACCTGAAGATCAAGCACCACCTTATTTCAATAATCCTATATAACTAAACATGTCAAATAATCCTGTTTACCTCTACTTTGGACACTCCAGGGTCCCTCTGTAGCTTCCAAAAGTTGGGAGTTAGGAAAGGCAATTTTGAAGCTGTAAAGACTCAAACACTTAATAGAATTTCAGATTGCCATAAGTCATCCGTTTAGCTACAATGATGACTCAAATTTATTTTAAAAAGCAAAAATGTTTACTCATTAAGACAGAAGACCTAGTTTTCCAAATAATCTGTCTTTTGTCCTTCCCTTCTTTTGTTGATAGTTTGCAAACAAAAACATTTCATTGTACAAAAGTCGTGTTCAAGAGAAAGCCAAATTTCACCCCAATTTTTAAAAAATAAAACCTTACAGACAAATCCTCAAGAAAACCTTGTTGTGCATTTATTCCAATGTTCAATTTATGGAAAAACCAAATACCCTTTTGAATTTAGTCAATATATTTACACACTTATTTTACAAAATTTTTACAAACCTTCCATAACTTGTTTGAACCTTTAGTTTTCTCTTATCTCATTTAAAACAATCTTTGAACCCTCTGAACTAGGCAAAAATTTACATTCCCATGCTTTCTCATATTCTTTTACTAAAGACACATTTTACTTTCCTTACATCTTGTATGTAAATCTATTTTCAGGAGTCTCCATTAGATGTTATAGTAGACAAACATAATCCAGACAAAAATGTATCCTAACAATTCTGAAGGACTTCTTTACTTAATGTGTGATACTCTCCTTTGGTGCTGTTTGGCCTCAGTGTTCTTCGAATTCTGGGGAGATTTGACCTTTAAATCAAATTGATATGGAAACTGTTTTACCTGAAATTTTGGTTTACAGCCTTCATTGGATTACCTATTGGGACAAACAAAGTAAAACCAGTGAGCTCATGTTGCTATCTCATGGCCAGGGTTCCAAGCTATTGGATCTTAGTTTGTGTGTGGGTATATATGTCTAGTTGTGTTTATTGATGTATATTGTGTCAACCAAAATGGCTTATAAGTAAAACGGTGCTCATAAATTAAGTAAAGAAGTGATTTATATCATTCCTGCAACTAGTTTGCACAGAAAGAGAGAAGCCACAGTCTGAATGGCAAGAACCTTTCCACTTTTGCCAGCATTTCAGGCTTCTGGGTTTCCTTTCCCTGAGCCATGAGCTCTGAAGTCCTGTCCAGTGATTTAGGATGCACTTGAGGAGGGCAGGTTGAAAATGATTGGTTGGTTACCCATCTGGAAAGAGGGGAAAAAGGCATCCCTTTGTTCCTTTCACCATCCCAGCAACCACCCAGGTTACATGATGAAGAGAAGAAAAGGCATCCCTCTTTCTTCTCCTGACCTTATATCCCTGAGTCCCAGTGACTTGTGCAGGTGCCAACTATGGGTGCAAGTGCAACCTTCACCCATGAAGTGGGAAGCATAGCTGACAGGAATATTCACACTCATCTGAGTGGAGCCTAAGCCTCCCACTCTCGGTAATCTGTGAGTTCCTTAGACCTTATCTATACCATGAGCATAACCTCCATCCGTGAAGTGGGAGGGCCTAATTGGCAGGAATTAGTCATGCTCACCTGTGCTGTGACCCTCAACTCCCACTGTCATCTGCCTTAGGTCTAGTGTTCCATTACAGGGCTTCAAACCAAAGTTTGGGATAAAAGGTGCCTCAGGAGGGTATATGAACCCTTTAAATTAGTCCCAAATGACCCTTGCCACATTGCATCTAGCAACTGGCAGGGCCCACTCCTCTGTTGCCTCCCTATCACAAGCAGGCAAAGCTGTGGGGCCAGGTCCTCCTCAAACAAGGGAGATAAAGGAAGTCCCAGGAATAGCAGTCCCAGGAATTGGGGTCCTGACGTAAAGAGGTGACAACTAAGAGTTTTGGCTTCTCCTGAGCTCCTCACAGTCATGCTAAGAGAGGGGGACCTAGGTTGGAGAGAATGAAAGGCGCACTTGAGTCCAGGAGATCCATCCTCTTTCCCTTGATACCCATAATCACCCAAGGCTCCTGGATGATAATGGCAGTCTGAATCACCAAAGCCAGGGAAAAGAACCCTGGGACCCATAAGCCTTGCTGTACCATTTGAAAGACCAGCCCTGGACCTGGTTACCTGTGTCTCAGGAACAGTCTGACCTCCAGTGGTTTACATTTGCAGAAGTCAACAAGTACATCTTAGGAACTCTGGGGTTTCTGAGCCTGTAAGGTGGCTATGAGACTCTCTGCTTTTTTTTCTGTCTCCTTTCCCTCTCTCTGGCCTCCTGATCTCTATTATAAAAGACCAAGGTGGCCACTTTCAGGAGGTCCTCTAAAGTACTACTGGTCCTATGTCCTGTTTCTGCAGCTTCCTCCTGATACCAGAGGCTGCCTGAGTAACAAACTCATCCCCTAGGACCAGCTATCCCTCTATTGAATGAGGGGAGAGAAGGGTGTGTTTTGCCAAGACCCCTCTTAGCCTTTCCAGGAAGGCAGTGGGACTCCTGTCAAATCCCTGGTCTACCACAGGTAGCCCAGTGAGATTGAGAGGTCTAGTCTCAGTCCCTTACAAAGCCCTCTAATATACACACATTTTAAAGTGTTTCCTCTTCAACTCTCCCATTTCATCATTGGGGTCCCATTTAGGGTACTCCAATGGTACTGCTATTCTTCCAACTGGATAAAGTTCCTCCCCTTCCCTCGTGCTATACAAGATATAAAGCTCATTCCTCAAAATTATTTGCCACTTGCTGAGAATGGCCTGCTTTTCAGCGTTGGCCAGGGTTTGATTCCAAAGTAACACTACATCCTTCCAGGAGAGTTCACATATTAATACTTGGGTTAAGTTCTGGAAGGCCTCTATATACCTATCAGGGTCATCTGATAATTTGCGAAGATCCCTGATATGGTTTGGCTGTGTCCCCATTCAAATCTCAACTTGAATTGTATCTCCCAGAATTCCCACATGTTGTGGGAAGGACACAGGGGGAGGTAATTGAATCATGGGGGCTGGTCTTTTCTATGCTGTTCTCATAATAGTGAATAAATCTCACAAAATCTAATGGGTTTATCAGGGGTTTCCACTTTTGCTTTTTTCTCATTTTTCTCTTGCCGTCACCATGTAAGAAGTGCCTTTTGCCTCCCTCCATGATCCTGAGGCCTCCCCAGACATGTGGAACTATAAGTCCAATTAAACCTCTTTTTCTTCCCAGTCTTAGGTGTGTCTTTATCAGCAGCATGAAAACTGGCTAATACAGTAAGTTGGTATCAGTAGAGAGGAGCACTGCTGAAAAGATACCCAAAAATGTGAAAGCAACTTTGGAACTGGGTAACAGCCAGAGATTGGAACAATTTGGAGGGCTCACAGAAGACAGAAAAATGTATGAAAGTTTGAACCTCCTAGAGATTTGCTGAATGGCTTTGACAGAAATTCTGATAGTGATATGAACAATAAGGTCTAGGCTGAGGTGGTCTCAGATGGAGATGAGGAACTTGTTGGAAACTGGGGCAAAGGTGACTCTTGTTATATGTTAGCAAAGAGACTGGCAGCATTTTGCCCCTGTCCTAGAGATCTGTGGAACTTTGAAATTGAGAGAGATGATTTAGGGTATCTGGCAGAAAAGAAATGTCTAAGCAGAAAAGCATTCAAGAAGTAAGTTGTGTACTGTTAAAAGCATTCTCTTAAAAGGGAAACAGAGCATAAGTGTTTGGAGTAATTGCAGCCTGATGATGCAGTAGAAAAGGAAAACCCATTTTTTGAGAAGAAATTCAAGCAAGCTTTAGAAATTTGCATAAGTAGCAAGGAGCCTAATGTTAATCCCCAAGACCATGGGGGAAAATGTCTCCTGGCCATGTCAGAGACCTTCATGGCAGCCCCTCCCATCACAGGCCCAGAGGTCCAGGAGGAAAGAGTGGTTTCTTGGGTTGGGACCAGGGTCTGCGTGCTGTGTGCAGCCTAGAGATTTGGTGCCCTGTGTCCCAGCCACTCTAGCCATGGCTGAAAGAGGCCAATGTACAGCTCAGGCTGTGGCTTCAGAGGGTGTAAACCTCAAGTCTTGGTAGCTTCCATGTGGTGTTGAGCCTGCCAGTGCACAGAAGTCAAGAAGTAAGGTTTGGGAACCTCTGCTTAGATTTCAAAAGATGTATGGAAATGCCTGGATGCCCAGGCAGAAGTTTGTTGCAGTGGCAGGACTCTCATGGAGAACTTCTGCTAGGGCAGTGCAGAAGGGAAATGTGGGATCAGAACCCCCACACAGAGAATCAAGCGATTCTCCTGCCTCCGCCTCCAGAGTAGCTGAGATTACAGGTGCCCACCACCATGTGCAGCTAATTTTTGTATTTTTAGTAGAGACGGAGTTTCACCATGTTGGCCAGGCTGATCTCAAAGTCCTGACCTCAGCTGATCCACCTGGCTTGGCCTCCCAAAGTGCTGGGGTTACAAGTGCGAGCCACTGCACCCAGCTGAGGCCAGGGCTTTTATGGACCTCAGAGAGGGGAAGTACATGTGAATGGGTCCATGGGCGGCCATGGGTGGGCCAGAAGAGGCACTATGAGTTGCCACTCTGGTTGGAGAAACTGGCAGCCCAGCCCCCAGCCTTTGGGCCCTCCCTGGCCTGAGAATGGGACCTTACTGGGGACTCCACCCACTTCCGCCTAGGACTCTGTCTGCCTCCTGCTGCCATTCATGGCCCCTGGGCTTGGCTCCAACCCTGCTCTGACATTGGAGGTGTCAGGAGCAGAGAGAGGCTGGGCAGTGGGAGCAGACACCCCTGAGCCTGTAGGGATGGAGGGGGAATCCTTCCTGGTGCACCTGAGGGTGCAGGCTGCAGAGACACTCCGATCCTGTGCTTGGGAGGGTGGCCAGATCCACATTTGCAGTTTGGGTGGCTGTAGCCCCACCCAGGAGAGTGGGGCTCCTGCCTGCTCCCTAGAGCAGGGAGGCCTGAGTCTGCAGCTGCAGTTTGGGCAGCTACAGTGGCACGGGAATCTCCCATCCCAATTCAGAAGGGGCAGGGCTCCCACTTGCTCCTGCTGCAGCAGGCATGATGGCAGCAGACACTGCCATCAGAACTATGCAGCTGGGTAAAATTCCTCTGTTATAAAGGATGAGACAACAATCCAGAAAATGAAAGAGGTTTTCACAAAATTCCTTACGACAAGGGAATAGGGAAACCAGCTTCCTTACTCCATGACCAGTATTCCTGCCATTGAAGCGTGTACCCATCTATCTGCTAACTCATGGTAGATTTATGTGCCTATATGTAACCTATTTTACTGACCGCTTCTAGGTTGTTAGATTTAAGAAACAAAAAGCACATCTTCTAATTCTTTTCCTAGAACCCTAGCATATAGAAGGCACATAGCAAATGCCTAATAATGATAGCAAACATTTACTGATAGAATATGATGTGACAATTAATTATTTTAGCACTTTATGTGGACTATATTCTGTACTTAAAATAGTCCTATATGTTAGGCACTTTCATTATCTGTATTATATGCAAATGTTTAAAATGAGGAAATGAAGGCTCAGAAGCTCAGTAATGTTCTCATGGTCTCAAGTGAACTTGGGCAACTGACCATGCTCTAAGTCCTGGTCTTGCAGTGTGGTCCACAGACCAGCAGCCATGACAGCTGGTTAGAAATGCAGATTCTCAGGCCTGATGAAGCATGATCTGCATTTTAACAAGATAGGTGATTTGTGGGTGCATTGAAGTTTGAGAATCTCTTCTCTAAGTCAGCACACTCTTCTCTATTGATCACATTGAAAAAAAGGAGTAGATGATCGATTGCTTTCTGGGCAATGCAAGAAGCAAACTGGTCAGATGAAAACTGTGTTCTAAAGAAAAGGATTGAAGTGTCCATTCCTATAAATTATACCTGTTTCAAAAATGAATGCCCTTTTTTTCTCCCAGATTTCATACTGATTTCTCTGCCTCTACAGGCTCCTCAAACTATCTCACTAAAAATGTCTAAGATCTATATCTATACCCTGAGCACCATGATAAATACAGAAGCAACTGCTTCCGGACTGAATAACAGAGCTTTAACTGGGCCTGGGCTTTGCTTATGACGCATCCAAAGTGTGTTTTTAGGCAAGAGGCAGAGAGGAAATTGCCATCTGCTTGGTAACTTGTGAGTTACTATTTCCCGAAAATCTAAGCTTTTTCCAATTCCATTAACATGAATAAAAAATACAAACTTAAGGCAATAGTTACTGTTGCCCCTGGAAAATGCCCCTGACTTTCTTGACATCATCAGAGACAGCAGAGGCTACCAGGACTCATTCAAGGTACTATAATTATTTTGTGCTTGGTTACTATTTTTTCATATTTTTAATATAAATTATCATCAAATAATCAAAATTAGGGTTTTGGCCTAAATCATCCCTCTTCCTTGGTCCATGGAAATGTCCCCCACTGATTCAGGGAGAAAAGAATCTGAGTAAGCATCTTACCTCTACTTCCATTAGAACATGGCAAAGACAAATAATCTCCTTCTTTTGGCAGGGCGTGGTGGCTCACGCCTGTAATCCCAGCACTTTGGGAGGCCGAGGTGGGTGGATCACGAGGTCAGGAGATCGAGACCATCCTGGCTAACATAGTGAAACCCCGTCTCGACTAAAAATACAAAAAAATTAGTTGGGCGTGGTGGCAGGCGCCTGTAGTCCCAGCTACTAGGGAGGCTGAGGCAGGAGAATGGCCTGACCCCGGGAGGCGGAGCTTGCAGTGAGCCGAGATCGTGCCACTGCACTCCAGCCTGGGCGACAGCGCGAGACTCTGTCTCAAAAAAAACAAAAAAACAAAAACAAATAATCTCCTTCTTTTGTAACTATATCCTTTTGGGTCTTTGGCAGATTGCAACTCCTCCTACATCAGTTTTCTCAATGGTCAGATAAAGATGGTAGCAACTACCATTATTGGATCTTGATGAAGATAATTCTCTTTTATTATGCTAACCTATTCATAGAGCCACTAGCCTAATGGTTTCTCAATAATCATGAGGATAGTAAAACTCTGTGAGCTAATCAACCTTCATATTCATTTCTCAAATAGTCTGATTCAGTAGGTCAAAGATAAGGTACAGAAGTCAGCATTTTAAAGTTTTCCAAATGATTTTAAAGCAGATGTTCTATACACCATAATTTGATATCTCTCTCCCTATCTTACATAGTAAAAATTTTAACTCCCTAAGGCAAATATGAGTCCCCAACACAAGTTAAGCCCAAATTTGAGATGATACTTTATCACTTGTGGGCAAATTCCATGATATGTTCTTACGGCTCTGAACCTCAAAAATATACTTAAAGTGGAAAAAAAAAAAACCCTCAGAGAGGCAGGACCAATCAAGACTTGAAAAGCTTTGCCTGGGATTGGGGTGGGCATGAGTTAAATGTATCCATTTCAGTCTCAGGTCTTAACCTAGCTCACAGCTGAGGGACCACTACTCTGCTGCAACACTGTGCAGGGAACCCCAGGGCTTAACACATCCTACCTCTGTCAGAGGCTCTGCTCAGTGTATCCAACCATTATTAAAATAGCAGCAGATTCTACTCAGGTTTTTTAAAACTTGACTTGTCATTGTCAACAACTGGATTCAGATTCCTTTTTACTTTCAGTGGTAGCTGTTCTACTCCTATGATCCCTCAGAGCTGACAATGGTGCTAACTTCTCCAAGACTGCCTGCATAATCACACCCTGCTTGTTTTGCACTGGGCTCATGTAACATTCATTTATTTACTCCGTAAAAGCAGATCTCAGGTCAGGAGAATATCTTACCATTCATTGTCATAACTGGGCTGCTTTCAGGTTTCTCCTTGTCTTTCTCTCCCACATCCAAAGTTCCTTCTGTACTAATGAGAAAGAAATTGTTTTGAAAAACAATGTCTGCTGTATGTATATATCAAGATTCAAAATAAAAAGTGTATAGTAACTACTAGGTTTCAGACCCTGTGGTAATTGCAGTAATATGAAAATTCAATTTTTATTTTATTAATAATACTAATAAAAGCTGTCACTCAATAGTGTCAATAAACTATGTTAAACAATTTTTACATTATATAATTTTTTTCACATTATATGACATTATGTGATTAAATTTTATAACAATCTGGGTGAATCATATGTTAGTATTCCTGCTAAAAATTTTAAATTAAGAGGTAACTGATGTGGTTGACTTTGTGTCCCCACCCAAATCTCATCTTGAATTATAATCCCCATAATCCCCACATGTCAAGGGACAAATCAGGTAGAAGTAATTGGATCTTGGGGGCAGTTTCCCCCACGCTGTTCTTGTAATAATGAGTGAGTTCTTCCAAGATCTGATGGTTTTATAAATGTTTGGTAGTTCCTCCTGCATTCATTCTCCCTTCTGCCACCTTGTGAAGAAGGTGCCTTGCTTCCCCTTTGCCTTCTACCATGATTTCTAAGTTTCCTGAGGCCTCTGCAGCCATGCTGTACTACCAGTCAATTAAACCTCTTTCCTTTCTAAATTACCCAGTCTCAAGCAGTTCTTTATAGCAGTGTGAGAACAGACTAATACAGTAACTGTCATAGATTAATTGACCCAAAGTTTAAACCCAGGTCCATCGAGACCAAAGTTGAGTGCTTTGTCACCACCATCTTTCCTCTCCTAGAGGAGGATAATGTGACAGCAGAACTTGATGGGGAGGTCAAATTCTGGTTGAGATTGGCAGCAGAGTGGGCTGCTAACTCCCTGGATGGACTATGACAATGTCCTTCCCTTCCAGCTATTTTGGTTGACTTTGAAACCCCTCATATTTCTAACAACACGTGAAACTTTGAGTTAACTCTAGGATCACGCTGGTGGAAAGGCATAATAGTTTCTGGCATTGTGTGGCCCTTCAGAAAAGGATAAATTTCTATAATAAATAGGACCATATATTTTTCTAACTGAGAAAAATTTGAGAATAAAAGGTATTATCATTAATATTTACACCTAGACATTGGGCAAAAGCCATGACTGTTCTGGGCAAACTAAGAAGTATGATCATCATAGTTATTATATGCTTATCTCTCCAAATTCACAGCCACTAGCTGAATGTGTTCAAGAATATGAAAAACAAGTGCTGTTAGAGAAAAGACAAAATGAAGGTGGGGAAAGGGGCCTCTTGAATGCACCAAAGTTAGCATTATTGCCAGATCAATATGAAAGGAGTGTGGAGAAAAAGCTATGCAGTGAAAGGAGACACATATAAAGAAAGATAATAAAAAAAATTTCCACCTTTCCCATTGTGCATTAAGTTTGACCTTGTACCGTCGATCTATTCATTATGGTGACACATGCTAAGAGCAAGATTTTTCAAGTTCTTCGTAATTCTATCCCTAGGCATTGCAACCATTACTAGCACAACTGTGGTATACCTTTCTCTTTGAACAAAGAGTCTGCGGACAAATGTGTCAGCTACAGGCATGTCATAGCTTATATCAGAAATATAAGGTGACAGCTAACCATATTCCAAACAGTCCCCCAAGCCATAAGGCCACAGAGAACATGCCTCCACTGGATTCTAAAGCTGACTTGCCATGAGTTTGATCATTAACTGTGGCTTATGAATTGCTGCTTCAGCCTTTTTTATTCAAGGTGACAGCTCCCTTTTTTAAAAAAGGTGAATTCTTAGCAGCAAGGATACACAGATGCTCTCTGCATCTTTTCCCTCCTCTCAGCCATCCTGTGGAGAATGAAGTACACATATTAGGGGAATGAAGTGGGTCCAATCTTGTATTAGGAATTGAGAATTCAATGATGAATTAGACATGGTTTTTGCTTTGGGGGAAATTCATCCTCATTTGATGAAACAAATAGGTTTATAGGAAATTCAATATATCATTGTCATTTTGCCAAAATTTATTTTATGCCAGGCATTACACAAATATCTCAGTGAATCTTACTACCAATCTAATAAGGTAGGTTTTGTTGCCCCAATTTATAGATCACATGTTCTGGGTCACAGAGCCAAGATCTCAACAAAAGTCTGTCTCATTCTGCACTCACTCGACTGTTCACAGTCTCCAATGGCTTCCCATTTTACTCATGGGAGAAGCCAAAGTCCTCACTGTGACCTAAATGACCCTATTTTTGTTTGCCATATTTACAGGATTTCCCCCAGTCTGAACACATGATAGAACTGTACTTCCTGCTTCCATATTTTAGGTCAATCCAACTAATCAGTTCATTCCAATGAATGATGTGTGGAAATAATGTGCATCAATTTCAGGCTGAGCATTGCTTCCCCAAGGTGAGACCCAGCAGAAATCTCTTTTTATTTTTTCCCCTATAATAGCACAGATATTCGTTGCTCTATAGTCAGAGTCCTAGAGCAAGGAAGACAGTGAAGTTGTGGGAGCAGAGGCCCCTTCTGGCCCACGATGAAAATTAGGCGAGTGGAAAAGTCACTGAGATTCCAGTTTGTTAATTATTGCATGTTGGCTGCCTAACCTCTCTTGATTGATAAAGCTGCTTTATTTTTTTTCTCTAACATATCACCACAGATCCTACTGTGTAGTTTACTTATTTATCATGGTATTTCCTGTCACCCACATGAGAATGTCAGCTCCATGAAGGCAAGGAGTAAGTTTAGCCAATTTTCTTCACTACTATATTCCCCATAGCAAGAACAGTGCATGGTTTGTTGTAGGAAATCAATAAGTCTTTGTTGAATAAATAGAATCAAGCTACCTCATTACATCTATGAGTGATAAGACAAAGTTATGTTTGGGAAGCTACTAAAACACACAAAAAGACTGATTCAAAATGAGGCTGGACTTGTGTCTTTCCCCCGTGTGACCCCAGTGTTTAGTGAGTGTCTGCATTGCGGGAACTCTATATATGATTGTTGAGCTGTTACAATGAAGAGCCTCTGCTGTGGCTTTTGTAACTAAATAACTCACCAGGCAAACATGCATTAATAATTACTCCACTCTCCTGGTGGTGAGACCTTCATCTATCACCCTGGAGGTCTTAGTCATGGCTTAGTCATGCCCAGTGACTCACCTCCATTCAGCTTTTCGCTTAGTGATGTTCCTCTCCTTTTTCTATAACCGTTTTCCTCCTTTCTGTTTTATTTTCTTTCCTTTTTCTTTTATTTTTAGAGATGGGGTCTCACCATATTGCCCAGGCTTGTCTCAAACTCCTAGGCTTAAGCAATCCTCCCATCTAGGCCTCCCAAAGTGCTGGTATTACAGGAGTGAGCCACCACACCTGGCCCTCCTTTCTCTTAATTCACACCCCATTCAGGTGTGTCTTGAATAGTCAGCCTCAAATGACTCTTAACCTCCTTTCAGGACAAAGCAACTCTTTTTGTTCCCTGTCACTAGAGGCATTTGTTCCAAATTGCAGCCTCAGGAAACTGCTGCAGGCAAACAGGTGGCGTATCTGTTGAAGGATCCTAAAGGAGATATACATTCTCTTCAAAATATCTTTGCACACTGGAAATAATGCTGACTTCTGCTTAGCTCTGAATGAACGTTCTTCTGAAGGATGTCTATTTGTTTGTCCAGGTGACATCTAAAGGACAAAGTTCCAAATCTGAACTTTCTTCTCCTGAAATCTTTTCCATTTTGGTGTTGACACCACTTTCAGGCACCCAAGCTCTCTTTGTAACCCAACTTGCAACCTTCACCTAAAGCAACAAAATCAAATGCCATCATGCTGTTGTCACCCCTTGTATCAGTCAGGGTTCTCCAGAGACCGAACCTACACTCACACTCACACACACACACATACACACACACACACACACACACACACACACACACACACACTTATCTTTAAGGAATTTTCTTACATGATTGTAGGGACTGATAAGTCTAAAATTTGGATGGCAAGCCAGTAAGCTAGAAATTCAAAATCTACAGAGCAGAGCAGGTCAGCAGACTGAAAACTCAAGTAGGATTTCCTCGTTACTCTTGAGGCAGAATTTCCTCTCTGAAAAACTTCAGTTTTATTTTTCAGGCCTTCAACTGATTGGATGAGACACATTGTCAAGAATAATATCGTTTATTTTAAGTCAACTGATTGTAAATGTTCATCGTGTCTACAAAATACTTTCACAGCAACATCTAAACTACTGTTTCACCAAACAACTGGGCACCATAGTTTAGCTAAATTGATACACAAAATTAACCATCACACCCTGCTGTGGAAGGTTTGCCTTCCCCCCAAATTCATATGTTGAAATTCTCATCCCCAATATGGTGGCATTAAGAGGTGAGACCTATGGGAGGTAATTAGGTCATAAGGGTGGAATCCCCTTGAACAAGGTTAGTGCCTTTAAAAAAAAAAAAAGAGATGAGAGAGCTTGCTTTTCCTCTCTCTGTTCTCCACTATGTGAGCATACAGAGAGAGAAGATGGCCATCTATGAACCAGGAAGCAGGTTTTTGCCAGATGCAAACCTGCAAGGATCTTCATCTTAGACTTCCAGCCTCCAGATAGGAGGCTGGAAGATATATGATAAATAAGTGTGGGTTCTTTAAGCCACCCATCTATGGTACTTTGTTATAGAAGTCCAAACTAACTAAGACACACCTCTATATCCTTTACTCTACAGCAGACATTATTAATCAATCACTACCTTTTCCTAGATAAGTTCAGATGAAGTTTCATAATTTCTTTCATGATAGCACTAATGCCAGCCATTATTAATTGGTCAAATCTGGGATGTGGGTTGGAACTCATCTCTGGCTTGTACTTCTAAAAGTAAGTCTAATCATTTGTCTTTCTTGCTTAATGGTTCCTCATTGCCTAAGATTCCATGTCACAAAATATTAGTCTTACAAGATAGTCTACCAAAAAGAGATTCTGTGATCGAAAAGGTTTATTATAATTGATACATCGTGCCTCCCTCTAAAAATCGAAATCCTGTGGAACCGAGGCAATTAAAATTTGATAACGCAGTTTTTCCAAAATCTACTTGACTACTCAAATCATTCTTCATATTTTACTCACTAACATTCTGAAAAATACATTTTGGAAAATGCTTGTCACTAAAGGCCTTTCCAGATCTGGTATCAACTATCTTTCCAAACCAATCTCTTTTGTTTCTTGTTTGTTTATGTTTTGTTTGAGACAGAGTCTCGGTGTGTCGCCGAGGCTGGAGTGCAGTGGCACAATCAGGGCTCACTGCAACCTCTGCCTCCCGGGTTCAAGTGATTCTCCTGCCTCAGCCTCCCAAGTAGCTGGGATTACAGGCACACATCACCATGCCCAGCTAATTTTTGTATTTTTAGTAGAGATGGGGTTTTGCCATGTTGGCCAGGCTGGCCTCTAACTCCTGACCTAAGGTGATCCACCAGCCTCAGCCTCCCAAAGTGCTGGGATTACAGGCGTGAGCCACCATGCCCGACCCCAAACCAATCTCTTTTGAATCAAAGTGTTCCATGAATACCCTCTACACTACCTTCATCCTGCATGTCCCTCAACTTCTTAAATTAAATGATTCTGCAACACCTATGTTCAT
This sequence comes from Homo sapiens, assembly GCF_000001405.40. Taxonomy (NCBI): domain Eukaryota; kingdom Metazoa; phylum Chordata; class Mammalia; order Primates; family Hominidae; genus Homo; species Homo sapiens. Next base: position 115,371,015 of record NC_000009.12, on the reverse strand, counting down.
ATTCCTTGTGGCAGAAACAATGCTATGTGCTCAATTAAGCTCTGTTTTCTCCCTGGGCCTACAGGAAGAAGACATTTCCCATCCTTCTTTCAGTTGTGTTGGGGCCATGTGACTTGTCTGTCCACTGAGATGTAAATGAAATGAAGTAAACCACTTCCAGGCCTGGCTCCTCTACTTTCCACTTGATCCTCCATTCCCTCCCTCTCTGTCTCTCTCTCTCTCTCTCTCTTCTCTAACCAGGTGGCTAGAAACATAGGACTCTCAAAGGGTAGAGCCACATGATACAAGAAGCCTATATCCTGAGTGACATCATAGATGAGAGCACTGCCTCACCCCAACAAAGAGTGAAGAAGAAATTCTTGTTGTGTTAAAGCCACTGATACTTTGGGGGTGTCACAGGAGCTAGTGTTAATCATCCTGACTATTGCAATCTTCCATAAAGCCTTATGGAAAATACTTATAGTCTTTACATTCAAAGTTTTGGATAAGACTTATGCCTTAGCTAGAATAGACTTCTCCTTTTTCAAATTTCCATCATAATTTAACCCACTCATAACACTTATCACTTTCTATTTTTCATTAGCATGTTTGATGTTGCTGTTGTATCTCTATTTCTAGACTTAGAGCTTCTTGAGAGCAAGATATATACCTATTTGATCTCTGCATCCCTTCACCTCACTTTGAAGAGTAAATTGTACATAATAATTGTTAATCTTTATTGAATACAAGATGCCATCAAGATTATTTATATTCTAATAGCAAATTTCATCATGGTAAGAAAAAGCTGTAAGTCTTAAAAAGACTTAGGAGCTATAGCAATGGGACTCTGTTGCCAAATTTGACATACTGACTAAATTGTGTCTCACTCACCCCTGTATAATTCCTTGGTACCTCTTTATGTAGAAAGCCAAACTGAAAAGTAGAAAATGCACAGATTTTGGAATTAGAGAGAACTTGGCTGAATCCCAATTCTTTCACTTGTTGCTCTTTGATTTGGGAAAAATGTTTTTACACTTCTAAGCCTCAGTTTCCTTATCTTAAAATCAGAGATCAATCCCCATCTCATGAGACTGCCATGTGGATTAAATAAAACCTTGAATTTAAAGTGCCCAATAGAGGGACTGGCACATGAGAAAGTGCTCAGCAAATGGCAACTCCCTCCGCCAGGGCTTGGAAAAGCTGTAGCTGCTGACATGTCAGCAGGGGCCATCCTGGCCAGGGAAGTTCGCCAAAGCCCTAAAGGAAACTGGATGGCTTTTAAAGCAAAGTTGATTAAATATGATTTTGCAGCTCCTGCTGAGAGACGAGCTGCAAGGGAACAGCTGTGTTGTTTTATTGGGGAATCAAGGATTGAATGCCATATGAAGTCCTCTTTAAAAGAATCTAAAACAAGTTATTGATGCTACTGAGCAGTTTGTTCAGTAAATGAAGTATGCTCTCAAAGAGCCATGGCTAAATGGTGAGGTCAGGACAAAAAGTAAATAACGGTTTTCTTTCCTCATTGGTCCTAACAGATTAAAGCATACATATATCAGTGTGTCTGCCTGTGTCAGGCTGAGCCAATTCAACAATGATGCAACTCTATTACTCAGTGGAAAAATGACCAATTAGAGCAAAGAGTCTCCTAATCTTTTACATAAACATGTTGGAAATGGGAGTCCCTGGTTGGCAATTCGAAATGGGCAAGTAATGACATATTCCTGTAACAACCGTTATTCTTTATTTGGAAGTGGTGATGGAGAATGGAAGGTTTACGAAGTGGAGACATAACTGTTGTAGATTTGTTTTCTCTGTGTGAGTGTCAGGGAAACATGGCAGAAACTGTATTAAAGAGACCTGGGTTCAAGTCCTGGCTTGTCCACTGTGTCAGGAGGTGAATCCATTTCCCTCTCTCAGTCTTGGTTTCCCTGCATGACAGAAAATTGCACCAGGCAACCAACCTGTAAGCCCTTCCTGCATTTCCACTAAGCTTAACATCTTAAGATTCGTTTTTTTTTTTTTACATTCCTTGAGCTTGTGGGAAGAAATAAAATAGTTACATATGAGGTGGGATTGGGAGACTTAGTTTAAGAAGGAGCATTTAGTCTGGAAAGAAAATAATGAGAACATTTAGTTCAGTTCTCCATTAAAAGATAATTGTCAAATTTGAAGTAACCAAATGGAACAAAGAGATGATGGTTTTATTGAACTTTTCTGTTCTCATCAAAGTTATTATTCATAATTTCCTATATAAGCATAGAACATAGCAGGAAAGACTCTCAAACAAACCTCACAAATCCTGCCTCCTCCAATGACAAAAGCCAGCATTTATTTTGCCCTTGGTATGCGCAGGCACTATGCTAAGTGATTTTTAAATTTTATTTTATTTTTCCTCATCATAGCTGTAAGGAAGTAGAGGTTACTATTCTCATTTCCCTAATTTAGAGACAGGAAATCAGTTGCCCAAGGTCATGAAGTTGGGGATAGCATTGGAAAGCAAAGACAGCTCCTTCTGTTTTTCTTACAGAATAATTGTTCTATTCTGTTCTCCTTCTAGTGTCCTTCATTTACTCCTTCAGCAAATGTTTACCAAAGATTTGCAACATATTAAATGCTGGAGATTGGTTCTGTGCCAAGACAAGAAAGGTTCCTATCCTCAGAAAGCTTGTGTTCTAGCTGGGAAAAGGCATAAAATAAGCACAGTCGCACACAGGAATATGACAAAAATGCCAGCTAATAGTGAATAACATGCAGATGATAATCTTAGAGTAAATGTAAAACGGGAGTGGGTGACTGTTTTATATTGAGTGCTTTGAGAAGGCATCTATCTCTGAAGGTGTGACATTTAAGCTGAGGCCTTGGGAAAAAATGTCTGACCTCTTTGAGCTACAAGTCTCCCATCTGTAATATGGGAAACATTAAGATGTGCCCAGACAACAGGATTTTAGAAAAGAGCAAATGAGACTGTAAAAGTAAAGAACTTAGTGTCCACTAAAAATCTTGCAAGTGCAAAGATTTAACAAACAAGTGTTCCATTCCTCTATGATGATACTACACTTGATTCAGGATTTCTCAACACATGCTTGAGTCAGGGTCATAACAATAATGGCTTAAGTTTACTGAGCTCTTTTTTACTATATGCCAGGCAGTATTCTCAATATTTTGCATGTATTAAGTGATTTCATTTTCTCAACACCCCTATGAAGCAAATACTTCTGTGAGCCCCATGTTACAAATGGAGAAACCAAGGCTCATGGAGATTAAGTAAGCTGGTCAACTTTATGTAGATAATAAGTAGTGAACTCTGAATCCTGAGGCCATGTCCTCAACTATCAGACTTTGCTGTTTCACGTATAATTGTCTTTGAATCTGTATCTCCAAAACCCTCTCTTGTCCTAGCAGGAGTGTAAAAATGCTTACGAATCCCATATCACCCTCGCATTATTCAGTTTTGCACCAGACGTTGTGACCTCAGCCAGGAATATAACCTGTCTGGAGACCAATACACAGTGCTGCATTTTCTCCAAATGATTCAAGATCTTCCTAGCACTCAATGGGCCCTGAGAACATATTTGATGATAAGAAGCACAAGATAATAACAGCAAACTTTCCAAAGTAATGAGTTATTCAGCACCATAAGTATTCAAAGTTTCTAGGCCCAGTGGTTTTTCATCAGGGGTGCTGTATGATTGACATTTCATATCACCTAAAGTATCGGTTCAGGATCTCTGCAATGCTAAAAGACTACCTTCTCATAGAGGTATAAAATAAGGATCTCCCTTGCCTTTCTGTGCCCATAGATGAGGTAGGACGCTGTCTGTAAAATAACACTGTAGTGCTGCTCTTCCTCCTCTTCCCAAGGATACCATCCACATGTGTCTGTCACTTTCAAACTAGAAATTACCGCTCCTCTGATTTAAAGCAAAAAAGGGTTCAGTCAGAATGAATTTGTGATTTCTGGAAGGAGGTGGCTTATCAATGACAAATTCCAGAGCTATCACCTCCTGCATTGGGTGTTTCCCTACAGAAATAAACAAGGGACAAAAGATTGGCTCGGACAGTGAAAGGAGTAAGACTGAGGGCAAGGTCCGGATTGGAACCTAAAGAGAGAAGTTGGAAGATAAAGAAACAAATAACAGAGTATTTTCCATTTTTCCTGAGACCACCCTCAGACTTCTAAAAATATCTCCAAACCATAGGAAATGTTTTCTGATATAAATCATAATCCAGAAACAAAAAGTGGAGTCAGGGAAAATAAAAAGAAAACTCCTTATAGGCATTCCTGCTCATTCTCAAAGAAGGAGCCTTGTACTCACAGTCCAAGAGGAACAACAAAAAAAAAAAACTAGCACTGTTATATTTTCCACACATCTAGGAAAGTATCCAGTTTATAGACTCAGTGGTTCATAACCAGGTTTTTATTTTCTTTTATCTCTGTCAATTCACAAAAGTCAGTCTGTGTGAGGCCATCAAACTGAAAAATAAAGGGTTGAAAGTAAATTCTGAAAGCCAAAGGAAGAAAGAGGCTGATTCAGCAGCCTGGAGACTGGGCAGAAAGTCTCCTTTTCCCTGAAATAAGGGCCAGACCCAACGTGGTCCTTCTATGGCTGGCACCTAGAGGAGGCGTTGATGATTAGGCCTGCAGAGTCTCAGAGCAGGGTTCCAGTATTTAAAGTTCCAATTCTACACTAAGAATGGTATGCGACAGAAATGCAGGGTTCTGAGCTTCTGTTTTCTCCAATCAGTTGGAAGTTCTGCATGTAGATTATTTCCTGAGGGGCTGATTTATCAAGTCAGTGGCAGGACAACCTGATCAAAACTTATGGCTGACACCCTAAAGATAGCTTCACATGGTAGCAAAAATGAGCAAAACAGACTTGAGTTCTAATTCCTCCTCCACTTTGGCCCAGTTGTTTCCACTTTCTGAGCCACTTAACTCAACTGTAAATGTAGAATGGCAATCCAAACTTTATTCTTGTGGAGTTTGAATGAGGTAATGTAAATAACATTCAATGTCCAATATAGTGAATTTTCAATACATTTTGTTATTAGCATTGTTTTTATACAATATTATACAAAACTATACTTACTATTGAGAGAGATTTATCTTGCAAATAACTGCCCTATCCTCTTTTGCATTTTAAAATCTGAATATCAGAAAGTCTGTCTGAATGGATTAATTTAATTATAAAATATCATCAGCCAGGCACGGTGGCTCACGCCTGTAATCCCAGCACTTTGGGAGGTCGAGGCGGGAAGATCACGACGTCAAGAGATCGAGACCATCCTGGCTAACACCGTGAAACCTCGTCTCTACTAAAAATACAAAAAAAAAAAAAAAATTAGCCGGGTACAGTGGCAGGTGCCTGCAGTTCCAGCTACTCGGGAGGCTGAGGCAGGAGAATGGCGTGAACCTGGGAGGCGGAGCTTGCAGTGAGCGGAGATAGCACCACTGCACTCCAGCCTGGGCGACAGAGCGAGACTCCGTCTCAAAAAAAAAAAAAAAAAAATCATCAGTTGGTTGTTGCCAGGGGCAGATGTCTGCTTACAGCCCATTCAGATGTACATATTAGGTTGGTGCGAAAGAAATTGCAGTTTTTTGGCATTACTTTTACTGACAAAAGCTGCAGTTACTTTTGCACCAACCTATAGAATAGCCTACAGAAGCTTCCATGAATAAAAACTGTGGACCTGACAGTTTTGAATAGAGAAGGCCTTAGATTAACTTTGTGCCTCTCCTCGACTGAACCAACCACATGTATATAAAATATCTTAAGAGAAACCCCAGGCATGGCAGGACCCTCTACATACTTTGGAAGCTAATCAGCAACCCCAAATCAAGGGTAAAATAAATATTCCCATTGGAGTGGTCATGATGAGATCAGCTTTATGAAGTCATATCAAAGCCCATTTTATGCTGGCCTTTTATTTTCATAGGAGAAACGTGAATGCCAACAGTGACTTGGAGAAATCATACAATCTCTTCTTTTTTTTTTTATTTTTTTTTGAGACGAAGTCTCGCTCTGTTGCCAGGCTAGAGTGCAGTGGCACGATCTCGGCTCACTGCAACCTCTGCCTCCCGGGTCCAAGTGATTCTCCTGCCTCAGCCTCTAGATTAGCTGGGACTATAGGCGCATGCCACCACACCCAGCTAATTTTTGTATTTTTAGTAGAGACGGGGATTCACCATGTTGGTCAGGCTGGTCTCCAACTCCTGACCTCATGATCTGCCCACCTTTGCCTCCCAAAGTGCTGGGATTACAGAGGTGAGCCACCGCACCTGGCACGGCACAATCTCTTCTTTAGCTACTCAAGAATTTAGCTTCAAGGCCTTCGTTTCCAGCTTCGAGGCCTTCTGCATCCCTTGTACAGATTTTCCTGGACTTGTATGGAAATAGTGTTCATTTCCTCTCCCTTGTAGTCCCATTGTTCTCAGTGTCTGCACTGTTCATTTGGGACTTAATATTCAGTCACTTATCTCATGCAGAGAAGTCCTTGAGCACCTACCACAGGCCTGACTCTATATGCAGAGATGAATAAAACACTGTCCCTACCTTTAAGTATCTCACGGTCTAGATCAGTGTTGTCCAAATGAAATAAAATGAGCCCTATACATAAATTTAAATTTTCATGTAGACACATTTTAAAAAATAAAGAGAAAAAATGAAATTAATTTTAATAACATTTTCACTTAGCCCAATGTATATATTAATTTCAATAGGTAATCACTATAAAACTACTAATGAGACAGTCTACATTGTTTCATAACAAGACTTTGAAATGTTGTGTGTGAATTTTACATTTCCAGCATATCTCATTTTGGACTAGCCATCTTTCAAGAGCTCAACAGCCACGTGCTATTAATGGCTACCACATTAAAGGCTCCAAGTCTAGATGGAAAATAAACAAGTAAACCTATAAACACAGTTAATAGGTAGGTATGCAGGGTTTTAAGGGAGAAAAAAATTGGTCCCTAACCTAGTATCGTGTGCATGTACATGTATATGTGTTAATATCTGCTTTCAGGTACCTGACTGTATGGTAGAATGAGTTAAGAGAGGGAAGTTTCTTATAAAAGAGTCATCAATGTTTTGTTGTTTTTAATAGCATCGTTATTAAGATATATTTCATATGCCATAAAATTCACCCTTCTCAAAGATTTCAATAATTAAGCTACATCATAAAGGGTGATTTTATTACTTGGACTACTAGAGTAGAACATTCCAGACTGAAGAAATAGTATTTTCAAAAGTTTAGCTATGTGAATAAGTTTAGCATGTAACAGAAAATTAAGTCATTTTTTGTATGATGGTAAAAAGGGGCCTTAAAGAACATTAAGAGATGAGGGTAGGGGAGGCACTGTGTATCTTTGAAGGATCCCCCACCCCTGGCCCACAGACTGATAGTGGTCCATGTGGAACTGGGCCATAAAACAGGAGGTGAGCAGTGGGCAAGAGAGTGAAGCTTCATCTGTATTTACAGCCACTCCCCCTTGCTGCATTACAGCCTGAGCATTAGATTCTCATAGGAGCACGAACGCTATTGTGGACTGTGTATGTGAGGGATCTAGGTAGAGTGCTCTGTATGAGAATCTGTCACTGTCTCCCATCACCTCCACATGGGACCACCTAGTTGCAGGAAAACAAGCTCAAGGCTCCCACTGATTCTACATTGTGGAGAGTTGTATAATTATTTCATTATATATTAATTATATATTAATGAACAATGTAATAATAATAGAAATAAAGTACATGAGAAGTGTAATGCACTTGAATCATTCTGAAACCATCCTGCCCCCCTCAGTCCATGGAAAAATTGTTTTCCACAAACATGGTCCCTGGTGCCAAAAAGGTTGGGGACCACTGTTTTAAGGCATTTGAACTTGATCATTAAAGCAATGAAAATCTATTGAAGTTGTTTGATTGCAAAAGTAGTAAGAGATCGGGATCATTGTGGTGGGAACTGGAGGAGTCAAGTTTAGAGGCAGGAGGTCTTATCTACTGACAGCTTGATTTATTTGGAGGAAGGGATTGATATTTGGTCTGTCTTAAATTTTAACATATGGTACATTTTCTGTTGTATCAAATAGCATAGGGACTCCCCAAGGGCAGGGACTGTTTGTTATGGTTTTTCTGTTCAATGTTCTTGGTCACTTGAATCCCTTTAGATGTTTTTCAGCTGCAATCTGTACTGTGACTGGAATGAGAAAGCCTTAATTCATACCATCTTCCGATGATACAAGACAAGCAAGTTTGTAATTTAATAAACGCAGTCAAACCTGACCTTTGCAATGAACAACAAACATCTTGTAGCCTGAAATTTAGTCCCAAAAACTTGCCAGAGACACTGGATAATACTATACCTTGATTCTTCTGCACATAAAGTCCTGGGCATACAATTTCAAATGTGTGTCTCGAGCCTTCCCATAAAAGATAATTATGGAGTTCTTCCTTCTAAGATATTAAGATAATTAGAATGATGTCTCACAAAAAAAAACATGGCTTGTCAAGATGGACCCAATATGTCAGGAGATAGCTTATTAAAAGGATGAATTACATGAAAAGTAACTTGGGACCAGCCAGATGGAAGTTGTCACCTGATGCTTTTACCATGGTGAAAGAGCTGCCTAAATGAAGAAATGTACTGAGCAGATTATGGAAAACTTAAACCAGAGTCAAACTTGAGACCTAGTCTCTGATAAATGACAATACTTCATGTCCCTTAGATACTAAGCCATGTAAACAAATAATAACGCAAACGTGCTACTGCTCCCATGCATGCCTAACATGTTATGTGTGCACCTCTGACATTCTCCTGTCTTGCCTCATTTGTGATTTAGTGTTTAAAACCATCAGAATTAGCTAAGTTGTTTGGGTAATCTCTTGAATAATTTGGTACTTGTCATGATTAGTTGAAATTTCTTTTGTTTATCTCTATGTACTTCAGAGAGACAGTAAGAAAGAGTGGGTTCTCATGCCGGCTTTGTGTTTACAGGTCTGGAGAATTTAGACAAGTTACTTTCTCTCCTGGAGCATCAGTTTCCCAATCTTAGAAATAAAACATTCACACTTTAATATTCCTCTAAGATCTGAGAATGACCTTCAGATATTTATGGACAGGTCATTCAGTCATGCTAAGTGACCACCGATGAATCCAATAAATACAAAGTTGCAAATGTTTATTGAAGTCACATAACATTGCTCAGACAATGCTTGGGACTTTTGAATGTGGACTCTTTTCTCCTAGAAAGAGATTTCAGTGTACACCTTGGTTTACTGTTTACCTCCATTTCCCTTTCTTAAGGATAATAGTTCCACAAATTTCCTTAGGAGAAATGACCTGCTACCATTCTTGGATACCCATTTCAGGCAGTTTTGACTGATCCCCAGCGATGTTCTTTCGATCACTGCCTGTGAATAAGCATGTTGACCTGGAGTATCTGGCTAGTATAGCCACCTTATATTCTAATATGATAACAAAAGGATAGAAAACAAAGAAGAAAAAGACAAAATAGTCTTTTGGTAATAATCTTGAGTCACTGATGTGAGCTGTACATAAAGTTCCTCCTACCTCTGAAATTTTGGATACAACCATAAATAAATTCCCCTTCATTTTCTAAGCAAGTTTGACTTCTTTCTGTTACATATAACTAAACAGTACAATGAGTTCAGTGATGAAGACTGCATCATACCTGAAAATTCTTCCCTGTTTTTCAAACTCCATGGCACCAAATATCTTTGTTAGGAAATCAGTTTCATGGACTGATTACAAACATTTCAGCAAGTCTCTTCACCTTAAACAAAACTGTTTTTCTTTGTGTGTAAAAGGCGATACTTAACTAGATTTTTTAAAAGTTTATGCAATATCACAATGTATTTCCAGACAACTAAATCTTCCAGACAACTAAGTCAAATCAGTGTCTTAGACAAAACCGTAGTTAGGTTATTGGTAATTGTCTAACAATGTACACAAAATAAGATTATTTCTGATGTGAGTATTAAGGGGCTAAATAAGATGATTTAAAGTTGTTTCAAAACTCAACTTCCAACTTCCCTGAGTTCAGTTTATGACCACATGCAGCATTAGATCAGGGTTGCCAGAACCACTGACTTCATACATGACACTGTGATATTTTATTTACTGTACAGCCATTTTTTTTTTTTCAGCAATATAGGAAAGCATTTCAATCCCAGACAGCCTGGGTTTGAGTCCCAACTCCACCACCTCTGGCCATACATCTTCATGCAAATTCATACATATTTCCACCAGGCTTCTGTTTTCTTCTTTGTAAAGTGAGAATAACAGAATTCACTATCTTATAGGGTCTTTGGCAGGATTAAATCCACGGTCACTATAAATCTTAGAACAGCACATAACACAATATAAGCATTCAATAAATATAGTTATTCTCAGTGGTATATTAGAAAACATCCAAATTTAGGATGGCTTCTTATCTTAAATGATCTTTTCTGAGTATCCCAGAAGAAGTATATAGCCCTGTGCTGAGAATTTTATATATAAATGCATTATACATAAAGCTATTATATATTCACAACAACTCCACGCAGGGATGTTAAAAATCACATCTTCCCTATAAAGAAACTTAGTCTCAAAAAGATGAAAGTCCATAGGTGGTAGGGACAAAGGCAAGGTTGGAACGCCATTGTCTCTGGGGCTTAAATACACATATTCCATTCTATTGCCTATCCATGCGAGATGACTTGTCCATCTCTGCATTTCTTTGGGCTGGGCATAGGCCTTCCTTATTTAGTCTGTTCCCTGGGATGAATGCTTGCTTATCCATGCGAGATGACTTGTCCATCTCTGCATTTCTTTGGGCTGGGCATAGGCCTTCCGTATTTAGTCTGTTCCCTGGGATGACTGCTCTTCTATTTGTCTCCTTCTCCTGTTTCCCCCATATTCCCATTTTGTTCATGCTATGGTGATTGCAACACAGAGGAAGATTGTTCCTCCTATGTCAAGCTCTCATATGAGGCACCAGGTGAATTATTTAACCTAGATTCTATGATCATATAACACAAGTCAGATGCTAATTTAAATGAATTAATGGCTCTTCATTTCCCTCAGAATACAGTTTATTGATCCATTTAGTCTTTCAACAAAGATGTACCAATGTTCCAAGCACTCAGCTAGTTCAAATTCCTTGGACAAGATTTGCCTTTGGTTTGCTTTTCCACCCTCAACTCTCACTATGTCCAACTTTGTATACAAGACTTTGTGCATTCTTTACAGTTTCCTGTATGTGCTACGCTTTTGCTAATTCCTAGGTCTTTATATGTTGTTACTTCGGCAGAAATATATCCTAATATCCCATGTCCACTTTGCCTGGCTTACATTTACCCTGCCTTCAGACCTCAGTTCAGCTGACACATTTTTCTCACAGTCATCACTAAATGTAATCTGGCCCCAAAGAGGAGGCAGGAACCTTGCTTATGTGTCCCAGACATGTCCCTGTGCCACTGTCCCATTTGTTATAATCTATTGACATTTCCTGTCTCCTTATCTAACCCTTCACTGCAAGATAACAGTCATGATAGCAGAGATAATACTTTATTCCTGTCTAAATCTTGAGCACTTAGCAGAGTGCTTAGGGTGCTGTGTGAGCTCAATAAATATTTTATTAATAAAAGAATCAGCTATGTGATCTTTGAACTGGTATGGGCGGGATTGTAAGAAAGGCAGATGTTATTGGGAGTCGCCATGCATTTCTGGTCACAGGGGCTGGAAGCAACTTAAAGATAACAAGTTTCAAGGGTTTCCAGTAATCAATTCACTTAAGCCAAATCCCTGACACTTGAGTGCCTGACATGACAATGCCATAATTCTTTGGTCTTAAACTTCCCATGAAACTACGTGCTTAATCACCCAAGGAGAAGGCTTGGGTTAGAGAAAAGTAGCCTGTCTCTCTGACTAAATTCCAGACCCATGAAGAACATGGAAACTTGTGGGGGGTGGAAATCAGTCTTCAGGGAGATGTATTGGAATAATGAGTAAAATTTTCCCAAGTTCCCAAGAGCTGTGTAATAATATTTAAAGAGTTCTACTGGAAACAACACCTCTCAAACATAATTATCTTAGAAAAGCTACACATATAAAAACACGTTCAGTTCTACTTACATTGCAAAATTCTGTCTTCTGGCTTCAGTGAATTAGTAACAAAATCTAACTGAGCATCTACTATGTACCCAAGAACTACCATTATTGAGCATTTACTCTGTGCTTAGCACTAAGTGCTTTTCATAAATTATCTCATTTTTTCCTTACAGCAACTAATAGCATTTTCCTCACTGTATTAGTTCGTTCTCACACCGCTATAAAGGTACTACTAGAGACTGGGTAATTTATAAAGGAAAGAGGTTTAATTGAGTCACAGTTCCACATGGGGAGGTCTCAGGAAACTTACAACCATGACAGACGGAGAAGCAGGCACATCTTACATGGTGGCAGGTGAAAGAGATAATGTGTGTAGGAGGAAATGTCAAACACTTATAAAACCACCAGATCTCACGAGAACTCACTCACTATCATAAGAACAGCATGGGGGAAACTGCCCCCATGATCCAATCACCTCCCTCCCTCAACACATGAGGATTACAGGTCCCTCCCTCAACACATGGAGATTACAATTAGAGATGAGATTTGGGTGAGGACACAAAGCCAAACCATATCACTCACTTCACTGAAGAGAAACTTGAGGCAAAAAGAGTTCAGTGCTTAGATCTGGGATTCAAACTCAGGCATTCTGACTTCAGAGCCTGACCTCCTAACCAGTTTGCCATATTTACTCATATTCATGCATACATGTAATTTAACTCTCACAACTGCCCTAGTACATGGTTGCTTTTATTTACATTTTATAAATGAAAAAATACTCTCATTCATAAATTCAGCCAAAAATTTCTAAGAAGCTAGCACTGTATGGGCAAGTAGTATGTCTTTTCTTTTTTCCCCCTGTTCTAATTTCAGCTCCCAGCACTGTGTCTGCCACATGGCAAGTGCTCCACATGCCTTCTTTGAATAATTAGGAAGTACTTACTGCTTCATGGTCTTTGTTTTTGTCCCATTCGATCCCACTGCAATCTCTTACTAGGACTAGGTAGTACCTCATCACTGGAGTGGGCAGCTTAAGATTTTATTTAAAAGAAAAATAAAGCAAATCAAGAAAAGCCTCATGGGAGCACTTAAAAGTGGACTGTTAGAAGTACATGAAAAGAAAAAAAATAGATATTACTTGTGTCTATATATATTGTGTTACATGATTCTAGAACAAGTAGGTTTGGAGACATCTGGGAAACTGTCTGAATCTTGCCATTTTCCACTGGAAATAAAGAATACAGGTGCATACATTTTTTTGCACACATAGAAATTATAACATTTTATTTTTATAAATAAAACTTATAAAAAGTTTTATAAAGTAAACTTTTTATAAATAAAACTTTTATTTATAAAACAAAATAAAACAAAAATATTTATTTTTAAAAAATAAAAAAAGGAGATGCAGGCAAGGTAAAAGACACACACACACACACACACACACAGAGGGAGAGAGAGAGAGAGAGAGAGAGAGAGAGAGAGAGAGATGGGGTGCCATGGTTTCTATTTTCAAAATGCAAAACATGCTTCATTCTTTTCTCAAATCTCTAGTGAAGGCAAGATTACCATTGAAGGGACACGTCTGTCAGAAACATCTTCAGTGAAATTCAGATCTGGAAGTTCAGCCACTCCATTCCTATAGGGACTTACAAATTTCCATTATTTCAGAGAAAAGAACTTCCATGAAAAGGCGCACTCCAATCCTGCCATTTCTCAGAAAAAAACTATCTTTGAAATAAGAGACTAAAGAGCAGTCTCGAATCAGAGTCCTCCCTTATGTCATAAAACTAGCACCTCAGCCCTGACAAAGACGGAAATCATTTTGTGCACAGGTAAGTAATGGAATTGTTTTATCTATCCAGAAAGTAACTGGTGTGCTCCACTGGTGAACATAAAGTGTTACTGACATAGAGACCCTAGGGAGGCATTCTTCAAATCCTAGCCAGTCTCTCCAGTCTGAGGAAGTGTTTCCAACCACTATGTTATCCCCCTCTGATAACACAGTCACAGTGATAAGAGAGAAATCTTTGTTGGGGTGCAGGGAGCAAAGAGAGTTCACATTCTTTGAAAGTAGCGATCGTGGCAGATTTCACCTTCCTTCCATCTCCTAGCAAGGGAAGTTGAAAAACGAACATGTATTAGGTCGGATTATATGTTGAACTCTGTCCTAGTTACTCTATACGTGACTTTTTTTAACACTTATCACAAACCTACTAGAGAGAGATTGTTTTACCCCATTTGACAGGACATTGAAACCCAGGAGGAAGCTCGTTCTTGGCCACAGAGTAAATCAGTGGTAGATCTCTAACCTGGACCGAGATCCAAATGGCTTCAAAACCTATACCCTTCCCAACACACCTTACAAACTGCAAGGAGAACATAAAATGAGAAGAATCAGAATCTAGCATTAGAACTATAAACGTTAGTGAGAAGATCATAAGAAGAGGAACTATAAACCTGGATCTCACTTCTGGCCTGGCTACAAACACTCTCCATCACACTGAGCCAGTGCTGAATTTCCCTGGGCCTCAGTTTCCTAATGTGAAAGATGAGGGGGTAAGGTTTGCATGAAGTCTGAGAACTTCCTGGCAATAATGAATAGCTGTGAGATGACAAGTATTGGGTAATCCCTTTGCTAGCATTCAATGGTTTTGATCATCACATTTTTTTTTAGTTTGCAGACATCTGAACTAGAAAGTGTGTTATACCATACAATATACTGGAAAGTTCTTAGATTTTGTTGTAGAACATTTATGAAAACACATTTTTGCTGTATTGGTTGGTACAAAAAGAACTGTGGTTTTGGACCACGAATTTTAAATCATTATAGCTAGGGTCAAACACATCTTTATTAATCAAAATAGGAACCATTACAATAGACATATTTTTGCCAATGAGGAATAAGTTTGCTTATTCCTGTAGAGTAGAAATCTATGCTTTGGGATTCAATAAACTCTTGGAAAGCATTTTTCTGCATCTTGCTGGTTGTGGAAGCGTTTTCCCTGCAAAAGTTGTTGAGCTGCTTGAAGAAGTGGTAATCGGTTGGTGAGAGGTCAGGTGAATATGGTGGATGAGGCGAATCTTCATGGGCCAATTTGTTCAAATTTTGAAGTACTGGTTATTCGACATGCAGTCAGGTGTTGTAGAGAATTGGACCCTTTCTGTTGACCAATGCCGGCTGCAGGTGTTGCAGTTTTTGGTGCATCTCATCGATTTGCTGAGCATACTTCTCAGATGTAATACTTTCACCCAGATTAAGAAAGCTGTAGTGGATCAGACTGGCAGCCGGCCACCAACTGGTGACCATGATTTTTTTTTTGGTGCAAGTTTGGCTTTGAGAAGTGCTTTGGAGCTTCTTCTCAGTCAAACCACTGAGCTAGTCTTCACTGGTTGTGGTATAAAATCCACGTTTCATCACATGTCACAATCTAATTGAGAAATGGTTTGTTGCGTAGAATAAGAGAAGACGGCACTTCAAAAATGACTATTTTTTAATTTTCACTCAGCTCATGAGGCACCCACTTAGCAATTTTTGTTTTTTTTTTGTTTGTTTGTTTGTTTGTTTGTTTGTTTTTGAGCCGGAGTCTCGCTCTGTCGCCCAGGCTGGAGTGCGGTGGCGCGATCTCGGCTCACTGCAAGCTCCGCCTCCCGGGTTCACGCCATTCTCCTGCCTCAGCCTCCCAAGTAGCTGGGACTACAGGCGCCCACCACCGCGCCCGGCTAATTTTTTGTATTTTTAGTAGAGATGGGGTTTCATCCTGTTAGCCAGAATGGTCTCGATCTCCTGACCTCGTGATCCGCCCGCCTCGGCCTCCCAACGTGCTGGGATTACAGGCGTGAGCCACCACGCCCGGCCCACTTAGCAAGTTTTTTAACCTTTCCAATTTACTTCAAATGCTGAGTGACTGTAGAATGGTCAATATTGAGTTCTTTGGCAAATTCTCATGTAGTTGTAAGAGGATCAGCTTCAATGATTGCTCTCAACTGGCCATTGCCAACTTCCAATGGCCAGCCACTATGCTCCTCATCATCAAAGCTCTTGTCTCCTTTGCAAAACTTCTTGAACCATCATTGCACTGTACGTTTGTTAGCAGTTCCTGGGCCAAATGTGCTGTTGATGTTGTGAACCGTCTGTGCTGCTTTATGACCATTTTAAACTTGTATAAAAAAATTGCTCGAATTTGCTTTTTGTCTAACATCATTTCTACAGTCTAAAATAAACATAAAATAAACAGCAAGTAATGTCATTAGCAAAAAATAAAAGCAAGAAATGCCCATTAAAATGATGTATAACATAACCACATTTATTTAAGAATGTATTTCAATATCAAATGGCAAATTCCAATAATGCAAAACCACAATTACTTTTGCAGCAACCTAACACTTTCTGGTTTCAGTTGTCTCATCTGCAAGATGGTGTTTATGAAACAGATCTTACAAGTTAGTGGGTAAATGGAATACTATAACTAAATGCTTATAAAAGTGCCTGGCAAAATGTAGGTGTTCAAGAAAGGTTAGTTAGGTGGAGGATGTGGGAGGACTATAAAGTTGGAGTGGTCACTTAATGTCAGAGATGGGAAGCTTTTTTAGACCTGAGTCGTGGGGGGGAAATGCAACAGATATTTAAGAACATAAAAATGTGTGCATTGAAAACATATTCTTCTCTTTGCATTGCAGAATTTATCCTCTGAGCCACTTTCTCCAGGAAGAGCTCCTGGAGTTATGTATCCTCCCTTCACAGTAATTCCTCCTTTCCTCACATCCCTCATCATTGCCTACTCTGTCACTATCAGCCCACTCTGGGTATGCTGAGTAGAAGATGACCGATTGCTTTCAGTTTGCTTCATTTTTGTTTTTGTGTCTTACAAGTTAACGTAGAAGTCAGGGCCTGACTGCTGTTACATATTTGATAGACTGCAGGCTTCTTGGAGGAGGGAATTTGTATTATTTCTACCCACATTTTTCAGCGTGCTAGCACGTAAGTACCCAATAAATGTTTACTCAAATAATGGATGAATGGTTCAATATCCTTTTAACTGTGTTTAGCCATCAACATGTGGTTACTATTAAGAGTTCAATTTCCCAAGGCAAGCATGAAAACCACTTCCTGATCTAACCCACAGACACCTCTTCAACTGCAATCTTGGACATGCCTCTGAACAAAGCAGGTGCTCCAGGTAAACCAAACCATTTGCTATGGATGTTGTTTCACATCTCCTTTTCTTTTCCCTCTGCTCATATTTCTCCCTTCATCTGTATTTCCTTCTGCCTAACTACATATCACCCTTGTCCACCTGAAAAACACCTTTTCACTTTCCTGGGCTCCCACCAAGCTCCCTCTCCTCTAGAAACCCATTCCTAGGTAAAATGAACTATCTCTGCCTTCTCTCCACCCAGGGACTTCCCTGGGCCCCCTATTACCAATAACATTTTAACTCTCTTATTTTTTAAAGTAGTATCTTTAAAAAATAACATAGTAATATCATAAAAAAATAAGACAATCTCCCCATGGGACTATGAGCTCCTTGAAAGCAGTGACCATGTATGACTTTCCACTGTACACAGCAAGATCAATCAGCACAGGGCCCAGGACAGAATATGTGCTCAACAAAATGATCTAACTCATTTGCTCATAAGTGGTTATTGGCAACCTGTTATGTGCCAGGGCTATTCAGGAGCTGGGAAAACAACGGCAAACCAATGCAGACATGTGCCTTGCATTCAGATACTAGTCAACTAATCACTCAAAAATGCATGATTAGAAGTGACAAGTACAAAGAGGAAATGGAGGTCTGTAAGAGAGGAGTTGACCTAGTGAGGGTGGTAAGAAATCCCCTCCAAGCTGGAAACCATCATTCTCAGCAAACTATCACAAGAACAGAAAACCAAACACTGCATGTTCTCACTCATAAGTGGGAGTTGAACAATGAGAATACATGGACACAGGGAGGGGAACAACACACACCGGGGCCTGTTGGGGGGTGGGGAGCTAGGGGAGGGATAGCATTAGGAGAAATACTTAATGCAGGTGATGGGTTGATGGGTGCAGCAAACCACCATGGCACATGTACACCTATGTAACAAAACTGCACGTTCTGCACATGTACCCCAGAACATAAAGTAAAATTAAAAAAAAGAAAAAAAGAAAATGCCTCCTGAAAAAGTGACATTTGAATCAAATGTGAAGTGTAAGTAAAAGTCATCAGGTAGGCCTGGGGTGGGGAAAGGGAATAAGTGACCAAAGCATCCAGGTCTCCAGGGTATTATTCTTTCTCCTCATATACCCTGAAACTCTCTGAGTCTTGATTTTCTCATTAGCCTCACTGCGGGGAACAATCCTCACCTCAGTGTGTGGTTTGTGAGGATGCCATGAGAAAATGTGTTTCATGTGCCCTGCATAGTCCTTGGCATAGAGTTCCTGCTTGATCAATGCTAATGCCCCTACTCATTCTTCTGATGCACCTAATCTTTCTCTTGATGTTTCTAATTATTTTCCTGGTGCCTCTAATCATACTCCAAATAATAGCAACAGATAGAACATGTGGCTGCTCAATAGGCCACGACAGGGAATTGGCTTTCACTGAGAAACAGCAAACTCGTATACTTCCTCCAAGTTGCAAGGATAATTGACCTCTCTCTGAATTATATCTGGATCTATTGTACTTATTTGTTTGTTCTATTGAACTGAGATTCAGGAGACTTAGATTTTAGACTTCAATTCTGCCATCACCTTACAGATAAGTCCAGAGGTTGAAACTGATGATTGGAAATTGTTTTTGTTTTACAAATTAAATTATCCCCTTTCTTCTTTCTTTCTTCTACTTCTTTCCCCTCTTCCTTTCTTCCATGTATCCTTCCTTGCTCCTGTCCTCCTTCCTTCCCTCCCTTCTTTTCTTCTCTCCTTCTTTCTCCCCCTTATTATTTTTTATTAAGTACTATATTCAGTAAAACCTGCTACGGGCCAGGCGCTGGACTAGGTACTAGGTATGGAAGATAAACTAAGGTAGATATTTTCTGGCCCTCCTATAGCTCACAGACTCATGAGGAAGACAGATGGAAAACACAGCTATTGAAATAACTGCAATGAAGATCAAGTTACTATGGAAACATGTAACCACAATCTGATCTAGTCTGGGAGGTCAAGAAAGTTACATCCCAACTATATCCTAATGATGAGAAGGATTTAATCAGGTTGGGGGTTGAAGAGTAAGCCCTTCCAGGATAAAGTAATAGCATTTGCAAAGACTTTGAGGAGAGAACAATGCCGTGTTAGAGATACTAAAACGTGGTCAGCCTGACTGGAGGGTAGATATTGAAGATAACGGCAGCCTAAGGGGAGGCTAGAGAGAAAGATAGCATGGCAACCTGCTCATGACAGGCCTAGTAGGCCACATGAGGCAATTTGAACTTTATCCGAAGAGCAATAGGAGTGGCATGATGCTGAGAGTCCTCCACCTCCTTCTCAAACCCATGCTTTTATTTCTCTAAAAACTCTAGCAATAATTTATGAAAACCATTTCCTTCTTTTCCCTCGCCTCACTCACTCATGCCTGGAGGGACCCACCCTAGATTTTGCCCCAACCTCCATTAACAGGGCAGAATTGTAAGGAGTCCCAGCTTGGAAAGTTGCCCTTGGAGCCTGGGGCTGCAGCTGGCATTGCCCACCACATCACTGACCCAAATGTGAATCAACCAGAAATTATTGGGTGAAGCTCATTCATTGGCTGTGCCCTCAGCTATGCGGTCACAGTGGAAGAACTGGCCCCCTGAAATAATCACGCCTGCCCATCGAGGAACATCTGAGTCAATGGCTCCATTCATTGGCCTGCCCACGCCTCCCAGGTCTTCTTCACTCCAGAGATATATGGCAGGATACCCATATATACAGCTGTCAGTGGAAAACCATTGCATGGGTGGGGGTGGGTGGAAAATATCTTTCTTTTTGCAAATTTATGGAAAGCAAATATTGCAGTTCTCCTCCTTCATGACGCTAAATATAGCAGGTAACAGATCCTCCTTTTAAAATGGACACTAATTTTTTTCATAAAGAAAGAATAGCAAAAACACAGGAGACAGGCAAATCTGTTACAATCATTGAGTATTGATTCAAAGGCCAATTCTTTCTATGTAGGCCCCAAACCACCCATGCAAAGGATGGCTGGCATGCAGTGGTAACTCAGAACTTACTATTAACAATGACGTGTTTGTGGTCAGCAAATTCCTCCCAAGGCTCTAAGTCCCACTCCAAAGTATATTCCTTTTCCTCTTCTTTCTGCACAGCAAACTCATTTCCTTGTATAATTTCAGTCCCTCTAGACATACTAGTGTTAATATTAATGAGATAAAAATATAATTTTTAAAAAGATCAGTAACTTCATTCCATTCTTGATCTCAGCATTATTGATATTTTGAGCCAAGTATGTCTTTGTTGTAGGGGCTGTCTTGTGCATTGTAGGATGTTTCACAGCATCCTTGGCCTTTACCCAGTAGACGCCAGTAGCACCCCTTTTTCCTCCCACCCAGAAGCTGTGACAACCAAAATGTCTCCAGACATTGCCAAATATCTTCTGGGGGTAAAATCACTCCAAGTGAAGAACTACTGGTTTATTCTCATACTTAAGAGGCAACAGAGCACAGTGGTTAAAGATGTAATAGACTGCGAAGTTGAAAAGAAACTAAGTTTCTTTGCGATTAATTTTCTTTGTGATTTAAAAGCTGTATGACCTGTAGCAAGTGATTTAACATCTCCAAGCCTCAGTTTCCTTGGTAACATGAGGAAAAGAATATACCTTACTGTTGTATTGAGAATTACATAATATAATGTGGATAAAACAATTTGCAGGGCCTGGAACCTAGTAATTACTTAATTAATGAAACTTGCCATTAACTGGAATCATTATTATTGATCATCTGTTTAGCTGCTTCATTCCTCTTTTTCAAGTTTAGTCTTCCTTCCGTGCTCCTTTTTCCTTCTCTATTCACTTACTATCTTAAAATATATCTATCTCTAAATTAATAACATACAGAAAATTGCTGTATTACTAACATTGCCCATGAAGTCTAGCCCTCTGTTCTAAATTTCTAGAAAACTGCTCTGCTTGAGTGTCATGGGATGCATCAAAAGCAGAATGTTGAAAAGCAAACAAGCCCAAATTTATCAGGGATGACTAAGAGAAAGATTATTAAAGGAAAGGCAGAAATATGAATTGTTTAAATGACTCAAGTGAGGTCACAGTTCTTAGACAAACAAAACAGATATAAAATCCCTTGAGGAATAAACTTGGGATTTAATATGATCATAGCAATCTTAGCAATACATAAACAAACAGTGGAGTGTCTAGAGTAAATAATCCAACCAGAGAAAGGTCTGATAAGAAATCATCAATCCAATTAATTGATAAACATTCATTATTTCTAGGAGCTGATTTCTGCTCAGTTTTACAAAGGACACTCTTGTGCTAGTGAGCGAATTAAGTTGCAATCAATTTTTTAAGGCTACTTCATCTCCAAGCATGGGCATTTTATCAGAGCCTTTATCATAAACTTAATAATGTCTCCTTAAAGATGATGATATGGTTTGGCTCTGTGTCCCCACCCAAATCTCATCTTGTAGCTCCCATAATTCCCACGTGTTGTGGGAGGGACCCAATGGAAGATGAGTAAATCATGAGGTTGGATCTTTCCCATGCTGTTCTCATGATAGTGAGTGGGTCTCAGGAGATCTGATGGTTTTAAAAATGGGAGTTTCCCTGCGCAAGTTATCTTTTGCTTGCTGCCATCCACATAAGATGGGACTTGCTCCTTCTTGCCTTCTGCCATGATTCAGAGACTTCCCCAGCCACATGAAACTGTAAGTCCAGTTAAACCTCTTTCTTATGTAAATTGCCCAGTCTTGGGTATGTCTTTATCAGCAGCACAAAAATGGACTAATACACTAAATTGGTACCAGTAGAGTGGAGCACTGCTGAAAAGAGACCTGAAATGCGGAAGCGACTTTGGAAATAGGTAACAGGCAGAGGTTGGAACAGTTTGGAAGGCTCAGAAGAAGACAGGGAAATATGGGAAAGGTTGGAACCTCCTAGAAACTTGTTCAATGGCTTTGACAAAAATGCTGATAGTGATGTGAACAATAAGGGCCACACTGAGGTGGTCTCAGATGGAAATAAGGAACTTGTTGGGAACCGGAGCAAAGGTGAATCTTGCTATGTTTTAGCAAAGAGACTGGTGGCATTTTGCCCCTACCCTAGAGATTTGTAGAACTTTGAACTTGAGAGAGATGATTTAGAGTATCTGGCAGAAGAAATCTCTAAGCAGAAAAGCATGCAAGAGGTCACTTGGGTGCTGTTAAAGGCATTCAGTTTTATAAGGGAAACAGAGCATAAAAGTTTGGAAATTTTGCAGCCAGACAATGCGATAGAAAAGAAAATCCCATTTTTCTAAGGAGAAATTCAAGCCAGCTGCAGAAATTTGCATAAGTAATGAGGAGCTGAATGTTAATCCCCAAGACCATGGGTAAAATGCATCCAGGGCATGTCAGAGGTCTTCATGGCAGCCCATCCCATCACAGACCCGGAAGCCTAGGAGAAAAACATGGTCTCATGGGCTGGACCCAGGGTCCCAGTGCTGTGTGCAACCTTGGGACTTGGTGCCCTGCATCCCAGCCACCCCAGCCACAGCTGAAAGGGGCCAATGTAGAGCTTGGGCTATGGCTTCAGAGTGTGTAAGCCTCAAGCCTTGGCAGCTTCCAAGTGGTGCTGAGCCTGTCAGTGCACAGAAGTGAAGAACTGAGGTTTGGGAACCTCCATCTAAATTTCAGGATGTATGGAAATGCCTGGATGTCCAGGCAGAAGTTTGCTGCAGAAGCAGGGAGCTCATGGAGAACCTCTGCTAGGGCAGTGCGGAAGGGAAGTGTGGGGTTGGAGCCCCCACACAGAGTCCCTACTGGGGCACCACCTAGTGGAGCCTTGAGGAGAAGGTCACCATCCTCCAGACCCCAGAATGGCAGATCCACTGACAGCTTGCACCGTTTGCCTGGAAAAGCCACAGACACTCAACACCAGCCCATGAAAGCAGCTGGGAGGGAGGCTGTACCCTGAAAAGCCACAGGGGCAGAGCTGCCCAAGACCATGGGAGCCTACCTGTTGCATCAGTGTGACCTGGATGTGAGACATGGAGCTAAAAGAGATCATTTGGGAGCTTTAAGATTTGATTGCCGGCCGGGCGCGGTGGCTCACGCTTGTAATCCCAGCACTTTGGGAGGCCGAGGCGGGCGGATCACGAGGTCAGGAGATCGAGACCATCCTGGCTAACACGGTGAAACCCCGTCTCTACTAAAAATACAAAAAAATTAGCCGGGCGTGGTGGCGGGCGCCTGTAGTCCCAGCTACTCGGGAGGCTGAGGCAGGAGAATGGCGTGAACCCGGGAGGCGGAGCTTGCAGTGAGCCGAGATTGCGCCACTGCACTCCCACCTGGGCCACAGAGCAAGACTCCGTCTCAAAAAAAAAAAAAAAAAAAAAAAAAAAAAAAAAAAAAAAAAAAAAAAAAAAGATTTGATTGCCCTGCTGGTTTTCAAACTTGCATGGGGCCAGTAGCCTCTTTGTTTTGGCCAATTTTCCCCATTTGGAATGGCTGTATTTACCCAATGCCTGTACCCCCATTGCATCTAGGAAGTAACTAACTTGCTTTTGATTTTACGGGCTCATAGGCCAAAGAGACTTGCCTTGTCGTAGATAAGACTTTGGACTGTGGACTTTTGAGTTAATGCTGAAATGAGTTAAGACTTTGAGGGACTGTTGGGAAGGCATAATTGGTTTTGAAATCTGAAGACATGATATTTGGGAGGTGTCAGGGGAGAATGATATGGTTTGGCTGTATGTCCCCACCCAAATCTCATCTTGTAGCTCACATAATTCTCATGTGTTGTGGGAGGGACCCAGTGAAAGATGATTAAACCATGGGGGCGGGTCTTTTCTGTGCTGTTCTCATGATAGTGAGTGAGTCTCATGAGATCTGATGGTTTTAAAAATGGGAGAAACACAGGGACATGGCTGCCTTTCTCTCTTTTTCCTTGTGAGGGCTGTTATCCCTTCACCCATTCAGGAAGCTGCCTCTGGCTCCTCAGGATTTCACTGGAACACTGAGGGGAAATAAAGGGCAGGAAAGGTCTCTGTATTAGTCAGGGTTCTCTAGAAGTACAGAAGTAATAGGATAGATAGTATATATGAAGGGGAGTTTATTAAGGAGTATTTTCTCACACAATCACAAGGTGAGGTCCCACAATAGGGCCATCTGCAAGCTGAGGGGAAAGGAAGCCAGTCCAAGTCCCAAAACCTCAAAGTATGAAAGCCAACAGAGCACCCTTCAATGTGTGGCCAAAGGCCCAGGAGCCCCTGGCAAACCACTGGTGTAACTCTAAGAGTCCAAAAGCTGAAGAACATCGAGGCCAACGTTCAAGGGCAGGAAGCATCCAGCACAGGAGAAAGATGAAAGCTGGAAGACTTAGCAAGTCAAATCCTTCCACGTTCTTCTGCCTGCTTTATTCTATCCTCGCAGGCAGCTGATTAGATGATGGCCACTCAGATTGAGGGTGGGTCTGCCTCTCCCAGTCCACTGACTCAAATATTAATCTCCTTTGGCAACACCCTCACAGACACACTTAGGAACAATACTTTGCATCCTTCAATTCAATCAAGTTGACACTCATTATTAACCATCACAGTGTTCCTTTTTCAATGCTAATATAATCATCTAGTATTGGTTTCCATTGGGCATAATGGGATCTAAAATCTGAGTCTGGGTTCCATGGATGTTCAAATCTGAAGCTTTTTGAAGATGTGTTTATAAGTCCTTCATGGACATTCCTCCATCACCTCAGGGTGTCCCACTTCCAGTATCCTGTGGTGGACTCCCTACAATTTCCCTTTGGCCTCTGGTGACCTCATTGATACTTTCTACTGGGGTCTCATCACCCATCCAGAAATCTCTCTTGGGAAAAATTACAACCTCTTTTGGATGACTCCTGGGCAGCTCTTTCCAAGTGACCACCATCTGACCCATTAGAAGTATATATCCTATGCTCCAATGCACTCTGGAAGAGCAGGTATTTTTCAGTAGAACTCTCCCTCATCATCTATTACCAGAGCAAATACCAGGCACAGTTTTTCTTATTAGGCTTTAACAGAGAGGAAGCCAGCGTCAGCCACTGCCTACAGTTTCCAGTCTCCTTAAAGCTTCACTCACTCACTGAAGTGAGTGAAATCTTCTTTTCGTTCATTTTATATCCTCCAGGTGAATATTGGGCTATTGGTCACATAATCTTTAAGCTCATCCTCTGCATATTCTGCATGGGTCACTCTAGAATATAACAGTAGTTGGCACTATATATTTTTTTATTTTTTTTTCCTTTTTTTATTATACTTTAAGTTCTAGGGTACATGTGCACAATGCGCAGGTTTGTTATATATGTATACATGTGCCATGTTGGTGTGCTGCACCCATTAACTCATCATTTACATTAGGTATATCTCCTAATGTTATCCCTCCCCTGCTCCCCCACCCCATGACAGGCCCTGGTGTGTGATGTTCCCCTTCCTAGGTGCACCTTGGGAAGAGGGCTTAATCTTCATACACATATCATTCACAAATACTTGTTAACTCAATTCACAAACACTTATTAAGCACTACTACATGCCAAGTACTATGCCAGATTCTGAAGGATAGTAAATAAACATGCAAAAATTACACAATATATATTCTTCACAGAGTCTATAACCATGAGTGGGATAGACATCCAAGTCCAGAGTCTAATGATAAAACTCTTGAGAGAATAATATAGCTGATCTTAATTTCAAAAGGTAGAAGCAGATTTGGTTAAACATCAGTCCTGATGACTTGTTGATGACATTTGAGAAGGTTAATTGTACAAAAAACTTTTATTTTTAATGCAAAGGGCGTATTAGTATCAGATGTTATAAGAAACCTACCAAGTATAAGTGTTGAGCTGTGTAGGGCTCACAGTTGTAATACACACTTCCTATGACATTCTCTTTTACTACTGAGCATGGCTTATTATGGTATTCAGTAGTCCTAAGGCACAGTACATCTTTCCTCATTTCCTCATCTTTTATTCATTATTCTTTTTTCTTCTTCACCTTCATAGATTTTAATTTCAATCTAATTCTATTTGATCCCTATTCTACTATTTTATTAACACATCTCCTATGGCTTCTGAGAGATTGCCCACTTGATTCCATCATGTGCACTTCTTAAAACAGATACAAATTTGATTAAGAAAAAAAATCACAGATATGTCTTCTTTAAACTAATCATTACCTATACATATCCCCTCAATGAAAGCAGAGTCGTCCAATGCAGCCCACTTAAAATGTAAAGGATTATTTTCACTTGTCTTGAATGTATTATAAAGTAGAGCCTAACATGAAACTAAAGGAGTAACTGAAAAATTTATTTAAGTTTCCTTACACAAATAGATTTCACTTATGAAAATCTCCTCTAAAGTTCAAGGCAGAAAATGTTATTTTAAAAAATTAGATTGAAGATATTTTTAAAAATTATAGGCCAGGCATGGTGGCTCACGCCTGTAATCCCAGCATTTTGGAGGCTGAGGTGGGCAGATCACGAGGTCAGGAGTTCGAGACCAGCCTGACCAACATGGTGAAACCCCATCTCTACTAAAAATACAAAAAAAAAAAAAAAAAAAAAATTAGCCAGGCATGGTGGCACACACCTGTAATCCCAGCTACCCAGGAGGCTGAGGCAGGAGAATCGCTTGAACCCAGGAGGCAGAGGTTGCAGTGAGCCAAGATCGCACCATGCACATAGTATCTCTTGAATTCTTGATTTCCCTGTTTTCTTATTTACAGTATTATTTTTATTGTCAAGTTTTATAATATTTTATTCTACTAGGTAATAGTAATACTCAGAGCTAGTAATCTTAGTTATATACTTAAATGGATTTAATGTTCACTACCAATCAATCTTTTTCCTAGACTTCTCTAAGTTTTTTTTTTTCCTTTTTCATTTCTTCATTGGGTGCATTTCTTTGTCTTGTGTCTGTTTTTTTAATTCTAAGGAAGATTTATGCATGCCATAGGATGAATATCTGTATGTCTGAGGTTGTAGATCCTTTGTCTTCATCTTCTAAAGACAAGCTATGCTGGGTATAATGGGTCTAGTTTTCTTCCCTTTAAACATTATGGATATTATGCCACTGTCTTCTGCTATTACATGTTGCTGTGGAGGAGTATAAGGCAACTCTGAATTTTTTCCTTCTAAATTACTTTATTATTATTATTACATTATTATTATCACATCTGAAATGTATTAAATTTACTGGGATCTGTGCTGTTGATTCTATATAAAAATTTCTTGGCATGTAATATGATGATGTTTCTTTCTGTTAAATTATTTTCATCTCATAAAACATTTTCTAATGTGATTGTTCTCAAGCACAGCTTTGTCCTTGACTATGTTTTCAGTTGAGTTCATTCTACTTCTGGAATTTTCATGTGTCTTCCACTTCAATATTACTTAAAATTTCTTCTTTGATTATTTCTTGAGCTCTTCTCACCTTCTTTTTTTTTTTTTTTTTTTCCTTTTTTTTAAACTAGAACTCTTGCTTTTTAGCTCAGAGCTCCCTTTTTTATGCAAAAGAGATATCAGGGTGACCTAATGTTCTTGAAGCTGTCAGGAACTGGAAAACTATTTGCTAGAACTCTTCCTCCAGTGATGTGTGTTCTTTTGTTTGCTTTTCATTGCTTTGCTTATTCAGTGTCTATGCATAAACTTCTGTTCTTATTTCTTGCTCATAATTCTTTTTAACATGACAAAGTATTTACTAAACAATATTGTGCAGAGTGAGGAGTGCAGAAGTCAAAGATGGAGGGAAGTTCTTTAAAGGCAGTATTCATTTTTATTGCAAGTTTGTTTTCCAGAACACTTTTATCAAATTTAACCCTTCCATTCCTGCATGCAGCTGTCAATTCTTTCTGGTTTAGGTATTTGGAAGATCAGTTTGGCTTCCATGCTATCTCTGTATACACAAGCCTTCTGGCTTGTCATTCGGTGAACGCTATTTTCATGTCATCCTCCACCTTTCTTTTCCCCAGAGATGCAGTGACCATCTAGGTGGGCTAAATCACAATCAGTTACAAATATCATGATATAGCGTCCATCTCCAGACCAGTGGTTTTTTATAGCATTATCTCTCTTCTTCCATGGCTTGCCACAATTTTAAATTCTTCTACTTTAATCAAAGGACCACTGAATGGTCTTTTGAGGATTGTGGCACTTCTAGGAAAATCTGCACCCAGTTTCAGGTCCATAACAAGATTTCGTGGTGCTAAGTAGGAATATATCAAAGTCTGTGGTTCAGGGTTATAGCTATTTCCACGTTCACGGAAGATGGAGTAGATTTTATTTCTTTTTTTTGTTTGTTTGTTTTCTTTTTATCATTTTCAGAAAACTTAAAGGAAAGATTTATCAGTCTTTAATCCAATCAAGTCTCTTTGAGTGCTTCACAATCCCCATGTTAAGAATTGATCACAGTGCCCATGTAAATTGCATTGCTCTGCTTCCAGCTAGAGAAAAGCATGTGAGGAAGGTCTAGAGGCTGCACCTGTACATTTAATCAGCTTCCTTTAGTGAAAGATGATCATTTTGAAAGACATATTTTGTATTCTGTGTTTAAACTAGGACTTGAAAGAGGAGAAAATTGACCTATAGTTAGTTCATTATGCCCTGCTCTTTGCTAGTTCTCTTCTTTGAACAAACCCCACTACTCATATCACTTAGAGATTATGACTCTTTAAATCCTCTAAGAGCTCCTCCAGTGCCTAGCACAAGGTGTACCACCCAGTACACTCAAACAATGGGAAATCAAATGAAATAATTCCAGAAATTTACTGTGCAAAACAAATCCCACCTTTGCAAAGCTAAAGCTCATCTTTCTCCGAAACCTCTCTCTCACTCCTTACAGTTTCTCCATGCAGGTTCCCTCTTTCTGGAGATAAACTGAACAGAGGAATCTTGTTTGCTATATTTTTTGCAGGCAGCATCATGTGAAATAGGCACAGTGAAATGATTTCAACTGCAGCCCTTATTTTTCCATTTTTGTTCAAGACTCGAGAGTCCAGCTTGCCCAGGCCTGAAGCAAGAATGAAAAATTAAGTAAAAAGTTTAAAATCATGATGCTCAGAATCTCCATCCCAGGCCTGGAGGCAGCTCCTGGAAAATATGTGTCACATTTTTAAGCAAGACTCTCTGCTCCCTCCTTTTTCTTTCCTCCAAGACTCTGGAGCAAGCTTTGGGTGGGGCTCCTCTTCTCCCTAGAGGAACAGGCTGCTATTTTGGGGAATCTGATTGGGTTTCATGTTAACTGGAAACTTTGCCGCAAGGAGTGGCTCAAGGTCAAGAGAGACAGCTTCCACTTTGCTGTGTATTAGAAAGACTACCCATACGCAGGTGCTTTGGCATCAAGAAACCTGATTTAAATCTCAAATCCTGGGTCTGCACTTTCTAGCCATTTGACCTGAGTCAAATTACTTAAGTTGTCTGAGCTTCCATTTTTCTCATCTGTAAAATGGGTTTAATAAAATCTGTATCAGATAATCATATACACATGACAATTAGCATAGTTTCTACCAAAGAAGTACTCAATAAATGCTAAGTCATATGCAAAAACACACACTCTCTTCCTCCCTCCCTTTCTCTGTCTCTCTCTCTCTCACACACACACACACACACATGCACACACACATACATGTATGACCATCATTCACTTGGTACCAGCTGTGTCCTTGAGCCAACTCTATGAATTGGTTTTTAGGACAATTATTTTGCAGATGCAAATGATAAAAGTGAGACACAGCAATGTCAAGTAACCTGCCTGAGGTGGCATAATCAGGAAGTGAAGCAGTGAAACTCATATTTGAACTCAGATCTCTGATTCCAAAGCCCGTGTTCTTAAATGGTCTGACTGCTTCATTTCAAATCATTCACCCAACATATCCCAAATTATCTTCTCAACCCAAACCAAAGTACCCAAAGTGCCCTTACCTCAGGTTGATAAAGGGGCATTGCAAGAAAAATCACACATTGACCAAACCTCTTCTCACCACACACCTCCCTTCTCTGTTCCTCTGCAGGGGTAGCACTCTAAGTCCTCATCAGCTGTCTCTTTAATAAAAACTAAAGAGGACAGAGGATGAGGTCTGCGTTAGGTGCCCAGGAAGAAATGGTGCCAGGATAGTAGAGGGGCTTGGAAGGGAGGCAAGGACCATGAAAAAATTGAGGACCGAGGGCAGGTCCCCCTGTCCCCCTGCTGTTACTGGGCCACCTTAGGATCTGGGACTGTCGGCAGCTAAGCAGGCAAGACCAGGGCCCTCCCTGTCTGTCTCTGAGGTCATTCCCCAAGCACTCCACAGCCCTGACTTGCCAGGGATTAGCCCTGTCTGTAAGGGAGGTGCTGCCCCTGCCTGGCTCTGTGTCCTCTGGTTCCAGACTTCGAGCCAGTCCTAGAACCGACTAAGTTGCCCACTCCTTGCAACTCCTTCCACACTAGGTATGGACCCATTCTGTCTATTTATCTATTTGCGTCCATACAGAGAATCAATTTTATCTGCATATCCCTGGCACATAGCAGAGTCGGTGCTTAGTAAATGCCTATCTGTCTGAAGGACATCAAGGTATGGAGAAAAATGTCTTCAGAATTAAAAACATGGATTTAAATGCTAACCCTGGCCAGGCGCGGTGGCTCACACCTGTAATCCCAGCACTTTGGGAGGCTGAGGTGGGCAGATCATGAGGTCAGGAGATCGAGACCCTCCTGGCTAACATGGTGAAACTCTGTCCCTACTAAAAATACAAAAAAATTAGCCAGGCGTGGTGGCGGGCGCCTGGAGTCCCAACTACTCGGGAGGCTGAGGCAGGAGAATGGCGTGAACCCAGAAGGCGCAGCTTGCAGTGAGCCGAGATCGTGCCACTGCACTCCAGCCTGGGTGACAGAGCGAGACTCCATCTCAAAAAGAAAAAAAAAAAATGCTAACCCTCCCACTCAGTCTCTGTGACACCTTGGGTCATTACAATGTCTCCATGGGCCTTTTTCTTTTTTTTTTCATTTGCAATTGGAACTGATAATTCTTCCAATTCAATACTGCTGGGTGGATCATGTGAGATAATGCAAGTGAGAGAAGCTCATAAACTGTAAAGTGCTTACCAATGAGTAATTCTCAGGAAGACCAAGTGTCTAATGTCCCATGATTGGAGCAGCTATCCTGATCAGAGACTCATTTTACAGGTGCATGTGTGTCTTGAACATTTGTCTTATGCTTTCTGTGTGCTTAGAAGTGGTTCCTTACATCATTATTATAGTACACTGCATTTATCCATCATTCATTCATTGATTCGTTTGTATTATTTCATTCAGAATATGTTTATAACTTGGTATTTTCCAGGTTCTGTGATAAGTTCAAAAGATACCACAGTGAGGAAAGCAGACATGGATTTTGTCTCTTGGTGCTTATGGACTAATGGGAGAGAAGGGCATTATATAGATAGTAATTCAA
The DNA here is from genome assembly GCF_000001405.40 of Homo sapiens. Lineage (NCBI taxonomy): Eukaryota > Metazoa > Chordata > Mammalia > Primates > Hominidae > Homo > Homo sapiens. Next base: position 115,339,338 of record NC_000009.12, on the reverse strand, counting down.
ATATTTTATTATAGTTGTGATAGTGCAAAAAGTGAAAGATACAGAAAATCAGAGCAGTATATAACAGAGCATAAACTGTGTGTGTGTGTGTGTGTGTGTGTGTGTGTGTGTATTTTCATGGTAGTGAGGTGGAGAGTCAATGCTTAAAAATAGTGAATACTTTCCTTAGAACATGTCAATTAAACACAGCCTAAATAATGAGTAGGACATCAGCAGGTTAAATGTCTGTGTCTTGTGTGTGCAGAGGGTGTTCATGGGTGGGGGTAGTTAGACACAAGCCTTTCAGAAAGAGATCAATTGGCAGCAAGATGACCACCAGGTAGGAAAGAGCTTGGCATCTAGAAAGCTGTTTGGGGAAGAGACAGGAAAAGACACATTCTGTCGAGTCTGAGATTTGTCTCACTTTTTCCTGTTGGCTTATACCAATGCTGCCAGCTACACAGAAGAAAAGAAGAAAGAGAAGGAGGAGAGAGAGGAGGAGAAGGAAAGGAGAAGGGAAATGTGGAAGGGGAGAAGGAAGAGGACTTTTGGATTTCTTTAAAAGGAAAGAGGAAATATAATTATTCTTTATGGAATTTTTGCCATTCTGCCTGGGTTCTCTGTCTAACGAGTGACCTCATTTCACTCCACCATTTGGGAAAAATGATAGGGATTATCTAGAACTTCTCTCTTTTCTTCACATTCAGCATCCAATTACCACTGTTTCTACCCACAGAATCTTCAAATCTGGGGGACAGGCTTGCTGAGGACAACATGGAGAATCCCCCGGTGCCCATGGGTTCCTGGGCATATTGGCCATGTTTGAACCAGCTTCCTTTCACAGAGTACTTAGCCATCATCTGGGGCTGGAAGAGGTCCTGTAGCAAACGAGGATTTCTGGCTGAGGCTACCCCCTGGTGCTATCCAAAGGCTTCTGGACTGACCCCAGCCTTTGACCACCCGATGGGTGTCAGCAACAGGGTCTTCAACTTTTCTATCCTAATTTCCTCCTTTCCTGTCCGTGACCGTCATATCTCCTACCCTCTCTACCCTCACATTCTATAAAATGTGCAGGAAATTTTATAGTTCAGGGAAGCCTGTGAGCCCTATGTAAATCAGACACCACCTCCTCAAACCTGACTGTAAATCTGGCGCATCTGCCACCAGCCGTCTTTCCTCTCAGAAATCCCATCTCTCTCAATAGAGAACTGTTTTTCTTTCTCTTTCTTCTGCTTTTTAAACCTCCACTCCAAAAAATAAAATAAAAATTAAAAAAAGAAAGAAAACAAAGAAAATCCCTGACATTTCCTTGCTAATAGAAGTTACTGAACTTAGGCTAGGCATGGTGGCTCACATCTATAATTCCCACAGTTTGAGATGCCAAGTGGGGGAGGTTTGCTTGAGGCCAGGTGTTTGAAACTTGCCTAGGCAAAATAACAAGATCCTGTCTCTACAAAAATAAAAATTAAAAAAAAATTAGCCAGGTGTGGTTGTGTATGCCTGTAGTCCCAGGTACTCCAGAGACTGAGGCAGAAGGATTGCTTGAGTCTGCAAGTTCGAAGCTGCAGTAAGCCACATATGATAATCCACCACACTTCAGCCTGAGTGACAGAGCGAGGTTCCATCTCTTAAAAAAAAAAGTTACTGAATTTCATTGGAACTGTTTATTTCACAATTTCTTAACCATATCTTGAATTTGCCAGGGGCGTGGACAAGTTCCTCCAAATCTAGACCACATATATACCTAATATTGATATTTTCTGATATCCACTGATTAGTTAATATTATGAACTAACTGTACTAAATAATTTACATATGTAATTTAATGTGACACATATTATTATAATGCAAGTACTTTTCCCAAGATCACAGATAAGAAGTGGCAGAGACAGTACTCAGGACAAAACTCTTTTGATTCCAAAGTCTGTATTATTAACCGGTATACTTTACTCATTCTCAAAATGTGGAGTAAAATAGAAAATTAAATTTTGAGGTAGAAAATTTACTTATAAATTATATCATTCTTAAATTATATATATATATATATATATATATATATATTTCATGTTGAGGGAGGAGAAAGTGGCATACACATAAATAAAGGAAGTGGTAGGCTGAATAATGTCCCTGCACAAGACATCCTCATGCTTGGATTCTGTGGCTATTCATTATCTCATGTTGCAAAAATGAGATTTTGCAGGAATGATTAATTAAAATTTTTCAGATGAAAAGTTTATCCTGGATTATCTAGGTAGACCCTAAATGTAATCACATATATCCTTATAAGAAGGAGGCAAAGGGAGATTTCACACTCAGAAGAGGAAGCAATGTGATTACAGGGGCAGAGATTGGAGTAATGCAGCCACCAGCCAAAAAATAAAGACAGCCACTAAAAAATCAAAGGGGCAAGGAACACACTATCCCCTAGAGCACCCTAAAGTAACACATCCTACTGACAACTTGATTTCAGCCCAGTAATACTGATTTTGGACTCTTGGTCTCCAATAATTGGGAAAGGATACATTTCTCATGTTTTAGGCCACCAAATTTGTGTAATTTGTTATAGTAGCCATTAAAATTAACACATGGGACAAATGAATGTTTATTTAGCAGAATGAATGAATAAGTGGTGAATGTATAAGAGAACAAATAAATTGTACAGTGAAGGATTCCGATCAAAAACACATAGAATTTATAACTTCCAGGGTAAGCCTTACACAATTGTACATATGACAGAACTGGGACTGAGTTTAAATGACTTTTATAAATCACCAGCTAATGAGAAAAGGATTTGGGAATAGACGCCAGGCTTCCTGACTCCTAGTTATGCCTCTTTGAAACTGTAATCCACTTTCTCCTCCCTCAATACAAAATATATATATTTAAGAGTGATAGAATTCATAAGTAAATTTTCTACCTCAAAATTTAAATTTCTGTTTTACTGCACACTTACTTATGTCCAGCTGATGTATAATTGGTGGGGAGCAGAGACCACAGTTCCTCAGCCACCACAGCTGTGAACCCCGTGAGAGCAGAAAACATCCTTTTTTTTCACATTATTTCTAGTCCCTGGCATGATGTCTGGTACCTAGTAATACTTGGTGAATATTTGATTAAATAAAGAAGAAATGAATCAAAGAAATTGAATATCAGACTCAGTAAAAATTGTGATTTAGTACATTTTCCCCTTTTATTATGACCCTGAATGCTTGAGTCACTAAAATATTGGTAAAAATAATTTCCAAATGAGTGGGAAATGTTAGCTGGTAGTATAGTTATGGATGTGTCCGTCTTCACCATGAGCTGAAAATGTTATGAGAGGAGACAATGTTTTCCGGTGTTTCAGTATTTCTCCTCTCATGGGGGTTGAACAAATCTGTATTCAATGCAAGTAAAGCTATGTCAAGGCCCCTTTCTCTGGGACTTTTATGCTTCTGGGACTCAAATCTCACTGTGTCTTTCTGTGACTTTGTGAAAAGGCTCCAACTTGAATATAAGTGGCATTTGTATCATTTCAGCCACCATGCACCCCCATCGCTGTATGTAATTGAGAGCTAACTCTTTCTTCCTCAGGGAGGAATTACCTACGGAAGATTCATGCCTTTGGGATGTGGCGTTCCCAGTTGAAAGGCTCCTGTTAATTTATAGGAGGCTATAAATCAGCAGGAAAAGAAACATTGGCCCACAACCCATGAAAGGAAAATACATCCTTCAGGACCAAATGCAAACCTGGCCACAAACTTATGGGTGATTTAAGACCCTGGGCTTACTTACCTGTCCCTGGCTGATTTAGATTCTTTGGGGCTTCTCTGCTTAGAGCAAGGGAAGGAGGGTTTTGCACAGATCAGTGACCACGAATGAAAGAGATACAAAATGTCATTCAGTTAATGATACATCGCCAACCATGCTATTTCTCCTGAAAAGAGTGATGCCATCCTTTGCATCATTTACCATGACCCTGCCAATTGGCTGTGGCCCTTGTGGGCCCTTGGGCCAAGGTTTATACTTGTAGGAGGCAGCTCATATTCAGATATTAATTTAAAACTGACATTCTTAGCCTTGGCCAAGGTGTTTAACAGACTGCTCTTGTGGGCTGGAAGCAAGGAAAACAAACAACAACAAAAAAAACATGTCTATAACTTCTTTGAGGTGGTGGTTCCCCAGATGCATATAAATGTGAAAACTCATCTAACTGAATACTTAGAATCTGTATATTTTATTGTATGCAAGATTATAAGAAAGTTCCAATGGCATTATTTCTGGGAGTGATAAATGATTATTTAATAACTAGAAACTATTTGTCAGTTTGTGATTTCTGATCAAGGCAATAAATGTTTCCCAAGCACCTGCAATTATTGGTCAAATTCTGCATTAGATGCTGGAGATAGAAAGTCCCTGTCCCCAAGTGGCTTCTGGGCCAGAGGAAGAGGCCAGGCATTTAAAGAGACAATTCTAAGAGAGCCCAGTGAGTGCTATGATGAGGTACATATAGAGAGGGGATATGGGATCAGACAACCCATTTGACTTACTTGGAGGTCAAGGGTAGATTTCTAGGGCTTGAGGAAGGATAGAAGTTTTCTATTCAAAGAGAAGGACAATTGGAATAGGGAAAAGAGCCTTAACAAAGAAACATGCAGTAGTGTGAAATAACAGTTTGGGGTTTATTTAAATCATTATGAGTAGTAGTGTTGGATCAGAAAGTATGAGGTTGGAGAGGGCAGTCAATGAGACTGGAAACCTTAAAAAATGAATTTTTTCCAGATGAAAGATTGTCTCCACTGAGTTCAAGGAAAGCATACTAGAGACTGCATCCACATTTAGGTAGACATGGGAACAAGGGAATATTATTTTATTCTGTTTTACCCATTGACATAGTGGAATAAAAAGTAAGATAATGAAGGTAGCATTGTACAGGGGTGAGTAGGCTGGATAGAAACTAGGAGACCTGGGTTCCAGGCCCCTCTGTTTCAGGACATTTACAGTGTGACTTTGGGCAGGCCTCTGCTTCTCTGAGCCTGTTTTTCACAAGTCAGTTGGGGATAATAATAGCTACTTCACAAACTTTGAGTGAGATGCAGAGATATATTGGGTAAAGCTCTTTGGATATTATAAAAGCTTTTCTTACATTTGGTTATAAAATTGATAGGAGGTGCAGGAGGAAGTTTACATATATCAAGTTATTTCCAACTTTTAATTTCAACAAATCTGGCAGACGACCCCAGAAGGGAGTGAATGAAGATTTGGCTGCCTAAGTGGGGGCACGAATGTATCCAGCTAGATATTTAGAGAAGAATACTACAAATACCCAAGAGAGGAAAGAGGTGGCATCAGGAAGGGATGTTTTGTAGACTTAATGATTTTTGTGAACTCTCTACAAGGCTCTTACAAATGCCCCCAGTGTAGGGATATTGGAACCATGTCACGCTTCCTGCCCCAGGGCCTTCACACGAAGTGGGAGGCAAGACTATAATTCCCTGGGCACAGTCCAGGAATGGGCATAGCTTTTGGCACCATTGAGTCATCCACAGGATATGACAAGACTTTCAGGGCGTCCCCTATGCCTGCACTGACCCATCTTAATGCTCTGTTGAGGCCCAAATCCTGTCTGTAAATGGAAGACCCCCAGCTCTCACAGGGGTCCCCCACTGCTGTTCTGTGGGAGCCATCCAGTCCCGTCCAATTGATTGATTTCTCCGGATACACCAAGGGTGGTCCTGGGGGGAAGGGGGTCTTGGCAGGATCTCCCCCCATATTCTCAGCTCATTTGCCACTGTGCCCTTGCCAAGTTTTGCTTCCCCTGCATTTCATCAGACCATTCCTCAGTCTGTCTCCTTAAGGCACATTCAGAGAATCTGAATTAAGCTTCAGTCAGTCCCTGACTTCCCTCAGAAAGCGTTGTTAGGGAACTCGCATACAAAGGCAGCCTGGGCGCAGTCCCAGATTCCAATCTCCCTTTCCTCTCCTCCTCATCCTTCTCCCCATCATTCAATTAATTTAGCCTGTTTTCCTCAGTGGCCCCTACTCTCCTGGTCACTGGGCAAGTCCTTGTACATCCTGAAGAGCTATGCCAAGAATCTGCCCATCGTAGCCCTTCTTTCTTGCTCCCTGCAGCAGTGAGACATTTGTCTAATTATCTCTGGATCTGGAAGCAGTTTCATTTTCTAGAGAAGAGCATATCAGTTCTGGTCTGTAGCTTTTCCTATACCCCTTGGGTAATAGGGCTGCTACAAAATGCCTCCTGTCAAGTGCTCTAAGCTACCCAAAGCAAACCCTTCTCTGAGACAAAGGAGAGGATTAACTTACAGTATTGTATCCACAAGTCAGACATCAAAGTAAGTGAGTGAAACCCCTTGTTTCCACAGCCTTGTCTGAGATGTTGTTTGTAAATGTTCTCTGAAACATCAACAAGACCTTTCATAAGGTGGCTACCAGGGAGCATGGGAACTTGCCTGTCACAAGCAACAAAAATAAACCCCTCATCTGCAGAGTTATCTCCATCCAATTGCTATCACTCTAGTCTGGGCCTTCACTGGCTGTTGCCTTGCCCACTACAGTAACAGCCCACATAGTCTCCTTGCTGCCGCTTTTATAGCCCTATAGCCCATTCTCCACTTGGCAGCTAGAGAAACTCTTTAAAAATAAAATTATGGAGCTAGAGGTCATTATCCTAAGTGAAATGACTCAGAAACAAAAAGTCAGGTACTATATGTTCTCACTTATACGTGGGAGCTAAACAATGGGTACCCATGGACATACAGTGTGGAAGACAAGACATTGGAGACTCCAGAAGGTGGGAGGGCAAGAGGGGGATGAAGGTTGAAAAACTACCTATATGGTACAGTGTTCATTAATTGGGCGATGAGTATGTGGGAGCTAAACAATGGGTACACATGGACATACAGTGTGGAAGACTAGACACTGGAGACTCCGGAAGGTGGGAGGGCAAGAAGGGGATAAGGGTTGAAAAATTACCTATATGGTACAGTGTTCACTAATTGGGTGATGAGTACATGGGAGCTAAACAATGGGTAAATATGGACGTACAGTGTGGAAGACTAGACATTGGAGACTCCAGAATGTGGGAGGGCAAGAGGAGGATGAGGGTTGAAAAATTACCTATATGGTACAGTGTTCACAATTTGGGTGATGAGTACACGAAAAGCCCAGACTTCACCACAATGCAGTACATCCATGTAGCAAATTTGCACTTGCACCCCCTAAATCTATAAAAATAATAAATTATCAATCAATCAATCACATCTCATTTTTTCCTCTCTGTCCCCAGTCAAAACCCATTTAGTATAAAACTCAAACTCTTTACTCCTACTTCCAAAGCTCAATGGTCTTATTTCTGTCTACCCATCCCAACTCAACCTGTACCACTCTGTCTTACTCACTCTACTTCAGCCATAACAGGACTCTCAGTGCTCAAACTGCACCTGGTCCCATCCTCAGAGTCCTTGAAGCAGAAGATTCCCTTTGCATAGGTTCTTCTCTTTTCTGAACTTTTATATGCCAAGTTCCCGTTGTTCGATCTCAGATCTTCAGAGGCCTTTCTTGTCCACCTAATTTAAACTACCTGGCATATTATATTGGATTGAGCCAAATGACATTCCTGTTTTGTAGGTTAAATACATATTAGAAGTTTCATAAGGTTTAACCCGATAGGGTCTCTATACATATGTTTCACGACGTGAGAGTTTTTACATATAGATGTGTTGCTTATACTGTTTTTATATAATGAGAAGCACTATGTCTGACACATAGTAAGGTAAATTAAAGGTAGTTGCTGATTTTATCATTATCATCATCATCATCATCATCATCATTCTAAACCACGTAAGAAGATGTAGAAATAAATATGTAGGAACAGAGGAAACCTCATTGTTGCACTGGTTTGGGATACAGGAGAGAAGAGGTCTGAGATTAGATCTTTCATTGCTGCCCAACTTTGTGATCTTGGATCAGGCAGTATCTGTTGGAGATAACACAAGGGCTAGATTTTCAAATTAGACCCACAAGAATAAAATATTTTACCAAGTATCAAACTTTACTAATAATGTCAAAGCTATAAGTAATCACAAGGTACAGGGAACATAGGGAAAAGCCCAGGACTGCCAATACTACTCCACAGCCCTTTTCTTACCACATTAGGACTTGGTCTGATTCGGATTTAACATATGGTTCTCCAAAAGATGTACACAAGTACATTACTTGCACGAAATGAAAGCCAGCTTTTTTAACCCTGAAGTAGTTCCATCTCCTGCCATAGTTACATAGCTTACTTGACACTTTTCAAGAAGCCATTACCCATGAATCCTTAGATTCCAGGTTTGTTTACCATATACAATTCTACTACGGGGGTAAGGTTCATGCTGCTAAAAGTCTCTCAAAGATAAAGACTGCCACTAACAAATATCATTAGTGGTTTTCCCCAGAGTCTTCACAGCATGTTTACAAGGAGATTTGATCAGCCAGATTTCTTCTCCAAGGGAATTCCCAGAGAAAGGAAGGAATGCACAGCAAGCCTGGATAAACCTTTTCTTCCCAATTCTTTAGGCTGCAGTTCCTTCATCTATGAAGTGAAAATCTTGCTCACTATATCTGAGGACCCAAAGTGTTCTAAATCTCATTAGACCTACAACAAGGGAAACCATTTTCTGCTGCTGCATATACTAGGCAGAAGCTAAGTAAACAGCATATAGCAGAAGAGACTCTCTACCATGGAAATTGTTAAACTCAACCCAAAAGGCACTTTCTTACTTAAAGGTTACTCAAACCGGGCACGGTGGTTCACACCTGTAATCCCAGCACTTTGGGAGGCCGAGGCGGGCAGATCACCTGAGGTCAGGAATTCGAGACAAGCCTGGCCGACATAGTGAAACCCTATTTGTACTAATGAAACAAAAATTAGCTGGGCATCATGGCGGGCACCTATAAGCCCACCTACTCAGGAGGCTGAGGCAGGAGAATCACTTGAACCCTGGAAGCAGAGGTTGCAGTGAGCCAAGATCATGCCATTGTACTCCATCCTGGGCGACAAGAGTGAAACTCCATCTGAAAACAAACAAACAAACAAACAAAAAAGTTACTCAGCAAGCAGGTTAATGAAAAGAGTATAAACTCTGGAATCAGAAGCCTGAGTACAAGCCTCAGCTCAAGAATTTAAAGACTGCAGGTCTTTGAGGAAGTTGCCCAAACTGACCAAGCTTCTGTTTCCTCACCTGTTAGAGGAGAATCATGATATTTATCTCCTGAGTTCTGGCAAGTTTTAAAGGAGATGATGCACGTCAATGCCAAGCTCCATGACTGGCATAAAATCATTGGTAGTGATGAAGTCATTTATCCATTTATGCCACTGTATGCAATGTCCACAGTGTACAAAAATTGAATAAAATGATGGAGTTAGGCATACCCTTGAGAGCAGCGCAGATGGAGTAGGAGTTAGGCATACCCTTGAGAGCAGCGCAGATAGACCATTAGCCACTCATGTCTCCCATTCCCACCATCTAGCGCCAACCCATTCAGACAACACAGCATTCAGAACAAACATCCTGAGCCACAGATCTGAACCACTCTGTTGCTTAAAACTGTGCAATAGCTCTCAATCTCCTTAAAGATAAATCCTAACCTCTTCATTCCATGTATAAGGCTCTGAGTGATCATTTTCCTTTCCCAACCACCATGATTAGTAAAGGTAGACTAAGCACTAGAATGAATAATCCCCAAATTTTATCAGCATAACACAATAAAAGTGTGTCCACTGAGAGAGGGGTGATTGCCTGGGGCAATAATTCAGAGACCTTGTTTTCTTTGGTCTTCTGGGTCCTTTGGGTTCTGAGTTCTCTTTGTCTGCCAGAATATGGGGAGAAAGGAAAAGGATCAGTTATTGAAGGGTTGATGAGCCAGACTTGGTAGATGGGCATATAATTTCCTGTCCTATTCTATCATCCAGAAATGAAATCAGAATACTGCTTCACCTAATTACAAAGGAGGCAAAAAAAATAGATACTGATTAGCATTCTATTACCTTTCAGTTGACACTAGAGCAATTCTAGGCTCCTTCTATTTATCTGCCACACCATTCTCGTCCACCTCTCTCTGTGTTTTTGCCCCTGCTGGTCTCGTTGTCAATCATGTTTTAGATAAACTTCTTCTATGCTGAAGTTCTTGTCCAAGGATGATCTTCTCTTCAAGTCTTCCTTTACAAAGCCCCTTCCTTACTCAGAGAAAGACCTAATTGCTCATTCCTCCTTAGTACATCTAGACTTTGTACTAAGCCCTCTTTAGTACTTCTAGACACTCTGTCACTCTGCTCTGATGATTTTGTTCATACACTTGTCTCCCCTCTAGAATTTAGGCTCCTTCTCTGCAATTAGCAGAGACCTGTGCTAATTGAATCACAGCTGTCCCTTCTCCTCCCCCTCTCCTCACCCCATACAGCACATACCCTGGTGCTGAGTGAGCTGCATGGTGGGGAACTGCAATAACATCCAATGTCCCCAGAGAAATAGAGCTGAGTATTAGGAGCTAAGTTTAAGACAAACCACCTGGTTTTGAAGCCCAATGCTGCTGCATAATCTTGATCAAGTTGTTTGTTCTGATTCTCAGAAAAAAGAATGTCTATAAAACCAGAAGATTATTAGCTTCCCATATCAGATGGTTGTGAAGAGTTTATTAATTAATGAATATAAAGCTCTCAACATGGTACTTGCTACACACAAGGAACGCTAAATAAAATTCTACCTATCGCTATTATCATATCCTTCTGACCTATTTTGTGGATGGAAACAGAAAGGCTCTCCCCTGACTTTGAGAAGCCTTAAATTAGGACAGAGAAACTTGCCCTGTGGATATGTGGTCCCCAGAGAGTGACTCAGGCAGACTGAGGCCTTTGTGAGCTCCCATGGCCCTGGAAGCATTCCTTGAGTGAGGTCTGGCAAGGACAGGGAGAAGCTGACAACTTAAATGATTTAGTCTGCTCAGCAAAGTAAACGTGGCTCCAGGAAGTTAGAAGTAACTCAGAATGGAAGCTCCAAATGCCACTGGGTGGAGGAAATTTTTTTTTTTTTTCCAAACTCAATTTGTTTTCACTTAAACTGCTCCATTTCATCAACATGGCTCTTTGGAACATTGGCTAAATTCCCTAAAAATGTCTCTCTTTTTAAACGTTTTCCTCCCTCCTTCCTAGTTCCTCAAATGCAATAAAATTAAATACTTGGAACCCAAGAGAAAGCCCCCCAAAACATCAGATCAGCATAGGTGTCCATCAGGTATGTGTTTGCAAATTGATGGCAAAGTTGGGGCTATAGGTGTGGATGTAAAGTTGCTGTGAACAGCACAGTGACCACAGTTAAATCATTCCCTGAAATGGCCCTGCAGTTGATAAATTGCCTTCTCTTCACAAAGACCCTTTTATCCAGGTCAGTCCTGTGTGAGGCTTTCCATGCCTCCCCATTTAAGCCTCAGGAGGAAGGAAATAGACCTTCATCTATAGAGGAACAGAAGGTTTCTCAATCAAGAATCCAGGTTGCAACCCATTCTGCACTTACACATCTGGGAGATAGACACCCACTCCATTGCCGCACCAACATGACCGAGACAGGGGCCCAAAGCCAGAACATGCTGAGGGAGTTTCTTTCTTTATTGCCTGGAATGTCTTTTAAAATATAACAATAAACAAGAGAATCCTGCTTGTACTAGCTCATGAAAAGTTTTGACATAACCTAACCCTTTCAGTCCATAACCAACTCATACCAGACCAGCTCTGATTCTTTTTGAGTATGAACCATCCCAGTTTTAAAGCCATAGTTTTCTCTTCTGCAGAGGAAATCTATGTCAACAGTAAAAGACTACAGAAAGGATATCTTCCATTTGTTTTTCTGCTTCTTCACCTTTTCTTTTGTTTTTGTAAGAACTTGGCAGAGCTGATAAATTAAGCAGATTTTTCCATACAAGGGACACAAGGATTCATTGTAAACTACACGCAGGAGTTAACAGGACTATAGTAGCCTAGTTTAGGAAGATAATTTCACTTAATTTCATCACTGAATTGTTGAGCATTTACTATCTATGGATATAAAAAAAAGTGCAAAAGAATAAGAAAATAGTAACACCACCATTTTGTAGGTATTTTCCAACAACTGGCACTCTGTTGTAACTGTTACACAATCCTTCAAGATCTCCTTGTTCAGAGAAAATATAAGCTCCTAGAAGTTAGATACTTTGCTCAAGGACCTACAGATAGGACCAGGCAAAGCTATCAATCAATCCAGTTTCGGCTTATCAGATCCTAAAGCCCGTTCACACCTATAACTATGAATCTCCTCACCTTACTGTTATTTTTTTTTTGAAAAGACAGTATGATCTGCCTCTTGGGGCTGTTAGAAAGATTAGATGAAATATATTTTATGTGCCTATTATGTGATTGTATATGAAATTCCACCAGTGTAAAGTCTAAAACCTCAGCCATTTGGAGAAGTTCAAAGCAAGAGGGTGAGTGGATGAATCAAGGAGAGGAGCAGACCCTTCTCTGACTTCTCCACCCATCAATATCATCCTACCCTAAACTAGGCACGTAACATGGTTACTCGCTAACATAACACAGAAGGGCTAGTGATAGGTCTTAATTCTCAGACCTCTGGGAAATGACTACTACACAGCTGCTTCTAGTAAATGTTGGTTTATATTTTATCTAGGGTCTCGCTGACCTTTGAGATCTCAGCAAAATTAGCTTCTTATCCTCCCCAACTGTGCAGCCTGTAGACATCTTCTCCAGTACTTTGGCAAATTTTCAGAAAACCCAGCACCTCTTGTCTCTCAATATTTGTTTCTAGATGGGTATCTCTGTTTTAGTCTAGAAGACTTAGCTGGAGAAAAAATTCAACTATTGCTTTGAATTTCTAAAAACTCCACTCACATTTGCAAGAAGAGTGAACTTCACACAATAATGGGGAGAGGAGCTTCAGGGGGAAAAAAAAATCTCTATAGCCACCAACAAAACAACTATCAAAGAGCAGAACAGAACCCGTTTAGAAATCTCCTCCAGACATCTCACTATCAAGATGCTTTACAAACCCTTTATATTGCCCGGTCTCAGTCTCTATTTTGCAGACTTCTTTTCCTCCCTTCTTTTTTCTCATTACTCATCTCTTACCTATTCAAATTCAGGATCAAAAATGATAAACCATGTTCTTATCCCATCAGATGCTGAGACTCGCATCCATGATAGTCTGGCATCTATCAGCATCCATGTCTTGAAGATCTCACTTCAAAAAGATTTATGAAGCTCCACCCCTTTCCATTCTAATGGGGCATGCTAAGATCACTAGATAAATAATAGCAAAGTTGTCTATAGCTCTTAAGCTGCACCAGGCACCGTTTTAAGTACTTTGTATTTATGAATTAATTTAATCCTCACAACAACTCCATGAAGTTATTATTATATCCCCATTTCACAGATGGGAACTGAGGTGCAGAGAGGTTAAACAACTTACTCAAGGTCACATAGATAGTGGCAGACCTGTGATTCAATCCCAAGCAGTCTGATTCATAATTCATACTATTAAGTTCTATATAATCATTTGGCAGAAAAATGAACAGTCAGACATTTCTCCCTCCCAACTCACGACAACATTGAATGAATGCATTTATTTACAAAATAAATGAATGAGTAGAATTTGAAGCAAATCTTTGGGGTTTTGAAAAACATACAAAACGTAAACAACAAAAAGTAGGCCACAGACTATTAGGGATTAAAAAAAATAGGAAGATTTAAATGGGTAATTTCAGGACAGAGGGAGGCCCCGGGGCAGGCAATTGTCAACTGCGTTGAATAGGCTCCAGGCAGTTATATGCAGAGGTTAAGTCAGGTTTAGGGAAATAACTGTGTTTTTAACTGGATAATCTATCTCCCATACCTTCAGGAAAACATCATGGCCACTGAGCCTGGCTGCTTCCTTTGGAAAGGCCTTTGGGGGAAGATAGAGTTTGTAAAGTGATAGGAGAAGAGAGTTCTCAGCTACATGAAGACTCATTTTGCTTCAAAAGAAGGGCCCCTCATCAGAGCAGTAAGTTCAGGAAAGTATCCACTTCCAAGTGGTCTTTGTTTCCTATTTGGACATCACGGCAGTGCATCTACATCTGGACGATGATGTCTCTTACAGGAATACAGCTCTCTCATCAAAATTCGGCAGACTGCATAACCAGGGCTGGGGCATTGTAAAGAGTTCAGGGCCTTACAATTCTCTCCCCCAGCTCCCCTTTCCAAACACTTTGCTCTTGTCAACACAGGAAAAGTTAAATCATTCTGTATTTCCAGACCCATTATTGAAGAAGGTAGAAAAATAACTCTGATGATTAGGTTCTTTGACATTTTACATTGTTTAAAGATCTATCTTGAGAAATAAAGGTCTCATTATCTAAAGAATTTCATCTTTTTCATTTGGCAAACTAGTATACTTTTACCTTCATCATCCAGATTAAGTGAAAGTTTATCTCATTAAGCATAATACTTTATTTTTGGGCTCCAAAATCATCTGTACTCAGAGTTGAAATAGTAGTAACAACAATACCCCTTAATAAACATTTTATAACTACACAATGCTGTCTGACCTATCATAAACTTTTTTTTTTTTTTTTTTTTTTTTTTTGAGATGGAGTCTTGGTCAGTCGCCCAGGCTGGAGTACAGTGGTGCGATCTTGGTTCACTGCAGCCTCCGCCTCCCGGGTTCACGCCATTCTCCTGCCTCAGCCTCCTGAGTAGCTGGGATTACAGGAGCCCACCACTATGCCCAGCTAATTTTTTGTATTGTTAGTAGAGATGGGTTTGCACCGTGTTAGCCAGGATGGTCTCGATCTCCTGACCTCGTGATCCACCCGTCTTGGCTTCCCAAAGTGCTGGGATTACAGGCGTGAGCCACTGCGCCCAGCCATAAACTTTTTTTTTGAACACTTTATTGGAGTTTTAAAACAATCCTGAGGTAAATAATATTATCCTCATTTTGCAGTTGAAGAACCTGGAATTCAAAGAAGGTCCCACATGCAGTGAGTGATGAGCAGAACCTGGGCTCCACCCAGGCCTGACTGATGCTAGAGCTTTAATTACTTCACTACTGCTCAGACTGAGAGAATGGCCACTGACATTGGTGGAGAATGCAGCAGAGCTCATCACCTTCACCACCAGGCTGTCTGCTCCCTCATCCATCCTGAAGGGTCTCCAATCACCAAAAAGACTCTATTCCTCCTATGCATATCAGCAACATTGAGCCAGGAAACTCTCCATAAACCCCACTTATTCAAGCCACACAATAGACCACTCATGGGGAGGATGTTCCTCCTCCCACCTCCCATGTCACTGAAGGTTGGGAGTCCGTGTTCTCCCGGCTTGTATCACCACTTCTGGATTAGATTTCCTCACTCCTTCCATACAGTTCCCACTTACTGAAAGTGTTTGCCTGTGATTCCACCTTGGGGTACTCCTAGCACTTGATCAAAAGACTTTATGTCCTGGCCAATCCTCTAAATTCTCTGAAGATTGGCCTCTGCCTTTCCATCTTCTCCCACCACAGGCATTGCTATTATTGGTGATTTCGGCATTGGGTGATCCTTTCAACAACCTAGCTTTGCAGATTCCTTGCCCTCTTCATCCCCTATGGTCTCAATTTCTTCACTTTGGCCACATTATCCCAATTCACTGATCCACAATATACTATTTTATAGGCCTTCTAGGAACTTCCAGTTTACCGACTCCTTTACTTTCTCCTTACTTCTCAGGACTCCCCTGTTTCCACTTCTCTCATTATCTAGCTAAGATTTTATTGATAATCACATTAATTACTGTCTTCAAAATCTTTAATTTCTTAAGTTGTAATTATCTTATTATGAGTCATCTGTAAAACTTCAAACCTGAATAAACTCAACTTGCTATTTTCTCAACCTTGCAGTTGGGTTGCTGAGTAATTGTGGAAAGAAAAAAAAAATCGCTCTCAATTGGAAATGCTCTTAATTCATGGTCCTCAACCTTAACTAGGTCCTTAATAATGCCCAGGGATCTATTATGTTTCTATGGGAAGTACTTTCCCCTTTTCTGAGGCAGCATATTTCAAACTGTCTTCTTTGCTCTCAAACCTATGACTCCCACCTCTCTCGCTTAGTCTCCGTATGACCTTGACTCCACAGAAAAAAACAAAAGCCATCAGTCAAAGCTCCCTCAACTTTGTGTCATAAAAGTTACACACGTATTTGCATCTTCACTCATTACTTCCTTCCACGCTCCTGATAGACCGAAAGGAATGTCCTTTATCTTACCAAAAACTGGATCCCATACTCTGGATCTCATCCTTTTTGATGTTCAGAAGAATGTCACTCCACTTATATCCCTTCTCTAGTGGCTACATCCCATTAGCATGTAGAGGTAGCATGATGCTTTGTTTTGGGGCTTTAACGTCACCTACAGCCAGAATTGTAATGGTAATAACAATACTTTTTACTAAGTACTTATTTTATGGCTACACCATGATGTTTGACGGTCACAAACTTCGACCATCTTGGGCCTTCCTGTTTCGTGTTTCCCCATCTCTCCGGTTGATCTCATGCTCTTTTGTGATGATTTCAATGAGTTCATTTACCCAAACCTGTATCTCTATCTCAAGTCAGTTTTCTGTGCTCCAGGCTTTATTTCAATGGTCTTTTACAGACTGCGCTGGGATATCTCAAAGGTACTTTATATTCAATATTTATAACGTCTCCCTTCTTCTCCCCCAGCCTTTCACTAAGCCCATTTCTTTGCTCATGTATTTCAATTTCAATGAATAGTGCCATAATTTTCCCAGTTAATCAATTTAGAAAAGTAATAACATCCTTGTCCTCCTTCTTTGCCTCAGTTTTCACATGTAACAATTATTAAATTCTCCAAATTCCGTTTCTCAACTGTACGTTGAATAAGCCTACTCATGTCTAACTTCAGGTTTACTCACAGGCCACCCTCTGCTCTCTCACTCCAAGTTCAAGGTATACATTACCCACTCCTTGTATCATTTCCCACACCCCCATCCCTTTTACATATTCTTCCATCTGTTTTCCACTCTAATACTACCTTTCCTGGCCCCAAGGCTGAGTTGGGTACCTCTTCTCTCTGAATCCATAGCATTGTGATTACCATTATCATATCAGTTACACTGTTTCTTTATTTTTTAAATTTCCTGTTTACTCACCTATTTCACTCACTGTCTAGTTCATCACTTTGTCTTGAATAACTAGACTAGCCTTTGGCACATAATAAGTGATAAATCTATATTGGTTGAAAAAATGGCCCATTTTAGGCCATAACTTTGTTTTCTATTAGTTGTACAGTGACGTTCAAAATTGTATCACTCAACAAGTGTATAACGTTTAAAAGTCAGCTTCACTGAGGTATGTTTACATGCAATAAAACCTACCAAGATTGAGTGCATATTTCAATGAGTTTAGACAAATGTATGTAACCACAACTACAATAGTAATAATATAGAGCATTTCTATCACTGCAAAAAATACCCTTGTCTCTGCAATAAATTCCTTCTCCACTCCCTCAGGCTCTTGGCAGTGATTTATCTGTTTCTGTCACTATAGTTTTGCCTTTTCTAAAATTTCACAAAATTTTAATCATAGTGTGTAGTCTTCTGACTCTGGCTTCTTTCACTTAGAATAATGCATTCATTATGTTGTGCATATCAGTAGTTGGTTCATTTTTATTTGCAGAATAATATTCTATTGTATTAATATGCCACACTTTTCTTATCCATTCACCAATTAATGAATATTTAGGTCATTTCACTTATGTTATCAGTTATTATGAATAAAGCTGCTGGGACCATTCAAGTAAAAATCTTTGTGTGGACAGACGTTTACATTTCTCTAGGGTAACCACGTAGGAGTGGAATTTCTGGATCATATTGTAAGCATTTGTTGAACATTATAAGAAATTGCCAAACTTTTCCAAAATATTGTGCATTCCCATTAGCAACATTTGAGTTTCCAGTTGTTGCACTTCTCACCAAAACTTAAAATCATTTTTTAAAATCATAGCCGTTGTAATGGTTGTGCAGTGGCATCTCACTATGGTTTTAATTTGTATTTTCATGATGTCTAATGATGCTTAACATGTTTCCATAAGCTTATTGGTCATTTGTGTCTTCTTTTGTAAAGTGTCTGCTAAAATTTTTTGCCAATATTTATTGAGCAGTTTATCTTCTTATTTTTAAGCTGTAAATGTTCTTATATATATATTCTAGATACAAGTCCTTTGTTAGACGTACCTATTGAAAATATTTTCTCATAGTCCATAGCTTGCCCTTCAAATTTGTAAGAATATATTGTGAAGAGCAGAAATGTTTAAATTCCATGAAGTATATTTACTAATATTTACTTTCATGGTTTATACTTTTTTGTGTCTTATTTAAGAACTTTTTTTCACTATTCCCAATAGCAAATATTTACTCCTATGGTTTCTTCTAAATCTTGCCTGAAAATAAAGGCAATTTTTATTTTTTTATAAGTTTGAATTCTTGTGTTATTTCATTGCATAGGACTTCCAGTATAATGCTGAATAGAAATTATGAAAGCAAAGAACCAGGGCTGGATGCGGTGGCTCATGCCTGTAATCCCAGCACTTTGGGAGGCCAAGGCGGGCGGATCACCTGAGGTCAGGAGTTCTAGACCAGCCTGGCTAACATGGTGAAACCCTGTTTCTACTAAAAATACAAAAAATTGACCGGGCATGCTGGTGCACACCTATAATCCCAGCTACTCAGGAGGCTGAGGCAGGAGAATCGCTTGAACCTGGGAGGCAGGGGTTGCAGTGAGCCAAGATCATGCCATTGCACTGTAGCTTGGGCAACAACAGTGAAACTCCATTTCAAAAAAAAAAAGTGAAGAAGTAAAGAACCTTGCCTTCTCTCTGATTTCATGGAAAATGCAGTCAGTCCTTCACAATTAAATATGAGTTAACAAAAGTTTTTGTTGTTATTGTCACTTGCTTGCTTGCTTTTTATCAGGTTAAAAGCTCCCTCTACTTCTAGGGCTCTGAGAGGTTTGTATCTTAATACATATTGATTTTATTCAAATGCTTACTCTGCCTCTATTGAGGTAATCCTTTAGTTTTGGTGTTTGTTTTTTACCCTGTAAATACAGTAAATTTTGTTGTGTCATTTTGATTAATAGATAAACATTACATTTCTGGGGTAGAACTCACTTAGTCATACTGTAATACATTTTATATATTGCTCTATTTGATTTGCTAGTATTTATTAAATATTTTGAATCTTTTTTATAAGAATATTGGGTGTATTTTATTTCTGGATAATGTTGCCTTGTAGAATTAATTTGAAAGTATGTTAGTTATCTATAGCTGCATAACAAATGCCCCCAAAACATAGCATCTTATAGCAACAAATACTTACTATCTTACAGTTTTGTTTTTTTTTTTCAGTCAGAGATCCAAGAGAGCTTAGATGGATGTACTGGTCAGGGTGTCTCAAGAGGTTGTAGTCATACTGCCCATTTATTAGTCCGTTTTCACACTGCTGATAAAGACATACCCGAGACTGGACAATTTACTGAAGAAAGAGGTTTATTGGACTTGTAGTTCCACATGGGTGGGAAGGCCTCACAATTATGGTGGGAAGCAAGGAGGAGAAAGTCACATCTTATGTGGATGGCAGCAGGCAAAAAGAGTTCTTGTGTAGAGAAACTCCTGTTTTTAAAACCATCATATGTCATGAGACCCATTCACTATCACAAGAACAGCATGGAAAAGACCCACCCTCATGATTCAGTCATCTCCCATCAGGTCCCTTCTACAACATGTGGGAATTATGGAAGCTACAAGGTGAAATTTGGGTGAGAACACAGAGCCAAACCATATCAGCCCATTAGGGATGAAGTCATCTGTGGCTGGAGAATTCATTTCCAAGCTCATTCACATGCCTGTTGGCTGAAACCACAGTTTCTTACAATGTGGGCCTTTTCGTAGGTTGCCTGAGTCTTCTTATAACATCACAATTGGCTTCTCGCAGAGTGATTAATGAGAAGAGACAGGCAGAAACAGAGGCATAGAAAGACTTGTCTTTTATAACCTAATCTCGGAAGTGACATACCATCACATCAGCCATATTTCCTTGGTTAGACAGACCAAACATGATACAATGTGGGAAGAAACTACACAAAGATGTGAATACCAGTAGTTGGGGCTCATTTTCCTTAGGCCTAAAGAACTTCCTATAACATTTCTTTCTTTTCTTCCTTTCATTCTTTCTTACTTTCCTTATTTTAGAAACAGGGTCTCACTATGTTGCCCAGTCTGATCTCAAACTCCTGGGCTCAAGTGATCTTCTCACCTCAACCTCCCAAAGTACTGGGATTATAGGCACGAACCACTGTATCCAGCCTGTCACATTACTTATAGCATAGGTTTGCTAGTAACAAATATTCTCAGCTTTTTGTTTTGTCTAAAGATGGTTTTATTTTACCCTCAATTTTGAAAGATAGTTTATCTGGGTATAGAATAATAAGTTTTTGTTGTTGTTGTTGTTTAGTTTATTTCACTGTTTCTATAATATTTGCTTTTAAAAATTTGATCATGATATTTCCTTATGTGGCTTTATATTTATCTTCTTTTGAGCTCACTGAACTTTTTAGATTGATGGGTTGATGGTTTTCATCAAACTTAAAATTTTTTCAGCCATTGCCTCTTCAGATCCCTTTCTTAGATTTCAGTCACATGAATTTTAAACTCCTTGATGCTTTCCAAAAGGTCAATAAAGTTCTGTTCATATTTTTCAGTCTCCTTTTCTTTCTCTGCTTCATTTTAGATAGTTTCTATTGTTATATCTTCATTTTCACTACTATTTTTTCTGAAGTATTATTGTTCTCATCCTATGGGATTTAATTTCAGATATGTTTTTACAACTAGAAGTTCCATTTGCTTTTCTTTTTTATCTTATATTTCATTTCTCTCCTCATTATATTTATGCTTTATTTTCAATACTTGAACTTATGAAGCTTATTTACAAAAGTATACTTAATGTCTTTGTCTGCTAATTTTATCATCTTTTTAATCTCTGGATCTGTTTATATTGGCTGATATTCACCCAGTTATGAGTCCCCATTTTCTACTTCTTTGTACATATAGTATTTTTTGAGAATGTTACATTTGTAAGTAGTGTATTTTTTATACTTCTTTGAAGAGTGCTACCTTTTCTTGTGGCAGGAAGTTAGACTATTTGCAGATTTGTTTGGTCCCTTTGAAGTTGTTTTTATGCTTTTCAGGGTGACTCTGGAGTAGTATTTTCTTCAGAGCTAATTTAGCCTAACTTCTAAGATATGAAAATTCTGGGATCTCTAGTGAATGCCTCCAGTATTCAATAAAGCCCCTCCACTATGGCTGGTGGGAACTAAAATGATGTGTTCAGGAATCATCTGGCATGAAATTCCCCAGTAACTTCTTTGTCCAGAAGTTCTTTATATAAGCCTGAAGTTTTCACTCTAAGCCTAGATCAGTCAAGAATTTTAAGGAAACCCTTTGCAGATTTCTGGTACTTGTTCTTTGTTAAGTTCACTCCTCTCAGGTACTCTCTTAACTATATACATTTTAACCACTTTGGCCTCATAAACTGCAATCTCTGTCTTAGCTACTCAGCAAGATTACTCTTAATCCTTGAGCTGCCCTTCCCTATGAAGCATTCTAGAAATTGCCTCCCAGTAGAAAGCCTGCGTGATTCCAGGGCTTACTTCATTTGTTTCCCTTTTTACAGGAACCACAGTCCTACTGCATATTAGCCAATGATTAAAAATGTTTGTTTTCTATCTTTTGTCCAGTCTTCTAGCATTTATGATAAGGGAATAATTCTAGCCACCACTACTTTCTAATAGCCAGAAACAGAAGTGATAATATATTTCTAACTACTTCTAAATTTAAGTTCCTTGATAGTAAGACATTTTTATTTCTCCTAGCACTACATTCTAAATAAAGACAATAGGAGGAAATGGGAAGGTAGTTGCTACTTCATGATGTATCAGTATGATTTACGTAGATGCTACTTCATGAAGTATGAATGATTTAGGGAGATGTTTCATCTAGACCAGAGAGGAAAACAAAATCTGCTTCTTTTGGGCCAAAGGTTAGTAAAAGAAGGAGAGAAGGAGTAAGAAAGAGGAAGTAGCTTATATATATCCCCAAGTCTTTGCTCTGTAGAATGAAAGATTATGTAGTACCCAATTCCCCTCCTTTCTTTGTGGCATGAACACTGAATTGAAAGTCAACAGACCTGTTATTATGCCAGTGGTATAGGTAAGATGCTCCCAAAGCAGAAGCTTCAGTCCAAATGGAGACTATGAGAGAATTTCAGAGAGATATTCATCCCAGTGAGAGCTAAGGGTGGCTGGGTCAGCAGGAAGAATTTATGTGACTCTGAGTCAGGAGAGGATAATTGGACATAGGAGTAATTCAGGAGCAAGCAGAAAACCCAGTAGAGTGCCTAAAACATGACGGACCAACTGTACTTCAGTGGCTACTAGCCAGAACACTACCAAAAAGCACTATGAGGCCAGGAGAAAATTTCCTTCCAAAGCCATTAGCTTTTTCCTCATGCACCTAAATCAGAAAAGAGACTGGAGAAAATGGAGGAATCTAAAAGTAAATATCATAGGGTAAAAAAAAATCAAAAGGTTTTTAAATTATTAGATCAAAGTAAGTTTCAAACTTGTAGATTAAGTTTAGTTTAAATCTTTTTTGAAAAGTAACAGGAGGGGAGATTATGATGATGAAATAAGCAGGCTACATTTTTATTGCATGTCTGAATTGTGATGTGAGCAAATTTGCATTTTCACTACATAAAGGTAGAAAAGAAATGAGTAGAAAAGTTCAAAAAGAGAGAGGAAATAAAGAAAAATGAATAAAAGAAGAAAGGAGGAAGGAAGGGAGAAAGGAAGTATACCAGAAAGGAAGGGAAGGAGGGAGAGAAGAAAGGAAAGGACAGAAAGAAGAGTAAGAAAAAGGAAAAGAGAGAAGAAAGAAGGAAGAAAGATTGTTCTTTCATTTTCCTTTTCAGAAGTCTATAGTTCTAGAGATTGGTCCTTCTTTATAAGTTGAGAATACCATTAGGAGTTTCTTGAGGCATTGGAAAACTTTTTTTTTTTTTTTTTTTTTTTGAGACAGAGTCTCACTCTGTCACCCAGGCTGGAGTGCAGTGGCGGAATCTCATCTCACTGCAACCTCTGCCTCCCAGGTTCAAGCGATTCTCCTGCCTCAGCCTCCTGAGTAGCTGGGACTACAGGCATGCACCACCACGCCCAGCTAATTTTTGTATTTTTAGTAGAGATAGGGTTTCACCACGTTGGCCAGGACGGTCTTGATCTCTTGACCTTGTGATCAACCCGCTTTAGCCTCCCAGAGTGCTGGGATTACAGGCATGAGCCACCGCACCTGGCCGGCATTGGAGAACTTTTAAAAGCCAGTGATGCAGAGTTGGAATGAAAATTTTAAGGGTGAGGATGAAAGAATGAAATAATAAATTTAGAATGTTTCAAAGGTACCATTTTAGAGATAGATATTTTAGGCTATTCCAATATGTCTACTCTATGGAAGTGGGGTGTGGGAAAGTAAGTTTACCTAGGGCTCAAAGCCCAGATTTTCTGCTCAGACATTCACCAAAAGCTGATTTTCTCCAACAATTTTCGTTAATTTTATGTCAACACTACTCAGTAGAGTATGTTTTCACCTCTGGATGTTATCTCTCAATACATAACCAACATGGGAACCAATCCAAACCAGAGAGATAAAGAACCTCAAGAATACTGTGTGACAGAAGCTATTTACTTATATTTATGAACCATTTGGGATATTCAGATACAGGAGAATTCTTAAACCAGATTTTCAAAAATTCTGAGTAACCTTAGCATACTTTGGGTTACCCACTCACGTCAACTATTTTTATTTTTTGTTTGATCTGGTGTTTTCTTTAAAAATGTAGATGTGAGGCCGAGGTGGGTGGATCACGAGGTCAGGAGATTGAGACCATCCTGGCTAACACGGTGAAACTCCGTCTCTACTAAAAATACAAAAAAATTAGCCAGGCATGGTGGCGTGCGCCTGTGGTCCCAGCTACTCGGGAGGCTGAGGCAGGAGAATGGCGTGAACCTGGGAGGCGGAGCTTGCAGTGAGCCGAGATCGTGCCACTGCACTCCAGCCTGGGCGACAGAGCGAGACTCTGTCTCAAAAAAAAAAAATGTAGATGTGAATCTTTATCTTCCTTGCTTGGAAGACTATCCTTTGATTCTCAACTTATAGGATAAAATGCAAATACACATTCCTTTATAATTTGAAACTAATTTATATTTTGGGCTTTATTTACCACTGTTTTCCTTCATGCACTATACATTCTCATTAAGTGACCTCTCTAACATACTGTTTTACAAAACTATTTTTTAAAAAACTTCCTTTTCTTAGAATGTGTTCCTTTTATTTTTCTACCTGACACCCTTCAGTGTTTACCCTGCTCAGAAGACAGCTTGGCTTAGTGTACAGGCAAACCTCTGAAATATTATGGGTTTGATTACACACCACTGAAATACAGCAAGTATACCAATAAAGCAAGTCACACAATTTTTTTTGCTCTCCCAGTAAATATAAAAGTTACTTTTACACTATACTGTGGACTATTAAGTGCATAGCATTGTGTCTTAAAAATGTACATATCTTTTTTTAATGTTTAATTTTTGTGGGTATGTAGTAGGTATATATATTTATGGGGTACATAAAATGTTTTAATACAGTCATGAAATGTGAAATAAACACATCATGGAGAATGGTGTATCTGTCCCCTCAAGCATTTATCCTTTGAGTTACAAACAATCCAATTACACTCTTTATGTTATTTGAAAATATACAATTAGGTTATTATTGACTATAATCATCCATTGTACTATCAAATAGTAGGTCTTATTCACTCTTTCCAGTATTTTTTTATACATTACCGATCCCCACCTCCCTTTCCACCTTCCCACTACCTTTCCCAGCCTCTGGTAACCATCCTTCTCCTCTCTATGAGCATGAGTTCAATTGTTTTGTTGTTTGGATCCCACAAATAAGGGAGAACATGCGATGTTTGTCTTTCTGTGCCTGGTTTATTTCACTTAACATAATGGTCTCCAGTTCCATCCACGTTGCTGCAAATGACTGGATATCATTTTTTTTATGGCTGAGTAGTACTCCATTGTCTGTATGTACCGCATTTTCTTTAACCATTCATCTGTTGAACACTTAGGTTGCTTCCAAATCTTAGTTGCTGTAAACAGTGCTGCAACAAACATAAGAGTGCAGATATCTCTTCAATATACTGATATACCTTCTTTTCAATATATACTCATCAGTGGGATTGCTGGATCATATGGTAGCTCATTTTTAGTTTTTTGTGAAACCTCTAAACTGTACTCCATAGTTGTGCTAATTTACATTCCCATTGACTGTCCTCTTTTCTCCACTTCCTCATCAGCATTTGTTATTGCCTGTGTTTTGGATATAAGCCATTCTAACTGGTGTGAGATGATATCTCCTTGTAGTTTTGATTTGCATTTATCTGATGATGGATGATGTGTAGCATCTTTTCATATGCCTGCTTGCCACTTGTATGTCTTCTTTTGAGAAATGTCTTTCAAATCTAAAAATGCACATAGCTTAACTAAAAAAATGCTTTCTTGTTTAAAAATGCTAATGGTCATCTAAGCCTTCAGCAAGTCCTAATCTTTTTGCCAGTGGAGATTCTGCCCCAGTATTGATGGCTGCTGACTGGTGAGGGTGGTGGTTGCTGAAGGTTTGGTGGCTATGGAAATTACTTAAGATAACAATGAAGTTTGCTATGTTGATTGACTCTTCCTTTCACAAAATATTTCTCTTTGGCATGTGATGCTGTTTGATAGCATATTGCTCACAGTATAACTTCCTTCAAAATTGGAGACAATTCTTTCAAACCTGATGCTGTTTGATGAACTAAATTTATGCAATATTTTAAATCATTTGTTGCCATTTCAGCAATGTTCACAGCATCCTCACAAAGAGTAGATTCCCTCTCAAGCAACCACTCTTTGCTCATCCATAAAAGCAACTCCTTTTCATTCAAGTTTTATCATGAGACAGCAGCAATTCAGCCATGCCTTCAGAATCCACTTCTAATTCTAGTGTTCTTCCTATTTAAGCCACCTCTGCAGTTACTTCCACCACTGACGTCTTGAACAAAGTTATTTATATGTGAGAGTTGGAATCAACTTCTTCCAAAGTTCTGCTAATGTTGTCATTTTGATATCCTCCCATGAATCACAAATGCTCCTAGTGACATCTAGAATGGTGAATTCTTTCCAGGTTTTTTATTTACTTTGCTCAGATTCATCAGAAGAATCACTTTCTATGGCAGTTACAGCCTTACAAAATGTATTTTTTTCAGTAATGAAATGTGAAAGTCAAAATTACTTCTTGAACCATGAGCTGCAGAATGAATATTGTGTTCGTAGGGCATAAAAGTAAGGTTAATCTTCTTGTATATTATCAGAACTCTTGGGTGACCAGGTGAATGGTCTATAAGCAGTAATACTGTGAAAGAAATCTTTGTTTCTGAGCAGTGGGTCTCAACAGTGGGCTTAAAATCTTCAGTGAAGCATTATGTAAACAGACGTGCAGTCATCCAGGCTTTGTTCTTCCATTTATAGAGCACAGGCAGAGTCATTTAGCATAAATCTTAGGATTTTTAGGAATGGTATATGAACATTGGCTTTAACTTAAAGTCAACAGCTGCATTAGCCCATAACAAGAGTCAGCATATTCTTTGAGGCTTTGAAGCCAGGCATTAACTTCTCTGTAGCTATGAAAGTCCTAGATGGCATCTTCTTCCAATATAAAGCTGTTTTGTCTACACTCTAAATCTATTGTTTATTATAGCCACCTTCATCAATTATCTTAGCTAGATCTTCTGGATAACTTGTTGCAGCTTCTATATCAATATTTTCTGCTTTACCTTGAACTTTTGTGATATAAAGATGGCTTCTTTCTTTAAACCTCATGAACCAATCTCTGCTAGCTTCAAACTTTTCTTCTGCAGCTTTGCCACCTCTCTCAGCCTTCCTAGAATTAAAGAGAGGTAAGGTGTTGCTCAGGGTTAGGTTTTAGCTTAAGCAAATATTGTGGCTGATTTGATTTTCTATGTGGAGCACTAAAACTGTCTTCATACCAGCAATAAGGCTGTTTTGCTTTCTTATCATTAGTGTGTTCATTGGAATAGTACTTTTAATTTGCTTCAAGAACTTTTCCTTGGCATTCACAACTTGCCAAATTCTTTGGCACAAGAGGCCTAGCTCTTGGCCTATCTTGACTTTCAACATGCCTTCCTCACTGAGTTTAATCATTTCTTGCTTTTGATTTGAAGTGAGATGTACAACTATTCCTTTCACCTGGGCACTTTCAGGCCACTGTAAGGTTATCAATTGGCCTAATTTCATTATTGTTGTATCCTAGAAAATAGGCAGGCCAAAAAAGAGAGAGGCAAAATGGCCAGTCATTGGAGCTGACCGCAATATTTATTAAGTTTACAGTCTTATATGAGCTTGATTCATGGCCCCCCAAAACAATTACAATATTGACATCAAAAATTACTAATCAGGCCGGGTGTGGTGGTTCTTGCCTGTAATCTCAGCACTTTGGGAAGCCAAAGTGGGCGGATCACTTGAGGCCAGGAGTTCAAGACCAGTCTGGCCAACATGGCAAAACTTCATCTCTACTAAAAATACAAAAATCAGGCAGGTGTGGTGGCGCATGCATGTAATCCCAGCTACTCCGTAGGCTGAGACACCAACTCTCTCTAAAAAAACAAAAAACAAACAAACAAAAACTCACTATCATGAACCATCAAAATGGATATAATGATAACAAAAAATGTTTGGAATATTGTGAGAATTACCAAAATGTGAAACAGAAACACAGAGTGAGCACATGCTGTTGGAGAAATGGTACCTATAGACTTGCTCAATGCATGGTTGCCATAAACCTTCAATATTTTTAAAAAATACAGTATATGTGAAGTGAAGCACAATGAAACAAGGTAGACCTGTACTTAGGGGTATGAACTGTGGGGTCATCTAGCCCAGATTTTAAATCATAAACCTAATCATTGTACATTCTTGGAAAATTTGTGGACACTCTCTTGGCATCAGACTGTTCTTCAACATGGTGATAATAATACCAACTGCAGAGAGTTGCTGGCATGATTTAATAAAATAATACCTTGAAAGACCCAATACAGTAACTTGAAAATAACGTTTAATACATGTGCCTTATATTCCCCATTATTTCTGTTACTATAATCATAATCATCATCACCAATATCACAAGTTTGTTAGATTGAATAGAATAATTCACGTACAGGCCATAGTGCTGGGATTAGCATTAAAAGATCAATGAATTATGGTAATTGCAACCACCATTATAATAATTCTCATTACTACTAAACTTAATAAACTTAATAAACGCCACTTACTAATCAACATTCTTCTTCTTTTAGTAAAGGTAGATATAAATCTGTAAGACTATGATACGCATCATAAGCCCTGTTTGCAGACGACATGATTGTATATCTAGAAAACCCCATTGTCTCAGCCCAAAATCTCCTTAAGCTGATAAGTAACTTCAGCAAAGTCTCAGCATACAAAATCAATGTACAAAAATCACAAGCATTCTTATACACCAACAACAGACAAACAGCCAAATCATGAGTGAACTCCCATTCACAATTGCCTCAAAGGGAATAAAATACCTAGGAATCCAACTTACAAGGGATGTGAAGGACCTCTTCAAGGAGAACTACAAACCACTGCTCAAGGAAATAAAAGAGGATACAAACAAATGGAAGAACATTTCATGCTCATGGGTAGGAAGAATCAATATCGTGAAAATGGCCATACTGCCCAAGATAATTTACAGATTCAATGCCATCCCCATCAAGCTACCAATGACTTTCTTCACTGAATTGGAAAAAACTACTTTAAAGTTCATATGGAACCAAAAAAGAGCCCGCATTGCCAAGTCAATCCTAAGCCAAAAGAACAAAGCTGGAGGCATCACACTACCTGACTTCAAACTATACTACAAGGCTACAGTAACCAAAACAGCATGGTACTGGTACCAAAACAGAGATATAAATCAATGGAACAGAACAGAGCCCTCAGAAATAACGCCACATATCTACAACTATCTGATCTTTGACAAACCTGAGAAAAACAAGCAATGGGGAAAGGATTCCCTATTTAATAAATGGTGCTGGGAAAACTGGCTAGCCATATGGAGAAAGCTGAAACTGGATCCCTTCCTTACACCTTATACAAAAAATCAATTCAAGATGGATTAAAGACTTAAATGTTAGACCTAAAACCATAAAAACTGTAGAAGAAAACCTAGGCATTACCATTCAGGACATAGGCATGGGCAAGGACTTCATGTTTAAAACACCAAAAGCAATGGAAACAAAAGACAAAATTGACAAATGGGATCTAATTAAACTAAAGAGCTTCTCCACAGCAAAAGAAACTACCATCAGAGTGAACAGGCAACCTACAAAATGGGAGAAAATTTTCGCAACCTACTCATCTGACAAAGGGCTAATATCCAGAATCTACAATGAATTCAAACAAATTTACAAGAAAAAAACAACCCCATCAAAAAGTGGGCGAAGGACATGAACACACACTTCTCAAAAGAAGACATTTATGCAGCCAAAAAACACACACATGAAAAAATGCTCATCATCACTGGCCATCAGAGAAATGCAAATCAAAACCACAATGAGATACCATCTCACACCAGTTAGAATGGCAATCATTAAAAAGTCAGGAAACAACAGGTGCTGGAGAGGATGTGGAGAGAGAAATAGGAACACTTTTACACTGTTGGTGGGACTGTAAACTAATTCAACCATTGTGGAAGTCAGTGTGGCGATTCCTCAGGGATCTAGAACTAGAAATACCATTTGACCCAGCCATCCCATTACTGGGTATATACCCAAAGGCCTATAAATCATGCTGCTATAAAGACACATGCACAAGTGTGTTTATTGCGGCATTATTCACAATAGCAAAGACTTGGAACCAACCCAAATGTCCAACAATGATAGACTGGATTAAGAAAATGTGGCACATATACACCATGGAATACTATGCAGCCATAAAAAATGATGAGTTCATGTCCTTTGTAGGGACATGGATGAAATTGGAAATCATCATTCTCAGTAAACTATCGCAAGAACAAAAAACCAAACACCGCATATTCTCACTCATAGGTGGGAATTGAACAATGAGGTCACATGGACACAGGAAGGGGAATATCACACTCTGGGGACTGTTGTGGGGTGGGGGGAAGGGGGAGGGATAGCATCGGGAGATATACCTAATGCTAGATGATGAGTTAGTGGGTGCAGTGCACCAGCATGGCACATGTATACATATGTAACTAACCTGCACGATGTGCACATGTACCCTAAAACTTAAAGTATAATTAAAAAAAAAAAAACAAAAAACACACATCACAATTATCTGTTTATATATCCCCCTTAGTCCATTATTTCCTCAAAGCCAATTCTTGTTCAAGTTGACCATGTGTCTCCAGAGACTAGTACCTAATGGGCTTTTAGCAAATTCATGTTGAATGAATATATAGAGTTAATGGTTCACACTAAGCCATTCCCACTGTTTTTTTTTCTGCCTATTTATAACCTATACTATTTACTTTCTAAATACATTAATAGAGTAAGGAGTATATATGTATGTACGTATGTATATGTATATATATACTAGAATAGGACAAAGGACTCCAACCATTGGCCTTAATAGCACCAAGTTCTATTAAACTAAACCAAATAGCCTCCCTTAAAAGCCATCTGGAACTTCCCAGTTCCCTCAGAGAATCCTTGATTGCTACTCAAAGGGCCATTTTGGTGAGAATTGGAGCTTACCCATGAATCTTTTCCAAATACTCATTACTGATTCTGGGATGAGTTTACAGGAGTTCACCAGTGGTCATTAAGTGATTTTTTTTTTTTCAGAATTTTAGGATTTGGAATCATCATCCTGCTCCATGGAAAAATTTAGAGAAAAGTAGATTATGGTTGAAAACATTGGCCAACTGGATGAAAGGAAAATTAGTATATTTAATAAACACTCAGCTTTGTGGTTTCTAGTTGCAATCCATGTTTAATCTTGTATCAAAAAGAGGAAGGCATTAACTCCTTCAAAATTTCACTGAAGCTAGCCTCAGTGCAAAGGTTTAGAGCCACGTTCCATAGGCAGGTTAAAAAATAAGGCCCGAAGATAATGTACGATATTTTTTAAGTACCCGAATAGTAAGATAAATACCACCCACATCTTAAATTTTATTTCCCGTTGAAATTCAGTATATTGTTCTCAAGAAAGAGTACTTTACTGGAATAAGTAAGGGATTTGGCATCCAGAAGATCTGATTTCAAATCCTGTACTTTGCTATTTTCTAGCTGAATTACCTGGCATAGTGTAATTTACTTATCTGAGCCTCATTTTTTTTCTCTCCAATAAAAGGTAAGCAATACTTTTCATAGCATTATGATGAGGAATAACTATAATATGTTAGTGAAGATGATTCACATAATGCTTAGCAAAAAGATGCTCAATAAATATCATTTTCCTTCTAGTTTTTCCTTGGCTTTTGGAGGATTCCTAAAACTAAAAATCTTAGAAGTTTGTGTTGTAGAGAATCCAAATACATACCAATCCATTTACGTACCAATTTATTAAAAATGCAGAGACAAATTTTACAAAGTAACACAACATCATTCGTGTATATCTATCCCTGGATTCCATGGCAAATGTTCTTAGCAGAAGTATAAGATTGTATAGAGTACTTTATATACATGGATTAAGCACCTCTCTAAGAAGCGCTGGTATCTGAACATACGCATGGTAACTAACAAGAGATTATTCACTTTCCAAAGGGATCCTTTACGCAAAACGATTAGCCATATGACTCACTTTAATAATGATTTTCCCAGGTGCCTATAAAATAAGATTTAATTTTCTTAAAAACTACCATTAAGTAACTTTCAGGAATAAACCCCTGTGTGAAACAATATGATACTTTATGAGGTTAACTCAGATAAAGCCTACTGGGTTGGCTAGGTGTCAAAGAAAGCATGCCAGATGATGAGACAAATCCCCGTGATGAAAAGCTCTTAGGTTTCATGTTTAGTGTTATGGAAAGACAGAGTCATACTTTCTACAAGTGCAGCCCTTTACAGGCACCAGTGATAGTGGGTATTAACTCAAAGGATGGTAAAATCATAGTCATCTATTGCTTCTCCTGTGCACCAAGGTTATTACATGTGTGATACGGTTTGGCTGTGTCCCCACCCAAATCTCACCTTGAATTGCAATAATCCCCACATGTCAAGGGTGGGTCCAGGTGAAGATAATGGAATCATGGGGGTGGTTTCCCCCATACTGTTCTCGTGGTAGTGAATAAGTCTCACAAGATCTGATAGTTTTATAAATCAGAGTTTGTTCCCCTGCACAAGCTGTCTTGCCTGTCACCATGTAAGAAATGTCCTTGCTTCTCCTTTGCCTTCCACCGTGATTGTGAGGCCTCCCTAGCCATGTGGAACTGTGAGTCAATTAAACCTCTTTCCTTTATAAATTACCCAGTCTTTGGTATGTCTTCATCAGCAGTATGAGAACAGACTAATACAATGTGTAATTTCCTTAAATTATCCCAACAACAAGATAAGGTAGGTCATATTAACAGTCTATTATTTTTAATATTATCATTTTATGAAGAAGAAAATATTGAGATGTTAAGATCACCCAGTAAATAACTGCCACGGGCTTCACATCCATTCCTGTCCAGCTCCAGTACTCATATTCTCTCATCTAACTGCATTGTATCTCATTGCATCAGGGTAAAACATGGTTAATGCCATGAAACAGTTTAAATACAAGTAATGTAGATGTGCAGATGATGGATATATTATTGCAATTTGGGAATTAAGGAAAAATTCCTAGGGACATGGCATCTGAACTGTGCTAAAAAAAAGAAGGGGAAAATAAAAAAGCACAATTTTAAACTTTCCAAGCCCCAGGAGCAAATTTTAGGTGAGGTCACAAAACCTGAACTTCAACTGGCAAAAATCTAGATTCATTGTCTGAACTTGAGCTCCCAGGGACATCCCAAGACTACCAAATAAAAATTATCATTGTTAAAGGAAACATCAGTTTAGTAACAATTTTACCTGTTGAAGATAAGGGGAAAATGCATCATGTAAACAATACCTTTCTA
The DNA here is from genome assembly GCF_000001405.40 of Homo sapiens. Classification (NCBI taxonomy): domain Eukaryota; kingdom Metazoa; phylum Chordata; class Mammalia; order Primates; family Hominidae; genus Homo; species Homo sapiens. The sequence goes on along the minus strand of NC_000009.12, from coordinate 115,305,989 downwards.
GCGGCCTTCAATAGCCCTTCAAGTTTTCCCTTTTTCCAGAAAGAGTTGTCTTCTTATTCAGGTACATTGGCAGTAGCATCAAATCTGTGACCAAAGGAAAAATACTGGTCAGGCCTCATTAAGCTGTGATTTCAATTAAATATCATAAAGGAAAAAAGAGAGTTGACAACAAATAGCTTACAGAAACAGGAAACATGCAGCACCAGGCACGCAGCTCGGCCTTCATGCTCTGTCTTATGCTTGGCCAGTGAAACAAACCACAACTTGTTGACAAAGTTGAGGCATGTTGCCTGTCAGAGAGGCCCAGGATAAGGAAGCATCTAAGGCAGTTCAGGAGAGTGCCGATCTTCTCCCAGCTTAAAACACCACCCAGGCCCCCAGGGTATCAGAGAATCAAGCATCAACTTCCTAGCTTGGAGGAACAATAGTCCAATGAAGGACAATTTATTTTCTTTCATTTAAAAAACGCTTTTTAAACCCTCCTTTTTTCTAATGTAAAAGTAAAGAAGGATCAGTAAGAATTATAGGACTAACTAGAAAACGAGGAAACTAAACACAGACAAGAGGAAAAAGAAGAAAGAAGACACCAAAGCATGAGGAGGTGTTTCTTGGACGCAGTGTAAGAAGAAAAAATAAAACATAAATAAGACAGAACAAGAGAAATATAATTTGCATTTCTTGAAAAGAAATCTGTATATGTTAAGCAGAGAGAACTGAGATATAAGGGATATACTAACCAGGAGACATTGTTGAGTTAAACTCCCTTAAGTGCTGGAATGGAGTTAACACAGGTGGCTTTAGGTTCTCCAAACATTGGTGTAGACACAATGTAGCAAAGTGGTCAAGGGTATGTGATTTGGAGTCAGAAAGGAATGGATAAAAATCACCACTTTACCACCTATGCACACTTGAGCAAGTAACTTAAACCCCATTAATCCAAATTTTATTATCTCTAAACTGAGACTAGCACTGCTTATACCATATGATTTTTGCAAATACATAACATCATGTATATAAATAAAGTACTTAGCCCAGTGCCCAACACACAGTTAGCTACCAATCTGATTAATTATAATTAATAAATTATTGTTGTGGAAGGTGAGATATTTCCTTGATTCATCTGGGAATTTCCCTATTAGCCATTGCTAAGATTAGTAAGTTAAATGTGGGAAACCTAGATATTTTTTTCCTTAAAGATCCCATTTACTTCTCTGAGAGAACAATTGGCACCAGCCAATATATATCAAAAAGAAAAACAATTTGTTTTACAATGGGAAAAATGCACACAGGTGATATAATTAGAGCATAGTCTAAGATGAAAAATTTTCTTAAGCTCTAGCATGTACAATAAAAATAGTAGGTGGAATAATCTAGTAGATAATAGTAGTCATCTAATAGACTATAGATTGAAATTATTATAGACTAATAGATTATTAGATTGAAATTGGTAAAAACTGCAATTACTTTTGCACCAACCTAATAGAATGGTCAGAAGAGATATTAACATAAGATCCCCACTCCAAAAAATGTACAATAAAATAAAGTTACAGATGGCAAAAAAATCTTAATTTTAAACATCTTAAGTAAAATCCAAGCATAATAAACTTAACCCTTCACTAAAACAAACAAACAAATATAATGGCCTATTAAAATTCATTAAACATCTTAAGTAAAATCCAAGCATAATAAACCTAACCCTTCACTAAAACTAACAAACAAATATAATGGCCTATTAAAATTCATCAAAAAAGAGGCAGGTATGGTTAACTAGGAAAAAAAATCTATCAAAGTAGGCTAATTCAATATATGAGCAAACTAAAAGAAAAAATAGATTTATCAATAGATACATAAAATTAAGGAATAAAATTCAAAATGAATCCATGACAAAATTCTTAGCAATCTATCAGTAACAAGAAACTTTCTTTAAAAATAAACATCTAGCGAAAAACTACTATAGATATAATAATGAATGATGAAGCTTTAAAAGCATTTCTATTAAAGTCAAGAAAAGAAAATAGTAGAGTCTTTATAATTACTTTTACTAGTCAACTGGATGCCCTAATTACGTAATAAGGCAAGAAAAATAAATGATACTTAAGAATTTAAGCTTATCAGTATATATTTAGAGATCATATATAAGGTCCTCAATATAATAAATCTAAGAAAAACTGACTAAACTAGCAAAGTCACTCTAAGATCTCACAAGGGTGGAAGAATATATACATATCAGTAATAATGCAATATAAGTACAGGCATAAAAGCAAAAAAAGGTGTTTATGAATAAATTTAAAAATACATATATGCAAAAATTTGTATACAAAATTATGAAATAAGCAGCATAAGGGAAACAAAATATATGGAGAGTTGTGCCATTTCCATGAGTGGAGATATTTAAAATCACAAAGCTATTAACTTGATCCAAATCATCAATATATTTAATTAATGAGGTTTCAGATAAAATCTCAACAAGATTTCTCTCTCAGAACTCTACGCACTTATTCTAAACTCCATTTGAATATGCAAACAACAAAGATCAGCAAAGATAATTCTGAGGGGAGGGGAAAAAATGAGCTAGAACTTGACTACCTATCCATGAAAACAGTTTAAAGTCATAAAATTAAAAGAATGATATTGGAGCAGAGAAAAAGTCAAGTTAATGAAATAAAATTTGAAGCCCTTAAATAAGCTGAAACACATATGAGCCTGGTGTATGACAGAGGTGGCATTATAAATCAGTGGGAAGGAAAAAAGTGCAGTAAATGACCTGGTTTCCCATTCGGAACTCACTTTATAGACAAAAATAACTAAATAAAACTGCAAATGGGATTTTTTAATTAGAAGAGAATGTAGGATAACAATTTTTGACTAAGAGATAAAAATCAAATTTCTTAGAAAACTCTCAAACACTAGCAATTTATAGGAAAGCATTGATAAAACCAAGTGCATCAAAATTAAGATTTTCCCCATTACGAAGCACACCATGAAACATACTTAAAAAAATGGCAGGCTTAGAAAATATGTCTGTAACGTGTAAAACAAACACACGTGTAAAACAAACACAGATTATCTTGAATAGGTAGAGAAATTATGTATCAGTTTAAACGAACCAACAATATAACACAGAAGTTGGCAATTGATGGGAACAGGCAATTCAGAAGAGCCAGTGAACATATGAATAGATTATTATCCTCACTAGAAATAAAGGAAATGCAAATTAAAACAACAGTGAAGCATTTTACACCAAATAGTTTGACAAGCATTAAAGAGTCTGTCAATAGCAACTGTTGGTAAAGACATGAGAAAACTGAACTTTCCTACCCTGCTGGTGGGAGTCTAAATTAGTACAATCACTTTGGAGAGCAATTTGACTGTAGATCGTGAAATTGTTAAAATGTGCATGCCCAATGACTTCTCATTCTACTTCAGAGAAATGCCTGCACATAAACCAGAATGTTCATTATAGCAGTGTCTGTTTACAATGAAGAAAAATTGGAAACAATCTTTATGTCCTTCAGTGGAGAAAGAATGAGTAAATAAATTGTAATATATTCATGGAATTTACAATAACAAAAATCAAAATGAATTAATTAGATCTATGTGTAAAGACATGAATGGATATCAAAAATGCAATCTTGAGTAACAAAGGGGAAACAAGTTGTTAAAAACTGTAGTATGAAATAGTTCTGTAAATAGGTAAGAAATAGCAACCATATGTATTATTAGTGGATATATCTCATAATAAACATAGAAAATGGGGGCTGCAATGATACACAATAAAATTCATATTGGTGATTGCCTTTAGAGAAGGGGGAATGATATTAGGGATAAGAGCTTCCATGTTATCTGTAATACTTTAGATTTTTAAAATAAATAAGTTGCATGATGAAATACATTTTTTAAATTATAGTTAGGAGAAGGAGTCCAGGAGAAAAATCTGACACTGCCACTAAAAGGTAAGCAACAGGAGGAAGTGAGATTTGGTGTTTGTTTATTTTTCCATCTGTTCTCATATTATACAAGGCATATAATTACCATTGGTTCTCCTCACACATTTGCTGATTTAGGGATAAAGAGAAATGAAGAGATAAATTAGATATTATCCAAGTTTCCAAGAAGCTCAAAAGACATCAGAGTAGTAGACATAAGATATTACATACATGCACACATGCGCACGCACACACACACACGCACACTATGCATGACCACATCACTAAGTTCCTGCAAACCACAGAGCTTAAGTTATTCAGAGGCTACAGGGAAATCACTTTGTCCCTTCAATCTGAGACCCTTTTGCATGCCTGCTGAATTTTTAAGCTAGCACCATCCAAGGCAAATTGAGACGTCAAATCACCCTACTAGCTTGTCTACCATAGTCTGTCTAAACGTTCTCCATAGCTTTATCTAATCCTTCACTCTGAAAATACTTAAAGAACTTACCAGGCTCTGTACTAGATAAGAGACTACTCCTACTCTCTCTCTCTCTCTCATTCCCCAAAATAGCCCTATGTGGTCAATATTTTAACCTTATTTTATAGTTAAGAAAATTACAATGTACGCAGTTGAAATATCCAAAGTTACAGTTTGTAATTTGTGTAATTGGAATTCAAACTCAGGTTTGAATTACCCCAAAGTTAAGCTCTTTCTGCTGTAAAAGGATCTGGAAATGCAGTTGCTGAATCAGTTTCCTCAGCCACCACTTTATTCAGAGCTGCATCCCAAACACCATAGAAAAATAAAAGATAAATAGGTTTGAGTCCTTGCTGTAGCTCCCAGCTTGGGATCCAGCAGCGGGTTTACCTCATCAGTGATCTAAGAACTCGCTATAGACCAGGAGGTTATAATTAAGCCATCCTACAGTTCCTCCCAGCTGAACAAGCCTGCTGCCTTTCATCTGTGCACATAAGTCTTATATTCCAGGCCTTTACAGTTCCCACCAGATTTCCACATCCCTTTTGGGTTTGGGAGCCAAGAATTGATCACAGCCTTGCAGTGAGAGGAAGACCTGTGCTGTTTCACTCCAGGCAAATGCACTTATGTGTGGTGTAAGGGGATCCTCTTCTTGGTCCAGCCTGGAGATTTCAGTGTAATTAATGCTGTTTGTAGGTTGTAAGAAGTAACACCTAAGCCTCTCTGTTGATGGCCAAGCCATTACTAATTTTTCAGATGTGTTGATGACTTTTCCCCATGTGTCTACATGCCATGTCTGCTGAGCTCATCCATAGCAGGAAGTGGGATCAGTGGAAGTACCAAGAGAGAAGATAAGTAACATGTCCTCCCGGCACATGTGGAAGATAAATGCTCAATTCTTGGATGTGTTCTGTCTACTAAAACTTTAAGTTTAGGGAAGGCCTTTTAAAAAATGCATTTACCACCACACTTGGAACAAAATCACTAACCCTCCATCCCAATGAGCTACAGAAGTGGTTTATTATACAATATCCTGGTGGGAAATCAACCATATGTCTTTGGGAAGGAAAAACATGGCAGGGAGTTGCCTTGGTGCCAATTATGTGAAGGGTAATACTCTTGGCTTTTTCTGCCTGCCCAATCCGTGTGATGAGTGGAGGAAGGGGTGCAGGGACAGAGAAAGTGAGACACACTGTGGATACTGGCATGCATGGTAGTGTCTGTGAAGGCCACACTGGATATTAGATGCCAGCTCATATCTGCAGAGTCAGCAGGAAGGAGCAAGAGCTAGGAGGAAACTGCATTAAGAGATGCTTGAGCTGTAAGAATCCTCAAGGATCTCCTGCTCCAAAGGGCTTGAAACCTGTTGGACAACAGCATCACCTGGGAAACTTTTGAAAATACTGATTCTTGGACTGCACACCAGACTTAGTAAATCAGAGTCTACAGTTGTGTGACCACAGATACATGTTTGGGAGTCTCTCTTCAGTCTAATATTTACTTGCATGATAAAATGAGAAACTAAAGCTAAAGAGGGAGAGTGATTTGCCCATAGTCAGCACAGTTTGTCAGAAGCCATGGAACCTGATTCCAAGCCCAGAAGTTCCTGGTTGAAGTCTCTCTTCTGCTTTCTAAACTCATCATCTCTACCCCCTCCATTGTTCAGGTATCAAGGAATGCCCCCACCCTCACTTCCCGCCCCAACCACCCAATGCTCAAATCAGACTCTTGGGAATTATTCTCACTCTCTTTCATTTTCCATATGCAACCCATGCCCAATCTTGCCAAATTTACCAATTAATATTGATTGCATAGATCCCTTTCCCCTTCTGCACTGCCACTTCCCTAATTCAGCCACCACCATCTCTCATGTGAATTACTGAACTAGCTTCCTAACTAGTATCTCTGCCTCTGGTTTCACCATTCTATTCATCCTCCACCCTGAAACCAAAAAGATATTTGTGAAACATGAATCTGATCTTGTCACTCTGTTGTATAAAACGTTTCAATGGCTTTCAAAGAATGAAGACTTTGATCAGCCTTTCATAACTGACATCTCTTGCTATCCCCCAAGTTTCATCTTATGTCTCCTACAACACAATACTTATTCTATTCTCTTATATGCATCATTCAATTTAATGCCTTCACATTCAAATATATACCACACCTTCATCAAGAAGACTTAAGCTCTTTTGTCCCCTAGGAGAAACCATCCCTAATCCCAATGATCTAAGTTAGGGATTTTTTCCTCTTTGCCTTGGTAACATCCTATGATTTCCTCCATTAAAAACTTTATCAGATAATATTTAGAATATTTTTTGGTAATTGCTCATATCCATCTCTACAGTGTGAAGTTCCTTGGCACCAGAATTAATTCCTGGTTCATATCTACATTTCAAGAACGAAGCAAAGAACCTGGCATTGTGAGTACTTCAAAATATTGGCTGGACCAAACCAAATCCTCTCAAAATAGATTGGTGAACCTAATTCCTAATCACTCTCCATAGGATTGTTCCCTGTGAAATGTGATTTGAGAGGCCCCACTAATCCAACCAATCCTTGGCCACCTGATGTAGTCAGTGCAATCCAGATCTTTTGATCTCCTTAGGTGCCCAGTGCTCTATGAGCTAAATCACAGGTTTATGAGCAATGTCCTGGAGTTGGACACATAATACCTCCCATTTGCCTAGACACTCTCCAGACATGTGATGATTGAATTCTTACAAACACCTTAAGAGGGAGACGTTATTGTGCCTATTTTACATTAAAACAAATGGGCTTAGAGAGACTAGGTCTGAGTCTACACAGCCACTATAGGGTTGAGCTAGGATTCAAATCAGATGTGTGTCTCCAAAGAGAGTACTCTATTAGTTCACCTCTTTGGCTAGTGTATGGCTGGTCATAGAAAAAAATCAGAAAACAAAAGAGAATCTTGACAAGTGAGTCAACAGTTCTCCCATCCTTGAAGAGTCCAAAGAGTTCAGCCTAAAATCTCCAATGAGTTTTCTTTTTTCTGATGCCTGGGTCCTATTGGGAAGATATACAGTAGAGGGAAGGGACACATAAATTTAAGCCAACATATTTCTCTTGCAAGGGTTATCCTACATAGGTCATATAACATCCTAGAAGATTCACCTTAGGTGGGCCATTGGTAATGAAGGATCCCAAGCAGCTCATCTGCTGGGATTACCTTGATCAGCCGCATGCCCATTCAATCATGAAGCAGCCAAACGATCTTTTCCACCACAATCCTTGTGACACACTCTCCAACCTCTCCCTCCACTGTAGGTACTCTCCCCCACACACACCATCCTCCTGTTGCAGAGACTCTCCACACCAAATATATTAATATGATTTGATTTTACAAGTTCCATGTAGTAACCCCAAATTTGTCAATTTCTTGCTTTGTGGACTTCAGTGAGAAAAAGAAAATTAACACTTTGGTTAATGTTTTCCATTTTCCATATGCAAAATTAAAGTACAGATGCTTTCCTGTTTTTTTTTTTGTTTTTTTTTTTTTGTTTTTTTTTTTTTTTGAGACGGAGTCTCACTCTGTCGCCCAGGCTGGAGTGCAATGGCACGATCTCCACTCACTGCAACCTCCACTTCCCAGGTTCAAGCAATTTCCAGCTAATTTTTGTATTTTTAGTAGAGACAGGGTTTCACCATGTTGGCCAGGCTGGTCTCAAACTCCTGACCTCAAGTGACCTGCCTGCCTTGGCCTCCCAAAGTGCTAGAATTATAGGCATGAGCCTCCTGGCCAAGCCTTTTTTAAAAAAATGAAAATACCTAGTATTGAGGATGATAGAGAGAAACAAGTACGTTCATGCAGATGGTAAGGATTCAATTCAGTTACCCTTCTGGAGGGTGACTTGAAAACATCTAGAAAAATCTAGAAAAGAGTGTACACTTTGACATGGCAACTCTACTTCTGGGAATATCCCAAGCCAGGTGTCAGCAAACCATGGCCCACAGACTGAATGCAGCCCGCTAACTTTTTGTAAACAGAGTTTTTGTTTGAAACATAGTAACATCCATGCTGTTGCTCAATGTACATGGCAGTGGCAAAGCTGTGTAGTTACAATAGAGATTATGTGGCCCACAAAGCCCAAAATGTTTATTTAATCTGCATCTTTCCACAAAGTTTGCTTATCCATGACAAAGAGTTATGCAAATGTCACTTGGCTACTGCTGATTCAGGTTCCTTGCATGGGCCATCCATGTGCTTTCTCAGAGGATAGGGCTTCCACTCCCTCAATGCCAAGCTTGTGGCTGCAATGTTCCTAGGTTTTCAGGCCAGAGACCTACAAGCTTAGCTTGCTCAGCTCCATCCAGAGCCAAAAGGCAAGCCCACCAAGGAGTGCTGTGCCAGAGGCAGTGGCTCAATCACCTCCTGCCAGTAATGAATCTTCTCCTCCACCCTGAATACTTTTCTCTTCTTCCCTGAACTCTTTGAGAGAATGTGGTTCACTACAACAGAGGCATAAGAATTGTGAAGCTTATTTCCCTAACAAGGAGAACCAATTGCCTCTGGTGATAGACCTCTACATCCGTTTTGGGAAAGAGAGCCACATTCTTGCCTCAAAAGTGAATCATTCTCCCAAGAATGACCATGGTAGTGTAGTGTCTGGCTCTCTCTTCACTAGAAGAAAATAAGTAAATATTTAATATAGCACCCTGCTGTTATGTATTCATTTTATGACTGAAAGAAAACAATAAAGCAATTTCAAAAGAAAAAAGCCTAGTTCACAGGTGTTTTCTGAACCCGTTATTACACAAACAACTAGATTTAATAAAATCGAATGTGCTTCATAGATACAAGGTATAATTATTGTTAATAAAATTCAATAATTTCAAAACAATGAGTGGGAGTTGTTTACATTGCAAAAATTGGCTTTATAACCTGCCATAAATTTCTTTTAAATAATTAAGCCCACACAAAACCGTATTCCACAAAAGGGATAAACCACATATATAAATAATTGTATATGTATGCATTATTTTCCCCCAAGGATAGCTTATTAAACTTTAATGAACCCTAAAACAGATAAAACCAAAAATGTCCTTTTTAACACAGCCCTAGTTACTAGGTATTCCCAGATTTACTCAACTAGCCCACGGGACATCTCAGAAAGACCCTTAGGTTTTGCAGAATTAGCAAAAGAAAGGAATTGCCAGTTCTGTACATTATGGAAAGTTGGCAATGGAAGAAAACAGGGAACATTCTGAGCCCATTCCTAATTTTTCGGATCAGGAACTGATTACAAAAGAAAAGAAATACCTCACCCACAGTCATAGAGAGCTCATGAATGGATCATCTACCACAAAGAGTATGGATCCAAGAATGGATCATCTACCTCCAAGAATAAATTCTTCTTTCCCTCCTCCCCTCTGTCCCCCGCAAAAAATCAGAAACATGCCTGAAGATGTAAAGTGAAATTCACCTGGAGAAGACACAGAAGCTGTTAGGTTCACGGAGGGGAACTACCTGACTCTCTGAAAAGGCTGTAAGAGACCAGGTCATCCTCCACCAAGCGGCAGGCAGCCTGCACTCTCAGAGCTGCCAGGACCTCACACTATTCATTACTCCCTTCTGAAGCACTTTCCAGACCTACACTGGACTTGACTTCCTGACAGGTTGTATATTGTTTCCACCTCTGAGCTCAGGGTTCATTTTTCTCTCATTTATGGCCCTGCTTTATCCTCTGGTAAAACATTAGCCATATTTCTCTTGTTTTGCCTGATTCAACCCAGGCTATAAGGCTATATATTGCACACCTTCCCTTTGGGCAGCCCACTAGACTTTTACCTTCTGAGCAGGACTCTGGCAAGACTGAGAGCAACTCTTTCCTACAAGACCAGATTTCTGCACTACACAAAGAAGAGGTTCAGACTCTTCTTGCCTCATTCCTAGGGTACACTCATTTGCTAAATTTTGCCCTCACAGCTAGAAGCGTTGGCATCCTCAACCTCACAACCCGATGATACACCCGAACACACATAAATTTGGGTGTCTCTGACTCCACTGGTGGGATCTGCTTTTATACTAATAATTAATATCACTTGGCACTTACAAAAGATCTGTCAGCTTTGAAAATGTCTCCCAAGTACATATTAATTGAACAGACTTGCCAGCTCAAAATATTTTCACTCTACCTCCCAAGCCTCTGGGTATTTATCTAAGCTACACCCATGCCCCATGTAGAACTTTCAGCATTAACTCTGACTTGAGAAGCTGACAAGAGCTCAGGAAATCCCAGTTTATCAAGCTTGCCGCTTGGACCTCCACAGATTGTCTAAGCCATGTATCTAAGCCTTCAGTAAGGTCCCAAAGGAGGGCTGTTTCCAGGATCCATGAAAAGAAAATTAATTGAGTATTTTGTTATTGTAAGAGATGACGTATATAGAATTTTAAATTCACAATAATTGTGATCCAAAACCCAGAACTCCCACTGGGAAAAATATCTAACCTTGTAGCCCCAGGTATTTCATAGATAAAATAGAGATAATAATACCTAAATTAGTTCTTATGAGAATGAAAGATAAAGAATCTGATGGTGTCATGGTAAATAACTGGCACATAGTAGATAACACTGATTGATCTTTTAATTTTTTTTTTTTTTTTTGAGACAGGTTCTCTGTCACTCAAGCTACAATGCAATATCTCCATCATGGCTCACTGCAGCCTCAACCTCCTGGGCTAAAGTGATCCTCCTACCTCAGCCTCCCAAGGAGCTGGAACTACAGGCACATGCCACCACACTTGGATAATTTTTAATTTTTTTTCTTTTTTTGTAGAAACAGAGTTTCGCCATGTTGCCCAAGCAGGTCTCGAACTCCTGGACTCAAGCAGTCCTCCTGCCTTAGCCTCCCAAAGTGTTGAGGTTACAGGCATGAGCCACTGTATCTGGGCCATTTAATCTTTTACATACTATTAACTTACAAAATTCTGTGAGTCAGGTCTAATTACTACCACCAGTTTAAAGATGGAGAAACTGTGGTATAGAGAGATTAACATGTACCAGACCCCATAGAAATAGGTGGGGTGCTGAGATTGAAGCCTGGACAATCTGGCTCCAGAGCCTGATCTCTGAACCACCATGCTGTCCTGTCCCTTGAGAGTAGTTGGCAGGTATCAGTGCTGCCATAGCATCAGTGAGGATGGCCAAGCCCTTCCGGGATCCAGGTGAGGATGCAGCCTATTGTCTGCTACTCTATGCCTTGCCCTTTGGTGATTTTCTTGAATTTGGAGACATAAAATCTTATGTGGGCTTTATATTTTCTAGTAGTTATAATCATAATAGTAAACAACTATTAGAAAGCATTTTTCTCATAGTTTCTTTGTTTTTTGGTACTTTTTGGTCATTTGTGGAAAGAAAAAACTGGATACAGGCAATCAGAGTTGAGTCTCAGCTCTATCTCTCCTCTTCTACCTCCTCTGTGGAAATTGTTTTCACATTTGTAAAAATGGGGTCATAACATCTTAACTCAAGGGAGTGCTGAAAACGAAAAAGATGATAAGGTTCTTTGTTAACTCAAAAGTTCTCAAAGTTCTTCGCAGTGTTATTTGGGACAACTTCTAACACAGTAATTTACTGACAGAAATGTGAAGTGGACATGAGCATTCCACAAAATTTTAACCTCATGGAAACCTGCATTTATCTAAGCTGCCTGTAAACTGGTCGTTCTGTCTTTTTGTCTTCTTTGGCAGAAATACTGCCATCTTCAAATTGCTCGATTAACCTGTTCGGCAGTAGTGATCATTGCCAGATCCTGTACGCAGCTGCAAAAACATGAAGATGCATAGAAAACAAACCCCATGAGGGAACACCCCACCATATGATAAATGCAATGATGACAGAATTGTTGTTCAGAAAACAGTGATTAACTCTTAGGCCAGAGAAGACTTCACTGAGAAGGCAGACTTCTGGGCTGGATTTTAATGACTGGCAGGTTGGATGATGACTGGGGATGATGGTGAGGGTCCAGGTTCCCAGTGGAAGGAACAGAGGATGGGAAGCCATATAGGAATCAAGCATCATAATGTGATGGGGCAACTGCTGATACTGACACTTTATGATGCTGGGGCAGTGGACACAGCTAGATCTGGAAAGGCCTCATGTGCCAAACTCAGCAGCTTGGAATTACATTTCCTTCTGTATACAGAATGTGCAGAAATGTTATGTTGCCTCTAGATCCTAATAGTTGCTGGCCCCCTAAACCTGGTTCTCTGAGCAAGACACATCTCCCCTCCACTTCCCCTCTGGCATCCCTACCACCACTACCACCCACAAGCTACCTGAAGTACTTATAGCAGCAGAGAGTGGGAGCTGCTCCACAGAGCAATGGAAAAATAAGTTGCTGAAAGGTTTATTTCCCTGCTTGGAATATTTTTACAAAGGAAATCCACAAGGCTTGTCACCACACACTCAACTATTTTTAAGCTTCCTGACCAGATCCTCTAGATAGGCCCTTTGGGGACAGTAAGTAGCGGCAGCGAGGTAGGAGTTGCTCTTGGCTTTGGGTACATTGGGTCTTCTGGGAGCCCTGGGATTTGGTTTGGCCAGAGAACATTTCTGGGGGAGGCAGCAGGAATGAAGTGAAAGCAATCAGCCCCCTTTTCTGTGTGCTTTATTTTTCCATGACCACCAGGAACCCTACCCCTTCACAGAAGCTGCCAAGAGAAATGAGGCTGGAATTTCACCTCCCTCAATACCCCCATGTGATGGATCAGGCCACAGATAAAGGGGCTTTAATTGGTTTTATACCATAAGCTAGACCTGGGTCATGACTCAGCTAAGTAGATTCCTCCTGTTCTCCCACACTGACCAAGGCCTCAACCAGATGGGGATGGTGGGCGGGTGGCTGAAAAGTCAGAAAGGGCAAGGCTGTGGGGGTGACAGGTCATCCTCAGAATTTCTGACAATGGTGCTTCTCAGCTAATGGCTCACAGAGGGGAGGGGAATTCTCAGCTAAAGAGGTCCCAACGCCAGTCCAAATACAAGATAAAGTAAAAACTATCCAGGGTTGTCTGGAAACTAAGGTTGACTTAGTCACATTTTATCTAAATAGTGGTGAAGTGTGGCTGTTTACAAAACATAAGACATGACAATGCATCTATCATGCAAAGCTGGAAGAGTCTTCAGATCAAATTGGTGCAATAATTTCTATTAATAGCTTATCTGCACATTTAACAGGGTTTACGAGGTGCTTGTCACACTGCTTCCTCCAATAACTTGGTTCAGAGTATAACAATGGCATTGTCCTCATTTTACACATGAAGCAACCTATGAGAACATCTGAATGTAGCAAAGGAAATACAAGATACAGCTCTTCTGCATCCTAGACAAGATGTTATAAATATATATGTTACATAGTAAGTGGAAAACTGTTAAAGACTTTGTTAAGTAATAGAACTGCAATGACTAAGATTCCCCTGAAGCTCAGAGAATGAAATAAATTGCCTAATGAAACAAAATCTATAAATAGGATTTCAAACTAAGTCTGTCTGGCACAAAATGTGTGGCTTTTTTTCCTCCTTGCTATAGTGTTCTTCATACTCCTTTACTTCTGTTTACATTCCAACTTAATGTGTGATCCGCCCGCCCGGCATGCTTTTGAAGATTGGAGGGATAGAGGTGCTTACCTGCTCTGGGCATGTTTCTTATCAGCTCTTCCTCTTCATTCCTGTTCCCAGCTCCCAGTCAATTGCTCTGGCCACCTTGCCACTACCCCCAAGGCTGTTCTAGCTGATTTTTTCTGCAAGCCTCACCCACACAAGTCAGTTGTATGCACAAGGATCTGCAATAACAAAAGGACATTATGACACATGAAACAATTTAAAATTAGGGGGCAGGTATTATTATTCTAATAGGTCAGGGGCCATTGCCCTCCTTAGGGAGATATTTCTCTGTCAATCCCTGCTTACCACAGTGTTCTTGGGACCTTCTCTTTCCCCTTGCTTCTCGTCCTCAGTTTCAGGGCCCCAATCAACCATATTTGGTATGTTGGCATTTTGACTAGACAATGAAAATTACCTCACTTTATTAAGCAACCACTTTAGAGTTTTTTGCCGCATTACCTCTCCCTCCAAATCTCCATTTCTATTCAGAAATGAGCAATTTCAATCTGTGACTTTTCTGTAAGAACAAGAAAATCTTTTTCAGAGGCCCCCAGAAAGTGTAACTATTGAGTCCCATCTCTACTCCTAAACCAGTCACTGGCAAAGGGAATGGCCAAGAGACCAAAGAGGATTTTATCCCAGAACAGGGAGCAGAGTTACTCTCCCCTTAACCTGGGGAAGCAGTTACATCTGAAAAAGATTGGAGCAGTACACACAAGAAAATGAGGAGAACACATTTAGTGTATGTATATTTCTCGTTAACTGTTGTAACAATCCACAAATCACAGTAGCTTTGGGTGTTTTCAGCTTTTGACATTACATTTATTTACAGACTTTCTAAGTTCAGAGAAGCAAGTGAACAAAGGCATATGTTGATGATTTTGAGTTTATATAAAGTGAAATATATAAATCCCAATATAATTTGAAAACATACATCTTAGGCATCTTTTATTTTCATGGATAAAAATGACTTTTCTTCCTACAGTTAAACTTTTATGTATCTTACAAAAGTTTCTTACTTACTCAGAGTCTGACATCAGCTAAGTAGCAGTCTTGAATAACTCTCCTCAAGCAGTCATCCAGCCATCTAGACCCCTTCCATCTTATGTTTCTACCATCTCCAAGCCTCCTCTTCCAGCTGCAGGGGTGCAGGAAGGAGTCGAAGAGTTGAGGGGAGTCACACTTGATACTTAACTACCTCCCTCAGAAGTGACCACATTACTTCTACTCTCAGTCCATTGGTCAGAAATAGTCACATGGTCAGCTCAAGTGCAAGGGAGACTGGGAAATGCCAAAGAGCACATGGGTATCAGTAAGCACTAGCAGCTCATGGCACAGTGAATGTCGCACAGAGCCAAGAATGTGCTTCCTTCAGCAAGTGAGTTATCTAATCTCAGTTGCTACCCTTAACAATACAAAAAAAGTGATCAGAAGTTCTGGAGTTACAATCTTAAATCTTCAACTGTTCCATACCAAATATTTAGGCTTGGTTCGATGTACAACACCTGTTCTTCCTTCCTGGCTCAACCCCTTTCCCCAAGCATTTACTTAAGATACAAATGATGATGTGGTGGGCATAAGGTTTTTTTTTTTTTTTTTTTTTTTTTTTTTTTTTTTTGTGTGTGTGTGTGTGTGTGTGTGTGTGTGTGTGTGTGTGTGTGTGTGTTTTCAGCATTGCCTGAAGAAAACACCAAGGGTTAATTTATTTTTCTTATTACTCACCCATCTCCCTTTATCTCTGTTGAGTTTAATACCCCTACACAAGTTATCTCTAACAAATCTTTGTCTCAGGATTCCATCTCACTAAGTTAAGAAAAAATTCCCTAAGCTGTCTTTTTGCAATAAAAACTCTTCCTTTTCATCCTTTTTTCTCTATTTTGGCAGGCAACCAAGAATTATGTCATAGCCTTGTGGTGTGGGTCTCCTTGACTGAGGCTTGCTGGAGATGAAGCTTAGGATGAGGAAATTTGGATGGTTTCCAGCTGAATTCTATGGTTTTCTTCCTGTGGTAGCCATTTGCTTCTAGAAAATTCTAGGGAAATCCAGTGTGGGCTGTGGCTGACAGGAAGTTAAGGGTTCCAATTCTGTTGCCAGTAGAGAGTAGGTCTTGTTGCTTAGCCACAGTTAGTGCGTAGAAAGAAACAGGTCCTGTTGCTTTCTTCAAAGACCCAAATATATTACCAGCTGTCAGTACACATGGGAGGCCTAAGACCAAGAATTAGAAATAGATTGCAAGAAACAGCCTCTAACTGAAATGAGTTTTCCTCTAGTGGACTTTGAATTTTCCAAAATGACATTCTTAATACTTCTCTGTCGTAATTAAAGCTGTCATTTGGCCTCAATATCAGGCTAAAGTTAAGAGTCAAGAGACTTGAATTTTTACCTAGTTCTGCTATGAACTAGTTCTGGGATCTTGAGCAAATAGACCACTCTCTGAGTCTGTTCCATCACTGACTATTAGATGAACTTTAGGGTCCTTTACAATGTAGAGGAACACGTCTAATTTATCTTTGTGTCCCAGCACTTAGCACCTGATCTGTTATGCAATAGTATCCTTAATCACTGTGAGCTGATGAATGAATGAGATCTATTGATTTTTTTTCTTCTTATATCTTCTAATGGAGCAAAATGATCATAAATCATTACATTTCTATTATATAAATTCATGCAGATTCCACATGTTATTCTCATATGGTTGATAGTCATATACATTGTATAATGTAAATAATTTTAACTGCAGATAATTCAGAAGGTTTAATAATTGTGCTTTAAATACAAACTTAATGTGATTCTCACAGTAGAGAGTCTCCATTTCTGCTAGCCTCAGAGTATCACAACCATCTCACACTAATTTTGTCACAAAAATAAAATTAGATTCTTTAGTGTACATACTCACAAAGTAATTTTTCTTTCCTTGAAATAATGTGACTTAAAATACGTAGAGATTGGTTGTATGATTTTTTTTTTTTTTTTAATATGTGGAGTCTTGCTCTGTCGCCCAGGCTGGAGTGCAGCGGCGCCATCTCGGCTCACTGCAAGCTCCACCTCCTGGGTTCACGCCATTCTCCTGCCTCAGTCTCCTGAGTAGCTGGGACTACAGGCGCCCGCCACCACGCCCGGCTATTTTTTTTTTGTATTTTTAGTAGAGATCGGGTTTCACCGTGTTAGCCAGGATGGTCTCGATCTCCTGACCTCATGATCCACCTGTCTCGGCCTCCCAAAGAGCTGGGATTACAGGCGTAATCCCACCGCGCCCGGCGGTTGTTTGATAATTTTATTATGAAAGTTTATAAGGGCTTTATGACTTTCCTAAAATTGAAATGTGCCAACAACTTAATGCAGACAGACCTCACACTTTTCCAGATACTGTCACATCCTATTCAGGAGGTTTCAAAGCACAGATGGATGTTAGACAGAAAGAAAGGGACAGAGAGGAGAGAGAGAGACTTGAGATGAGACAGGAGCAAAGTACATTATCCATCCTGTTGTAAAAGCAGCCTGTGAAATTTAAATGCAGATTTTTAGAAAGCTGGCAAGGCTGCTCTTATAACTTAATTATGGAATCATTTAAGTGCAAATGAGATCCCCAGGTGAAAATTTCATAGAAGACTTTCCTTCACTATCAAATAAAAGTGATGAAGGTAGTTATATTAGTATAAAATATATAGTTATTGTATTAGGCTTAATGTAATTATCTTAGTTTGAGCTGATATAACAGAATACCATAGACTGGGTGGCTTAAACAACAAACATTTATTTCTCACAGTATTGGAGGCTGGAAAGTACATCAAGGTGCCAGCAGATCTGGTGTCCAGTGAGGGATCTCTTCCTAGTTTGCAAACAGCTGTCTTCTTGTATCCTCACATGGAAGGCAGAGATGGATCTCATGACTCCCTGTTTTTAGGAGGGCATTAATTCCATCAGGAAGGCCCTGTCCTCATAACATAATCTAATCCTAATTGCCTCCCAAAGGCCTCACCTCCAAACACCATTACACAGGGAATTAGCATTTTGCAGATGAATTTTAGGCAACACAAAAATTCAACTCATAAGAGTAATAGGCCGGGCGTGGTGGCTCATGCCTGTAATTCCAGCACTTTGGGAGGCTGAGGCAGGAGGATCACTTGAAGCCAAGAGTTTGAGACTAGCCTGGCCAACATGGTAAAATCCCATCTCTACTAAAAATAAAAATTAAAAAAAATTAGCCAAGCATGGTGGCACGCACCTGTAGTCCCAGCTGCTTGAAAGGCTGAGGCATGAGAGTCATTTGAACCCAGGTGGTGGAGGTTGCAGTGAGCCAAGATAATGCCACTACACTACAGCCTGAGTGACAGAGTGAGACTCTGTCTAAAAAAAAGTAATATATTCTAATCCTTAACATTTATGTAACAGTAATGCAAGTTATTATTACCATTACAAATATGATTTGAGAGCTTGCTACTGAAAATTTACACAATCTCACGTGCACTTAATATGTCATCAGAGAACCTAGCTGAAACTGTCCTCCAGTAGTTTTGGCAAGATATTTTTAATTTTAATGATAAACAAATTACTTTTCTAGCTTCTGTAGGAGTGGGTACTCAAATGGATCTTTCAGGGCTTGTTGTGCCTTTGTGTGGGGGAGCAAAGTCCAAAACTTTAATGAAACTTTGTTTCTCAGAGAAAAACAAAATTCCAAGATTCTGTTATATTTTATTTCAAGATAATGTGAAGATAAACTATTCTCTGCATAATAGCATACGATTGGTCCTCCTTGTGGGTAGATGTGCAGCTCTGTAGATTAGTTTCCTTTCTAAGAAAGCCATTTATATGTGTGTGTTTTTCCTTTCTTGGGGAGCTTCATGTTAGTCATGGACTAAATGCAGGGAGATTCATGATAGTAGTGATATATCTTCATATGATCATCGCTTGGGCCAGATAGTTTGCAAATACTTTGCACATTTTAACCCGATTAATCCTTCCCCTACCTTATGAGGCAAGCACTATTATTATCCCCACTCTACAGAGGTGTAAACTAAGACCCATGGAGGTAAATTGTCCAAGGTCACACAGCTGGTAAGTAGCAAAACCTGGATTCGAACTCAGACATCGTGATGGACCTTCTTGCTGGGAAAAGACGAACTGTCTTCTGCAACACAGTGACCCACTGAGAATGGAGGAGCCAGGAGTGGAGGCGTTAAGAAAATAGATTGCCAATTAGAAACCCAGTTAATAGAGATTTACAGTAATACATGTTCTTAGGTGGAGTGATAAATGGTTTAAGGTAGACTCATATTTTCCTAAAATCCATCATAGGGCTTGCAGCAGTTATTAATACTTTTATTCTTCTGGGTACTGAGCACTTGGCCTGTGCTAAGACATTTACATGCATTATCTCATTTATTCCTTGGAACAGTGTGGAGTTTCACTAAAGAAGAAAATCAGAGAAAAGCATAGATAAGCTCTCTGGGGCATAGGCTTCTTGTACAAAAGAGAAGAATCCAGGGAATTCAGACACAGGTTGGGAAGCTAAGTGTAAGGTGGATAGAGGTAAAAAGAGGTGATCAGGTTGGAAAAGAGGTTCTTGTCAGATTCTGGCAACATGGATCTTAGTAGTCCTGACACGTTTTTAAGGACAGAACTGAGCCTCCAAAATTGACCAAACTTTTCAACCAAATTTTTCACATACTGGTCAGGTAAGTTTGGCCAACTCCATGGAAGAGGAGAATACTTTCAGGGATGGTTGTCATGGACAGTCTTGTCATCATTACCAGAGGTGACAATGAACCATCCACCCAATTTCATTTTCTTGCCTCCTAATATGGAGGCTTACTGTAAGCCTCTTGAGAGAAAAGACACAAAGAAAGAAATATAAGAAGATCTACACTAAATTAGAAAATTGAAATAAGAATAGGAAGATTACAAGAACTCTGTCATCCCTCCACTAAAATAACAGCTGTATTTAATTTCATTCCAGGATAAATCTGGTATTGTGAAAATTTTAGATCCTAATGTCCAAAATTTAATTCACTTTAGATATTTTTAGTAACCTATGAATCATAGTTGAAAAGATGGAATAATAAAATTTAAATTTAACAAACAAAAATGACACTCAAGTGATTCCTTTACTGGGCTACACTTCCTGTACATATTTGAAAAGAGACAAATGTAATTATTTTCCCTCTTTTAGGTATCATGCAAATATATGTATGTATGTATGTATCTATCTATCCATCCATCCATCCATCTACCTCCCTGCTATGTATCTATATAAATGCATATGAAAAAATATACACATATATTTATATGCATGTATTCATACACACACACACACACACACACACACACACACACATATATATGCTAAAGTACATACTGCTAAAAGGATCAGAGTCAGATCAGCTAGGTTCCTCCCTTTAAGGGCAGCAGGCAATGCTCTGGTATCCAAAGAGTTTTGGGGCAGAGGGGAAGAAAAAGAGTGGGGGAAAAAACCCAGTGACAAAACTTCCACCGCAGCAACAATAAGCCATATTAGAATGTTTGGAGAACGCTGAGATTTAGAAAATAAGGCTGTCTGGGCATGGTGGCTCACACCTATAATCCTAGCACTTTGGGAGGCTGAGGCAGGCAGATTGCTTGAGCACAGGAGTTTGAGACCATCCTAGGCAACATGGTGAGACCCCGTCTCAACTGAAAATACAAAAAATTGCCAGGCCTGGTGGTTGGTGCATGCGTGTGGTCCCAGCTAGTTGAGAGACTGAGGTGGGAGGATCACTTGAACCCAGTGGATGGAGGTTGCAGTGAGCTGAGATTGCGCCATTGTATCCAGCCTTGGTGATAGAGCGAGATCCTGTCTCAAAACAAAACAAAAAGACAATAAACCCATCGTGTTTGCATCTCAGAATATCAGCCTCTTGTAAGGTAACCTGGGCTTCCAAATTCTTACATAGAGAAGAACATTGGCCACTCAGCATCATTTTAGACAGACTGGTTTTGGCCTGTTTTTATGAGCTCCACACCTTCCCAGGGCACTTAACTGCAAGTTCTATGAACTTCTCCTGTTGGTGACAAGCTGTGTTTTCCTGCTGCATTCCTCTACATAACAACCCCAGCAAGCTATTGCTAAAGGGTTTTAAGTTTAGAGTTCTCTTGTGAATCCCAGAGTCACTGCCCACCTTCCATAAGCTAGACACTTCATATAAGTATTAAGAGTAATAACAAGCTTTGTCAGTATAGAAAAGATACAGAAAGAGGCCTTTATGACTCAGAGACTCCATTACCTTCCCAAAATTAAAGTAAGAAAACCTACACTTTTTAATAAGGCACACAAGGCTTTCCTGATCTGCTCCCTCACATACCTACACTTATCTTTCCAAATACATCTCTTGTAATTCCCACATATACCCATTCTGTCTTCCAGCCAATCTGGGCAACTGATATTTTCCTGAATATGTTATGCCTTCACGTGCTTCCTGTCTCTTCACAGATGTTCCTCTGCCTAGAGTGGGTCTCCCTGCCCATCACTCACTTGGCTAACATCTGTACCTTTTCAGCCCTTGGCTCAGGTGTATCATCTACTCTTGGAAGTATTTTTTATTCCACACACACCTACCTCCAAATTGGCTTCGTCTTGATTCTTCCATGTTCTTTCATTTTCTTCCTCTATCATCCCATGGAAAACATCTATTACAAAATTTAGACTAGCTGACCCTGTATTATAGAATTTAAAACTTTCACCATTGATTTCTTTCTCTGTCTCCTCTGCAAGACTTGATGGACAGAACATTTTTTTATTTTATTTTATTTTATTTTATTTTTTGAGACAGAGTCTTGCTCAGCCATCCAGGCTGGAATGCAGTGAAGCAATCTTGGCTCACTGCAACCACCGTCTCCCGGGTTCAAGCAATTCTCCTGTCTCAGCCTCCCGAGTAGCTGGGATTACAGGCACCCGCCATCATGCTCGGCTAATTTTTGCACTTTAGTAGAGACGGGGGTTCCACCATGTTGGCCAGGCTGGTCTTGAACTCCTGACCTCAGGGATCTGCCCGCCTTGGCGTCCCAAAGTGCTAGGATTACAGGCTTGAGCCACCAGTTCAAAGGGTCTTATAGAGGACTTGGCTAGAGTGGGACTCTGTATATGCTTGCCAAATTAATGGAAGAATGAGATGGTATGTGACAAATATGGTTAAGGAGACTTAAACAGCTTCCAATTCTAATCACTACAAACAGGATAGATCCTCTGAAATGGAAAGTAACCAAATATACCTAAAAGAACACAATTTATAAACAGATTCACTTCCTCAAAAGTATAGGCGTTTTCATTTGTACTCATCATAAAAGTCTTAAACTTTTATTATTTTACTGCAATTTCCTTTCTAATCTCATCCCATACTCCAGCACCCACACTCTCTGTAAATATTTCATGCAAATTGGATTTTATTGTCTGGAATGTACCAGATTCTTACTTTCTTCTAGCTTATGCACACATATTCTCCATTCTACTTGATACTTCCCCTCAAACCAAATTATTGGTCTTAACACTTCTATTAG
Organism: Homo sapiens; assembly: GCF_000001405.40. Classification (NCBI taxonomy): domain Eukaryota; kingdom Metazoa; phylum Chordata; class Mammalia; order Primates; family Hominidae; genus Homo; species Homo sapiens. The sequence goes on along the minus strand of NC_000009.12, from coordinate 115,283,431 downwards.
TTTTTCAAGTTTCAGCTTAGACAATGCCTCCCACTAGAATAGAAAGCTTATCCAATCCTACAGATTAGAGTTAGATCTATCCTCTCTACCTTCCTAGGTATAGAACTCTTCTCTTTCTTCCATAATGGCATTTATTACCTTGTATTATAATAGTACATTTATTTGTTTGTCATATCCATTGTTACTTTCTTTTATATCCCCAGCATCTAACAGAGTGCCTAGTATATAACTAAAGAGCATGCAACATTTTCTGGTGAAATGATAAACATAGGAAGGTAGAAAGAAATAAAGAGTAACAGGAGGTTTTGATGGCATGCAGCCTCATTTTCAGCTACATGCCCCAAACAATAATTAACATATCAAAGTAAGCTGCTTGTCCATCTATGCAGAAATGACAAAGGAGATGGCTTACAACTGATTTTGCAAGTGTTAGCCTAATACATTAAAGGAATACATAATTTAAGCTGGACATTAGAGATGGATTGTCACTGAAGCATGCTTTAAGTCCTACCTCCACTTCCATCCCATGACAGACTTATTTTCCCCTCATTTTGATCTAAATGAGTTTCAAAGAGATGAATAAAAGAGGCTACATGTATTTCCTAGAGTTTGGAGGATGCTCAGGAGACTCATGACCGACCAGACTGACATGCCTATAAAACCTAAAGAGGAGATGGTAGACTGAAGCAGCCTGTAGCAGCTGAGTAGAACAGATTGGGAAGTCACTGCATGTCACTGATAATGGATCCAAGTGACAGAGCAAGCTAGCCATGCAGGAGCCGTCTGAACAGGCTTTATTTAAGAGAGGAACCAGGAGGGCTGATGAAAACTCAGCAGAGGTTGTGCAGCCTCTTAAGCAACCAGCCATAGGAGATGTATTCACTGACATGATACAGGAGAGCTGATATAGTTGGGCTCTGTGTCCCCATCCAAATCTTATCTTGAATTGTAATCCCCATGTGATGAGGGAGGGACCTGGTAGGAGGTGATTGGGTCATGGAGGTGGTTTCCCCCATGTTGTTCTCATGACAGCGAGTGGGTTCTCACGAGATCTGATAGTTTAAAAGTGGTGGTTCCCCCCACCGCCTCTCTATCTCTCTCCTGCCACCATGTAAGATGTGTCTTTTTTTCCCTTTCACCTTCTGCCATGATTGTAAGTTTCCTGAGCCTCCCCAGTCATGAAGAACTGTGAGTCAATTAAACCTCTCTACTTTATACATAACCCCATCTCAAGTAGTTCTTTATAGCAGTGTGAGAACAAACTAATACAGAAAACCCCCAGAAATAAGACAAAGGCAAAGCGGAGTCTCCACCTATGCACAGAGAACTCCAAAAGAGAATCCACCTTAAAAAACTGCCCAGGCCAGACAGCACTGATGCCTGCTCGCGATAACGCTAGTCTCTAAACCTTTCTCTGCCCAGCTCACCTCCCCACCCTTGACTTGAACATAATTTTCTACAACTGAGAGGAAGAATTAAAAGTATAAATTGCAGAAAAAGGATAAAAGCAACTGATCAAAGGACACCTACACCCACACCCCTTACCAACAATAGGCTTTCTGAGCTAAGAAGGAGGGAAACTTAAATTGTAATGAAGTTTAACATTTTGACTTAATAAAGGGGACTGGATATTTTGATTATTGAAATGAAATTGCATTGCGGTTTGAAATGGATGGAAGACAGATTTTCTCTAAGAGTGAGCAGATCTGCTGTTGGGCTGCCAAAGATTTTCATCTGAGGGGGCAGGAATGGAGGATTTGACATGGGGTCCATAGGAGCAGCTTTAATGAAAAATAGCCTTTTTCTGATCCCCCCACCCCCACCTATTCTGCTCATTCAGTATACTTAAACGGGGAGAAAGGAAGGGAGGGAGAGAAAGTGTTTCAGGATAGACATTGTCTCATTGGCATGAACATACCATGTTTTTGTTTGTTTGTTTGTTTGTTTGGGGTTTTGGGGATTTTTTAGAATTTTATTCCTACCATGGAAAAGGCCAACCAGGAATTCATGGTTTTTCACACTAGCCAATAAAGTCCTTAGTTGACTCATTTTTCACTCTATATTTTCTAATAACTCTCTCCCTAGTAGAGATTTAACTCTCCTTGTTGACATTTCTTTGTAGAGAGCAAAGAATTAGATAATCAGGCATACTGAAGCCCATGGGGTAATCATGGTTCTCTCTAGGTATAAATGCATCAAGTGCTGTTCTGCTTTAGACTTTCGTCACATGCAGACTTGTTTAAGTGTGAGTGCTTTCTGTTGGTCACTTCCAGGTTCCCTGACAAAATGAAACAGGCATAGAAAAGCTGGGATAAGATCCAGAAATCTGTTGTTTCATTCTAATGGGCTTCTTTCTGAATTTCAGTGTGTTCACTCCTTAGGAACCTCTTCCATTAAATTCCCCTGAAATTCTTTTAAAATTTGATTTTTAAAAAAATTACTACTATTATTAAGATTTTTTTTTTGTTTGCCAAGTGTTTTATGTGTTACCTCTCATTTGAGCATTACAACAAACCTACAAATTAGATATCAGTGCCTCTGTTTATAGGTGAGGCAGCCAACAGATCAAGTAAGTTTTCTAAGAGCTAAGCTGATAAAAAGACAAAGCCAACACACAATCTCACGTCCGCTGTACCTAGATGAATTACTTCCCTGGATTGTTTCTTTGGCAGGAAGGGAGAAGAAATTTTGTAAGCTATGCAAACTGTTTTCTTAACTCTGGGCTATAGAAAATCTATACCCACCCAATCATAAGAAGTGGCCTCCCAGCCAGTCTCACCCAGCTCAACAACCTGTCAAAAGTTATTTTTCCATCTGAATAGAAAGCTGTGAGGGCTCCAACCTAGGTCAGTTCCAACACACCACTTTCACCATTTGGTGGCGAGCAGTTGGTAGAATCAACTGAGGCTGTTGAGTTGCTCTTACAAACCAACCCTGCAAAACATTACAGATGCCCAAAACATCTTGGCTCAGTCCACCTGGACACAGAGCTTTCCAAAAGAGAGGCAATGGTCCCCATTTGGCAAGCAGGGAAAAAATTACAGTTGCTTTTACTATATTCAAAATAATTTGGACTCCAGTTTGTAAGGAAAAAGCCATCCTACAAATCTATTTGGATATCATTACACTTGACAGAATTCCTTGCCCCAAGAAAGTCCTAGGGTCAGTGGGAAACTTAATAAGAATCAACATGTGTCATATCTAAGTTAACCTTCCTAATATTTATGAATTTTTCTTATGAGGCTGATACCTATGAATCATACTGAATATTGACTTTTGCCTCCCTTTGTAGATTTAGGCTGAGTAGCTAATATTCTTTCTGGCAAATGATGATTTCTGAAAGCATGAAAAGGCTTCTCGTGAAAAGTCTGTGTGAGGTCCCATTGGAAAAAAAGGTGTGACTGACTTGAAATTTACAGATTTTAGAGATAGAAAACAATTTTAATGGCTCTTAAATGAGATATTCATGTTGGGGCTGGAGCAAACTCAATCTACAATACCCCTCAGAAAAAGATCAGAGATGTAATATAATCTTCCTGTGGGGTAATGTTTTCATAATCCAGAAAGCCATGGAAAGACAGATCTATGCATGTAGTGCCATTTCTTTGTAATTTATTACCCATTGAGACAAATATCTATGTTAAGCAGAGCTTCTTCTAAGAGAAAATACCTGTGGCACTAAAACTGTATTTTAAAAAAATTCTAGCATCTTAGGAAGAATTCCCCAAATGGCAGTGTTTTTCATGCATTTCTCTCTGCCCAGAAAGTTCAATCCCAACTCATCATCCATCAAGGCCTAGATCTAGGTCTCCCTTTTTATACAAATTGCCCTTCAATAACTCCCTAAAAGTAGAGATCCTTCTAGGTTATTTTGTTTTTGGTTTTGGGGTTTTTTTGTTTTGTTTTGCAAAATAATACATACTGATGCATTCTCTTCACAAATTATTTCATCTGTCAGTGAAACTATAACCTTCCTGAGAGCAGAGAATGCAGAAAAGTACTTAATTATGAGTTAAGCTCCAGTTTTCTCGGTGGCTTTCCATGTGATTTTAAATATATCACTATTCCCCTTTGCTATACAATGTATTCTAATTTGCACAGAGATTATTTAGTCCCCGAGGTCCCATACAACTTTAACAGTTTTATGACTAACTATGTCATTCTGGTCATTTATCTTCAACTCTCCTTACCCAATGTATAAAACATAGATTCACTGACTGTACCCACCATGAAAGCAGTGACACCATGTCCAACTTGCTTACTTTCTTTATTTTCAATGCCTAACACTGTGTGACATTCAAAGAGCTCAGGAGACATTTCATCAAATGAATGAATATATAGCTCATAAATGGATTAAAATTAATTAAGTACATAGACTATTCAAGGCACTATGCTAGGCACTTAATGTTCATTGCCATATGTAGTATTCATAGCACAATCAGAGTAGACACAGTGATTTCAGTTGAACTAAGAAAGACAATGGAGCTAAGAGAGAATAAATAATTTGTTCAAAGTGCCGCAGCTGTGTTGTGGTGTGGGAGACCAGCACCCAAGTCTGTTTAGCCCCCATATATGTACATCCCCTCACTACACCACAAGTCTCTAAACCTGTCAGAGAAACAACGCCCACACTCATGCCACTATATTTCATGCTACTGTAAGAAAAGGGTTTATTTGTGTTGATTGGGATGGCAACAGTACCCAGCTCTAATTTGAAGAACAAAGAATTAGGGGAGAGGTTGGGTTTCCCACCAAACCCTCCCCAGGCAAATCGGCAAGCCAGAATGAAGTTGCAAAGGAGCTGAGAAATAGCATGCATGATGAGATGGTGGTTCTTTAGGTTTGTGATCAGGAAAGCCTGAGGCTCCTGCTACAGCTGCCAGGCCTACAGATTAAGCTTCTTTCTTTCTTTCTTCAAAAGCAAGAATGCTGAGACCCTAAACTTGTTTTCTTTTAAATGCTATAAGCCTTTCAGGAAACAGCTTTCTCTGGGAACCTGCTCATTACAGAAAGCCCCTTGAAGAAGTGCCAAAATGTAGTTAGCACGGAGGGGGCAGGGGAGGGGAAAATGTTAGGTTGATTCAGTAGAGCCATTTGATGGTGAAAATGCCTTTTCTAAGGGAGCAGAGAATAGCCTGGTGCCTTCTCAGCCATGCAGAACACACAGACTCCTGGGAAAGGATCTCACATTTGGGTGAAATGTGGCTGGAAATAGATTCCTGGGACTGATGGGGATAATGAACTTAATAATTATAGTAATAGCTCCTATATCTTGAGAACTCCAGGCACTGGGCTAAAAGCTTTCTCTCTTATTTAACCTCATAGCCACCCTGTGGGTAGATGTCACTACCTTTATAAAGGAAAAAAATAATAAGATCAGAAAATAGGAAAAACTTGCAAAGGTTGGGCATGGTGGATAATGCCTGTAATCTCAGCACTTTGGGAGGCCAAGACGAGCAGATCCCTTGAGTTCACGAGTTTGAGACCAGCCCAGGCAACATGCAGAAACTCTTTCTCTAAAAATAGAAAAATTAGCTGGGTGTGGTGGTGTGCGCCTGTAGTCCTAGCTACTCTGGAGGCTGAGGTGGAAGGATCACCCAAGCCCAGGATGCAGAGGTGGCAGTGAGCTGAGATCATGCCACTCTACTCCAGCCTGGGCCACAGAGTGAGACCCTGTCTCAAAAAAAAAAAAAAAAAAAAGAAAGAAAGAAAAGAAAAAACTTGAAAATATCACAGTTAGGACATGGCCAAGGCATTATTTGAACCCCAGTCTAACACCAAAGTTCACATTACACTGTTTCACTTTCAGGGTCTGAGTAAAGGGAGCTCTAGATCTGCTAGGCTAATTAGAAGCCAAGGTGTACGCAGGATGGAGAAAGTGAAGGAGTACTGCCTTGATTTAGAATTTCACATATCACAACCACGAGCTTACTTCGTTTTATCAGTGAAAAGGAAGGACCTTGAGCTCTTGAGTACATAACTACTGCCATTCCCATGTATGAGTTTATAGGGAGAAGGCAGAGCAAAATGGCCAAATAGAAGCTCCACCAATCATCTTCCCCATAGGAACACCAAACTAAACAACTCTGCACACACAAAAAACACTTTCATAAGAACAAAAATCAGTTGAGCGATCACAGTACCTGGTTTTAACTTGATATCACTGAAAGAGGCACTGAAGAGGGTAGGAAAGACAGTCTTGAATTGCTGTCACCACCCCTCACCCATACCCTGGCAGCGGCCATGTGGCATGGAAAGGGAACCTATGTGCTTAGGAAAGGGAGAGTGCAGTGATTGTGGGACTTTGCACTGGAACCCATTGTTGCCCTGTCACAGCAGAAAGCAATACCAGGCAGAACTCAGCCAGCACCAGCACCCACAGAGGGAGCATTTAGACCAGGCCTAGTGAGAAAGGAATCAAGCGCTCCAGAAATCAGAACCTGAGTTCCAGCAAGCCTTTCTATCATGAGCTAAAGGGGTATGGGGTCCTAAATAAGCTTGAAAGGCAGTCTAAGCCACAACAACTAAAATTCCTGGGCAAGTCCTGGTGCTGTTCTTGGCTTGGAGCCCGTGGTTTTGGTCAGTGGGTGGGATGCAACCTAGTGAGACACTAGCTGGGGCAGCCAAGGGAGGGCTTGCTCCAGTCCTCTCCTAACCCCAGGCAACTCAGCTCACAGCTCTGGGGGAAGCCCCTGCCTTCCACTTGAGGAGAAGAGAGGGATGAGTAAAAAGGACTTTGTCTTGGAACTTGGATACCAGTTCAGCCACAGTTTGATACAGCACCAGGCAGAGTCCTGAGGTCCCCATTCCAGGCCATAGCTCCTAGAAATTTTTAGACACACCCTGGGCCAGAAAGGCACCCACTGCTTGAAGGGAAAAACTCAGTCCTAGCAAAATTTATCACCTGCTTACTAAAGAGCTCTTGGACCCTGAATAATCAGCTGCAGTAGCCAGACAGTACTCACTGTGGGCCTCAAGTAAGACTCAGAGATGTGCTGGCTTCAGGTGTGACCCAGCGTATTTCCTAGCTGTGGTGACTACAAGGAAAGCCTCCTTCTGCTTTAGGAAAAAAAAAAAAAAAAAAAAAAGATAACTTAGTCCCACACTTTGGTACCAAATTGGCCACGGAGGGGTAGAGCACTAAAATGGCTCTTGGGGTTCCTGATTCCAGGACTTGGCTCGTGGATGGCCTTTCTGGATGTGCTCTGGGTCAGAGGACAGCCCACTTCCCTGAAGGCAGAGTCCCATGCATGCCAGCATTCACCACAAGCTGGCTGAAGAGCCCCTGGAACTTGAGTGAACATCAGCAGTGGCCAGGCAGTACTTGCCACGGGCCTGGGATGGCGGTTGCCACTGGGAGCAACTCCTCTGCTTGTAGAAAGGGGAGGGAAGAGTGGGAAAGACTTTGTCTTGTGGGCTGGGTGCCAACTCTACCACAATAGAGTACCAGGTAGATTCCTAATGCTTCTGACTGTAGGTCGTGGCGGGGAGGGAAGAGTGGGAAAGACTTTGTCTTGTGGGCTGGGTGCCAACTCTACCACAATAGAATACCAGGTAGATTCCTAATGCTTCTGACTGTAGGTCGTGGCTCCCAGATGGCATCTGTGAACCAGCCTAGAGGTGGGGGAAACTTGCTGCTCTGAAAGGAAGGACACAGCCTGGCTGGCTTTGTCACAGGCTGATGGTAGAGCCCTAGGGCCTTGAGCTAATACACACAGTAGCCAGAAAGTGTTTACCATAGGCCATGGTTGAGACACAGTGCTCTGCTGGCTTCGGGTCTGATCCAGGACAGTTCCAGTGGTGGTGGCCACAGGGGCACTTGTATCCCCCTTCCCCCAGCTTCACACAGCCCAGCACAGAGACACAGACTCCATTTGTTTGAGAGAAAGTACAAGAAGAGAACAAGAGTTTCCACCTGGTAATCCAGGGAATTCCTCTGGACCTTTACCAAGACCACCAAGGCGGTATCTCTATAAGTTTGTAAGAGCCACAGAGTTACTGGGCTTGGGGTGCCCCCCTAACACAGACATAGCTGCAGTGACCAAAAGCTTAGATTACAATACCCAAATCCCTTAGAATACCTGGAAAACCTTCCCAGAGAGAACAAGTACAAGCAAACCTAGACTGTAAAGACTACGATAAATACCTAACTCTTTAATGCTCAGACACCTACTAATACCCACAAGCATGAAGACTATCCAGAAAAACATGACCTCACCAAACAAATTAAATACAACACCAGGGACCAATCATGAAGAGATAGAGATAATTAACCTTTCAGACAGAGAATTCAAAATAGTTTGTTGAGGAAACTCAATGAAATTCAAGATAATACAGAAAAAGTATTCAGAATACTATCAGGCAAATTTAGCAAAGAGATTGAAATAACTGAAAAGAATCAAACAGAAATTCTGCAGTTGGAAAATGAAATTCACATATTAGAGAATGCATCAGAGTCTTTTACAGCAGAATGGATCAAGCAGAAGAGAGAATCTGTGAGCTTAATGACAGGCTACTTGAAAATATAAAGTCAGAGAAGACAAAAGAAACAAGAATAAAAAAGAATGAAGCATGCCTACAATATTTAGAAAATAACCTTGAAAGGACAAATCTAAGAGTTATTGGCCTTAACGAGGCAGTACAGAGAGAGAGATAGGGGTAGAAAGTTTATTCAAAGGAGTAATAACAGAAAGCTTCCCAGACCTAGAGAACAATATCAATATTCAAATACAAGAGGGCTATAGAACACCAAGCATATTTAACCCAAATAAGACTACCTCAAGACATTTAATAATCACACTCCCAAAGATCAAAGATAAAGAAAAGATTCTATAAGCAGCAAGAGAAAAGAAACAAATAACATACAATGAAACTGCAATATATCTGGCAGCAGATTTTTCAGTGGAAATCTTATAGGCCAGGAGAGAGTGGCATGACATATTTGAAGTGCTAAAGGTGGGGAAAAAAAGCACCACACTTGTATTCCAGAATATCATCCAGTGAAAATAGCTTCAAACATGAAGGAAAAATAAAGGCTTTCTGAGACAAACAAAAGCTGAGGGATTTTATCAACACCAGACCTGACCTACAAGAAATACTAAAGGGAATTCTCCAGGCGAAAAGAAAAAGCTTCCTTTTTTTTTTTTTCTTTGAGACAGAGTCTTGCTCTGTAGCCCAGGCTGGTGTGCAGTAGTGTGATCTCAGCTCACTGCAACCTCAGCCTCCTGGGTCCCAGTTCAAGCAATTCTCCTGCCTCAGCCTCCCGAGTAGCTGGGATTACAGGAACATGCCACCATGCCCAGCTAATTTTTGTATTTTTAGTAGAGATGGGCTTTCACCATGTTGGCCAGGCTGATCTTGAACTCCTGACCTCGTGATCCGCCTGCCTCAATTTCCCAAAGTGCTGGGATTACAGGTGTGAGCCACCATGCCTGGCCTAGAAAAAGCTATTAATGAACAGCAAAAAATCATCTGAAGGTACAGTACTTGCTGGTAATAATAGATACACAGAAAAACACAAAATGTGTAACACTGTAATTGTGTTGTGTAAACTACTCATATCTTGTGTAGAAACACTAACAGATGAATTGATCAAAATTAATAACTAAAACAACATTTCAAGACATAGACAATACAGTAAGGCACAAAAAGAAACAGCAAAAAGTTCAAAAGTGGGGGGACAAAGTTAAAGTGTAGCGTTTTTATTAATTGTCTCTTTGCTTGTTAGTTTGTTTATTCAATCAATATTAAGTTGTCATCAGTTTAAAATAATGGGTTTTAAGATATTATTTGCTAGCCTTATGGTAATTTCAAATAAAAAAATACAACAGATCCACAAAAAATAAAAAGGAAGAAATTAAAACATACCATCAGAGAAAATCACCTTCACTAAAAGACAGGGAGGAAGAAAAGAAGGATGATAAGACAACAAAACAACCAGAAAACAAATGATAAAATGGCAGAATTAAGTCCTTACTTATCAATAATAACATTGAATGTAAATGCACTAAACTCTCCAATCAAAAGAAAAAGAGAAGGCGAATGGATTAAAAAAAAAAGGCCTACTGATCTATTGCCTACAAAAAACACACTTTACCTATACATACATAAATAGAATAAAAATTAAAAAATAGTAAAAGATATTCCATGCAAACAGAAGCCAAAAAAAGTGTAGGAGTAGCTATACTTACATAAGGCAAAATAAATTTCAGGACAACAACTATAAAAAAGGGAAAAAGAAGGTCATTATATAATGATAAAGGGGTCGATTAAGCAAGAGGATATGACAATTGTAAACATATATGCACCCAACACTGGAGCATCCTGATTTATAAAACAAATGTTATTAGAGCTAAAGAGAGAGATAGATCCCAGAACCATAAGAATTGCAGACTGCAACACCCCAGTTTCAGCATTGGACAAATTAGCCAGACAGAAAATCAATAAAAACATTAGACTTGGACGGGTGTGGTGGCTCAGGCCTATAATCCCAGCACTTTGGAGGCCGAGGCGGGCCGATCACAAGGTCAGGAGATCGAGACCATCCTGGCTAACGTGGTGAAACCCTGTCTCTCCTAAAAATACAAAAAATTAGCTGGGCGTGGTGGCAGGCGCCTGTAGTCCCAGATACTCGGGAGGCTGAGGCAGGAGAATGGCGTGAACCTGGGAGGCGGAGCTTGCAGTGAGCCGAGATCGCACCACTGCACTCCACCCTGGGTGACAGAGCGAGACTCCATCCACCCCCCCCAAAAAAAAAAAAAAAATTAGACTTAGTCTGCACTATAGACCAAAAATAGACCTAAAACATATTTACGGAACATTTCTTCTAATGGCTGCAGAATACACATTCTTCTTCTCAGCACATGGATTATTCTCAACAGTAGGCCATACATCAGGCCACAAAACAAGCCTTAAAAAATTTAAAAAAAGAAATTATATCAAGTATCTTCTCTGACCATAATGGAATAAAATTAGAAATGAATAACAAGAGAAAATTTGTAAATTATAGAAACACATGGAAATTAAAAAATATGCTCCAGAATGACCGGTGGGTGAATGAAGAAATTAGAAAAGAAATTGAAAATATTTTTTAAACAAATGATAACGGAAATACAACATACCAAAACCTATGGAGTACAGTCAAAGCAATACTCAGAGAAAAGTTTATAGTATAATTGTCTACATCAAAAATATAGGCCAGGCACCATGGGTCATGCCTGTAATCTCAGCACTTTGGGAGGCCGAGGCAGGCAGATCACGAGGTCAGGAGTTCGAGACAATCCTGACCAACATGGTGAAACTGCATCTGTACTAAAAATATAAAAATTAGCCGGGCATGGTGGTGCATGCCTGTAGTCCCAGCTACTTGGGAGGCTGAGGCAGAGGAATCACTTGAACCCGGAGGCAGAGGTTGCAGTGCAGTGAGCCAAGATCGCACCACTGCACTCCAGCCTGGGTGAGAGCACGAGACTCCACCTCAGAAAAAAAAAAAAAAAAAGGCAGAAAAACTTTCAATGAACAAACTAATTATGCATTTTTTTTTTTTGAGATGGAGTCTCGCTATGTCACCAGGCTGTAGTGCAGTGGCATGATCTCAGCTCACTGCAACCTCCGCCTCCCAGGTTCAAGTGATTCTCCTGCCTCAGCCTCCTGAGTAGCTGGGACTACAGGCGTGTGGCATCACGCCCAGCTAATTTTTGTATTTTCAGTAGAAAGAGTGTTTCACCATATTGGCCAGGATGGTCTGGATCTCCTGACCTTGTGATCTGCCCTCCTCAGCCTCCCCAGGTGTTGGGATTACAGACATGAGCCACCCCTTTTGGCAGATGCATCTTTAAGTAGTATAAAAGTAAGAGCAAACCAATCCCACAATTAGTAGAAAAAAATTAATAATAAAGATCAGAGCACAAATAAATAAAATTGAAATGAAGAGAGCAATACAAAAGATCAATAAAATAAAAAGGTTTTTTTGAAAAGATAAAATTGACAAATCTTAAGTCAGACTAACAAAAAAAAAAAGAGAAAGAAGACCCAAATAAATAAAATTAGAGATGAAAAAGGAGACATTACAACCAATACCACAGAAATTCAAAAGATCATTAGAGGCTACAATGAGCAACTATATGCCAAGACATTCAAAAACCTAGAAAAAAATTGATACATTCTTAGACATATACAAGCTACCAAGATTGAACCATGAAGAAATTCAAAAGATGAACAAACCAATAACAAGTAATGAGATTGAAGCTGTAATGAAAATTCTCCCAGCAAAGAAAAGCCTGGGACCCAATTGCTTCACTGCTGAATTTCATCAAAGATTTAAAGAAGAACCAATACCAATCCTACTCAAACTATTCTGAAAAATAGAGAGGAGGGGATATTTCCAGACTAACTCTACAAAGCCAATATTACTCTGATATCAAAACCAAACACACATGAAAAAAAGAAATCTACAGTCCAGTATCCCTGGTGAACACTGATGCAAAAATCCTTAACAAAATACTAGCCAACCAAATTCAACAACATGTTAAAAAATATCATTTATCATGACCAAGTGGGATTCATCCCAAGGATGCAAGAGTGGTTCAACATACACAAATCAATTAATGTGGTACATCATATCAACAGAATAAGGGGTAACAAGAAAAAATACGATCATTTACATTGCTGCTGAAAAGGCATTTGAATTTGATAAAATTCAACATTCCTTCATAATAAAAACCTTCAAAAAACTGGGTATAGAAGGAACATACCTCAGCACAATAAAAACCATATATTACAGACCCACAGCTAGTTTCATACTAAATGGGAAAAGACTGAAAGCCTTTCCTCTGAGATCTGGAAGATAACAAGGATGCCTATTTTTGTCACTGTTATTTGACATAGTACTGGAAGTCCTAGCTAGAGCAATCTGACAAAAGAAATAAAGAACAACCAAATTGAAAAGGAAGAAGTCAAATTAATCTCTGGTTGCAAATGATATTGCCTTGTATTTGAAAAGACCTAAAGACTTCACTGAAAAACTATTAGAACTGATAAAATTTAGTAAGGTTGCAGGATACAAAATCAATGTAAAAAAATCAGTAGCATTTTTGTATGTAAGCACCAAATATCTGAAACTAAGATTTCTTGGGTAATACTCTACAAGCACAGACAACGAAAGCAAAAGTGGACAAATGTGATCACATCAAATTAAAAAACCTCCACAGGAAAGAAAACAATCAACAAAGTGAAGAGACAACCCATAGAATGGAAGAAAATATTTGCAACTATCCAACTGACCAGCAATTAATAACCAGAATATATAAAGACCCCAAACAACTCAATAGGAAAAAAACTAATAAGCCCATTAAAAATGGGCAGAAGGTCTGAATAGACGTTTCTCAAAAGAAGACATACAAATGGCAAACAGGTGTATGAAAAGAGGTTCAGCATCATTAATCAACAGAGAAATGCAAATCAAAACTACAATGAGGTGTCATCTCACCCAGTTAAAAAGGCTTTTATCCAAAGACAGAAAATATTAAATGCTGGTGAGGATGTAGGGAAAAAGAAACCCTTATACATTCTTGGTGGGAATGTAAAATAGTACAACCACTATAGAGAACAGTTTGAAAATTCCTCAGGAAACTAAAGTTAAAACTACCATATGATTTAGCAATCCCACTGCTGGGTATACACCCAAAAGAAAGAAAATCAGTGTATCAAGGAGTTATCTGCACTCACATGTTTATTACAGCATTATACATAATAGCTACTATTTGGAAACAACCTATGTGTCCATCAGCAGATGAACGGATAAAAACAATAGGGTACATTTACACAGTGGAGTAATATTCTTAAGCCATAAAAAAGAATGACATTCTGTCTTTGCAACAACATGAATGGAACTGTAGGTCTTTGTGTTAAGTGAAATAAACCAGGGACAGAAAGATAAGCTGCATGTTCTCGCTTATTTGTGGGAGCTAAAAATTAAAACAATTGTACTTATGGAGATAAGAGAGTAGACCACTGGTTACCAGAGTCTAGGAAAGGTAGTTGGGTTGGGAGGCAGTGGGGATGATTCATGGGTACAAAAATATAGTTAGATAGATAGAGTGAGTAAGATCTAGCATATGATAGCACAGTAGGGTGACTACACTCAACAATAATTTATTTTACATTTTTAAATAACTAAATGAGCATAATTAGATCATTTGTAACACAAAGAAACGATAAATGATTGATGTGACGGATACTTCGCCGAAAAAAGAGTTTACAGAGCATCAGTAAAAAAGGTGGCTCTTACTTTTGAGTATCATTCATGTATGTAGACATCGGGATCTGAAGCCTTCATCCTTGGAACCATCTTTGGCTCTGCCATGGATTACCTGTCTGACTATGGGGAAGTGGCTTACCTTTTATGAATCTTGATTTTCTCATCTGTAAAATGGGTCTAAGAGGCATTTACCCTGTAGGGCTACTGTGAGGTCCAGAAAAATTATAAAACAGTGGCTAAACAGAGTAGATAATTACTAGAAAGCAGTGATTATTGGTGAGTTTCATGGTGGTTGTTACTGATGATGTTATTCTTTTTGTTTTTGTTGTTATTTATTACTTTTATTCCAGAAAAAAAATGAGAACATAGGCTCACTGACATGGACTGACTTCTCAAACTAAGTTATAATTATTTAACTTAGAGCCTTATTAATAAAACAATACTGTGTAATATTTATGGGGTGCTTAATCTGTAACAGTTATAATTCTAAGTTCTTTTACATGTCTTACATCATGTAATCCTCAAAGAAACTCTATTTGGTTGTGAACAAGATGTTATTTCCTTAAAAGTTTAGAAGGTTGAGGCATAGAGAAATTAAATAATGTCTTCCAAAAACATAAAAAGCATGAAAATTTGAGCCAGGATTCAAATCCCAGAGGATTAACTCAGTCAACTTTCCCATAGGCACTCAAAAGCTGGAATTATCTACATCACGTATTTGCAAGTTATATTCTGTAGATCCCTGGAAGCCTCCAAACATGGTGAGGAATAACCTAAGAAAGACGGGTCCTAGGGTCCTCATGCCCATTTCAGCAGAACTGCTCCTATTCATTTTATATATAAAATTGTAACAAAATATCTCACTTGAATAAAGTACTTTTAGGGCCAATAAGCATTCAGTAATCCTCAGTCTGGATACAGCATGCTTCATTGGATGGAAGACTGAGCCATGGATTCTGGCACAGTTGGGGTAAAGTGGGAATCCTGCAGGGATGGAGAAGGACCATATCTTGCATCACGTTCATTTTCATATAACTTGTATGACATCTTGCCCTATTTATGTTGGTATTTAAGAGGGAGATTCTTTTCAATTGGGGGATCTTAGAATAACTCATGTATGAAAATCTCTACCCCCTCAGCTGGGTGCTAAACAACCTGAGAGTTTCAGCACTCTGTTTGTGAACAGCAGCCCTGCAGCTAAGATCCAGGAGACCTAAGTCTAATCAAGGAAAAGACAATTTGTACTCCAAAGTTGCTTGGTTGGCAGGACTTGCTAGTGTATGCAGTTGATACGAGTTATAATACATCATCCTTATAATATTCATATGTAGTATTCTTTTTTTAACACACACATAATTTAAAAGTGCTTTCATATACTTCCGTATTTCTTGAAATTTCCACCCAAAATACCCATTTATTTAAAAAGAGAATAAGGATGAATCCTGGGGCAGCTGATGGCTTTAAAGGATTAAGCAACAGCCTGAGCAACATGGTGAAACCCCATCTCTACAAAAAATACAAAAAAAATTAACTGGGTGTGTTGGCGTGCACTCGTAGTTTCAGTTACTTGGGAGGCTGAGGTGGGAGGATCACCTGAACCTGCAGTGAGCCATGATTGTGCCACTGCACTCCAGTCTGGGTGACAGAGCGAGACCCTTTCTCAAAAAAAAAAAAAAAGCAAAAGGAATGAAGGGGTATTTCTAAAGCAGCCCGTCATCATTGCAGGTCATTTATGTCTCATATTATATCTTAAGAAGCCAAAATGGTCACCATATACACCTGCCTAAGGTTCAGATTTTGAGAAATCCATTCTTTCTTCCTTTCATGTGTGATAGTTTTCAAGTAAGCTTTAAAGATTGTGGATGTTATTCTATTTTAGTAAGATGAGGTTTTTTGGTGTTTGTTGTTACTGTTTTATTTTTTTCACTAATTTTATCAGTGTGTTGCCATGAGTGAAGGACAATGAAGAGTCTTAAATGGCCAAATGAGTAGAAATCCACAAAGAGCTCGTCAAGGCTGAAACCACATCATTCTTAAGTTGTCAATCTTTTTCAGGGAGTTTTGTCAACCAAGTTACTTTGTGAATGTCCCGTGTATAAATGAATTAATGACAACCAATTTCACATCATGTGACATTATATCCAAAGTGCCATTAATGAATTCAATGTTCAGTGATTCTTTAAGGAATGGAAAGGTAAGAGTCTCAGGCATCACCAACAGCATACCTTGATCTGTTTATTCGGAGAAGGAAGAATTGATTTCTTTCTACCTGCGCCCTGAGAAAAACAAACACTCTGGCTGGATAATTCTCTCTTGGAGGGTTCTCAAGAGGAGGTAGGAGCCAGGGGGTCTTCTCTAAATTATCACAATCCTCCCCAAATAAAAGCTTCCACATATTATAGAAAGAAGGACCTCAGTTGCCGGCCATTTACTCATTAGACAGATGAATCATTATCTCCCCAAATCAGCTTCTTCCACTGTGTATCAATTTTTCAACAAATAGCACCATTTTGATCCTAAGCTAGACAAATCAAAACTCTGCAGCAGACTGAGCCTCCTCAGTCTCTACCATCCAAATCCAATTTCTTGTCTAGTCCAGGAACTCTAACATATAGATTCTTCCTTCAGTTGTGAGCAAGCAGGAATAGTTGGTTACTCTATAATTCCCTTCCAAATATTCTCACCCAAGTTCTTGTCTTGGGCTCTGCTTGGGGAGGCAACCCAAACTAAGATGTATGAGTTATGCTGGAGAGTAAGTCTTGCTGTTAGTACTTTGTTCTCCATTCTCTCCCTGGCTTTTCCAATGTCCTTCATTGACTGAGTGATTGCAGCTTCAAGCTGTTTTCTTTGCCTGCAGGCATGATCTTCCTACACATTCCCCAGGCTGTAGCCAGAATGGGATGTTTCAAGCATTACTTGATAATTTATTCCCCTGCATAAGTGCCACAATAACTGCCTATTACTCAATCCAGTGCTTTACAAACTTTTTAAACTGTGGAAACTTTTATTCAAGTGATAAGATGTAAAAGATAAAATTAGAACCACTCTGGCTTAAGTTAAAGAGTCAAAACAATGAGCACTCCTGCAATATAAACATACACACACACACACACACACACACACACAGAGAGAGAGAGAGAGAGAGAGAGAGAGAGAGAGAGAGAGAGAGAATGAAAGTTTGGTCCAGAAAAAACTCTTGGAACCTTCAGAGAATTAAAGAAGCATGGTTTAAAAATCACTACCCTGTGAAAATAATATCTGAGCTTTTAAAGTTCTTAAATAAGATGCAGCAGATTTCTCTGATACTCACTTTATTCCCTCAACTCACCTGTAATTGGAGTTCTCCCTATGGTAGACCATTCCCACTCACCTGATAAGGCCAAGACCCCTCATCTAGGACTGCAATTTGTCTTTCTAAGTTTTGCCCCAGAACTTTCTTCACTCATCCCAAGTTGGCTCATGGTGCAGGCAGACGAAACCCAGAAGTGCTTCTGGAGTCAAAGCCTCTGGGATGAACCCTCAACTCATGATGAAACGAGCTACTGGGTACATGCTTCAGGTACCCATATTTCAGGAGAACAATTCTAAAGGGCATCCTGCATGATTCACAGAGGCCCCAATGAGATGGAGTCCCATTGCCTCATAATGCACCTTCATGATGCTTTTTTTTTTTTTTTTTTTTTTGGCCTGGTGCTTATCCCTTGTTTCTGAATCATCTCATCCTCAGGACAGTTTTCCAGAACATTTCAGTTTTAAAACTGAAAGTCCTGCATCCCAGGACCACCTTCAGCTGTCAGAAAACCAGAATTGTTGGTAATCCTATGATTCCATTACAAATATTCTCACCCAGGTACTTGTCTTTGGTTCTGCTTTTGGGAGGAACCCCAAACTAGAACATATGAGTAGTGTTGAAGAGCAAGTCCTGTGGTTAGAACCACTAGAACTGGCATCAGTGGAAATCTTAGGCATTCATCAACTGTGCCACCAAGGACAAGTTATCCTGCTTCTCTAATCCTCAATTTCTTTATCTGGAAAATTGGATAAAAATCCACCTTTAGTAGATACAACTATTCTTTCACCCCTTTTCCACAGTGAAAGAACTCCCATTACTAGCTGAGCACATGGCTACCCATAATAAATATTACATGTTCTAGTATCTTCTGCAACTAGTTGCAGCAATTTGACTAACTTCTGGACAAGATGCTAGCAAAAACACTGTGAGGAAGCTTCCAGAAAGCTTTCTTAGAACACACCTAGTATGCTCCCATGACTCTCTTCTCTTCCTCCCTGCTGCTGACAAGAATACAAACAAGATATCTAGAACCAGAGAAGCCAAATTTGGGCTATGACATGGCCTGGGGAATTAAGATAGAAGAGCAACAAAACAGAAGCACCTATGTACCTGAAAAACTCTCCTGGACCAGAGCCCTCAGGATAACCCTGAATGCCAGAGTTGTACATAAGAGAAAAACAAATTTATATCTTGTTTATGCCTCGTTATTTGAAAGCAAGGAAATGACAATATTACTCTCAGCCAAATTTGCTTCTAGTTAAGACACAAATTTTTCCATTTTTGTGAAGATTAAGAGATTAAATATGTAAACCACTTTGTATGATGCATAGCACATACTTGGCATTCATTACTGACCACTTCAGTTATGTAGAGAGAGTGATGGGGTGGGAGTAGAGAAGCACATGAGGGGACTCAACTGAGAGTAGTTTTCCATCCCTTCCTGCAATCTGACTCCAGTCAATTTCTCCAGTCTATTCTGACACAATTTTCCCCAGATACACCAAACTAGTTGCATCTCACCATTCCCCAAACATATGCCAATTCTTCCAGGTAGCTGCAATTCTCTTCCCTTTGCCTGGGCTATCCTTTCTCATCTGCTCCACTTGGTGACTCTGATTCATCTTTTTATGGCTCTGCCAAACTCACCTTCCAACACCCCAGAAAGGATGAAGAACTCACTTCTGCGCATCCACAGCACACTGTGCACCACCACCACTCCACATCTCCCTCCTGTACAACATCCATTACATTGGATTCCCATTAACCGTGAGCATTCCCCTGTCTGAAGCTATTTTCTTCAAACATAACTTTTGTCATTTCCTGGACATTAGCTCAACATCTGTCCATTTTTCCTGCTTCATCAGAACACAAGTTCCGAGTCTTACATGCATCTTGAGATTGTGCAACTAGTCCAAATTTGGCTCATACGCCAGAAAATGCAATGTGCCACATCATATTGTGTTATTTCTCCAAAAACATGTTATATCTGAAACCTAATGAGTAATGCCTCTGAAAGCTTAATGAGACATTCTAAAAGAACCAAAATTCTGGAAATGCCCAACCTTGTTCAAAAGATTTGTTTTTAGAAGGAATCTTAGGAGATGATGATAAGTGGCCTACTTATCCATCTTGGTCATGTAAAGTAAATCACTTCAGAACAGTGAAGACTCTGCTCAAAGACACATAGGTAGTCAAACTCAAGGGTGAATCTGTAGCCAGCATATTCTGATGCCAATGATAATACCACATCATAAGTCTGCCTGCAAGGCAACCCACATCATCATCACATAATAACAATAATGATAAGAATGACAACTGGAGCTAATATTTATTAAACACATACTAGATGCCAGAAAAAAATGCTAAGCACTTTATAATGAGTATTTCATTTTGTTCTCACTTTATATACATATATAAGGCATGAACTCTGTCTCCATTATATATACAATGAGATCTGGAAAGCTTTGAGACTTGCCTAAAACTACAAAAGGAGTAATTAGCAAAGTGGGAACTTGAACACAGATTCGTGAGGCAGCAGAACAAGAGCTCTCACCAACTTGCCATAATGCATATCCCTGGATGCAGTGTTCAGCATCAATTTAGCTTTCATTTTTAACCTCTAGGAAGGATTAACAGCCCCCTCCTTTGTGTTCCCACAGTGCTAGGTACACCCCTCTATTAGACCACTCATCATGTTATTAGTTTAAATGTCTGTCACATCTACTGGTCTGAGTGCCTCTTGAGTCATGCTTATGTTATGTATCTTTCTATGCCCAAGGCCTGGTAGAATGGCTTATACACAATAGTCATTCACTCAATTTAACAAATAATAACAGGCATATAATAAATGCTTCTTGGATTGGTATAAGGTGTATTCTCTTCACCTGTAGAATGGGGACTGCTCTCCTATAAATAGGGACCATTCCCATTCTTTGATGCCAATGAATGTTCAGGGCTTCAGGAGCCAATACATGTGTACAACTGGCAAGAAACATATTGGGAAAATACTACCCTATTATTACAAGGCACCATTGAAAAGGGAGCAAAAATAAAATTCCTACTCTCCTAACATGATCCAGCTGCAAGAGACAAGTTGTCATTACACTAGTGGAAAGTTATTGCCTCTGGTCTGGAAACCAGCAAACTGGCCTGAAGGCACAGGATGCAGTCTTCATTGCCTATCACTATAAATGCCAACCACACTGTGCAAACACCATTGTGTCTTACCACCAGGTATGCAATCAGTGTCTGCTGGGCAGATTGCCAGGCTGGCCATCTGTGTTGTGCTTGGTTGCTAGGGCACAGGCAGGGAGCTGTGTAGTGTCTTGCTTTCACCCTACCCTCAAAAGCCTGAAGCAATGACAAAGGCTGTTCAAAGTGCTGAGGAACCAAGGAAATGTACATATTTGGCTTAATTCATAAAACTGTCATTGAAGGCCAGCTAAGAAGACGAAGATTTTTGTCCAGGATCTGCAGCTGTGAGACCACAGGTTAGACATTTATTTCTCTGAACATGTAAAGTCCTCACTTGTAAGTAAGAAAGACCCAAAGCTAAGTGTTTCTTTGGGAAACACTCTGTGTTTCACTGGCAATATGTAAAATGTTTATGGGTACTACATGGACAAACTTCTAAACATTTCAGCAGTTATAAATTATTGTAATGTGCACTAGAAGATAATTATCATCTCATACACTTGATGTCACATAAGTTCTTAGAATGAATGTAAAGTAATTCAGTTTTTACAGTTGTTCTTAAGTTTTTATGTTATTTTCTCAACATAAGAAAATATTAATACCAATGGAGGGGATAGGTGGATATGATGATAACTATAAAGATGGAACAGAAATGATGAGTTGGATGAGTCAGATCTGGCATTCTAGCATTTGACTCTGTGATTCAATCACCAATGACTAATTGGCAAAATTATCCAGAAAATTCAGGCAATAGTAAATTTATTCTGAAAATGACTCTATTTATATAGGCCCAGTATATCAAAACAAACACTTTTGAACACTTACAGGATATCAGGCACTAGGCTGGGCATTGTGGATATGAAGACCAATCTTGGCAGAGTCTAACTAGGGATACATCTGGGAAGATAAATTATTCCAGTTTAGTGTGATATTTACAATAGTGTGAAGTAATCTGGGAGTCAGAGAGAGAATACCCATTCTTCCTGGGGGAGAGGAATAGTTGAAGTCATCACAGAGGAAATAAATATTGAATTAAGCTTAAAAGACTAAGCAAACATTATCTGAGTATATAAGAAGGGGAAGACCTTCAAGGGAGAAATAAAAGCATGTGAAGTGTTGAACAGCAAATCTAATGGAAAAATTATTTTTTCTTACTCTATATATCATTTGCAAACAAAAGCATCTATGTAACTGTTTTGTACATTTCATAAGTGAGAGATCCAGATATTGAATAAAGTTATATGCAATTCCAACCCTATGTTCTTTCTACTATATCATATTGATATGGTTTGGCTGTGTACCCACCCAAATCTCATGTTGAATTGCAGTTTCCATAATTTCTACATGTTGTGGGAGGAACCTGGTGGGGAGGTAATTGAATCATAGGGGTGGTTACCCCCATGCTGCTTTTCTCATGATAGTGAGTGACTTCTTATTAGATCTGATGGTTTTATAAGGGGATTTTTCCCCTTTTGCTCAGCATTTCTTCCTGCCATTACGTGAAGAAGGACATGTTTGCTTCTCCTTCCACCATGATTGTAAGTTTCCTGAGGCCTCCCCAGCCATGCAGAACTGTGAGTCAATTAAACCTCTCTCCTTTATAAATTACCCAGTTTCGGGTAGTTCTTTATAGCAATGTGAGAATGGACTAATACACATATCATATTTGCTATTCATATCAGAAACCTCACCAATATATACCCATTAATGGTTGCTATGGTTTGAATGTGTCCTATAAAATTCGCATGTTGGAAACTAGCCCAAATGTAACAGTGTTTCAGGGTGAGACCTCTAAGAGGTATCAGGTCATGAAGGATCTGCCTTCATGAAGGGATTAATGTTGTTATTGTGGAAGTGGGTTCATTATCACCAAAATGGATTTGTTATAAAAGTTAGTTCAGACCTCCCTTTCTCTCTTACATGAGTTCACTCACTGTGTGATGCTTTCCATCACGTTATGATGCAATAAGATGGCCCTCACCAGATGCAGCCCCTCAGTCTTGGACTTCCCAGCCTCCAGAATTATGACGAATTCCTTTACTTTATAAATTATCCTTTCTCAGGTATTTTGTTATAGCAGCACAAAATGGACTAAAACAACGGTATTTCCAGCTCATTTATTCTTAACCCACCAAGCACGAAATACTAATCACCAAAAGAAGGAATAATGAGATCTTTTTAAAAGCCGGTATCCCCAAACCAAGGCAATTTTTGGACTTTGTATTATTTCTCCATTTAAAAGAATCTGTAGAATAATTTCCCAAAACATTTTGAATAAATTATTTTAGGCAGAAGCCACAAAGTTTCAGAAAGACTCCCCCATGTTCTCTTGCCAGTTATACATAGACACATTCTTCAGAAGGAAGGATAATGGAAAGATCCAATCCCTGGAGAAAATTTTAATACAAAGCAGGAAGGAAGCATTTGGACTTTTGATATGGAAGATGACATTGATTAATAAGGCCGTAACATTTGGAAAGTCACAGCTGGGGAATGCTCTATGAGAACTTCACTCTAGTAAGGACATTTAATCCAATCAACAGGACCTCCACAATTCCTCCTCCGTCTCTTTCAAGTTTTAATTTGAACAACCAAGACAAAATGCCACAAATTCTCTACATTTAACTTTTAAAACAAAGGAACTAATTTTAAAATAATATTGCTACATTTTTGTTTTCGCTATACATGTATCATCTAATGTATCATCTATTCTTTTTTTTTCTTTTTGAGACAGAGTCTTGCTCTGTCACCCAGGCTGAAGTGCAGTGACCTGATCTAGGCTCACTACAACCTCCACCTCCCAGGTTCAAGCAATTCTTGTGCCTCAGCCTCCCGAGTGCCTCAGCCTCCCGAGTAGCTGAGATTGCAGCTGTGCACCACCATACCTGGCTAATTTTTTGTGTTTTTAGTAGAAATGGGGTTTTACTATATTGGCCAGGCTGGTCTCGAACTCCTGACTTCAAGTAATCCACACACCTTGGCCTCCCAAATTGCTGGGATTACAGGCATCAGCCACCACACCCGGGCTACAAGTATCAGCTATTCTAAATCAAACTAGATATAGAGTACTGACTATGGATTGGAGTGTTTCACCTGTGGGACTAGAGAGAAAACTGCATGGAAGCCAAATATAAAAAATGTTGACCTACAAATATAAAAGAGCCAGGGTGGAAGATAGCAGTTTGTGTTTTCTCATAAAAAAAGAACAACTTTCACTTAAGGAGATAATTTGACAACTGAAAACTCAATCTAGAGCATGTTATTATAAAAAAATACTATGAATTTTGAGTTAAGCAGACAGGATTTTAATTCCATGCTGCCATTTACTAGCTGTATGATCTCGAGACTCTCTTGTGTCTCAATTTTCTTATATGCGGAATGGGACTTGTCTTAGTCCAGTTTTTGTTGCTATAACAGAATATCACAGACTGTATATTTTATAAAGAAAATCCATTTATTTCTCCTATTTCTGGAGGCTGGGATGTCCATATTTGAGGGTCCAGTATCTGGTGAGGGCCTTTTTGGTACATTATCTCATGGTGGAAGGTGAAATGGTAAGAGCTTGCAAGAGAGTGAGAAAGTAAAAAGGGGCTGGACTCACTTTCACAACAACCTACTGGGACCATAACAAACTCACTGCTGCAATGATAAAATCAATCTATTCACGAAGCCAGAGACCTCATATCCTAACCACCTCTTAGTAGGCTGCACCTCCCAACACTGTTGCATTGGAGATTAAGTTTACAACAACTTGGAGATTAAATTCCAACTTTGGAAGACACATTCAAGCCATAGCAGGGCTTGTAGTATATACCATAAGGATTCCTGGGAGAATCATGGTACAAGTTCTAAGAGTACTTGGCAACAAAAAGAGTTACAGTGTATGCTAAATAATTGTTAGCCTTCATGCTCAATTCAGTTCAGTTGACAATGACATTTGGTTGTCTGAAGGAAGGTAAGGTTGCTGGACAGTTTATATCTCTTCATCAATAATTTTATTTTGTTTTTTGATGTACAGTATATTATTAAATGTTCTATCTTCTTAATGCTGATACTTAATTGGTTCTTACTCTACTTATCTTGTATGTAGACTACTTTCTAAATTGCCTTCTCTATTTCAATATTATTTTTGTTAGTTCTTTCTGATTTTGTAGATATATCTTATAACCTAAAATAATGATTATGCCTTTCTTTCCAAAATTTGCCCCTTTTCTTTCTTTTATTGGGTCTTGTCCTCTTGTTGGATTTTAATTAAAATGATACAAGCTAAATTTTCTTTAAAATTAGTTAAGCAATATAGTGACATGACTGGTGCTCTAGGTTTTTATGGAGATCACTAAGCAGACAGATTCTTATTGCCTTTTCCCAAAAGTTGCAACTGCCAACATCATATCAAAACTGCACCAGATCTGTGTCACTGGGAAGAGACCAATTCTGGAGTGGCAGAAAGAATCCACAGAGCAGAGATGCTATTTCAGAGAATGATTGAGTTTTGGCCCAGGAGATTGTGTTCTACGACTTAGTTGAAGAGAACTCATGTGTAGGCATATCTGCCATCTTGGATTAAAGGAGTAAACAGCCTCAGGTCTTGAGACAGACAGCTTCCTGGCCTCTGCTATCATGTCCAATACACAGTGTTGTCAGTAAAATTAAGAAAATTATTCAGGTTCATGAATCAAACTCAGCATACTCTTCAGAGAAGTAGGGCGCACACCACAATCCATTCTCACAAGAAGAGGCATTTCAGAGGAATGAATTTATAACTTTGAATTCCTCCTGCCCTGGAAGAATTTAGCCTTTTATCTTCAATTCCCCATAACCTCTGGACATATTTATCCCCATACAGTCAGCAGAGATATCTTTACAGCACCCATATATGACCAACATATGTATCATTATTAAATTAACGACTCATACTTTTTATTCAAACATGAACACCTCTATCACCACCCTCCTTCAGCTTTTGGCATTCCAAGTCTTTGCACCGAATTCTTTGTCTATAATGGCTTCTCCTTCTTCTGTGATGTCTATGTATAGCAAACTTCTGGCTAGTTTAGGCAATACCTCACGCAGACTTCCTCTGAGCTTATACTGTGTCTTGTGTCTTCCTTATCATAGAATTTATTATAATATTTAATTTGATCTCATTAGGCTTATTTATCTCTGTATTCCAGCTTCTGAGAACTGAGCCTGGTGCATATAACCATTATCTGTGTTTATCAGTTAGGTTGCTTTCATCAGCAAATAACAGAAAACCCCATTCAAATTGGCTTCATTAAAAAGAAAATGTACTGATACAAATAATTGAGGGTCAAAAGATAGAACAGGCTCTATCTTTGATTCAATGCTACAGTTCTGGCTCAGGTGTGTGTATCTGTGTGTCTGTGTATGTGTACATCTGTGTGTATGTTTGTATGTGTCTGTGCCTGTGTGTGTGTCTGTGCATGTTTGTGGGTCTGTGGGTCTGTGTGTGTGTCTGTATCTATGTATGTCTGTATATGTGTCTATGTGTGCTCTGCCTGTCTGTGTGTTCTCTGCCTGTCTGTGTATGTGTCTGTGTATCTGTATCTGTAACTGTATGCCTGTGTGTGTGTGTCTGTATGTGCTCTGTGTGTGGGTGTTCTAGATCTGCTTATTAAAAGTACCTAGAAACACTGGCACCCCTCACCCAATGGGCAGTCTTGGTTCTTGCTTTCTGTATATGCTTCTCTACTAAAATAATGATTACATAAAGTAATATGTAAAATAATGTAAAATGTAAAATAATTTTACATATTACATAAAGTAATATGTAAAATAATTTTACATATTACATAAAGTAATATGTAAAATAATACATAAAATAAAGATTACATAAAGTAGAGGAACAACTAAAGAGTATTGATGGTTCCAGAGCTGAAGAAAGGAAAGTCACTTATCAAGATAAGTGATATGGTTTGGATCTGTGTCCCCACCCAAATCTCATGTTCAATTGTATCCCCACTGTTGGAGGTGCAGCCTGGTGGGAGGTGATTGGATCATGGGGTAGAGTTCTTATCAATGGTTTAGCACCATCCCCTCTTGGTACTGTATAGTGACAGAGTTCTCACGATATCTGGTGGTTCAAACGTGTGTAGCACCTCCCTGCTTCTCTTCCTCCTGCTCCGGCCATATGAAGTGCTGGCTCCCCGTTTGCCTTCTACCATGATTATACACTTCCTGAGCAAATGCCAGCCTCATGCTTCCTGTACAGCCTGCAGAACTGGGAGCCAATTAAACCTCGTTTCTTTATCAATTACCCAGTCTCGGGTATTTCTTTATAGAAGTGCGAGAACAGACTAATACAAGACACCTGGAATGTTCTGTTGTATGATAAACCAAGGAATTGCTGAATGAATGATGGTAACAGGTGGAGACGCCACTGGAGCCAGTTTGAAAGGCACCACTGGTCAAGTCTAGAACAATTTGAGTATCAAAATGAGGAACGATATTTACAGGCTATAATCCATTGAGTTAAAAAAGAAATCCATTCATCTATACCAGTATAAATACATAGGATAGAAGGAAAAGCTCCAACTTACAGTAGAAGACATGAATTTACCCACAAAATGCAATCTTATTAATCATTAATTGATGAGTACAAAATACCTATTAGCTAACCTCATAGTAGAGAAACCTTATAGACACCTTTTAACCAAGTGATAAAAGTTAATATCTCCAGTAATGGTACAAATTAGCATTTGGTACTTAACAATATGATGCCATGAGAAGAATATTTGGCTAATATTTCTATAAAAAGCTCATAGATCTTGAAGAATCATTATACAAACCTATACTGAGAAACATTTAACAAAGTAACAATTCTGCTCTGTTTAAAAATGTCAGTCATGAAAGAAAAGGAAAGACTAAAGAATTCTTTCAGACTAAAAGAGAGTAAAAAGACATGGCAACTAAATCAACACGTTACTGGAATGGATCCAAGACATATAAAGGACATTATGGGGACAACAGAAATTTCAACTGGATGTATGCATCAGGCAGCATTATTGGGTCAATGCTAACTTCCTGATTTTGATGGTTGTACTGGCGTTATGCAGGAGAATATCCTTGTTTTTAAGAACTATAAACTGATGTAACTTATTTGCAAATGGCTCAGAAAAAATAGTATATGTGCAGTTGGGTATGTACAAAACAGAGAGAATGCTAGAAAAAGAAGTGGAAAATTGTTAACAATTGAGGAATCTGGATGAAGGGAATATGGGAGGTTTTTGGATTATTTTTCAACTTTTCTGAAGAGTTTAAATTTTTTCAAAGTAGAAAGTTAAAAAAAAAAAAACAGAATGAAGAATAGAGATACAGATGTTGCTTGGAAACCAAAAGTGTTTATGATAACATACATCTCAGACCTCAGAAGTCAGACCCTACACTTCTTTGGGCGTCCAAATTATAGGTGCATTATTCCTCAAGCTACTCAATGAAAATTCATTCTTTTACCAGTGCTGCACCACACTTCACAAAATATCCCTGGGAATCTTCATGACACTTTAAAATTTTCCACAACTCTCTCTTGGTTGTCGCCTTTTGTATAAACCAGGCATGTATCTCCAGACAGCCATCTGTTCTTCTACAGGTCGCCCCTTGCTCTACTGAGATGATTTCACTCAAGTGGCAGCTGTTACCCTTCGTAATCTTCCTGTACAGCCCCCTCACCTGCCCATGAGATCACTGCAATCCTAGATTGGCTGGGCCCAGCTGTCCTCCACGTGGCTGCAATGGGCTGGGAGTCTATAAGGCTCTTCTTTTGGCTGCTGCCTCCAAATATAGCAAGCAGTTATTTTGAAAGCCCAACCTCAGAGACAGTTCTCTTCTCCCCAGCTCTCCTGAGATCCCTGTAACTCTGAATGCAGCCCTAAATGACTTCCAACGGGATGGGGGAGAGACTTTTTTTTTTTTTCCCAAAAAACAAGGGGTAGGTGCTTGCTTTGTATTTATAACAGAAGTTGACTAACTATACCCCAGGGACTAAATCCAGCCTGCTGCCTGATTTTTTATGGTCTGCAAGCCAAGAAAAGTTTAAGCATTTTTCAATCATTGAACAAAGGTCAAAAAAATAATAAAATTTCATGACCTATGAAAATCATATAAAATTCAAATGGCAGTGTCCATAAAGTTTTGTTGTAATAACAGCCATGCTTTTTGGTTTACATATTGTCTAGGTCTACTTTCATGCTATAATGAAGTGCTGAGTAGTTGTGACAGAGACCACCTGGACTGCAAAGCCTAACATAACATATTTTCTATCTGGTCCTTTATAGAAAGTTTGTTGACTCATGACCTAGATGACTGCAAGAGCCTACAATGAAGTCCCTCTGCAAACAGAAGCAAAAGGCACAGTCTGCTCCTCCTAAAGCAAGTCCACATCTCTACTCCAGAAAAGAGCAAACTATTTACAACTATTTAAATACAGCCTTTTCATCTTAAAAATTACATTAAGTTTCTGGAATTCTGATATACCCAATTCCAAGTAAGCATGCTTTGAGCTGAATTGAGCCTTTAGGAGTTGGAATATTTGGGACCTAGTCCCCAACCAAGTCTTCAGGACTTCTCAAATAATTAATTCAGGCCATACAAGAGATTTGGTGAATGATACAGAGCAGTAGAAGTCCCATAAATGGGGGAAAGAGAAGACATAGGGGTTACAGGAGAGGAGAGAAGGGTATTGTTAGGGAAGTACATGAAGTCATAAAGTAGCACTTACTGAAGACCTGGGATTTTCTAATTAAGCCCAAGCAATTCTCCTGAATTCAGTTCAATTTATGGGTTCGTATGCTAAAGAAAAAAAATATCAATTCATCTTGATACTATTTTGATCATTATTTCCACAGGAAAGATTTCCAACATTCTTATTCAGATTGAATTTCATAGTAAAATACCTACTTCAAAATTAATGCCCATATGATTTTTGAGTAATTTTTACTACTTATACTTAAGGAATATTTTTATATTGTTTTCATTGAAATGGAAGTTAAAATAATCCAGAAAGAAGAAATTTAAATATACTGATAGCTGCCACAATGCTAAAACCCTCAGCTGAACAGCCACAAAGAAAGGAATACTGCTAACAACCTGAATGGGGTTGGACATTGATTCTTCTCCAGTCAAACTTTCAGATGAAAACACAGCCCAGCCGACACTTTGATTGCAGAGTGGGAATCTTTCCTTTTGCACCTCTATAGTCAGTAGGGCCTAGGATATCATACTCAAGGGTAGTCAGTTTTTGTTTACTGAGTAAATGTATGGTGCAAAAAGCTGTTGGCTTAAGATCTAGACCTTAAGCAGAGAACTAACTAAGTCTTTGCTTACACTTCTAATCCACAGAAACTATGAGATAATTGTGTTATATGTTAGCTGTTAAATTTGTGGTGATTTGTAACATAACAATAGAAAACTGATATACTGGGCAACATTATTGTCTCAGTTTGGGTTGCTTAACAAAATACCATAAACAAGGTAGCTTATAAACAATAGAAATTTATTTATTACAGTTCTGGAGGCTGGCAAGTTCAAGATCAAGGTGCCAGAAGATTTGGTGTTTGGTGAGAACCCACTTTCTGGTTCCTAGAAATAACAATTTCTCCCTGAGTCCTCACATAGTAGTGGGGATGAAGAAGTTCTTTGGGATCTCTTTTATAAGGGCACTAATCCCTTTTATAAGGGCTCCACCTTAATGATCTAGTCACTTCCCAGACGCCCCACTTCCAAATACCATCACATTGGGGATTAGGTTTCAACATACAAATTTTAGGAGGACACAGACATTCAGACTGTAGCAATCCCTTGTGCCCATTTGTTTTTCCTTTAGGATGGTCATTTTCTGCTGCTATGGCCCAGTTTGTGCCTTCAAGGACTGACTGTGTAAAAAAGAGCCCAGAAACTCTTTGAACTGACTTACAGTAGCTTCTTCAGCAGTCAGCTGTAACGATGGCTGGAGCACCTGGTACCTGAGTGAGGGCCAAGAATGGGCTCTGCATGTGCCCTCCCTCAACAATTGCCCACCACCCATTCTCACACAAATGCAGTGGGGGATGAACCTGTAGGGATGGGTAATCAGCCTGAAAGGAACAATTTTGCATATGTGTAAAATCTGAAAAAATAAATTATTATTCATGGGAAACATGCCACTAATATGATAGAGAAGAAAAAGTTTGATATTTGGTGTCTGAACATTTGGGTGTTTCCAGACCTATCTCTGCCATTTACTCTATGATTAAGACTTCACGACATAAGTTTTCTGAGTCTCATCTTCCCACCTCTTAAAGGTGCCTAATGACAATACCTGAAACCACTTTGCCATAAAACATTTACTGCATATTGTCAATGCATACTAGGTATGATACTAGGCACCAGCAATATAAAAACAAATGAAATGTGGCACCTGCTCTCAAGACTTGAAAGAAGCTATAATGTAAAGCATCGAACTACAGGAGAAAAGTGGGAATCTTTCCTTTTTCACATCCATAGTCACTAAGGCCATTTGTCGACTGAGCAAATGTATAGTACAGAAAGCTGTTAGACTAATATCTAGTGATTAAACTGTACTTAAGGGAGAGAATGGCCTTTAAGTAGCAAAAATCTCTCATGGGTTATTTTGTTATTTAAAAGTGGCACTGGCGAGGGCTAGGATAAAACAGTTAAACAGTTTTACCCAGGAAATAAACCACAATATTGGAGAAGGAGGTTTAAAGTACTAGAAAAGAGAGAAGGAGGAAGAGAAATAGTAAGAATGCAGGCTGAGCTGAAATAATTTCCATGATCAGCTGTAAAGTTGCACACTTTTACATGCATACTCTGATGTTGGATTGTCAGTAAAAGTCTGCTATCCACAATTATTATCTTTGAGTTTGGGGAAAATAAATTAAAAGGAAATGTTTGCCAATCATTGATGAATGGCAGTGGGAGAAGTGAAGAGATGGAGAATAAGAGAGACCTGAACCAGGGCCGGAATCCCTGGAGTCCTCATAGAACATTATAGGACATTGAGATCCCACCATCTGTAGAATAGGGTTTTAAGCCAATGTATACCTTAATTGTGATAAACAAGGGGATCCCTGCAAGCTGAAGATCCAGGGAACAGGTGGAGACAGACACAGAAGAAATGAGGAAATTAATGAATAAAAAGTCAAGAGCATGAGAGGAAGGTAGACATGACTTTGAAGGAAAGTCAGGCAAGAATGTATGGTTATACTCTGTTGTCAGCAGGGAATTACTTTATAAAGTAGAAAGAGAAGCCCAAAGAGCATCTTTTCCCCAGGGTATAGTCAAGAGAAGAGAAGAGATGGAAAGCCATTTGGAAAAAGTGATGGGGAATTCAGGCATCGGGTCAACACCAAGGTAAGTGGGAAGAACTCAGTGGGCCTGGCATTGCTGGCATAAAGAGAAGGTCCCTGAGGGCAGAAGGACACCTTCCAGACAGACCTGCTGTTTCTCCAAAGGGGTGCTTGCTTCACATCCTTATATATTTTTTTCCAGTCTTTACCTGATGCCTGAGACCTGGCCCTTCTAATTCTTTACACTGAAAGACCAGAAAATTTTTTAAAAGAGAAAAAGAAAGAAAGATAAAGAAAAAAGAAAGAAAGACAAGCATAGCATTTATAGAAACATGAGAACTTCTGCAGGGGTGCAGACCCATCTTTGAAAATGATTCTTTGGAAGAGGCCTTTAGTGCCAAATACTTGAGTTGCTGCCAGTCTGTTATGACTCCTTCTTTATCATTTCCCCTCACATGAGGCAGATCGAGACAGATCCACATTCCTTCCCCTGTGTTTGGGGCCCACTCTCAGTCATTGTCAGCTGCTGGTTTGCTGAGGTTCTTGGGGTTGAAAAAATCCACCTGGTGGCTCCATCTCTGTTTGCTGCAACATTTATGTAGATGGGGTGTCATCTGGGAGTCATGGCAGCAGAGACACAACAAACAAAAGCAACCCACTGGCTTCCAGGGTGAACAGCAAATTCCTCTTTAGCTCCCTAGAATGTTTATGGAGTAGCTGAGTAGCCACACATCCTTGATCCTCCAAAGCCAGATAGTGGGCAGCTGTTGCAAATTCTTTCTGAAGAGCTTATACATAAAATAATTCTTGCTGAACTTAACCATATCACCATGAAAAAGGACATTAATCTCATTTATGAGGGCTCCACCTTAATGATCTAATCGCCTCCCAGAAGCCCCACTTCCAAATACCATCACACTGGGGATTAGCTTTCAACATATCAACTTTAGGGGGACACAAACATTCAGAGTGTAGCAATCCCTGTGCCCACTTTTTTTCCTCTAGGATGGTCATATCACCAAATGGTCTTCTGCTGCCATTTGGTGATAACTGTCCCTCTATGTTCTCTCTTCCTTCCTTTCCTCCTTTCTCCTTTCTTCTTTCCTTCCTTCCTTCTTCCTTTCTCCTTTCTTCTTTCCTTCCTTCCTTCTTCCTTCCTTCCTATGAATTGAGCAACTAGTAGATGCTAGGTCCTATGATTAGAAATGAGAATGTTACCAAGAACAAGGACATTATCTTTATCCTCATGGAACTCAGAGTTGAATTGAAGAAAACAGCACACACATGACCAATAGAGAAAACACAGGCTATGAAAAAAGGAAGAGTGATTCCCTAATCAAGCCATGGGCTTTCAGGGAAAGCCTCCATGAGGTAGTCAGGTCTGAGATGGGCTTTAAAAAAAAAAAAGTCAAACAAATGGAGAAATGGTGAACAGGTATCTTCCTGGAACACGGTACATGTGCAGCCATGAAGGATCGAGAAAACCCAAGGCATATTTGAGGGCTGCCCAGCCATGCAGGTGTAGAGTATGCTTATGTCTGAGGGGTGGGGCTTAGGCCCAGGCAGAAGTGAGACCATAAAATCAACTAAACATGCATTAAAGATTGAAACCTAAGACCTGGAGCCATAAAATGCCTAAAAGAAAACATGAAGGGGAAAAGCTTCATGACCTTGGACTTGGCAATAATTTTTTGGACGTGACATCAAAAGCGCAAGCAACAAAAGCAAAATCAAACAAGTGAGACTGAACTAAAATCTTCTGCACAGCGAAAGAAACAATCAACAGAGTAAAAAGGCAACATACAGAATGGGAGAAAATATTTGCAAACCAAAGATCTGACAAGGTATTTATATCTAAGATATGTAAGAAACTCAAACAACTCAATAGCAAAATAAATAAATAAATAACGATTTAAAAATGGGCAAAGGACTTGAGTAGACATTTCTCCAAAGATGACATACAAATGGCCAATAGGTATATGAAAACATGCTCACTATCATTAATCATCAGAGAATGCAATCAAAAGTACAATAAAATATCAACTATTAGAATGTCTATTATCAGAAAAAAGATAAATGTTGGCAAGAATATAGAGAAATTGGAACCCTTGTACACTGTTGGGAATGTAAAAATGGTGCAGTTGCTGTGGAAAATAGTGTGAAGTTCCCTCAAAAAATTAAACATGGAATTACTATGTGGCCTAGCCCTCTCACTTCTAGGTATATATCCAAAAGAATTAAAATTAAGATCTGAAAGAAATATATACACTTCCATATCTATTGCAGCATTTATTCAAGCTAATATATGTTATTCAAGCCATTATTCAGTAGCCAAGAAATAGCCTAAATGTCTATATATGTGTATGTGTGTGTGTGTTCACAGACACAATGAAATATTCAGCCTTAAAAATACGTATATTTGCATACACACACACACACACACCGGAATATTATTCAGCCTTAAAAAAAGAAATAAATCCTGCCATATACAATAACATGAATAAACTCTGTAAAGCCAAGTAAAATAATCCAGTCACTGAAGCTAAGTAAAATAATCCAGTCACAAATGGACAAATACTGCATGATTCTAATTCTGTGAGAGATCTAAAATAGTAAAACTCATAGAAACAGACAACCAAATGGTGGCTGTGAGGGGCCAGAGAGGAGAAATGAGTTGTGTTCAGTGAGTATAGGGTTTCAGCTATGTAAGACAAATGTTCTAGATATCTGCTGTAAACATTATGCCTATAATTAACAATACTGTACTGTGCACTTAAAGATTTCGTATAAGGATAGATCTCATGTTAAGTGTTCTCACTACAATTTTCTTAAATCGTGTATTAGTCAGGGTCCTCTAGAGGGACAGACTAATAGGATATATTTATGTATATATATATAGGATATACACATATATCCTATATACATATATCCCATTTTATATAGATGTATCTATATATATACACATATATCCTATAAACTAATAGGATATACACATATATCCTATATACATATATCCCATTTTATATATATATCTATATATAATAGGATATATATATATTCTATTTTATATATATATATATATCCTATATATATGGGAGTTTATTAAGTAGCATTAACTCACACGATTACAAGGTCCCACAATAGGCCGTCTGTCTGCAAGCTGAGGAGCAAGGAAGCCAGTCCAAGCCCCAAAGCTGAAGAACGTGAAGTCCAGTGTTTGAGAACAGGAAGCATACAGCATGGGAGAAAGATGTAGGCTGGGAGGCTAGGCCAGGCCAGTCTTTTCACATTTTTCTGCCTGCTTTATATTCTAGCCATGCTGGCAGCTAATTAGATGGTACCCACCCAGATTAAGGATGGGTCTGCCTTTCCCACCCTACTGACTCAAATGTTAATCTCCTTTGTCAACACCCTCACAGACACCCCCCCAGCAACAATACTTTACATCCTTCAATCCAATCAAGTTGACACTCAGTATTAACCATCACAAATGGTATGAAAATAAACAGAATCTTGGACAGGTGATCTAATCTGCATTTCAGAAAGATTTTATAGTCAGTAGCATGAAGTAAGATGCAATGCAGGAGAGGAGGGCTGAAAAGAGAAAGGTCATGCACGCAGACCTCCATCAAGTCAGCCACAGAAACACCCCAACAGGAGAGTATGTGTGTTTCGTACCATAAGAAATAGCTCCTGGACTAACTAGCACACCACAAGGGGAATGTCAGCTCCCTTCTTGGTTAAATTCTGATCCATTTCTGATATATAAAGAAAATGAATAATGCCTGCTTCATTTAATCCTTCAAACTTGCTCAACTGAATTTAATTCTCATTTACTGGTTACCTAATTTATGCCAAGCACAGTCAAAGATACAGGGATATTATGATAAATCAGCTTATGCTTTGTACCTTTATGACCTGATAATTAATGGCTATTGGTGGTATTAAAATAACACAGTAATCAATAACAGCCCAATCAGTAATTGCCCCCATTTTATAATTTTCTTTTATTTGCAACATCAGATCCCAGGAAAATAAAATAAAATTAGAAGTTTATTGAGTGTTTTGCAAATTAACTTTGCAATGGAAAGACACATGGTTTCTGTGGAGTCTGAAGTAGCAGAGAAGGGGACTAATGCAAACTAGGCTGAGTGTTCAGGGAGAAGGGTGATATGCTCAGTCTCAGCTTGCTAGTATCCTGCTGTCTGCTTTGGATGGAGATCTGAATGGTAGGCAGATGATGATGTTGGCACAGCCCACTGTCTTGCAGAGCTAGTGGAGGTACAACATCTACCGTGGGAACTGGAACCCCCAAGTAAGCCTTAAAAATAGCTCTTCCATGAAAAAAGTGGACATAGAAAATTTTATTTGATTATCATATATCTGCCTGGGTTTGCTTTTCAAGTTCACAGTCTCTGAGATTTTGAGTGTGCTCCATTCTAAATTTCCTTTTTTTGTCTGATGAAGACATTCATTTTCTAACACATTTTCTATATGGCTTCTCCTAAAGCCAGGAGGAGGACTGCTAAAGCATTGGCACATCCTCCTTGTAGTGTATAATATGGTACATATTATAGATTAAAATTATATGTAAAAATATGTAATACAATGATTGTACCATGTTAACTAGTATATATGTCATATATGAAATGATATGATATAGTATGATGTGCTGTAATTATTTCCTCAACTATCTTGGCCATGAGACTATGAGCTATTCGATGGCAGGACAGTGGCTTATTTATCTCTTTATCTTTAGGCGTAGGAGTAACTGCAAATTAGTTAGAGCTCAGCATGCATGTTTGATAGAGGATGAAAATAAACGGTAAAAAACAGAAAGAAAAGGATGAGGGAAAGCAAAGACAAGAGGAAAAAAACAAAGAAGCAATTTCTTTCACAAAGGAAAAACAGCACTAGACTTCTTTTAAAAAATGTCTTCTGTATTTCACTAACTCAGACTTTCTTCCTCTAACAGCTCTGGCACTCTTCCAATCAACTATCAAGAAGAAAAGTGAGAGTGTAGGTTCCTCATCTTGACATCTTCTCAAAGAATATTAAGAGTACCTCATGCATTTACTCACACTTTAGAAGAGTGAGATAAGAAAAAGGAATAATTATATATAAAGATAAGTGTCACTATTCAAGCATGCACAACATAAAGTATTGAGGGGAGGGGAAAGGGGATGGTAAGATTAGTGAATTTTGCCTAGGAAGATCAGGGAAGGAGGAATACTTAAGATGGGTTTTGAAGGTGAAATAAGAGGTATAGCCTAGAAGAAAAGAGTATTTCAGGGAAGATGGTCCTCACCAGGGTGAATCCTAAAGCTTCCTAGCAATTGGATTTTGTATCACTAGTTGAGTCGTAGTGGGAAGAGTTTGAATATTTTCAGCAAAAGTTACACTTGTAAAGATGGCATTATTCCTTCAAAACCTTGGTCTTCAGGACTGATTTTGATGGAAGGTTTGACTCATAAACTAAGTGAGAGCTCATAGTTCAGATTGCTCGTTTCACACTTGGAAAATCTGAGGAGCAAGAGGCAAACAGACTCATTAAAAATTATTCACAGCTAAATAGAGACGGGGTCAGAGTTGAGTCAAGGTTCCTTTAAACCGTTAAGAGAATAATAATTGGGTCAAACTCAATACCCTAATGGGAATCCCCTATTCAACATAGTGTATCTGTATATATGTCCTCTAAAGATAGGGCCTCCTAGGAGGCCGAGAGTTGGAGACCAGCCTGGTCAACATTGTGAAATGTCATCTCTACTAAAATACAAAAATTAGCTGGGTGGGGTGGTGGGCACCTGTAATTTCAGCTACTTGGGAAGCTGAGTCAGGAGAATCACTTGATCCAGGGAGGTGGAGGTTGCAGTGAGCTGAGATCAAGCCATTACACTCCAGCCTGGGTGACAGAGGAAAACTCTGTCTCAAAAAAAAAAAAAAAAAAAAAAACCCTTCTTTTCTGCATGTTTTCATCCTAAAATGAATTTAACAACAAAAGCCAATGCTTATATATATCCACAACTCACAGACTTGTGAGGAGCTGATGAGACACTGTACATACAGTTCCTGTGTGTAGTGGATTAAATGGTGGTGTCCAGAAGCATATATCTATGTCCTAATACTCAAAATCTGTGATTGTTACCTTATTTGGGGAAGGTTCTTTGCAGATGTAATTAAATTGAAGCTGTCAAGATTAAGAGATCATTCTAGATTATCTGACTGGACGCTTAATACAGTGACAAGTGTCTTTATAAAAGACACACAGAGAAAAAAAGGAGGAAGGATGACCATAGAGGTATAGATTGGAATGATCTGGCCAAAGCCAAGGAACACCTGGGAACCACTGGAAGCTGGGAGAGACAAGGAACAGTAATTTCACACTTCTGGCCTCCAGGACCTGAGATAATAAATTTCTCTTGTTTTAAGCCATGAAATTTGTAGTAATTTGTTATGGTGGGCACTGGAAACTAATACAGGAACTAGAAACTAGAAGATAGTGTTAGAAAAATATATATAGGTTCCCATCTCCATCTGCTGGAAAGCTCATTCTGAAAACACAACTGACATCTTCATTCCTTTCCTTTTGTTTTTTTTTTCAGCCAAGTAGAGAGGAGACATTTGCTCCATGAACTCTGTTCTAGACCTTATTAGTTCTGATGCCTCTAGCTAGGAGTAAATGGCAACAATAATACTGAAATCTTAGTGAAAAACCCTCCCAAGAATGGGGAGGTATAGGAAAGCAAGATGGAAAAACCAGCATCAATGTGTCTCCTTTTATTGAATTAATTATATAAGGCAAGAGGAGGGTGTTCTGAGGCCTGGCTGGCTGTCTCCACTCTGCCACTAACTCACAATGTGATCACTGTGGAGTTGTAAACTCCTCCTTTTTGAGCCTCAGTTTTCTCAATTATGTGAATATTGGAAGCCATTTAATTTTGATGGGAAAAATAAAGAGGCAGCAAACTATTATCTACTCCAAAATGCATCTGGCTAATTCTACTCTACCATCTTTCTGAACTTTAAACATAAAGATGAGAAATAATTCACCCAGTTACATGGATATTTGTTCCATTATGCATTCTACCTTACCCCCCTCTTTGGGTATCAGTGTTGTGTCCATTACCCTGGCATCCAAGGCCCTGCACAGTCCTCTACTGTATTTCTTACTATTCCAGCCCCTCATACATTATGCTTCAGTATCAGTGAATGGTTTTCCACTTCATACTGTTTTTTCTAGCCACAGATGGAATCTTCAGAGACAAAACATCAAGTAGCAGCAAAGACCCTGCTATAAGCACATTGATATTGTTTGGCTGTGTCCCCACCCAAATCTCATCTTGAATTGTAGTTTCCATAATCTCCACATGTCATGGAAGGAACCAATAGAAGGTAATTTTATCATGGAGGTGGTTACCCTCCATGACATTCTCATGATAATGAGTTCTCACAAGGTCTGATGGGGTTATAAGGGGCTTTTCTCCCTTTTACTCACTCACTTCTCTTCCTGCCACCATGTGAAGAAGGATGTGTTTGCTTCCCCTTCAGCCATGATTGTAAGTTTCCTGAGGCCTCCCAGCCATGCTGAACTGTGAGTCAATTAAACCTCCTTTCCTTTATAAATTACCCAGTCTTAAGTATGTCTTTATTAGCAGCATGATAAGAGACTAATACACCTATCCTTGCTTTTGCCCAGACTCCCTGTACATCCCAAGCAACCAGGTGCGATCTTAACTTCCAAGAAACAAAAGAGATGCTTGTGAGAAACTTAGACTCTTAATCACAAACTATTCAACTAATGAAATATGTAGGGTGATTTCCCATTTCATAGTTCATATCTCATCCAATTGTATCATAAATGCTAGAGTAACACGAAAAATTACAGGACATCTTTCAGTTTTTGCCAATATGGAAATCCAAGGCCCAGAGAGGAAAGAGATGCCCAGCTACACACCCCAAGTCAGTGGCAGAAGAAGGACTAGTACCCAAAATATCCTGAGTCACGTGCCCTGCAGTCTTTTTCAACAATATGACCTTTCAAATGTCCATTGGTGGGGTAGTTCAGTGTAATGAAATGTGTAGAGAGGGAACAAAGGAAGGTTAAAAAGTTATAAAACCAGTCTAGCTGGCCAGCATTACACCCATCATTTTGGAATAAGAGTGGAGAATAGAGAAGTATGAATTACTGCTTAGCTGTGTTCCACTAGTACAATTATTCTCAAAGGCAGGGGTGGGAAGGCGTGTCCCTTAGGGGATATTGTCAATGTTTAAAAACATTTTGGGTTATCATAGAGAGGGAGAAGTTACTACTGGCATCTTCAGGCCAGGAATGCTGTAAATATCCTAGGATGTGCAGGACAGTCCTCCACAACAAAGAACTTTCCAGCCCAAAAGGTCAATAGTTCAAAGGTTAAGACCACTCTGTGGGTAGGATTCCTCTTTTACAAAGACAACTTCTAATGGGATCAATATTTTGATAACCTGTCTCGGCCAGAAATTTGAAAACACTCAAGGGCTTGGAGTATATTTAATCTAGTCTTTCACTTACACAGAGAGGTTCATTGTAGTCATCTCTACAGAAGTTAAAGAAACCAATGTTAGTAGTGATAATCTATGAGAGTAATTTTTAAAAAAAATCTTCCCAGTACCTTTTTTCCTCTTTATTTCTTCTTCTGGTAATATATTCCTCTTTGCATATTAAATGGAAAGAGTTGTGACCAAGGGCTAAAAAAGTTGGGCCACAATCCTTTCCATTTAATATGTACCCAACAATCAATCCAAGGTTAGAAGGGAGATTAAATTAATCATATATATATATATATTGCTATATATATATATATATTGCTATATATATATATTGCTATATATATATATTGCTGGCTTGGAATCTTAAAGTAATATGAAGCGAGGTTTCTGGTGCTATCTTCCTCATTACGTGCAAAGAGGGCTGTGTAGAGGAGAATGCAGCCATCAGAGATAACAGATAGGTATAAACTGTGTATTCCAGTTACAATGGCCATCAATTTGGGTTCCCAATGTCCTAGTTCTTAAAGTTCTTCCTTCAAGTCTTTGAGCTACCCTAGAATCCAGCTGCAAGAACCAATAAATTATTTTTTTGGCATAAGCTGATTTGAGTTGAATTTTTGTCACTTGTAGTAGAAAGAGTTCCAACTAATAAACTCACATTTATAGAGCATTTGAGAGTCAGCTAAGTGTTTTCACATTTGCAATCTTATTTGCGCCTCACAAAAAGCCTATGCTTTATCTATCCAGCAGGGATAGGAAGCATTGTCTCATTGGCATGTCTGAAAACTAAAACCCGAAGTGGCTGAGGTTAAATGACTGCCTCAATACCACTATCATGATGTTGAAAACTATGGAACCTGTCCATAGGAAAAGAAGTGTACATTCTCACAGAGTAGCACTCTGTAGTAGCACGAGGTAGTAGAATAAAAATAACAGAATAATAGTTAACTCATACAAAGTCCTTACTGTGTCCCATGCTCTACTGAAGTGCTTTGTGTATATTAACTCATAAATCCTCACAGCAAACTTATAACAATAGGTACAATTATTCTCTCCACTTAAAGGTCAAAAAACAAAGACGTTTGAGTAAATGGCCCAAGGTCCTCTAGATAATTTATGACAGAACCAGTATTCAAATTAAAAGCCCTGATGTTTAACCACTACACCATATGGAGTCTCAGAGCAGCTATGTTTTTTGACCCAACTCCTCCCTACATGTGCCTAGGACAGGTGGAACCAGGATCCTAATCCTGACCTAACTGACTTCAAGGTCTTTCTTCTAATATGGTGCCCGGTAATTTCTCCCATTCTTGATAATGGCCTGCAATGCCAGGATTTACACTAAGAGCTCAGACTCTAAGCTTACTGATAATGTGGCTTTTTTTGTTTGTTTGTTTTGTTTCTTGTTGAGACCGAGTCTCACACTGTCGCCCAGGCTGGAGTGCTGTAGCGTGATCTCCGCTCACTGCAACCTCCGCCCTGCTTCAGGTTCAAGTGATTCTCCTGCCACAGCCTCCTGAGTAGTTGGGATTACAGTCGCCTGCCACCACGCCCAGCTAATTTTTTGTATTTTTAGTAGAAATGGGGTTTCACTGTGTTGGCCAGGGTGGTCTTGAGCTCCTGACCTCATGATCCATCCACCTCGGCCTCCCAAAGTGCTGAGATTACAGGCGTGACCCACCGCGCCTGGCAATGTCTTCTTATATACTCATTCAATACATATTTAGTGAATACTTATTATATGTCAAGCACTTTAAAAAGCTATCTGGAAGGAAGAATGGTGATGATGCCCATTGAGGCTTACTGAATTACAAATCTATTCTTATCCTTGAAGAAGATGAGATTCAGACTTTGGGGATTTAGGAACTTTGGAAGAAGAACCATCTGCATTTTATTAGCAAAGGACAAGAAAGTTTCCTTCACCAACCTCAGAAGCCAAGTTAAAAATATGCTAGTTCACAGTTCATAGCAAAAGTTGGATCTGTCATACCCACATCCCTTTTGTTCCAAGAAAACATGTGGTAAGGATGGTCAGGACTTGTTTATTTCATGGCTTACTAGTAGTAAATGTGGGCTGAGGGTTTTCGCTCTGTCCCCTTCATGTCCTGCCACTGAAAAAATAAATAAAAAGGAAACTTTGAGTCCAAGGAAGCTTTGAGTCCAAAATAGATGGCTTTTACAGAGATGAGAAAGCTATTTATCATTATTTTGGAAAAGAAGGACAAAATATTTAACAGTAAAATTCATTTTACAACTTTTGGAAATATGATATGGGATAAATAAATATGAAGATTATTTGGAAAACTTTCACAAATTTCAAAATACTTTCTGAATCACCTTTACTTCTCCAGACTTTTGAATTTGTTGATATGTATTCTCAAAAAGGATATATCCACCCCAGGACCTTCATGCTGTAACCTGTCACCTTGATATGAAGACTAAACAGAAAGAATATTACACATGGACACATATAAAGCTCAAAGGCCAGTCCTAAAGGGTAGAAAAACTTCTGAAGCTTAAGATGACTAACAGAGCATCCTTGGCTCAGAAGGGAGAAGTGGTCAATTTTAGAAAGAGAAGTTTGTTTGTTTCTTCCTTATAAATTAATGTAAAGATGGTGCTAATGAAAAGAGTTTGATAAAAGCAACCCTTTGAGTTCACTGGGCAAATTGATCTTTCCCTGGAAACTAGATATTATTGTGTCCTTCTAAAAGGATGAGTCCATTGAGGCTCAGAGGATAAAATGAGTTACCCAAGGTCTACCAATTACTGCCTGTTGATTTAGGAGTATAGTTTTCTACATTCTCAAGGCACCTCAAACCCATCCTTTCCTAAGCCTAACATATTGTCTTTCTCCCCAAATGGAACCTCCTTTTGTGTTCCTTGTTTTGGTGTTGGTAACCTCGTTCACCAGTCATCATGGCCAGACTCATCGTCATTCAGTATGTCTTACCTCCCTGTTTCACTCAGTCATCAACTCCCACAGACCCTAGTTTCATACTCCATGGTGGCCCCCAGTAGTCCTTGCCTCCCATGCCTACATAGGTTATTGTCAATGCCTCCAATCTGGTCTCTCTCCTATCATCTTTTTCCTTCTTTTATGCAGCCACCAGAACAGAATAAAACAAATTCTACAGTGTCACTCACCTGCTCAGAGACCTTTAACATCTCCACATCACTGGCAGGATAAAGTGTAACCTTCTTGGCTGAGCACACAAGAACTTCTTCCTCCTGGTCCTGCCTTACTCCTCAGCTCCTCTCTCCTCACTCTCTCTGCTTTGCTACCCTCCAGAATCACAAATTGCTTGTAGTGTCCTCAGGTAGTGTGGTGTGTCTTATCTCTGTGCACTTGCTCAGATTGTTCCTCCATGTGGATTGTGGTGCCCTCTGTTCTTCCTCCACATGGATGATGACTCCTCATTCCCTAAGACTTGGCTCGCTCATCTTTTTCTGTTGTTGTGTGCGTGTTTTCAGAAAGCTTTTCCTGAAGCCCTAAATTCCCCCCTTGAGGGACTCATATCTGCCTGTGGTTGTCATTAGGCTTACCATGTTGGTTACCCTGATCTCTTTATGCATCTTTCTCCTCACCCAGAATGTTAGCAAATGCAGCAATGATCCTGCTCTACAACAAATAGACAAATTCTAACAGAATAAACCCACAGGTAAAATCTCTCCTGTGTTTGAAGCAAACAATGACAAGTCATGATTTATGTGAATGAAAAAATGGAAAATAAAATGAAAGGAACACCTCATCTACTAGCA
The DNA here is from genome assembly GCF_000001405.40 of Homo sapiens. NCBI lineage: Eukaryota > Metazoa > Chordata > Mammalia > Primates > Hominidae > Homo > Homo sapiens. The sequence goes on along the minus strand of NC_000009.12, from coordinate 115,239,093 downwards.
CTTACTTTAAGTATGTCTTTCCTAAAGTCCTTTAAAGAAAAAAAAGGTCTCACCAAAGATGAATCTCCTTGGATCTTACATTTTTCTGAATCTTGTTACCTGTCATTCCTCAAGTAAGAGCTATTATATAAAATGTCAAATTCATTTTACAAGGTTCTTTATTTATTTATTCATTTATTTATTTTACCCTTTTTGGTTTCAACTTTCTATTGCCTAAGAAATAAAATGGAAACTACTTAGCCAGGCATTCAGGAATCTGCATAGTCTGACACAAGACTAACTTTCAAGTCTTACAATCCACCATTCTCTCCCTAGGAACAGCGCCATATTGTCCCAGTCTGGTGCTTTTGTTCCGAATTTTCTCTCTCACACATACAAAAATAATAGATAAGTACAGGGGTAAAGTTACATTGGGGAAGTCAGTCCATAATTGAAATTCATCTGATGATAATATCACTCCCATTTTTCTATAGGAACAGAGAAAAAAAAATTATCCTCCAAATAGCATTGCTCAGATATTTCTCATTGTTCTTATTGTGAAATCCATTATACAGCTCAGGACAGATTTATATGGCCTCCTTTCTCCATATGCATAAGAGCACCACACCCACTCTCACTTGAAGAAAGAGAACTAAGATTATTCTGTCCTACTATGTGCCAGATGTAGCACAGAGCTTATGTTAATCCTCCTAGCAATCTTCAGAGGTAGGTCTTAGCCCTCTATTAAAGTAGAGGAAACTAAGGCTCAGAGGAATTAAGTAGATAAAGGTGGTCTAATTAAATTAGATTCAGGATTTAAATATCATTAATTGAATCCAAATGACCTGTTTCCCCCCAATATTGAATCAGTGAAGTTGTAGATTTTTAAAAGCTCTTGAGTAATCTAAAGCTTCGTGGAGCCAAAAAATTTCACTGTCACTGTTATTACAAGATGCTCTTTATATAGTAAGATTCTAGGAAAAGAGCATTATCGTTATTAAAAAAAAAAAAAATCCAGGGACATAGGCCAAGCATCAGAATTAAGGGATGAGCAAAAAGTAGTGAAAAATGAAGAAAAAAAGAAATAGAGTCTGCTGATGGGATAGGTTAAGACATGGCATTCTGTTTCCAAGGAAGAAAAAACACATGGAGCAATGCAATCTGGAGGAATAGGGTGTGGCTGGCTGCACACAGCCAGGGGGTTGGCAGGGAGGCCTGAGGAGCAGCAGACATTATGGCAAATTGCTGTTCCCAAGTATCTGAGCCATGGAGGCATCGGGCCCAAAAGACGTTCTTGGAACCAGGGCCTACAGAAGGAGGCAGAATTAAGTAAAAATTACAATAAATCATGGGCTCTATGTGTCGGGACTAACAGGAATGCTTTGACTTTGGAGGCACTTTTTACACTGGCACCAGGGTTTTTCCACAGAAGTCCTATCCCAAGCTGTAATTTCTTACTCGAGAGTTATTGGGAATCATGTTGGAAACAGGTTACAAAACAAGGAGACTGTATTTCATCACATGGCCTTGGAGGCCAAGTCTACTTTTTTTTTTTTTTTTCCTGGAAGAGCATATGTCTGTTATTTACCCAGTGTCTCTCAGCCTCAAAGTTTCCCACCCCCATCCACGCTCAGTGACACCGAAGCTGAGATTCTGAAAACTACACTTCCCAGACTCCTTGCCAGCCCACTTCCCATTCGAGCCCTGCAACAGGGGACATTGACAGGAGACTAGAAGCTGGCAGGATGAAGAGGACTCTCTTCCTATTTCAGACCCTGTTAGATGCTTCCAGAGGAAAAGAAAGCTATGGTTCCGTTCTTTAGCTTCCTTACGCACTCCCAGCACCTGCCACAGGATTCCTCATTAGAGACCAACACGAGCGGCTCACCAAGTCTGAACTCAAGTTTTCAGTTCCCATCTCCGAATTCTTAGCACTGGCAAGCATTTGCCCTCCCTGAGGCCTGAGTTCCAGTCTTTGAGCACTCTTTAAGATGTCTAAGCCTGGCCACAGGGTGCCCCCACTCAGAGGCTGAAGCACCAGTCACAAGACACAGGAACCTTCCAGAAGTATGAGGCTCAGCCATGCAGGGTTTCTCCTTTGCACTTGTGTAAGTTCTCATAACACCACCTTTCTCTCCTTTTTCTCCCTGTCTGACAGAAGCAGCCACTTCCTGCAGTTACTGATGTCTGGATTACCTCAACATCCCGTTTGCTACATCAACTTTCTAAAATACATGCGGTCTATTCCCTATACTAAATCCCCTCTATTTGAAATTTCTGATTTGCTTTCCATGTTCCTGACTAGAACCTGCTGGAACAGGACATTCATACCTTTAGTGAGGTCTTGTCAAATCTCTTACAAGGATAATTACACAGAAATAAAATTTTAGCTCCTAAAAAGAGAAAACTATCCTATTAGGTTGCTATCTCTGTCAACAAGAAAGAATATACTAACCCCATAGGTACAAAATTTCAGGTTCTTCATTCACTCCTGAATGAATGTGATCCGGGCCCCAGCAAGATAAAGATGTCTTAGGCTCTAGGAACAAAACTTGGAATGAGACATGATCTCTAACCCCCAAAAGGAGACTATAATTAGGAGAGAAGAGGTCAGTTATAATGCCACAGTGGAGGAATCTATTAGAGCAACTAGAGGCCAATGAAGGGACAAAAGAGGAAGCCTGAAAAAGTTGCAGAGAAGGTATTCCCTTATCTGAGTCTAGAAGAATGTATCAGTCTTTTCTTGTTCTTGTTGTTGTTATTGTTGTTCAATTGCAAGGAGCAGAAACCAACTTTGGATAACTTGAAAAAAAGCCATGTGTTGGGAGCTTATGAACAAGCTCGGAGGGTCAGCTCTGAGGGCCACGAGACAATGTCGAAAAAAGAGACTTGAAATAGAAAAGAGGTAACACTAGACGGTGTTGGAGGCAAAAATGGCCTGATATCTGGACCCAGATGGCCTGCTGAAATGAATGAATCCATACATTTTATGCATTCTCCTGGGAAAAAGCCCAGTTGGCCTAGCATGGGTCAATGCCCATTCTACGACTGTACCAAATGAGTTAGATTAAAGATCAGCAGGGTATCCCTGCCAACAATAGGGGAGATAAAATTCCCCAAAGAGAAATTAGGGTCCTCTGGAAAGAAGAAATAGATGATACCTAAACTGGAAAAAAAAAAAAAAGGCTTGGGAGAAATAAAACAGAAAGGCATTTACTGCAAAAGTGAGCGAGAATTTTCTAATTGGAGATGAAGAAGCTGGGCATTCCAGGCAGGGAGAGAGCAGCATGAATGAAGGTTTGGTGGTGAGAAAGACACAATAAAGCTGCAAAGTGGAGGTGAGACTGCAGGTGTAAGCAGGGACCAGAGAATGAAAGGCAGCATCCTCAGCAATTCACCAATTTCTTGGAATTGTTGCAAGCATGGATTTTGGCCTTTTGGTTTTTTTTAGCAAAACATCTTCAACATTGTAACCTTAACAAGAAAATTTTCAGTGGAACAGAGCAGACAGAAACTGATTGGGGTGGGCTAGGGAAAGAAAGGATGGTGAGGAGGTGAGCTGATGGTGAGGAGGTGGGCTAAGGAGAGAAGATGCTGTATTGTTAAGTACTACATTACTGACACAAACTAAGGTTACGTAGGAGTTCAGGAAGCACAAGGTCAGTGGAAGCACTAAAGCAAGGATGTGGCACTGAAGAGAATGGGAACAATACACCTCTTGTAGAAAAGGAGCTGTTGGTGTTCTTCCTAGTTATCAGACACAGAGGCAGCCCAACCTCAACAGAAAAACTTCCCAAAATCTTTTAGAAATGAAACATAAGTCCTCATAAATTCTATAAACTTTAGGCTCCTCTAGGACAATGAGTTTTTTTGTGTTTTCTGTGTCTCAAACATCTAATATTAAATAGACAGTCATACAGGCTTTGGAATAAATTGAGCAATCAAATGATAAACTTACTAAAGATTGCTTATGATGTATTGGTAGTTATTTTAAATTATGAAAACAATACATGATATGAAAACATGCATTTGAACAAATGTATGATATTCTAATGACTATACTGCAACTTGCTTTTCCTACTTAATATACTGTGGGCACTTTTCTCTGTCTTTTCATATAGCTTTAAAATAGCAAAATTAAAAAGTCAGCTGGGCGCAGTGGCTCACACCTGTAATCTCAGCACTTTGGGAGCTCAAGGTGGAAGGATTGCTTGAGCCCAGGAGTTCAAGAGCAGGAAAGGTGAAGGTTGCAGTGAGCCATGGTCATGCCACTGCACTCCAGCCTGGGTGACAGAGCAAGAACCTTCCCAAGGAAAAAAGAAAAAGAGAGAGAGAGTCAGAAACGTCTTAAGATTACAATGCGTACCACTACATATTTGAACCACTCAATGGCTCAGTAAATCAATGTTGAAAGAGATGAAATGACTTTCCCAAGGTTATGCCACGAGTTGGTAACTAGAGTAGGTCCTCCAGTCGGGTGTCTTGACTTGTACCCCGGTTCTCTGACATCTGTCCCCATCAACAATGAAAAAGAAAGGACGACTACGTGTAACTATCCAAGGGCGAGACTCTGTGGAAGGAGAGAAAGCTCCTTCCAGAGTGAGGAAGAGTTCTCACTAAGGCAGCAGTTTTTACACTGAGTATTTAGAGAGGACCGACAGGAAGACAAAGCTGCTGGTTTATCCGGAACAGTTCAGCTTTAACTTGTCTTTAAAATGTAGGACTTTCATTTGCCCACATATTTCTGGCAGCTGTTCTTCCCCCTGAACTCCATTAGTAACTTATGAGGATGCTAAGAGAGGGTGGTAGATGAGTCAGCAGAGGTCAAGCAGGGTGTCAAGCAGCAGAGGGAACAACCTGACCAAGCTGGTTCCTGCCTAGACTGGAGAATATGAAGATCAGACACAAGCCCTGGCAGTTACCTAAATGCCAAGGAGGAAAGAACCTGGCACCAGTACACTCAGAATTGCATCCAATACCCTTTCTTTCAACAAACAAATCATCACCAGCCAGCTATGAATGCCTCTCCATTTATTTCCCTTATCTATGGGCAGAATAGAGTTGCTAGAAAACACTGCTGGGGTCAGACGTTGAGTGACCTACTGGAAGGGGCAAGCCAATTGGGGCCTGACAAGGAGTGACACTGGCTTCAATCAGCCACTTCCCAATAGGTACCTGGAACCAGAGTTGTTCTTACTTGTGAGGCTAGACTTCTAAATGAAGCCCCCTTTCTGAGGGGCCAGCAGAGGAGCTATTAATTTGAGAATGGCTAATAAAATTATTAGGAGAGCCCTGTTGTTCATTCCCTACCATTGGGAGTACAGCCGTGGTTTAGTGGAAAGAGCAGAAATTGTAGAGTTAGGACACTACTCCTATTTTCTAGCTCGACCAGATAATTATCCTCTGAGCCTCAATTCCTACGTTTATAAAATGGAGTCAGCGTTTACTCCTATTAAGGCCTTTTGTGAGAATACAAGAAGAATATTTGTGTAAAACACTAACACTTAGTAGGCATTTGATTAATGGTTCTCCATTCTCCTCCTTGAGAGAATTTAACATAGAGGCCAGTACAGTGACTACCTAGAAAGCACGTCATATTTTTAGCAAGAGAATAAATAATTTATTCTGAGTTTCTAAAATCACTCAACTGCTCACAACTGAGCTAAGCACCAGGAATGTAACAATGTACAGGTTACAGTTTTTGCTCCTGAAAAGAATATCGTCAAGGGGAAAACGAGAAGTTGAGAGGAAATAAGACTTCAGCATCATCAATCTTACCTGGATCTGGAAAGTAAGGCCTTCAATAGCTCAGTAAATCATTGCTGAACCAGGTGAAATGATTTTCCCAAGGTCATGCGGCGAGTTGATAGCAAGAGTAGCTCTGGGATTCCACATCCCCTTCGATAGGGTTTCTCAGAGAAGCCGCAGAGTGTTCAGGGCTGGGAGAGATAAGAGTGATTGTTATCTCATCCAGGCCTATCATTTTACAGGTGCAATTAATCTCCCCAATCCCGTCATCTATTTGGCTGCTAAGGGAACACAGGTGAGGATCATCTAGCTCATCCTCCAGGGTCCGGAAAGGCTTCCAGGAGGAAGTGATGTTTAAATAAGCAGCTAAAAGATACATAGAAGTTATTCATGTGAAAGAAAGGAAAAGCTGAGTAATAGATGTTCAAGCATTTGTTCATTAATTAATTCATTAATTCATTCAACAAACAAGTCCTAAGTACCTAGTATGTTCTAGGAACAACTGTTTGAGACACTGGGGATAGAGTCTTGAATGAGATAGACAAGATTTTTGATCTTATAGTGTCAACTCTTCAGCCAGCTGACCAAAAATAAATTATTAACAAAATATCAACAAGTTATTTGTGCCATGAAGGAAATAAAGCAGACTTCAGGGGAAATAAGCTACTTGAGATTCTGTGGACAAAAAAGTCCTCTCTAAGGAAGTTCCTTTTCAGTTGAAACCAGAGAGGAAAAGAAACCAGCCAGGCAGTGATGGGAACCAATAACCTGCAGACAAAGAGAAGTGCTAGCATGAAATTCTGACTTTCAGAGCAGGTGTAGCAGGTTCTTGGCACAAAAAGAAGGTGACTATGGCTGTTACAGGGAGGCCAAAGAGGACATAAAACTGTGTGAAGAAGGAAGGCAAGGCCAGCTTCCATAAGGCCACATAGGGAGGGTGAGATGTTTGAATTTTATTCTAACTATGATGTGGAGCCATTCAGGGTTTAGCAGGAGAGAGTTGTGGTCAGATTTACATATTTAAAAATCACTCATGTTCTTGTGAAAGCATAAAACAAGCAATATTTGCAAAGGCTCCAGATGAGAGAAGACATAATCTATGTGAAGAAAAAGGGAAGAAAGGAAGGTAGGTAGGAAGGAAGAAACAAAGAAAAAAAGAAAAGAAAGGAGGGATGGAAGAAGAGAAAGGAAAGAAGGTAAGGAAAGGAAGGAAAGGAGAGGAGAGAAGGAGAGAAGGAAGGGGAGGGGAAGGGAGGGGATGGAAGGGGAGGGGAGAGGAGGGGAGAGGAGGGGAGAGGAGGGGAGGGGAGGAGAGGGGAGGGGACATGAGTGGGGAGGAAGGGCAGAAAAGAGGAGGGAAAGGGAGGGAAAAAGGAAGGAAGGGAGGGAGGAAAGGAGGGAGGGAGGAAGGAAGGAAGGAAGGAAGGAAGGAAGGAAGGAAGGAAAGAATCATTCATTTCAGCTGGAGAAGAAATTCTGAGGAAATGGGTGCTAGGGATGGTCCTGAAGATGTTGGCTGCCCTCTGCCTGAAGGGACTTGGGTGCAGTGACAAGGATTTCGACTTCAACCCAACGGCAATGGATGCTATAGAAAATTTTACAGATGGAAGTTAGAGTTCTGCTTTAGAAGCACACCAGTGACAGCAGTGACAGAGATAGCTTCGGAAACTAGAGCTTAACTGAAAATCTTCCTCCCTCAGGGACCACAGCTCTGTTGTGTAGGTAACATGTGTGTACACAGAGGTGCGCATAGGTGAGCATGAGTGAGCAGAGGAGGGGCTCTGAACTCACACAGAGAGAGAAACTGGATGTACACAGCTACAGAAAAAGTCAAAAAACCCTCAGCAGTACCCTGAGGGCAGTGCATAGATCTCTCAAGGCTCTCCTAAGGCCATGGGTGTTCTGGGATTCTACATTCCCCTCATTAGAGTTTCTTGGAGAAGCCACAGAGTATTCAGGGCTGGGAGAGACAAAAGTGATTATTATCTCATCCAGGCCTATCATTTTACAGATGAAATTAGCCTCCCCATTCCCAACAGCCATATGGCTCTGAGGTTAGTCTCCCCAAAGCTCAGCCACGAAGACTGGCTTTTCATTTAAGATATTGCTTAAAATGACTGTCTCTGTCCCCACCACAAATAATCTACTTTTGTCCCTCAGTCTGAAATGCTGTGGCTTATATAATTGATGTCCCACGATAGGGCTTGCTCCTGCAGCAAGCTAGTCACCCAGAGCCTGGGTGGATGAGTCTCTGCCTGCCTCGCCATGGTGCAGTGGAAGAGGGTCTGCCTGTGTGTGTGAGGTCATACCCCTTTTTCAAAAAGAAGTCCAGCTGGGAAAAAGCTCTTGTCCCAGAGATGTAATTTCCTTCAATGGCTCTGCCTCAATTCACTGCTGCTGGTATTTCTTTGAACAAAATCTGTGGAGCATTGGGTTCACACCTTTTTATATCAAATACTGTCTCTTTAGTCATCTGTAAAACATTAAAAGGGTACCTACTAAGTGCTAACCACTCTGCTTGTCACTAAAGTCACAACAATAAAGATATAGCCTCAACTTAGGAATCTTGTGATTTAGTGATTTTATTGAAATTAGAAAAACATAGAACAAACATTAAAATTCTAAAATATGTATTACCTCAACTTTTCCTCAGAGATTCATAACATTTTGTAACTAACTTTATACTATCCAAGAGAATAAGTATAATTTTCATCCTAAAGAACTGGAACTTTGATACACAGAATTCTCAAGCGGTGGAAACTTTACTCTTGGTTAGTAATACATATCTTAAATGCCCAGCGATCGCCTGTTGTTATGACACATATGGCAGTTCTGGCAAAGTGGATTGCAATGGGGAACTAACCTTATGCATAGGAATAATGATTATATCCCTGATCTCATGTTAACCATCACTATAAGCCCAATTTTATTGATAAATGGACTGAAATCTAAAGAATCAGAAACCTAACAAGGTCAATCAAGCAGTAATTTCCATCATTCTGAATATTGTTATTATCATTATTGTCAATATAATAGTTAATTATTGCATATTATTATAGTAGTCATAGCTATGCATTTATTTATTCATTACATAAACATTTACCTAACATCTCTTATGTACAAAACTGTGAATAAGACACAGTTCCTGCCATTAGGGAGCTCCCAGCTCCCTAAATAAAAAATTCATTCATTAATTGATAAACATTGGTTTGTTTCACCTTTTGGCTATTATGGGTAATGCTATGTGATAAACATTTGTGTACAAGTTTATGTGTGGACATATGTTTTCATATAATGGAATACTATTCAGCTATAAAAAAGTCCAAAGTACTGATACATTCTACAATGTGAATGAACCTTTAAAACATCATGGTAAGTGAAAGAAGCCAGATACAAACAGGCACATATTCTATGATTCTATTATACTTATATAAAATAGCCAGAATAGGCAAACTCCATAGAAACAGAAAGTGGCTTATTAGATTATCAAGGGCTGAGAAGAGGTACTATGGGAGTGACTGTTGGAGACCAAAAGAGTGAGGGTCATGATCAACTCAGTATACCACTGGAGGCTATATGAGTAAACAGCAAACTGTTCTCATAAATGCAGAATGCTGGCAAACTGACAAACTGCATCTGTCACCCAGAAGGAATGCTGAGGGCTGTCACGACCCAGTCACAAGTGTTTCTTGTGATTACGCACATCTGAGGCCTGTTAGCAATAATGGGAACCTGTGATCAATCAAGCAACTGACCAATCATTACTTCCTCCTCCCTGCTCTTTCTCCTCAATAAATATGAAGGGTTGTAGAAGCTCAGGGCTGCTGCTGCCTTTGCTCACTAGAAGCAAGGAGCCCTCTTCTTCTTCCCCGGACCCCTTCTTTAAAACAGTTTCTTTTGTTTTAAGTTTTCATTTCTATGTTTGTCCTCCTTCGTTCAGTCTTGTAATGATGATCTCAAGTAGTAACAGCAGTAACTGTCATAGTGATGGCCTCAAGTAGTAACTGTGGCAGACTGCCACAAGTGACTGCTAATGGACACTAAATTTTCTTTTGGGGTAACATAAATATTCTAGACTTAGATAGCAGTGATGATTGAGCAGCTTTGTGAAACAACTAAAAATCACTTAATTGTATGTTTTAGAAAGAAGACTTTGATAATGTGTGAACTGTATCTCAACAAAAACATGTTAATAAAATTTTTAAAACATAAGTGTCATGGTAGAAAGGCTGTAGGGTGCTGTTGTGCTATGAATTCAACTCTCATTTTATTGACAGCCTATTATATGTTTATGTGCTTTATATGGTACTAAATTAATGGTTTATCTTCTCTCCTTTGATCTTAAAAATAGCACTCACTCATTCATTCATTCTTCAGCAATTATTGGGGTTGGGGGGACAATTAATGTGTCAGGCACTGATCTAGGCACTGAGTATATCACTCTTAACAAAAACCAAGGTCTCTGCTCTAATGGAGACTGTATTCTAATAAGGAAAGGGTGACAGACTGAGGGTGTAATGAAGAAAAATGAAATCGAATCAGGGCTCACAAAGTGATGAAGGCTGGGGAGGTGAGGAGTCTTATGTTTTATGAGTTGGTCAAGGAAATAATCTCTGAGGATTAATATAGGAGCAAAGACTTTAATGAAGCAAGGGAATTAGCCATGTGAAGGTCTGTAAATGAATGTTCCAACAGAAAGAACGATAAAGTTCAGGGATGGGGGTGAGTTTGGCATATTTGAGTAACAGCAAGAAAGTCTGCATGTCTAGAGCAGAGAAGGCAAGGAGAGAGTGGCAGAAGGTAAGCTCAGAAAGAGGGACCAGGTCAGATGCTGTTTAGGGGCTTACAAGATGTGACCATGGCTTGGGATTCTATCCCACTTTTGAAGGAATTCTATTAAAGGGCTAAGAGAGCAGTATTATGACTTGATTTATCTTTTCAAAGGATTACTCTTAGGACACTGGTGAGAAGACCACAGGGAAGTAAGAAGAAGATATCAATTTGGGAGAAAATGTCTGTGGTTTAAGGATTATATAAAAATGGCTTGACTTGGGGTGATAGGAGAGTGAAAGAAGATAGCTCTGGATATGGTGCAAAGAGAGAGCTGATGGGTCTTATCCATGGAGTGGATATGCAAAGTGAAGAAAGTGAGCAACCAGATTATCAGTTGAACATGTCCTATTAAGGGGAAAACTGGAGAAGAAGTAAGTTTGGGGTGGTAGAAATCTGGAGGTCTGTTGTGTGTAGATCAACCTCTTATAGACATCCAAGTGGGATGAAAAGGAGATATAGATACAGGTGTGGTGCTCAGAGAAGACACCCATGCTAGAGAATAAATCTGGGGCTCAGCAACATATAGGTAATATTTCAAGTCAGGGGACTGGTTGGGAATACCTAAGAAACCAGAGAGAAGAGAAGAAAGCAAAGAGGAAAAGGAATGGAAAACAATGGGAGAGGAGGATCAAACCCTTGGAAACTCTATGACTCAGTGCTCAAGCAGAAGACAAAAGACCAGGAAAGGAGATTTAGAAGGAAATAGGAAATACTGGAATACCAGGTGTGATGGTTAATACTGAGTGTCAACTTCATTGGATTGAAGGATGCAAAGTATTGTTCCTGGGTATGTCTGTGAGGTGTTGCCAAAGGAGATTAACATTTGAGTCAGTGGACTGGGAGAGGCAGAACCACCCTCAATCTGGGTGGGCACCACCTAATTAACTGCTAGTGTGGCTAGAACAAAGCAGACAGGAGAAGATGGAAGAGCAGACTTGCTGGATCTTCCAGCCTTCATCTTTCTCTCATGCTAGATGCTTCCTGCCCTTGAACATCAGACTCCAAGTTCTTCAGCTTTTGGACTCTTGGACTTACACCACTGGTTTGCCAAGGGCTCTCAGGCCTTTGGCCACAGAATGAAGGCTGCACCTTTGGCTTCCCTACTTTTGAGGTCTTGGGACAGATCCACCACTGGCTTCCTTTCTCCTCAACTTGCAGACACCCTATCATGGGACTTTAACTTGTGATTATGTGAGTCAATTCTTCTAATAAATTCCCTTTCATATATACATATATTCTGTTAGTTGTGTCCCTCTAGAGAATCCTGACTAATATGCCAGGAGAGAATGAGGAAGGAGTGCTGTCCCTATAACAAAATTAAGAAAGTGTTTCAAAAAGAAATCTATGATTAATAGGACCAAGTGGTCCTTAGAGGTTGAATAAGTGAAAATAAAAAAAATTGATCATTGAATTTGTCACTGTAGAGGCCACCCATGAGGGTGAGAGGTGGGATAAGGGTATGGGAGTTTGAAAACAGAGGATAAAATGTGACAAAGTCATGCTAGAAAATTGGAGCAGGGATTACTTGGGGAAATGTAGAGGAAATGCCTGAAGATGATGAGGGTACATTTCAGATGTTTGTCTTATATTTAAAGTGAGATCTTCAGCAACATTGCGTTTTTATCCTACAATGTTCCTAAGCAAACAAAATTCCTGTGTAACAAAAGGAGATGGTCAGAGGTAGAAAGCTTGAAATCAAAATCTTGAAAACGCACAATTACCAGCAATGACAAAGTTCAAGGTTAAACTACGTGAGTAGATGTTTAAGAGGTCACTATAATGACAGAAGTAGTCTTGAAAAGAAAGGCAGTAATGTAGGAGCTGGACTGTTCAATCCATCTGGAGAAGCAACTTGGGAGATGGCTGATGACCAAAACAAAAGTGGGAAGAATAGCCTGATGGTATGCTTTTCAATGCAGTTATTAATTTTTGAGAAAGGAGAGAATTGTTGGGAAATAGTAAAGAAAATGCCTACCTTAGGGAACTAGAGATGTGGAAGGAAAACCTACCATTTGTGAGGGCTGCAGTATGCCTTAGAGCCTCTGGTCTACCATTTTTCCCTTTGGAAAAGAAAGATAAAGAGAAGCATCAAAGGAAGAATTTGAGGATATAGATGAGAGATGATGAATTTGAGAGGACAGAGTGAAAAAATTGGGGAGATGAGGAACGAATGAAAATAGTTCAATTTAGGAGCTACACAGAGCCACCTAGCGATGAATCTAGGTGATAATGAATGGCTGATGTTCTCTATTTATTGTAGCAATTGATTAAAATGGGAATGTAAGATTGGAGGGATTGATTTCCTGGTCTTTTATGTAAAGGTGGGTAATTCTAATTTAGCCACCCTTTTGGGACTGGTCCCTTAGGTTACTTGCTGTGGCGATGTTAAGGAAGTCTCTAAGGCAGTAAATAGCGACCTTGTTTTTACAATGAGAACATGAAATTCTGCTGCCCTCTAAATCCCACTGTGGCAGTACCTGATCCCAAGTCCTGCCAAGTGCATATGAGCTCAAGAAGCCTTCTTAACAGACTGCACAGGATGGTGTCACCGCGGGAAGAAAGTACTGGTCTTAATAAGAGCCCTGACAGCCAGGGTTGTTAAACCCATTTTACAGATAAATAAACTGAGACCCTCAAATGTTTAATAAGGTCAGACAGTTAGGATGTGTTGAAACTGGTCTCTCTGATTCAAACTCCAGGGCTTATTGAACTTGATCAGCTATTCACTTCAATTCCACAAATGGCTGAGATTGCAACCGCCAGCCCCAAACCTCACAGGCTCCCCATTCTACTCACCCAGAAGCACCATTTTCACTCTTCTCCTCCCTAAGAACACTGGGCAGTCTCCTGTTGCCATGGCAAACTGTGGGCCATGTAGCCACCCTGACAAAGGGCTACTGTGCCCTCTGACTAAATCCCACTCACAATGTCTGATTACCACATGCAAACCCAGCTTGGACAGCCTCCCTGAAAATCAGTGGGCTGTTTTCATGAGTGAAGCTTTTTTCCCCTTCTAATTTAGCATTTTCTTCTATTACCAAAAAAGGGCAGATTTCCATATTCCAATTCTCACCAACACTCCCTCAGAGACTACACTTTACTGAGATCAGTTCGTTCTCTAAACAGTGGTTTTCCTGGCCACATGGTGCCAGCCTTCCTCATCCTCCCTATCCCCTTTCTGTGGCTTAGGGAAGATACAAAGGTGGCCTGACTTAGGTGATAGGAAAGTAACCGAAGGGAGTAAGAAACAGTCAGGTTATGGTTTGAAGGTAGAGCCAACAGGTCCTTTGACGGAGTCAATGTGGGAAGTGAGGCAGGTGAGTGGCCAGGTAAGATGGCAGGGTGGAGGAGGGGCAAGTTCAGGGGTGTAGACATTAAAGGAGTGTTTTATACAGGTTAAGTTTGTCTTACTTATTGAGCATTCAACTGGAAATGTACAATGGATACTCCAGATGTCTGGAGCTCAGCACATCTTATGAATATAAGGCAGTCATTCTCAACATCAGCATGATTAGCAATTTGGACTGGATAATGGTTGGCTGTGGGGAGCATCTCTGCACATTGTAAAATGTTTAACAACATCCCTGGCCTCCACCCACTAGATGCCAGCCACACCATTCCCTCCCCCGGGGTGTCAAAACCAAAAATTTCTTCGAACATTGCCAAATGCTCCTTGATGGCAGAATCACTCCCAGTAGAGAATCACAGATTTAGTGATAACTAGTATTATCCATTTTCTACAGATGCTCATGCACCTATTTCTGTGTATTAACTGGTAGGTAAATTTAGCAATAGAAAATGTTCTTTTTTTCCTTTTTCACATACTTAGTTATATGTACCAATTTGTAATTTGCTTACTTCACATAGGATGTCTAAACATGCTAGTATATAGGAAGCTGCCATTTAAAAATATATATATATGGTATAGTATTCTGTAGTTTGGATATATTCTGTTTATCTACAACTATATTATTGAAACTTTAGTTTATTTGTGAGGTGGTTGTTGTTTTGATACTGTAAATAAAATTGCAATGAATGTCTTAACACATATGTACTTATTTCTCAGAAAAAGAAAACTGAAATTGTTGGTCACAGAGTATATGAATTTATAAACTTCATAAATTGCCTCGTGTAGATAGTTTATAAAAATAACTGCTATAATTTCCTCCCTGTATCCAGTCTCTTTTGTTATTTGACTTTGTGGCTCCTCTATCTTTTGAGTTTGGGCTGACTTTGTGACTTACTTAGATAAATTGAATGCAACATAGCACAGTCAGGAGCAAGGGGCTGCTTTAGACATCATCATGCCCTTAAGGCATTGCAGTCTTGACCTTAGGGACAGTCAAGTATATAGGAGATGAAGCATCAGGGAATTGAATCAGGGGAGCAAGGAGGTTAAAATACTTCACAGGGGAAGCCAGATCTTGCAGGTTGGGTGGCAGAATGCCTGTCAAGGACCCATCCATAACAGGATGCTTCAGTTTCATCTTCCTCCAGATCAGAGCTGATTAATCCCAAAACCTCTGGGTCTCCTCCCCATGGATAGACCATGGGGAAGGTTGACAGATACAAACACCTGCTAATGCAGTGAGGTGAACAAGGGCGATGTAATTTATTAATTTCCCATCAAAGAGTTAAGCCCTGTGCTGATCTATCAGCCCAGGAAGTAGGGGTCCGTGGAAAGTATATGATTTTTTTTTTCAGAACATAAATTATGTCTCACATAAATGGCTTAAGAGGGAATTAAAGGGACACATTTCTTTGGGATAAAGAATGTTGAAGGCAGCTGGTTTTGGCTTTGCGTCAAATCAGAGGGTGGGGGGCAATGTCTTGAGAAGCTTTGGGAAACAAATTTGGAAGCTTCATCCTTCTCCCTCCCTCCTGTTGTGCCAGGATGTCTCCTTTGACATCTGAAATACCCTGTTGCGCTATTCAACTTTTTTTTCTGAACCAATGCTCAGCAACACTGTAGTTTGAATCAGTGGAGTGGCTGGTAAACCCCTTTTTGTTTTCTTTGCTCCCACTCTCTCCTCTGCCCTTCTCTTCTTTGTCCCCCTTTTTTCCTTTCCCTTTAGGGTTGTTTTCAATAGGAAAGAAGCATTTCTCTGAGAAGCACAAAGAATCTAGTTAATGGTTTAGTCATTTTGAAGATGAATAACAGCAAGTCTACCCCATATTCCTGATGCAAACTTCTGTATGCAACATAAGGAAATATGTATTAGGACATTAATTGCAAAGTTATTTGAAATACAAAAAAAAGAAAAATGAAAGAAGCAAACAAGCTAAAGGTTCAACAACATGGATGTAGATAAATACATGGTTATATATCCCTACACAGAATACTATGCCACATTTCAAAAATAAAACAAAACCCGACAGCTTCCTAGGCACTAGCATTTTTAGATATCCCAAATACATGGGCTTGAGAATAAGCAAGTTAAGAGATACATATAGAATAACAGTAACTATGTGAACAAGAAAAGAGAGCACTTTCCTTAGTAAATATATCTACAGGTAAATGTAAACATAGGTCCCATGTTATCAATAAATGGATAACACTAGTTCCTGCTAGGTCAGTGGTTCTCAACTTGGGAAAATTTTGCCCCCCCGGAAATTTGCCAATATCTACAAACATTCTTGGCTATGGAAACTGTGTGTGGATCATGGGGGTGGGTGGTACTACTGGCATTTAGTGATGGAGGCCAGGGATGCTACTAAACATCCTGCAATGCACAGGAGAGAGACCTCCAGCAAAGAATTACCCATCCCCAAATGCCAACAGTACCGAGGCTGAGAAACTCTACTCTAGGTAGACAAAGAGGTGATAAGGATTAGGAGGTAGATGTCAAGAAGAAGTTTATCTATAATGTTTTAGACCTTTCAAAGAGAGTGTAATTGTGCATCACTGATGTAATTAGTAAGTGATTAAAAAATAACCTTCAGTAGTTTTCCATTGACAGAAAAGGACTTTTTGTTACCTGCCTCATCTCTCCCAGGTCCCTATCACACATCCTACATTTTAGGCATACCAAAGCATTTATAGTCTTTTGAGTTTCATGTGCTTCATAGTTGCTTTTTTTTCACCTCTTGATCCTTCTGCTCTGAAAGCTTCCTCTCCTCTGTCTGTGCCTGGTGAAATCCCATTCACACTCAAGAGCCCAACTCAGTACCATTCTCCCTGTTCTTCCCAGGTGAAGCTGCCCTCTCCCTCCTGTCTGCCGTCTCTGCAGTGCCTAGACATCTGGTGTTATAATGAGACCTCAGCATCTTGACTTGGGGAAGCTGGTTTTGCAGCTTATGCATTACCCTAGCCAGCCTTATGGGCAACCTGGCTTCCTGTACAGCCTTCAAAAACCACCCAAAAGGACAGGTCATACATCACACAAACTTAACATACAAACCTCTTTCAACAGAGAATCAGGAATTATCTCGCTTAGTGTCACCCACACATCCTCTTGTTCTTGGAATCACATACTCCAGCGTGCACTGGAGTGGCCAGGATGGTAGATGTATGATGTGGGCACAGAAGGCAGTCTGGCAAACCAGAGAGCCCCTCACCCAGGGTAGCAGCCTGCACTCATTTCCTGCTAATTACTGCAGACCTCATGTTGCCAGATCTTCCAAGATAAATTTAAAATTCAGGATTTTATTATAAAGTTTCTCAATAAAGTTTAATATTCAAAGCAAAACCTTACAATCACTCTATGAGTGAGACAAAAATGCATCATTGGATCAGATCTGTTTTCAGGGCTACTGGTTTTTAAACTCTCAATTATTATAACTATCCATAAATGATATTCCTGAACTACATAAAGAAAGAAATGAAAAGTGCAGTCTAGTATGAAAGATAGGCACAAAGACACATACAAAGTCAAGAGAGACACATGTCACACAGTCTTCAGCATACTCTCTCCAACCCTCAGAGAAATGAGCACAGATGAAAATCAGACTCTTGTCACTATCAGAGAAGTCTAACTTTCTCCTGTGGGGATGAGTAAAAGAGAAGTCTAGAAAGAACCAATGCTTTCTCTTTTTTTTTTTTTTTTTTTTTTCTGAGAAGGAGTTTCACTCTTGTTTTCCAAGCTGGAATGCAATGGCACAATCTCAGCTCACTGCAACCTCCACCTCCTGGGTTCAAGCGGTTCTTCTGCCTCAGCCTCCCAAGTAGCTGGTATTACAGGCAGGCACCACCATGCCTGGCTGATTTTTTTTGGATTTTAGTAGAGACAGGGTTTCACCATGTTGCCCAGTCTGGTCTCGAACTCCTGAGCTCAGGCAATCTGCCCATCTCAGCCTCCCAAAGTGCTGGGATTACAGGCGTGAGCCACCACACCCAGCTAGAACCAATACTTTCTTTCTAAAACTTCTTAGATGATGCGGGGTCCTATTTTATGGACTATGGTCAATGCAAATGGAAGAAAAAGAGAGTGGATGTTTTTTCATACTCTAATATACTAAACCAGATTGACTTTGAATATGACTCCATGATCCTATAAACTGTAAACACTCAGCTCTCAGGTTGGTCATATGAGCAATAGACAGACATCGCAGGGGAGGAATATCCCAGGCTCACGCATGGAGTTTTCTTTGGTACCAGCTCCCTCATGGATCACAGTCCTTGGAACACAATCACAATGGCCAATATCCAGAAAATATTTTCATTTCATGGCCCTCAAAGCCCAGCCAAGGCCAGGAGCCAAGTAAGAGCAGGGAAGGAGACTCAGCCTCAGTTTCTGATGTATTGCAACCATGCCAGCTGTCTTTGGAGCAGACTCTATTCTCAGATGTCTCCACTGGGATCCATGGTTGTTTCAGGATCTTGGACGCTGACTTCCAGCATCTTTCTCTGTGGGTATCATATGGAAGGAAGGGAGACTGACTCATGGTAGAGCCCATTTAGACAACCAGGGAAGAAGCGGCACATGATCCGATTTTCCTGACCAGGAAGACTGTCAGGTACATCCCCTTTACATGTAACATGCTGAAACATGTGCCTGTTGCCATGGAAACCCCATAATGCAAAGTGAGTAAACGCAGCCTGAATAGATCCAGTCCAGAATGCTTGCTGAGTCCTGCTGCTTTCAGTCTCTTTCATCACCCGAGTCGGAGTACAGCTGGAGCCAGAATTAGTGATGGGTAAAGAGCTCAAAAGGCCCCTGGTCTCCTTCCAGTGCATCTCTGATTTAAGTAAAGCCTATTGGGTTTGGAAGACTCAAGTGGCCAAGCTGTCCCGTGAGAGTCCCGGCTCCCCTTTCTCTCATCCTAGGCCACAAACCAGCATCTCACTCTATGTTGCGGGGAGTGATGTGGAAGCTAATCAAAGCAGCTTTTAAAAGGCTTTCATGGTTTGCAAAAAAAAAAAAAGAAAAAAAATAGGGGGTGTTTTGGGTGGAGACCAGAACACAATTTTGCTTCCAGCCTGTTTCCCCTTTTTTCTTAAATACACACAGATTGAGATAGACTCTACAGCAACAAGTTTGGAACAAGCGAAAACCTTTAAACAAAGCTATTAAACATTATTTTCCTGCTCCAGTGAAAAGCAGCAGCTATGGGCCAAACACAAATCCAGAACACCCAAAGTTCTGTTCTGAAGACTATACATTAATTAGAGAAAATAAAACATTTTCTCACCATGCGTTCCTTTCCACAGATGTATCTAATCATGTTATATGTAGACTGTAATAGCTAGTCAGAGCCCACCTAAATAGCTGAACTATGTTTTTAGTCTCGTAGAATAAGATAAATAAATATAGCAGTGGCAGAGGCCATTTGACAGGAAATATCTTGGGAGATTTCATGGACCACATAGGATGGTCCAATCCATGGGGACGGCTAATGTGGCAGATCAACACAACTCAGAGAAAAGTGAGTTTAGACACCTTTATGTGTTTCAAAACTATAATAGCTTCTTACACCTCCTTTTTTAAACGTAATTGCATTCCTCACACAACACTTACTACTGTGTTCCATATGAACAGCAGCAAGAACAAAACATCAGTGAGGAGATAATGTTATCAGAATGCCACCCATCATTTTCTTCCTTCTGAGATGTCTTCTAAATTCTAAATCTATACAACAAATGGGAGAAAGAAAATATTCTTCATTTTTTGCATTTAGAATCTGGGAGCAGGGGCAGGCCTTGCTGAGTTCTGGAGGTCTGTTTGTTTAAGGAGGCTTTCCAACTCAATGAGCCAGGAATAAAATGGGGAAACATGCCTTTTTATATATCCAGCCCTAAGGTTGATTTTTAATGGTTTCATGTATTTTCTCTGAATAATATTTATGCTATTAAATAAACTCAAAGCCAATGTGTAGATGTACAATTTTCCATAGCATACTGCCTTGAACAGCACCATGATTGAAAATGAGAGAGGAAGCAGGCACTTCATCACTTTCATTTCCTAGATGAAGGCACCAAGATTCAGAGATGGAATTACATTTGTGAAAACCAACCAGCTATATCAGCCACCTACCACGGGTGCCCGAGCACAAGACAACAAGTTGTTTGTCTCTTTGTTTAACCTATATAGTTAAACATTAGAAATGTGGATGAAATAATAAAATGTCCACTTATGATATTTATCAAATTACCACATATTAAAAGTCATAAAATTAGAAATATTAATTGCATTTTCAATTAATGCAATATAATTGCATTTTCTTCCAACTCTTAGTTTTCATGAATCTATTTTATACAAACTTCTGATATCAGATTCCAGCCATTATAAGTCATCTAACAGCTTTGCAGAGCTCCAGTACTTTGGATGCATCTGATTTGTTTGAGGTCTAGTTCTTTGTTAATCGGCAAGCCACAAATACCAATTTGCCTAACAACTGAACATTGTGTGTGCTTAATTCATTTTGTAGACATATATATTCTTGAATTCTGCAACGCAGTCTATCAGGAATAATTACAAAATTTAATAAATATTTTTGCCTCCTCCCTTAACATTTGGTCAGGTGGCCTCTTTTTTTTTTTTTTTTTTTTTTTTTTGAGACAGAGTCTTACCCTGTTGCCCAGGCTAGAGTGCAATGGCGCAATCTCGGCTCACTGCAACCTCCGCCTCTCAGGTTCAAATGATTCTTTACAGGTGCCCACCACCACGCCCGGCTAATTTTTTGTGTCTTTAGTAGAGATGGGGTTTCACCATGTTGGCCAGGCTGGCCTCAAACTCCTGACCTCATGATCCACTCGCCTCGGCATCCTAAAGTGCTGGGATTACAGGCCTGAGCCACTGCACCCAGCCAGGTGGCCTCTTTATATATCCAGACCTTGCACTGATTTTTAATGGGTTCATATATTTTTTCTGAATAATATTTGTGGCATTAAAAATAAAGCAATTGAGAGATTAAGTTTAAATCTGCAGGACTTATAATGCCTTGATTATAAGATACTCCCCTGTTTGCTGAAATAGAATGCTTGTAAACAGAAAGCTCTCCCCTTACAGTCAAGTATTCCCAGCACTGTGGCAGAGCTGGAAAGGAAATGGAATCCTTCATCTTCTAGTTGAGAGTGAGCACCACTGCTCAACACCACTGTTGGATGGCAAGTTTTGGGAGGGCAGGGCAGTGTCTTATTCAGCTTATCTAAGTCCTAGCACCATTTCTGACACAGAACAGGTTCTCAATAACTGTTAAGTAAATGAATGAGATAATTGAATACTTAGCCAAAGCATCTCATATTACTTTAACACACTTTGTACCCTTGACTGAGAAAAGGAAGAGAGACTCTTTAAATTCCAAATGTAGCCAAGTTGTCCCTTAAACTGAAGAGGCACATTATTTTGTTTCCTGTGACAATCCTAAGTGGTTTTATTTGGGCAGACTCATATTGCAACATCTCAGAGCTCAGGCTCATCATCTCAACTCACTAAATAGCAGAAGCAATCAGCCCAGAGTCAATCTAACACTTAGTGGTCATACTGAATGGTCCAGGGAGGCTGATGCCAAAAATGTGGCTTTAGGATTCTTGATCTCACGGATGGGAGACCCCCCATGAGAACAAATGCTTGTCCTGGTGCATTGTCAATTACAACCCTGCTTTCCAGGCTTCAAAGCCGCCGAGAATTCAATCATGTCCCCACACTGAAGCTGGGGCTGACTATGTGCGAACCTGCCACTGTGGCATACTCTTGGCTTTGTTCAACTATATAATGACCGAGGGTTGGGTGGGGAGAGTGTTAACACATACAGGAAGTAATATAAGAAGGGACGTGGGGAAACAGTTTCTGGGAACAAAGTTCCTGACCACTGAAGTTGTTTGAACTTAAGAATCAGAAACACTACTTTGGGATCATGTTATTGGGATGCAACGGGGAGGCACAGAAGGGTAGGGAGCAGGCCCTACTCTGGTCAGTTGTGAAATAGGCTAACTACACAAGCAGTGTTTTCTCCTCTCACTATAAGGATGTGGCCCAACTTCCAAGGGTGCCCCACCATTGAGGTCTTCACTGCCAGGAACTGAAATCTCATGGGACACAAAACCCACCTACACATCCTCTCAACTTCTCCTTTCTGTGTTGAGTCCGTATTAGTCCGTTTCACGCTTCTGATAAAGATATAACCGAGACTGTGCAATTTACAAAAGAAAGAGTTTTAATGGACTCACAGTTCCACGTGGCTGGGGAGGCCTCACAATCATGGAAGGAGGTGAAAAGCAAGTCTCACATGGCAGCAGACAAGAGAAGGGAAGTTATGCAGGTAAACTCCCCTTTATAAAACCATCAGATTTCATAAGACTTATTCACTAACACAGGAACAGCATGGGAAAGACCGGCCCCCATGAATCAATTACTTCTCACCAGATCCCTCCCATAACACATGGGAATTGTGGGATCTACAATTCAAGAAGAGATTTGGGTGGGGACACAGTCAAACCATATCAGATTCTCTCTCCTTGTCCAGGGCCTGGAAACTAGAAGACATCAAACATATTCCAGTTTCTGTTTTCCATAGTATAATTAGCCAATTTATACCTGGTTCAAAGCATTTTCACAGACATTTTACTAAGAGACCTTCACCATCATCTTTTATGGTACATAGGCTGGGGAAGGATTAGAATGTTCATTTTTAAAGTGGAAAAATTAATTTCTCAATGCTCTCTCAAAATTCCCAGGATAACATTATCTTGTTAGGACAAACTATTGGACACTTCACAGTATGGCCTGTGCCTTTCTCTGTAGCATCTCTCCCTTTGCCTTCACCATCCAGGCTGCATTAAAGCTAGTATGAGTGACTTGTAGTTCCCAGAAACTATCATCCCATTTCACGCCATGCCTTGACTCATGCCTTCTCTTCTCCCTGGAATGTCTCTCTGCCATCCTCTGTTTGATAGATACATCATGACAACTGCTAAGTATATTTCAAGATTCAGACCAGATATTGTCTCCTGGAGGGAAGTGGACACTTTCCCCCACCTCAACACCCACACTGGTTAAAGGCCCTCGTGTTCACCTGTATCATACAAACCATCTATTTTCAGTGTTTACCTGTTCACATATCGACTTTTCCCCAACTGATTGTGAATTTGTGGAAATCCAGTAATATTTTGTTGCAAGTGACAATAAACTCAAATCAACTTGATTTTGATTTAAAAAAACACAGAGGAAAAGATATATTGGCTCAATAACTCAATGCAGCACTTAAGGCATAAATGCACTCAGGGCCTCAAACAATATCGCCAGTGTTCACGCTCTCATAGCATCCAAGCTCTACTTTCTTCTTGGTGTGTTTTACTCTCAAGAAGCTACCTCTCTTGGCTACCTGTGGTGGCTCATGCCTGTAATCCCAGCATTTTGGGAGGCCAAGGCAGGCAGATCACCTAAGGTCGGGAACTCAAGACCAGCCTGGCCAACATGGCAAAACCCCATCTCTACTAAAAATACAAAAATTAGCTGGGCATGGCGGCACGTGCCTGTAATCCCAGCTACTTGGAAGACTGAGGCAGGAGAATCACTTTAACCCAGGAGGCAGAGATTGCAGTGAGCCAAGACTGTGTCACTGCACTACTGCAGCCTTGGTGACAGAATGAGACTCCATCTCAAAAAAAAAAAAAAAAAAAAAAAAGCAGCAGCAGCAGCTTTCTCTCTACACAGCAGCTTCTGGAATAGAATAAAATAAGCAAGTGTGAAATGGGCACAAATAAGTTTGTCAAGGTTGCCAAGGGCTAGATCAAGCCGAGCCTATGGTCCCGTTAAGGCTTCAGGATTTTGTAAATGCATCAAAATGCCTTGAGAGGTTAAGCACACAAAAAAATGGGTGTATGCAAAAACACCTGCTCTTGTGTTCATTGCATATGATGAATGAGAGAAGCAAGAGTGGAAGGAGAGTCAGCAGCTGTGAGGCAGATATAATAACCTAAGGCTCAGGATTGGTGGCCTGAACTAAGGTGGTGGCCATAAAGATGGAGAAAAAGGGACAGAGTCAAGGTGCATTTTGGCAATGAAAATTGGATAATTTTATCATGGATTGGATGGGAAACATGGTTGTGGAAAGGATGATTTTGTATTTAGGACTTGACCAGCTGCTAACACCAACTTCTGAAAAAAAATAAATAAAACATCTTGGTGGGAAGGGGATAGAAAAGAGAGGAGGGGCGAGTTTGGAGGGTGGAGTCGACAGTACTATTTGGCTTATTAATAAATCGGTGCAAAACTACTAATTGTTCAGGAGACATCCAACTGGACTTCAGCTTGATTTGTGCACAGACTTGCCATCCCAAACTGCCCCAGATCTGAAATAAGGTGTCTAGTAGCTAACCACGGAAAAAAGAGATGTGGGAAACCTTTGAGGCATACAAACACTGTAGCTGACAAGCAGGTCACCTTTTAAGTCTTGAATTGAAGATTTGGTTGGAGATTTGCACTTAAAGATAACTAGATCTGAGTTCCAATGGCAACTCCGCTGCTCTCTAGCTGTGCAATCTTGGCTAATTTACCTCCCCTCTCTGAAACTCAGCTTCCTCAACTATAAAGGGGGATCATTCTATACCCCTCACTTTCAGGACTTTTGTGAAGATCTGTGTATTGAAATGTGTTATAAACCGTAGAGTAATAAATACCTATAAATTGAAATTCTGATCAGTTTAATATATACACAGACATCAAAACTAAAGGATTTTTCAAATAAAAATGAGCCACGTGAGGGATATTGGGTACATCATTTCTTCAGGCTCTAGACTTTTGAAATAATCCCAAGAACAATCTCAGCTCTCTGGTGTCAATGAAACACTTGGCTTACTTTGTTTTTTAAACTCCCCCATCACCCCTTGCTCACAGCTTGTCCCCTGTGGCTGATGCTAAAGTGCACTTCTCTCCCTTTATGTCCTAGTTTCTCAGGGTAAATCTATTCCATTTGGCTGAAGAAATAGGCCAGATGATATCTGACATGACTTTCCTCTCCTCCTCCCAGCCACCAGGGAGCTAAGAGATGAGTTAAAGTATTTTGCCAATAAACGGCTGAGGACTAAACAGCCACCTGTGAATTGAACATTGCAGCTTTTCTTTTTTTTTTTTTTTTAATAGCAAAGCCTGGGAATGCCCAGGAAGGGGATGAGATCATCTGTCTCGTCTGTGAGCAACATGTTCTGCAGGTCTTCTCCTTCCACATTACATCATTCTGGAAACAGAAAGTGTCTGGACATTCCTTATGCAATCTGCAGGGGTGTGAAGTGAGAGAGACACTGGCTTGCTGGAGAGTGGTGATTCCCTAATTCTGCTCACAGATGGATATGCACACTCGTTAATTCTGCCAACAGTTATAGAATGCCTACTATATGCTGTAATTTTTGGTGCCAAAACAATCTTGCATGTTTATTTACTTATTCATTCATTTAGCAAATGCTTGAGTGTTTCCTATGTAGCAGGTACTATTATAGGTGTTGGGGACACAGAAGTGAACAAAGCAGATAAAGTCCCCACCTTGTGAGACTGTCACTTGATTGTAGGAGATGAACAATTAATAAGGCAGCATGTAAATATATGATACAATATCAGATAGATGCTCCAATGTAAAAATCAACCAGAATGAGGAGGTAGACGGTAATAGGATGACAATTTTGGATAAGATAATTAAGGAAGTTCCCTGTGAGAAGATGACATTTGGAAAAAGGCCAGAATAAATTTGAGGAGTTAACCTAAAAACATCTCGGCAAGGAAGGGATCTCTAGATAGAGAGCCAGTATGTGCAAAGGTCCTGAGACTAGAAAGTATGCTAGTAGAGAGGCTTTCTAGAAGCATCCCTAACACTAATGCCTATTCCAACAGTGATTCTTCCTATCATACAGGTAAGAAAACTGTGCCTCCAAGAAATTGTTAATTTACCTTCTCTGTAAACAAGTCCTGATAGATTCCATAGATTCAGCCTTCATTCTACTCTGTGTTTATTTAATTCTCACATGTGTTTTCTGTTTGGTGTTCTCGTTATAGAAGGAAAATTAACCCAAGAGTTATGTGATTGAGGTTAATAGCAAAGAAAAGGAAGATGAAAGAATTCTCACTTCCTCTCTGGTTTGCATGAGAACATTACATGTGCTCCCTTTGAATAAAAAAAATCTAGGGTAGTCTATCTGTGTCCTTCGTCATGTTTAATGCCCCAGCCGGTTGAGAGTTGTTAGATTGTGGTGCCAATAATGTCATAAAACCACCATTCTCTCTGTGGACCAAATTGACAGGCTGGGTTCTAATATGTGCATTGACATTCCACACAGAGTTTTCTCCAAACAGACTTGTCTCAGCCTTTTGTCTCGGCCCTCTGTGATCATGAATAGATCTTATTATTCAAACAGTCCTTCAAAGCCACTTTCAAAATGTGCTTTTACAGACCGACATTGGGGAAGTGTTCAAACTCATCCATTTCACGGATGGTCAGGACCCAATTTCATGAAGGTTAATGTATTGGGGCTCCAACAGATTCTTTTGAAAAAAGTAGAAAATGGCAACAGAAAGCAAAGGAGAATTAAAAATGAAGGAATGGGGAAAGTATTAACATTAATTATGTGCCTGGTACATTTAGTCCTCATCATAAACTTATAAAGTAAATATCTTTATCCCTGTTTAGACATAAGCACCACAAAATGTATGGAGATTCAGAAACCAGCAAAAGATCAAGTAACTGAGTGGCTCAGCTGGGATTCAAACCCAAGTGTAGCTTCTTTACACTAATCTATCTGCCAGCTGCTATAGTTTCCTCTCTGAAAAATAAAAAAAAGAGATACTCAGCAAGTTCCTGATTTCTGGAGCCTAGAGCTCTATTAATTTTTTCAGTCATTAAAAGTCCAAAAGACTAAAATTTTTAATCAGTACTCCCAAGTATCTTGCTATTTCTAATTTAATCACAGAATACTATCCCTTTAAAGAAATTCTTCCAAAAAGCTCTGGTTCCAAGCTCCTGCCTCCCCTTTGAGGTTACTTAATGAGGATCATATAATAGATATAAATAGCATTGGGTAATCTTCAAGGCTCCTTGCTGAGTGACCACTGATGCAGTCTGAGGTTTGGATGACACTATCACAAGAATTATTGGAACCAACTGGTACTGTGCTCCCTATCATAGTGGTTTCTTTACAGAGGAAATAGAACTATTCCTACTAAAAGGAGTTCACCAGTTACTTTGATTAATCCCATAACTTGCTATGTTGTCATTTGTTTACATGTCTGACTTCCTATTTGGAGTGCCGGCTCTTTCAGAACAGGGAACATAACTTAATCACCTCTATGTCCCCACAGCATGCCACAATGTTGGCACCCAAGTGCATTTTAGTGAATAGATATCAGTTATCTGGTGCTGCAGAACAAACCAGCCCAAAACCTAGTGGCTGAAGCCACAACCATTTATTTAGCTCACAATTCGGTGGGTCAGCAACTTAAAGCAGGCTTAGCTAGGTGGCTCTTTCGGTTTCTGCTGGGTTCCCTCATGAACATGAGGTTAGCTGTGTTCAATCAGGCAGCTCTGCTTCTGTGTGTGGCTGTGTGCATGTGTCTCTCTTCACCTCCTGTATTCTGGCCTGATTTTGTTCCCATAGCATGATGGATGCAAGAGCAGGGGAGAGAAACAGAAGCATGTAAAGCCTCTCATAATCTACAATCAAAAGTGGCACATTGTCACTTCTGCCACCTTCTTTTGGACAAAACAAGATACAAGGAGAGCCCAGATTAAAATCATGGTGAAATAGACTACCTCTTGATAAAATCTGCAATGTCACATTGCAATGGGTATGGGAAGAGTAAAATAAATAAATAAATAAATAAATAAATAAAACCAGAGCTACTTTTTTCAGTCAATCTACCAGAAAACATTTTTGAATGAATGAACGAACTGTGTGGCATAATGAATTACAATGTATGATATATTTTCTCACTAAGATTAATGCCTTCAGAAACAGCTAACTTTCTAACCTGGAAGAAAGAGATAAAGGTTACCAGCCATCTTAGAGCATGAGATGGCTCGTATTCTATACCCAGCAAAGGCCAGAATATGGGACTTCAAAGGTTGGTGTTCTAAATTAGAACACTGAACTTCATGGTTTTGTTTTAGTTCGGTGTTTCTCTTCCAGGAGAGAGAGTCTCCTGACCTCCCAACTTAGCTGTCCTCACTGATTTATCTCTCCTTTACTCTGAGAGGCAGTGTATGGTGTTCTGGTAAAAGAACACAAGTTTTGAAATCAGACAGACTGGTTTTCAAATTCTGCTGCATGATGAGAACATCAAGGAGCCTTGTGCAATATAACTCAGAGTCCTGGAAATGTTTGTCTATAAAATGGGGATTAATAATAACAACTCTGCATGTCAGTTGTTATTATTAAATGAGATGCTACATATATAATACTTAGCACAGTGCCTGACATAACATAGGTGACAAATATCTGTCACCTTCACACTGCTTTTCACATAGCCTCTGTATTGCTGGAGGATATCTTTCTATAAATCTGCACTATGAAGATGCTTCTTAAACGTTGGTATAGATAGCTGTTCTTGGGAATCCTCAAAACTAATGCCAAACATCAGGCATCATTTATACTTGAAAAGTTGGGAAAGTTAAGAAATGTGACTACACAGCAATTTAAGTGAATATTTTATATTGAAGTCAATCTAAATGTGAATTTATAGCTGTCAGTTATCAATTAATATGTGTCAAATAAATTTTCATTGTGAAGGAGTTCACTTTATGCTGTAGTGTAGCTACATCTTCATAGTTGCAGAAACATTAGATCAAAAAAATTGAGAATCAAACATAGAGTAACATCTATCTAGAGCCCAGTGTGTCACTTAGAATTTCTTCAGATGTTGATTTCTCTATTTCTATGCCTGCAATTAAAGAAAATATTTCTCTTTTTTAACTTCCATTCCTGGCCCTTCATTTCTAAAAAGAACACTGGCTGACATCAAGTTCACCTTTGTTCTAATCAATATTCCATTTCCATCTGAACCTCCTCCACATCCCTACCCCCATCCAATACACACTTTTTCCTCTCTTCCAACATCCCAGAAGATTCCAGCATGATTTATTTAGCCTTCAGATAAGCCTTGACAGAAGGAGAATCTGCCACAATCCATGATGACTCTCTCTGCCAAGCAGACCTCTAGCTTTCTGACAGAGCTGTGTATTTATTGCAGGTCACCTTTGTATGTTATTAACATTCAGTCCAAACTCCCAGACATCGGTGCAAATCTATCTCAATAACAGTGATCACCACTGACACGGCATGCATCAAATCCTGTCCTTTCAACATAGTGAGATCACCAGTGAATAAAAGAATTGGAATGAGTGATAGAGTTTCAAGTTCACTCACATAGGTACCTGCCCAGAGCAAAGAGGAACTTTGCAGTCAGATAGTTAGGCAGCATGGTGCTGTGATAACAAGCTCTGAGTCAGACCCAAGGCCATACTGATTCACACTCTAGCTCTTTCACTGATTATCTTGTGTGGCCTTGAATAATCATTTTATTTCTCTGTGCCTCAGTTTCCTCACTTGTGCAAGGCAGATGATAATGCTATCTACCTTACAGGGTTGTTGTGGGGATTAAATGAGTTAACCATGTAAAATATATTTCAAAAGTGCTGGCATGTACAAAGTTTTCCTTTTTGTTAGTATTTGCAGTTCCCATTAATTCAGTGCTCTGTGATCATGGAAATGTTAACAAACCTTTTGCATCTCAGTTTACAAATTTATAAAAGGAGATAATAATACTTGCCTCAAGAAGTTATTGTATTCAAGGTATATAAAATGCACAGTATAACACTTAGAGGATAAGAGCTGTTATTCATAGTAGCAATAATTGTCATCACCATGAAGTCAATAATCAGGATAACAATTGCCTGAGGCAAATGAGGAATTGTTAAAATATCAAATCGTATTTGAAAATTAACTCTTAGGAATCTGTTATATAGAGAGACAAACTTGAGAAGTGAGGGCTTTGGAGTTATACCGACTGGATTTGAATTACTAGATCTATCATCTAGCAGCAGGAAGACAATGAAACAATAACTTTTGTTTGTTTGCTTGTTTCTCTTTCCTCATTGGAAAGACTGGAAAAATACCACCTACTTTGTAAGCCTGTTGTAAGTTTAAGTGGGATGCTATGTAATGTACTTGGCCATAGTTAGAGTTTAATAAATAGTAGCTATTCTAAAGCAAAGGTCTAAGGCAGAAAAATGACCCATAATTTTTATTAATATGAAGTGAATTGAACAAAACAATCAGATTTATCCTTGTAAGCTTGGCTCCCACTAACTTAATGAAGATGGAAGAGAAAAGAGGAATAAGGGTTACAGGGACTAAGTACTCAGAGTGTGTAAGGAGTTTTGCTGAGGTTAGCTATAAGGAATTTGTGGTTTGAATCAAAGGACTTCAGTTTTATGAGGTTTGAGGGCCTTTTTCAAAAGGAAAACCAGATGTATCATTGGAAAGCTCATGCAAAGAGGGCTATCTTCTGCAAATGCTGCTTTGAGTCTAATTCTGTTAGACTGGGTAGGGATTCAGTAGGGAGAGACCCTGGGGTGTTTTTTAAAACCCATTTGTTCCTATCTTGTGGACCTTCAGTGATGTTCTCAAATGGGTCACGAGGCTGGTATTTTATAAGCAATATGATCCACAGCCATGAGGAGAGGAATGATTCTAATATAGTCCAGAAAACAGTAGGGCTTTCCACCTCAAAACTTTACTTTAAATCTTTGAAAAGAACTAGGTTTTCTACCCCAGGAGTCCAGCATCTCCTGACCCAGGGTTCTCCTAGCACAGTCAACAGGAATGAATGCCTTCCCTAAGCCCCTCGTGGTCACTTGATCCTCTGGCTCTTGGTTTACTTTTCCCTCTTCCTTAAACTGTTCATTTTCAAGTAACATGGGGAAAGTCACATCAGTCTTATTGAGTATCCCTAAAAAGTGGAGGCAGGAGAATGGACTTGACGATAGAAGAATTTATTCTTGGTCACTAAGTGTGCTCAGCTGGCTATGTCTACCTCCATACCTCCATACCTCCTCTGGAAGTAAAGAAGTACCCTGGAAGTAAAGAAGACTCATGAGGTAATAAAAAACAGTAAGTAAAATTGCTTTGCCACCTAGACTGCAAAGACGATGAATTCCCTAGTGTGTTTATCAAAATTAACTGACAGGTCTTATGAAAAGACTGACTTATTTAATATATAAGGAAAAAACATCACAAGATTCAACAATATAAATGCATATAATAGGCTGGGTTCCTGTTATAAGATATGGCACCTTGCATTTTCCATACACTAATTATCTAACTAAGTTATTATAAGTTAGACATTATCTTTATTTCACATATGAGGAAATAAAAGTCCAGGGACTCAAGTGATACACTCAAGTCTAGGTTTGAATCTCTCAGTCTGTGTTTTTGTCATTTCCCCGACATTTGCATATATGTGGTTTGCTTAGCACTGATGGTTTGAGAAATAATTTTAGCTGGTGCATGGAAAAATACATTTCCATTTTAATGAGTATGTATGAATAGTATGTGCATCCAAATATCCAGGCATATCAGAGTTGTGGTTTTGTGAAACTAATTGTTTAGGATGAAGCTACTTTTACTGGAGTCTATTTAAAGAAAAATATTCAGAAATTGAAACATTAAAAAGACAGGTTTGGAAAAAGTTGTTAAGAATGAGTGAAATGTGGGAAACTCTGTTCTGGGCCAGACTGCTCTCTGTGTTTTATAACGAATGGCTGCAGGCTACAGGAAGCAAGATTTCTCAGAAAGCCTTAGTCAATGTGTCGGTCACCTCCCCTGGTATTTGCCAGCTCCTGCTGACACCACCATCCCCTAGCTGAAAGTCCCTGCAGCTAGAAATCTAGAAAGAAGCCCTTCTCCTAATCTCATTAGCCAAGTCTTGGTGATTTTAGTTCTTCAGCAGCCATTCCTCCCCAGTGTCCTGATTGCCCCTAATGCTTACATTCACATTCCCCACAACATTCTCACAACAGCATTCTCACATTCTCACAACAGCATCTTAACTGGCCTTCCTAACTCTAATCTCACAAGCTATCCTGGAAAATCCCCAGACAGCCATGTTACTTTCTGTGGTAGGCTGAAATGTCCTCCATCAAAGCCCAAATTCTAATCCCCAGAACTTGCAAATTTGTTACTTTACATGGCAAAAGGGACTTTGCCAATGTAATTAAATTAAGGATCTTGAGATGGGGAGATAGTCCTGGACTATCTGGGACAAAAGTTCTTGTGAGAGAGACACAGTAGAGTCAGGCAGACACGAAGATGTGGCAACGGAAGCAGAATTCGGAATATGCTTGGCCACCAGCCAGGGAATATGGAGAACCTCTAGAAGCTGAGAAAGGTACGGCTTCCCCAAAACCAGAGGAATGCAATCTGCCTACCATGTTACACATCTGATCTCCAGAACTGTGAGTCTGTGTTGTTTCAGACCACTAAGTTTCATGTTGTGCGGCAGCAATAGAAAATGAATGCACTCTCCTGTCCAAAGCCCCTCTTTTTTCTTGCCCAAAATCCAGCTTCTTAATCATTAAGTCACTCTTCACAATGGAGCCTCCCAACTTTCCAGCCTTATTTCTTGACCTCCAACCCCAAAATTAATATCAATAGCTAATATTTATTTTGTACTTAACTATATGCCAAACACTAAACCAAAATGTGTATATATATATAAAACATATATATTACATATATTTGTTAACTCATTAAATTCTGACAATAACATACAAGATAGGAATTATTATTGTCCTCCTTCTTACAGATGAGGAAACTTGAAAAAGGTACACAACTTACTTAAGGTCCAGAATTAATAGTAGTAAGGGAAAGATGTAAATTCATACCAGTTTGATTTCAGCATCTCTGTTATTAAACAGTATGTTATATCTCAACCTTGGAGTTTTCAGACAACATCCCTACTCTTTCGTATTCCTAGAAACACTGTAGAGAAGAATGAAGCCATGATATAGAATCAAGAGAAACTGAGTAAAATAGAGGAGTAGGGACTCTGAAGAAGAGGGGCTTTAGGAATATTAGAAGCAAAGTGAGATGGCTCAAAGCTGATGAGGACTGGGTGAGCCAACATTAGACATATGCTGGATTATTTCCTTTATAGGGCCCTGGACATACTTGTTGGGCCAGGAGAAAAATATTAAAGGGGAGGTATGGAGGTAGACATAGCCAGCTGAGCACGCTTAGTGCCCAAGAATAAATTTTTCTATCATCAAGTCCATTCTTCTGCCTCCATTTTTTAGGGATACTCAGTAAGACTGGTGTGACTTTCCCCATGTTACTTGAAAATGAACAGCTTAAGGAAGAGGGAAAAGTAAACCAAGAGCCAGAGGATGCCATATGGTGTGGTGATGATCAGGACTAACTCACAAACCAGACAACCTGGGATTAGTACCAGAGCTGAGTTTTTCATTCCCATTTTTCTTGGTTCTAAAACTCATGTTCTTATCCTAATTCCATGAATATTTAACAGACAAAACATGTTAACTCAGCTAACCAGAATGAAATGGATAGAAACTTCCTCTTACCTATCTTAGCTCTATAGAAAATCAGAATAAAAAATCTGATCTGGCTATTTGAGGACACAAGAATGATGAGCAGAGTTTTAAGTCTGTGAAGGATACAGTCCAAACCAGGTTCATATCGTGGTTCACTCTGCATATCTAAACAAGTTTACCCAACCTTGGGTATGACTCATTTGCTGAAGGAGACATATATCTACCTCTGACTCAATAGAAAAGAAGTAACTCTAAGACAGTAATTTCCTTAATTGGGCAAAGCCTAGGTCATTTGAAAGGGAAAGCATTCCCCAGCCTCATGGTTATCACCAGCCTCAGTCTCATATCTTCAGTGTCTTCCCTATATCTTTGTCCATCTTCCACAGAGTTATTAAAGTGATCTCTTTAATATGAAAATACTTACTGATAACTTGCCTCAATATCCATCCTTCAGTTCTAGCAGAAAACCACAAAGCCTGATTTTTTATATGGGCTCTTGACCATCCAGAGCAAAGACTGTATTTCCCAACCTTTAATGCAGCTGAGTGTAGACATGTAACTAAGTTCTGATGTATAAGATAAAAGCAGAAGTGTCTTGTGCAAGCTTCTGAGGACCTTCCTTAAAAGAACACTGGTACCTCTGTGTAACTCTCTTCTTATTTACCATTGTTTCCACCTTGTTGCCCTGATTATAGGTTTAGAATGTGAGTCTGAAGGTCACATACGGGGATGGTTGAAAAAATATTGAATTCCTAAACAGCCATCATATTAATCCTCGACTATGTAACGCCAGACTTTTAGATGAAAAACAAACTCCTACTGTTTTTAGGCCAGTATTAATTTAGAGTTTCACATTACTAACAATCAAATCCAATCCTAAACAATACGTCCATCATGCGTTTTTTGTTTAAAACCAATCCATGGTTTCCAATTGCCCTCAGAGAACAATTCTAACTCCCTTAGTAAAACCTATAAGGTCCTTGTAACCTGTATATTTAATATCATCTTTTTAGCTTCCCTGCTTATATTTTAACAAATTAACAATACCTAATGACCTGTATTTCCCTAAGTATTCCACAATTCCATAATTTGTTCTGTTTTCACTTCTCTAAACAGACTGTCAACTTCTGCTTTGAATTCCATCCTCACCTATTTGATAGAAAAGTGTCACCTCTTCTGACAAACCATCTCTTACCCTTTAGACAAACTGATGCACTCCTTTTACTCTATTCCAATTATACCTGATCAATCATCCATTTAACAATTGCTTCAACATAAATGAGGGGTTTGTTTGTATTTCCAACTCCACCACTACACTGTTTTCTTAATAGAATAATGTCATGCTCAACTTTGAAACCACATATACTGCCAGACACATAATAAATGCTCAATAAATTCTTTTAAGTGAATAAATAATATTAATCATGCAGCCATCTTATATTGTCAATCAGATGCCTCAGTATAACTTCGTTGATTCTTTAAACTATGTCTTTGGAACTTGTCTTGATGTGAATTCAGGCTGTGCCATCTAAAAGCTGTGTCCTTAGGCAACCCTCTTTCCATTTCTGAGTATCAGCTTCTTCTTCTTTAAAATAGAAGACCTACTTCATGGTACGTTAGGGCTATTAATGCAATTAAGTACATAGAACATCTAGGCTAACCTAATATTAACCCACAATCAATGGCATCATCATTTTTATCCTTTAGGAAAGTTCACATGGCTTAGAAAAGTCAATCCAAAACTGCCAGGATTTAAAACATAAGAGATGCAAGGACTCCACATGAAGAAGCTCAAGGGAAAGCCAGTGTCATAGGCAGCCTTACATAATGGAATGAGTACTGGCCTGGGCATTCTGATCTGTGATTAAACCCTGAGGGAATCACTAGAGTGCTATGAGATCATGAGGAAGTCACTTCTACCCCCAAACCTTAGTGCCCCCATGTGTACAGGGTTGAAAGTGTCCAGATGATATTGAACCAGTATCTATCCTAACTCTGAGCTGCACTTCCTTTGGCCCCGCTTCACCACTTTCATCTCATTAAACCACACAAATTTTGCCCTTAGATGGACTGCTCTGACCAAACTCCCCACAGCCTCTACTCACCCACTGTCCTATGGGAAGCAGGGTGAGTTCATTGCACCTTCAGATTTTAGCCTGATGATGCATGTTTGTGTAGAGTTGGTGATTGGTTTCATATGGCCAAAGGATCCGGCAGCTGGGGACATCTGTTTACACTTAGCACACAGACAAATTTTCCACAGTCAGGAGTCAGTGTGCTCCTGACCTGACTGTGGAAAGCAGGGCTCAGTCCCTCTGGGCTGTGTAAGTGGGAGCTTTAGACTTGTGCCCTGGACTCACATGTCAGGAAGAATAACCTAGATATGAAACATTTGAAGTAAGAAGCAGATCTCTGGTGTCTCTATGGATACAGATAAATTGCCTATGGAAATGGGGCACAGTTGGACAGGAAGCAACATATTACACTGATGAGGATGATTAAGGAAGATCCTAAAGGATGCTTTGTTCCCAGAAGGAAGTCCATGCTGCAGGAACATTGACCCACATAGAAAAGGATGACTGTCTCAGAAATAGCTTCAGAGTATGGCTTATGCTAATAATGGAAAGAAACTACTCATTCTGCATAATACTGCCCTATAGACCCATATTTTTGCTTCACTCCAGTAGACAACATGCATAGGTGAAGGAGCACTGGTCTTGAAATTATTGGACCCAGGTCCCACTGCCAAGTCTTTCATTCACCCTGTGTGTCCTTGGACAATTCCTGCTGCTTCTCTGAGCAACAGCTACCTTGTCCCAAAAAGAATGTCACATGGGATCATATTAGATTCTCCATGCAAATGTTTTGTCTAAAATGAAATAGTCTCCAGATGTCAGGAGCTGTTGTTACTATCCAAGGAATATCTCAAGATCATAAAGATAAAGTGAATGTATTTAATTTTTCTAACCAGAATAGAAATTATTTTGCAGATCCTCTAAGAGATGGCTGTCCATTTTCTACATCAGCATCTCATCTTCAGGGGTAGGTGGCCACAGCCTTACAGAAAAGTTAGTTCTGTTCTCCCTGGTGGTCGTAAATTCCTGTCAAAGTTCTCCTCTTTCCCTCATGGGAGAGCTGCCAGTCTGCTTTCTCTTCTCTGGAGCCAGGAGAACAAATGTGCTTCCTCTTTCACAGGAAGTACCTGCTGATATGTGGAAACTGCAATAGGAGAGAAAAGGCATAGACTTTGTCTGCCTTTAGTCCTAGGATCACATCCTGCTTTTCTACTCTGCATCTGTGTGACCCTGAGATTGTTGAGTAAACACAGTTAACCTCAGTGTTCCCAACTGTAAAGGGGGATAATAAAACAGACACAGTGTGGGGATGGTAAGGATTTAGTGAAATGAGGCATAAAGAGCCTGCGACCATGCCTAGCTAAGAGCAGATCTTCAGTAGATGATAACTACTAAGACATTGCTCTATTGTCTTTACTGACTTACTTTTGTGGTTATTACTGACATTCCTTATATTTAACAACATGGTTCGGTAAATGTTCAAATGGGCCCAAACACAGCTTGGTTTGGATCATTAGCAAACCAATACCTTGAACATTTACTAAGCTTCTTCTCTGTCTCAGGCACTACACCAGGCACCGCTGGGGATTCAAAACAGAAGTGTTCCCTTCATGAATGAGAAACAGTGTCATGCAATGGCCATGTTTCCAAAGTAATTGATATATAATAAAAATTTTCACATAGCTTGGAAATATAATGGAGACCTTTTCATGATTGAAGAGTTTTTTTTCCTTTTCTTTCAAAATTATCTGCAAGGTTTCATGTTGAGGTCATTCATTGGACCTACAAAAGGTCCATGAAAGGGATGCTTACACCTTAAGGACCAACATACAAAGAATTAAGTGGCTTCTCACACTCCAGATCATTTACTCTTGGCCTCACTCTTGTGCCATAATTATTGCAAAAAATTGCCATAGAATTCTACTCACCCCATAGGAGCCCAATGGAACTTCCATCATCTTAGTGAGACACCTTCAATTTAAATTACATACATGGTTCCTCAGAGCTACTAGCATCAAATCCAAGTTCATTATAGTGTCCCCCAGGCCTCTCATAACTCTATCCCAAATACTCTGAGTCTCTCACTCTTGGCCATTCTTTCCTTTTCTATACCTACCCCACTGCCTGACCAAACATGTAGTCTGGACTCCAGTCGTGCCAATTTACTGCAATTCCCTGAGTGAATCTTGCTCTTCCACCCCTTTGTGCCTCTGCCCAGGCTTGTACAATTCCCTCTTCCTGGAAAACCTCTTTCTTCCTTCTGTGCCTGCACAACCTCCACACATTCTTCTCTAGGATGAACATAATCATCAGCGTTTCTGAGAAACTGTTACCAGGTGCTCTAATCCAATTTGGGATCATTACCCCCAATCCCAAAACATCTAACCCTTGCCACCATCCTACACTTACCCTACTTTAAAAAACATAATTCTCTATTTCCTCATCTGTGGCTGTGCTGTGAGCTTTTTGGGAACAGAGGGCATGCCTGATTCATCTTTGTGACATTCACAGAGCTCCATAAAAGCCTCTTGGATGCATGGACAGAAGCCTGGATAGACAGATGCATGAGTAGGTTCCAGACCCATAAGCCAAGGACACGACATCTCTCTTCTTGGAATAATAATTGCATAAGACCCAATAAATCACCTAGTACTCTTTGAAATATCTTGGCCCTAGTCATCAGGAAGCCCAAAATGGTTGGAGTTAGCCTGTGAATTGCCCAATTCACTTTATACTCATTAAAACAGAAACAATCAATGATACCTTTTAATTTTTATTCATGTCTAGACATTCCAAAAACTCAACATGACAAGGGGTTCTTTTCCACTTACCTTATGCTACAATAGCTAATCCTAGCCATATTCAAAATTCTGCTCTATGTTAATTCTTTTCAAGCAACTAAAATTCTGTTAGGGAAAAAAGAAAAAAGAAGGAATATAATGCACAGAGAGAGGAATATGGCTTAATCTTCAGTCTTTTATGGGAATATAATGCAGTTTCTCAGACCCAAAGGTAACTAAACTCCAACATTCAGTCTTCCCATGACTTTTTATTGGCTGTTGCTGAACTCATCAATTTTTCCTCAATCTTTTGTGGGGGTCAGATCTTAACCATGCCTAAATACTTTTCTGTTGAAAATGTCATAATTATTTCTCCAGGTATAACTGATTTTTGGTGTGTAGACACCAAAGACTCATGTCTCAAACACACACAAACTTCTGTCTGGTTGGGTTCTCTATTTTTATGAACACCGCCTCCATGGCTCTCTAAACCCCACAAAACTTTATTAACCTGAAGCCTCCAAATCCTCTTTGTTTATACAACTTAGGCTGACCTTTTCTTGCTCTTTCTGGTCTGGGAAAGGATTTGATCAACACACACACACACACCCCACACACACACCTCAAGATAGTCATGGCATGTTTCACGCTACCCAATAAAGACAATCATGTTTTCCTGTATTTAGAAAATGCTAATTACAAAGCTATCTTAGCTGCAGACACAGAGCGCATGTCTGCCTCCACACTTGATTCCTGCCTCCACTCAAAGATATTCTCTGTTTAAAGCATCTTATCCACAAAAGCACCCTTTTACTCTACATCCCTTTTCCCTATTTTAGTTTGCTTTACATCCCTTTTCCCTATTTTAGTTTGCTTTATTGCACTTATTAAAAATCCATGAGAGTAGGAACTCTGGCAATTGTGTTTATTGTCACATCTCCTCAGCCTACAATTCCTGGCACATAGTAGCTGATAGATAATAGAGAGATAGAAAGATAGACAGATGATAGATAGATAGATAGATAGATAGATAGATAGATAGATAGATAGATAATACACAGATGTAGAAACTGAGATACAGGAAATACACATAAGACAGAGAGATACACTTAGAGATAGAGATAAATTCTTATCCGGCTTAGCTGTGCTTCAGTTCTTTTCTGTTTGTTTTGTTTTGTTTTGAGATAGAGTTCTGCTCTTGTCACCCAGGCTGGAGTGTAGTGGCGCGATCTCGGCTCACTGCAACCTCTACCTCCTGGGTTCAAGCAATTCTCCTGCCTCAGCCTCCCAAGTAACTGGGATTACAGACACCTGCCACCACTCCCGGTTAGCAGTGTGGCCTTGGAAACGAGACTTAATGCCTTTCAATGTCTCTGTTTTCTCATCTCAATTCCCCACAGCAACCCACATGGCTTTACATAACCTAGCCCCTGCTAACCTCATCAACCTCCCTCCTGTCCCTCTCCCCACCATCACCAGTCACTTTGCCCACCTCGGAGCTTGCCCTGGAACAATCTTCACATCTTCACATCTCTTTGTACCTGGAAACCCATCATCTAGAAAGAGAGCCCTTCCCTTCATATCCTGACCAAAGATCTCCACTCCCCTGAGATTGGTCTTTCGCATCACTTTGTTTTAATTTCTTATACTATAATAGCTATATCTGTTGAATATCTGTTGAATTAACAAATGTATATGAAGATGATAATAATTAATTAGAGTTGCTAAAAAGATTAAACAAAATCTTTTCAGAATTAGGGGAGCTACAAAGGTAGCATCCATTAAAAATAAATTTCTCTGCAGTGTGGCTATAATATGGTAAATGATGTACTTAAAAATGCTAACTGTTATAAATATATTATTTGTGTTGTTATCATTTGTCCATTAATGTCTCTGGTTATATTTAGCTACTTAGCACAAATAATTATCCATATTTAAAATGGAAAATATTACATTAAAATTGGAAGTCTCAAGATTTTACTATTTTGGATAAGGGAGTTTGATTGCTGTTGATAAAAGCCATTTCTCTTGATGCAGACTATATAGTTTATGAGTTGAGTAATATCCTTCTTTTAGAATTTGACCTGAATTAAATGACTTAACCCTTTACTCTGATCTATAATAAAATAAGTAATAAAATAAGGTTGCATCAGCCAAAATGTCATAGTCTGAACTAATTCGTCTATTTCAAATTGGCGGAAAAATATTACAAGGAATAAATAGACTCACCCCCACACCTTCCCTTTAAACCTTCCACTTATTAAGCATCATACCAGACAACAAAGAAGAATATCAAAAGTGGAAGCCCTCTATTAGAATGATGCCCCTGGGTCTATGTCTCTGATGTGGATTCTGCACAGCTTCTCCTCCCCGGCTGCTGGTGTATGAGCCCTGCCTCTGTTCTGGGTGACTGTCCACTGTCTCACTGTCTCAGCCCAGCTGCTTTGCTTTGCTGACTCACTGAGTCTGACACCCCGTAGAGCCGATCCATGTGCTGATCCTAGAAAGTAATGAGGAGCCTGCACAGCTGACAGGAAAGGCCCGTGCCTTTGGGTGCCAGAAAAAGAGGAAGGGCTAGAGAGGAGGTCTGAATGTCCCTCTAACTGCACCATTTAGCATTTGACAGCATCTTCCCTTCTACTAGGAGACCAGCTTTCAGAATTTTATAAGCAAGCTGTAAAAATGTATTCAAGTGTGAAACCTGAAACGAGTCCTTTATCACCAGATCTCTACCTCCCTGGAATGTAATTGGTTTCCAAATTTAAGGGAGATGGAGTGGGGGAATGGAAGGGAGGTGATCCATTTAGCCATTTAAAACTAGTAAAAGAAGAGAAAGAAGTAAAAACTGGTGATTTGTGCTTTCTTTCGTTGCAGGTGAAACATGATTTCATTTATACAGTTGAATAATCTCATCTGCAGGTGACTCACTAGCGTCCCTGGAGCCATGCTTGGTCTCCTCTTGTGCCTCAGTCTCTCTTCTGGTAAAATGAGACAATCTGATCCTTCCAGGGTTCCAGTCTTGTGTTCCAGGACCTTTAAAATATCCTAAGAAAAGACAATTACTAGCTCTAGTGGCCTGTGTTTAAATAGGACAAAGAACTTGACTGAGAAACAGAAGTATTTTTGCATCTGGAAATAGCTACCAAATTATTTCTCCAAAATGCTTTGACATGTTTGGTTTCCATGTAATCTGAATGTTTTGTCACCCAATATACATAAAAATACTACTCCACTTGAGTAGAGAACCACAAAGCTCCATGCATTCCTGTACATCAAAATATACTTTTCTTTCTTTAGTCCTGGACAAATTCAAGATGCACAAAGATTCAGAAATATTTTTTAGTAGAAATTCAAAAACATCCTACAGCCATGTAGGGAGATGGGGTTCAGGGAGTTGACTGAGAAGTGGGAGAGACTAGCATCTCTGTGGGGGCTGGAGCATTGTCAAGGCTACATTTGATATCACATGGGCATTAGAGAGAGAGAGAGAGTGAGTGTGTGTGTGTGTGTGTGTGTGTGTGTGTTCGTGTGCACATTTGTGTGTCTGCTTTCCTTTCTGAAGCTGCAAATTTAAACTCTCAGCTGTGGCAGCCTCTGGGATGCAGGGAAGACTGCTTCTGTAATCTCATTTGCCATGGCAGCTGCTTGGCGAGCTTGACATTGCTATCTTCTCAGCTTCTCAGATTCCTTAAAGATTCTCCTCTGATAACCGTGCATCAGGCCCCCAAACCACCCCAGACCCTGCCATGCCAGCCTTCCTTCAAGCTCTGATATACTATACCTGCTTGGGAGTCCCCACATGTGCAGCTAGAGTCCTCACATGTGAAGAGTCCATGGACTGGATTCTGTGCAGGCCACACAGAGTGATGGAGGACCCAGAGGACCCAGGTTCTAACCCCAGCCCTACTAATTACTAGATGAATTATCTTATTATCTTATCTAATTTCACTTCTCCAGGCTTCAACTTCCTAATCTATACATTTAAGGATGATAATCCTCAGGCAGACCTAGTCTCTTTGTTGCTACTAAAGCCCAGTGAACAGAGCAGGGTTTTGGAAACTGTGCATCTTTAAATAACCACAAGGCGTTATATTAGTAGCAATACTTCAAAAAAACTGGGGTGAGCTATTTTACAGGACTTTATTATAGGCAATCTTACTTGACACAGAGATTATGTGCTATCTTAGAATGTTTTGGAATGTGAAGAAACACATAAACTTTAGCTAATTTTCCCAAAAGGGGGAAAAGAAAACACCAACATTTTTTGGAAGACTGTAAGACAGTTTGGGGGTGTAGAGAGAGGGGGCATTTTAACATCAAATTTCACTGTGAGAAAGTTATTCCCTGCTCAATTGCGTATCAGTCACTTTGTTTAATTCAAGGATAAAGTCCCAGTTTTGTTCCAAAGACATGAGATGCCTTAGGCTCAGAGTCTTCTGCAGGCAACATTATCTAAATGGAATTTAGATTGGAGAAGATTGGGATAGCCATTATGAAAAACAGTATGGATATTTCTAAAGGGATTAAAAATAGAACTACCATATGACCCAGCAATGCAATCTTTCTCCTGGGCATATACCCAAAGGAAATGAAATCAACACCTCATAAAGATATCCGCACTTCCATGTTCATTGCAGCATTATTCACAATAGCCAAGATATGGAAACAACCTAAGTGTCCATTGATGAATGAATGGATACAAAAATGTGGTATATGTATACAAGGGAATATTATTCAGCCCAATAAAGAACAAGATCTTACCATTTACCACAACATGAATGTGTCTGGAGGACATTAAGCTTAGTGAAATAAGCCAGACATAGACAGAAAAATAAAGAAAATTATTGCATGATCTCATTTATATGTGGAATCTTTTAAAAACAATCAAATATACAGAGTTAGAGAACAAAACAGTGGTTACTGGGGCAAAGGAGGAGATAGAAAAGGAAGAAGTAGGAAAATGTAGGTCAAAGGAGAGAAAGTAACAAATATGTAGGATAAATAACTTTAGAGATTTAACGTACAACGTGGGCCTATAGGTAATAAAATTGTACTATATTGGGAATTCATGCTAAATGAGTAGATTTTAGCTGCTCTTGACACAAAAACAAAAACAAAAAAAAGATAACTGTGTAAGATGATGGATGTGTTAATTTACCTTACTGTAGTAACCTTTTTGCTATCTATATGTATTCCATAACACCATGTTGTATACCTTAAATACATGCAATAAAATTTATTTTAAAACATAAAAATAAAAAATGAGTCACAGGAAAAGGAAATTAAATTCTGAGTTATTTTTATTTTGTGGCTAGTGATGCTTATTTTTTATTTACAACATAAAACTTTTCCTCTTAAAATAAATCTATTTAAATTGAAAGAATAAACCATTTAAATGCATTGACATGCATTAATGTGTAACATTATCAATGGTAGGCCAATATAGCAATAATCATGATTTTGTATTAGTTATCTATTGCTGCATAATAAAATAAT
This sequence comes from Homo sapiens, assembly GCF_000001405.40. Lineage (NCBI taxonomy): Eukaryota > Metazoa > Chordata > Mammalia > Primates > Hominidae > Homo > Homo sapiens. The sequence continues at coordinate 115,195,211 of NC_000009.12, read as the reverse complement.
GCAAAACTTGGTTGCCTAAGCAGTGATAAATGTTTTTATCTCTCAGTTTTTGTAGGTTAGGAATTGGGGATGATTCTGGCTCAAAGTCCCTCATGAGGTTGCAGTCAAAATGTGAGCTGCAACAGCAGTCATCTGAAGGCTTGACTGGGGCTGGAGGATCTGCTTCCAAGGTGGTTCATTCACCTGTGAGTTGGTGCTGGCTGTTCCTTACCATGTGGACCTCTCCACAGTGTTGCTTAAGTGTCCTCATGACATAGCAGCTAGTGTACTTCCAGAGCAAGTGATCTGAGAGATCAAGGTGAAAATGGCAATATCTGTTATGACACATCCTGAGAAGTCACACACTCACTTCTGCAATCTCTAATTAGTTGCATAAATCACTCCTATTCCATATGGGAGGGAACTTCACAAGGAAGCAAAAACAAGGAATAAGAATCATCTCAGAGACTGGCTACCACACTGTAATACACCAATCATTGAAGTTTGAGAAATACTGATTTAATCTAAAATTATAAACCCACCAAGAGAACACCGGAGAAAGGAGGGGATGTAACCAAGTCCAGGCTAGGTTTTTAGCACACCCAAGGTAAGAATTCAGAGCTCCCTATCCACTGCACAGTATTATTCCTGCCATATCACAAAAATGCTGACACCACCTTTGGCCTTTCAAAATTTTAAGAGAAATCCAGCCCTTTCTCAGGGTAAGACTTTGCCTCCCCAGCTTCCAACAGGAAGTTGATGCTGCTGCAGCAATTTCTAGGCTTTCAGACTCTCCACCTGGGACTGGGTCCAGTGAAGTTAGTCAATTTTGAAGGCAGATGATTAATCTGGTGTCAGAGGTCATCTATTCCCAAGGTTGCAAACAGATTGTCCACAGGCAGTGATGAGCCCACAGATATGTCTCCTTTGCCCTAAGCAGGACATTTTTAGTTTTTTTCTTAATGAGTTGCTAATTATATGTGAAATTAGAATATTTCACATAAAAATCCAGATCTGGGGTTCCCTTGAAATAATCAGATGTGCTGACAATGCCTGATCTGCTTTTTTTGTACAGTAACCATCCTCTGGAGTTACATATTAGCTACACACGATTTGTTCTCCATGGTCCCTGAAACTTCTCTGCTTTCTTAAATTCCCTTATTCTTTGCAAGCCGTTGAACTGACTACTTTGACTTAATTCAACTCTCTCATTTACAAGTAAAAGGAACTGAGGCTTTGACAGTTAGTAGGCTTACATTTCTTGAATGACTTACCCAAGGCCGCGTGGCTGGTAAACAGCAGGGCAAAGACCAAGGAGGGTTTCTTTCCTACCTAAGCCAACACTCTTCCCCAAACACTTCCCTGCTTATTTTACAAATAGGCTCCAAAATAACCAGAGGATATTCTGGATAGCTCTGCTAATGTGACTCTCTTTCCCTCACTGCACTTTTAGCCTCAAGAGCCATCTCACATCAAATAGCAGAAAGGGGATATCAGGAAAGAGGAACCTGTGTAGCTCAACTCCAATTTACTACCTCAAGGAAAGAGAAAACTTAAAAGTTTACAAAAATTTGTCCATTCTAAAGGAAGGAGAGCAAGTAAAGAATAGTAGATTGAGAAAATACAAGTACAAAACCGATCAAATCCTGGAAGAAGATTGTTAACAATCCCCAAACATCATAGATTTCAGCGCATTCAACTACCAGGAATCTTTGTCTTAAATCTCCCAATTTGTCATTTATTATTACTAAAAATAATTTATTTTAAATCTTTCAAGGAAGTTCTTGCTTCCTCATTTCCTGACCTTTATGAAGTCACCATCTTGGCACACACATGAAAGGAAAGTGTTTTAACTAAATTGCATGTTAAAATGGTAGAGGAAAATGAATGAAAGATTTTGGCACAGTGAAAGCACCCTCTGAGGGATGTTCTTGAAAGCCAGGCTTAGCAGCTGCTCCGGTGATCAATAAGTAGATTCCCCAGCACTAGCTCACTGTAGCCAAGGTCTCAGGCCTGTGTCCAAATGTAAGGAACCACAGCTGCTTCAGAATGGGGAGGAGTGACTTTGCTTCTCCAGGGCCCCTGAGTTCAGATCAGCTCTTGCACTGCTAGTCTGCAAGGATCAACAAATTCAGTACGTAGAGGTGCATGTAATAACCACATGGGACCACAAGCCACCCCAGACCTGGAGAGTCTGTGTGATGCTTGAAGGGGTAGTGAAGGGAAGTCTTTGTTGCAGAACACTGAACATTCTGACTCACTTCCACTGGACCCTCTCAGTTCCACAACAGAATCCCATCACCTCTCCCTCCATTACTCCAAAAAGCTCAGAATTTTCCTGATGGAATTCATAGCTGAGCCTGAAGGACTCCTTAGTTAACTGGTGGTACAGATAGAACAGTTTGTTCCCCCATGTCACATGCAAGTCAGGACTATGTCTGGACAGCAAGGAAGAACTAAGATGAAGGAGTAAATTGCCTCTTCATTAATTTATTTATTCTGTAATATTTACTGGGTGTCTATGATATGCTAGGTGCAGTGATTAAGAATTGAATGAGCAAGACATGTTCTCTATTCACAAAAAGCTTCAGTCTATGAGGAAAGAGTGATTAAAAAGTGGTTACAAGGAAATGGGACAAGTGTTATCACATGGGAAGTGGGAGTGGAGGAAGGAAAGTCCGTGGAGTGAAGAAAAGGGAAGGAAGTGACATTAAATGGAGATGAGAAAGATCAGGAAGACTAAGTACAAACAAGACAGAGAAGTGAGAGTTTATCAGATGGAGAAAGAGCCCATGTGAAGGCCTTGTGGTTGAAGGAAGTGCAATGCATTCGGGAAACTGAAAGCAGCTTCATATAAATAGGAGCAAAGGCCCTGTGATTAAAGGTCTTCAAAGGTCTGGTAATGCATTTACACTTGTTCGAAGTTCAATTGGGATAGAATGAAATGTTATAAACAGGGAAATGATGTGCAGATATTTGGAGTTTAGGGAATACCATTAGGTTTGCCAGGTAGGAAACAAAGGAAGAAATCCAGGCAAGTGGCATTGCTCCAAACTCACAATGATAACGGATAACAGTTCCAAAGAGAACATTCAAATGCATAGCTGGCTTCAAATATGCAACATCTCTGTGGATGAGAAATAGAATAAGTAAAAGGTAAAATGGGCTGAAGCTACAGGCTTCTGGGCTCCTAGTCCACACAGGAAGAGGCATCCAGGTTTTCTACTTCTATGGGAAGAACAGAGAAAAAGTTCAGCCAACATGAAGCTGAAGCTGTAGACTGCAGTCAGGCTCCCTGCTGAGGATTAAGAGGGAGATTGAGATCCCCTGTTAATAAGCGAGACTGGAAATCCCCCGTTAATAAGAGGCTGTCTAGGGCTACAGCCACCTGACAAAAAAGGCAGTATATGCAAACCCAGCCTTGCAGTCAAAAGTCAAGCTGAACCAAGCTATATGCTCCCTTGAGTAATGGTATCAAAACAGCCTCATTATGTCCATGGAGAAGGAATCTCAAACAGTTGACATAAAACACAACTGTGGATAGCAGATCCAGGGGCCATTGGACGAAAACATCACATATGCTCTAAAGAAAGAGAAAATGTATTAGCACAAAACAACATTCCTTCAATATAAGATAATTCTACAAAACAAAATTACGAAATATGTGATAGAGCTATCCTGAAAATGAAAGCCCAACATCCAAACAGCAAAACCAAAACCCAATAAACATAAAAAATAGATCACAATCATAAAAATCAAGATAAAAACAATAATCAACTATAATCAACTAATAATCAACAATAAATCAACTACAAACAAAAACAAATTTCTAATCTAATAAAAGATTTTTAGTAGGTAGGGCTGCAATTTTCAGAGATCATAAAAAACAGGAAATTGTGAACCAAAATGAGTAAAATAATTGCCTGTGCTTTTGAGGTCTTACTCAAAAAATTCTATGCCCAGACAAATGTCCCGAGTATTTCTCCAGTGTTTTCTTCTAGTCATTTTATAGTTTCAGGTCTTACATTTAAGTCTTTCATTCTTTTTGAGTTGATTTTTATATGGTGAGAGAGTTTCAATAATTCTAGTTTCATTCGTCTGCATATGGATATTCAGTTTTCCTATCACCCTTTATTGAAGAGGTTGTCCTTTCCCCCAGTGTATGTTTGTGGCTCCTTTGTCAAAAATGAATTGCCTGTAAATGCATGGGTTTATTCCAGGGATCTCTATATTTTGTTCCATTGGTATCTGTTTTTATGCCAGTACCATGCTGTTTTGATTACTATAGTTTTGCAGTATATTTTGAAGTCAGGTACAGTGATGCCTCCAGCTTTGTTCTTGTCATTCAGGATTGTATTGACTATCCAGGGTCTTCTGGCTCCAAATGAGATTTAAGATTGTTTTTTCTATTTCTGTCATTGATATTTTGATAGAGGCTGCATTGAATCTGTTTATCATTTAAAAGTGTGAACATTTTAACAATATTAATTCTTCTTATTCATAAACATGAAATACTTTTCCATTTTCTTTGTGTCCTCTTCAATTTATTTTGTAAATGTTTTATAGTTTTCATTGTAGAAATCTTCACTTCTTTAGCTATATTTTTTCCTACGTATTTTATTTTTATACTTAGGTATAAAATTGCTTCCTTGATTTTTTTTTTTTTTTTCAGATTGTTTGCTGTTGGTATATAGAAATGCTACTGCTACTGATTTTTGTATGTTGATTTTCTATCCTGCAACTTTACTAAATTTGCTTTTGAGTTACAACAGTTCTTTGGTGGAGTCTTAAGTTTTTCTGAATATTAGATAATGTCATCTGCAAACAAGGGCAATTTGCCTTTTTTCCTTTTCAAATTGGATAGCTTTTATTTATTTCTCTTATCTAATTGCTCCAGATGGGACTTCTAGTACTATGTTGCATAAAAGTGATAAAAATAATCATCCTTTTCTTGTTCTAGATCTTATGAGAAAAGCCTTCAATTTTTCTTTTTAATTTAGTATTGTATTAGCTGTGGGTTTGAAAAGAAAAAATTAACAAATGCGATTGTAGCAAGTGAAAGCTTCTGCACAGCAAAGAAAACAATCAACAAAGTAAAGAGACAACCTATGGAATGGGAGAAAATATTTGCAAACTATCTCTCTGATGGATTAATAGCCAGAATATAGAAACTCAAATAATTGAATAGCAAAAACAAACCCTTTATAATCCAATTATAAATAAGCAAAAGATCTGTAGTTATTTCTCAAAAGAAAACATACAAATGGCCAACCTCTATATGAAAAAATGCTCAACATCACTAATCATCAGGGAAATGCAAATCAAAACCACAATGAGATCATCTTACCTCAGTTAAAATGGCTACTATCAAAAAGACAGAAAATAACAGATGCTGGCAAGGATGTAGAGAAATAGGAATGCTCAAACGCCGATGGTGGAAATGTAAATTAGGGTAAAAAAAAACAGTTTAGAGGTTCCTCAAAAACTTAAAAATAGAACTACCACATAATCCAACAATTCCACTGCTGGGTATATATGAAAAGAAAGAAAATCAGTATATCAAAGAGACATCTGTACTCCCATGTTCATTGAAGCACTATCCATAATAGCCAAGAAATGAAAATAACCTAAGTGTCCATCAGTGGATGAATGGATAAAGAAAATGTGGTATATATGCACAATGGAATATTATTTAGCCATAAAAAGAATAAAATCCTGCCATTTGCAGCAACATGGATGGAACTGGAGGACTTTATGTTAAGTGAAATAAGTAATCCAGGCACAGAAAGACAAATATCACATGTTCTCACTCACATGTGAGAGCTAAAAAAAATGATCTCATTAAAGTAGTGAGTAGAATGGCGGTCACCTGATTGAAAATGAACATTGGGCTGGGTACAGTGGCTCACACCTGTAATCCTAGTATTTTGGGAGGCCGAGGCAGGTGGAGCACCTGAGCTCAGGAGTTCAAGACCAGCCTGAGCAACATGGCAAAACTCTGTCTCTACTAAAAATAGGGAAAATTAGCTGGGTGTGGTGGCACACACCTGTAATCCCAGATACTTGGGAGTCTGAGATACAAGAATCGCTTGAATCCAGGAGGCGCAGGTTGCAGTGAACTGAGATAGCTTTCCACTGCACTCTAGCCTGGGCAACAGAGCAAGACTCTGAATGAACAAAACAAAAAAAAAAGAAAAAGAAAATGAACATTAATTAGTGATCAGAAAAAAGAAAACTAAACCCACACTTAGACATTGTCTTTGTCCATTTTGTGCTGCTATAACAGAACACCCACAGCCTGAGTAATTTATAACGAATATAAACTTATTGGCCCATGGTTCTGGAAGTTTGGAAGTCCAAGATTGAAAAGTCAGCACCTAGCAAGAGCCTTCTTGCTGTATTATTCCACGATAAAGGTGGAAGGGCAAGACAGAACAAGAGATCGAACTTGTAGCCTCAAGCTCTTTAGCAATCAGCATTAATCCATTCATGAGAGTGGTGCCTTCACGACCTAAACACCTGCCATCAGCCCCACCTCCCAGTATGATTGCATTGGGGATTAAGTTTCCAACACATGCACTTTGAAGGACACAAAACATAAAACATATTTTAGACACATAGCAGAGTTCAGAAATTCTGAAGAATAAAAAAGTAGTGACTGAGATGTAGAATACAATAATGAGCACATAAAATGATAAAAATTGGTAGATAAATCACTCAACCGAAAAGACAAAAAGACTACTTTTCTAAAATTCTAACCAGCAGAAACATGATTATGGAGATAAGGAGCACTCAAGGCCAGGTGCAGTGGCTCACGCCTGTAATCCCAGCACTTTGGGAGGTTGAGGCTGGCAGATCACAAGGTCAAGTGTTCGATACCAGCCTGGCCAACATGGTGAAACCCCCGTCTCCACTAAAAATACAAAAAAAAAAAAAAATTAGCCAGTCGTGGTGGCAGGTGCCTGAAGTCCCAGCTACTTGGGAAGCTGAGGCAAAAGAACGGCTTGAACCCGGGAGGCAGAGGTTGCAGTGAGCCGAGATCATGCCACTGCACTCCAGCCTGGGCAACAGAACAAGACTTCATCTCAAAAAAAAAAAAAAAAAAAAAAAGAAGCACTCAAAAACTGGGCATTATTTGAGATATGACTGCTGTATCACAACTGACACCTGGCCTAGACTATCTTAAAAGTCCAACTGGTTGTAAGATGCATGTCATTTTCAGAAAGAGTATAGAAATATCCACTAACCTAAGACTTTATTAACAAATATAATAGATAAGTATGTATGTTAAAATCTAAGACTGTGTCCTAAAACAAATGAAACTACAATTGAGGTCTTTTAAATCATTTTAGGGAACAATGGGATATGAAAAAATTTGACAATCTCTCTAAAATCTGTAAGATGGAGAACACACACACAGCCCCCAAAGTAGAATTTCCAAATACATCAATAAAACACAATAAGTGTAATGAATCAAACATAGTTATTGAAAGTTATCGATGAGGCTGAGTTTTTAAAAATTCAGTAAAAAAAATTCCATAAGCAAAGATAAAATATTTAAAACGTCAACTGAGTATTATCTTATATTGATGATCGAATAGTCAGTCACACGTTTGATTTTCAAAATGGGCACTTCTAACACGTTAGTGCATGTGCATGTTTTTCACTGACTTTTGACTTCTTAGTCACTGACAATTTGATTACTTTAAACTAGTTTCTTGTTCCCAGGTTATAACACTGCCTAAGCATTCCAATAATTCTCTCACTTGCATAAAGAAAATGTGATTCAAATGTAATGCTTCCGCTTATTCTGAAATACATACGGATACTTTCTGTTTGAAAAAGAGCATTTACATAATCTATTCTAAAGCCATAGTAATTAAGATAATTTTAAAAATGAAACATTGGCCAGGCGCAGTGGCTCACACCTATAATCCCAGCAGTGTGGGAGGCCAAGGAGGTGGATTGCCCGAGGTCTGGAGTTCAAGACCAGCCTGGCCAACATGGCAAAACCCCATCTTTACTTAAAAAAAAAAATTAGCCGGGCGTGGTGGTATGCACTTGTAATCCCAGCCACTCAGGAGGTGGAGGCAGGGGAATCACTTGAACCCAGGAAGCAGAAGCTGCAGTGAGCTGAGATCGCACCATTGCACTCCAGCCTGAGTGACAAGAGGGAAACTCTGTCTCAAAATTTAAAAAAAAAATAAAAAGAAGCATTAAGAAGTACAGTGGGGGAGGTGGGGATGGTTAATGTGTGCAAAAATAAAATAGAAGAATGTATAAGACATTTTTTAATAACACAATAGGATAACTATAGTCAATAATAACTTAACCATATATTTTTAAATAACTTAAAGAGTATAATTGGTTTGTTTGTAATTCAAAGGATAAATCCTTGAGGAGACAGATACCTCATTCTCCATGCTGTGCTTATTTCACATTTCATGCCTATATCAAAATGTTTCAAGCACCCCATAAATATATATACCTACTATTTACCCACAAAAATTAAAAAATAAAAAATACATACAGAAACAGAATGAAGGGATAAAGAAAATGTGATATATATATATATATATATATATATATATATGCGCAATGGAATATTATTCAGCCATAAAAAGAATAAAATCCTGCCATTTGCAGCAACATGGATGGAACTGGAGGATATTATGTTAAGTAAAATAAGTAAGCCAGGCACAGAAAGACAAATATGGCATGTTCTCACTCACATATGGAAGCTAAAAAAAATTGATCTCATGGAGGTATTAGGTTGGTGCAAATGTAATTGCAGTTTTTGTCATTACTTTTAATGTTATAATTGTTGTAGTTGTTACTTTTAATGTTATCTTTAAGATATTTTTGCCTACTGTATGTTTTTGCCATTAGAAGTAATTACACTTGCACCAACCTAATAGTAAGTAGAATAGTGGTTACCAGATTGGTGGTAAAATTAGGTGAGATGATAGTGCAGAAAAAGAAAGAATGCCTTATTAATAAATGGTGCTGTGACAACTAAATATCCACATGGCAAAAGTAAAATAAAATACAGAGAAAAAAAATAGATCTTGACCCCATAAGACACCATACACAAGTATCAATTCCAGTTAGATTAAGATAAACATATTTTGTACCTGCAAAATGATAAAATTTGTAGGACAAAAGACAACATATTCAGTAACCTGCAGTAGGCAAAAACATCTTAAAGATGACATTAAAAATAACAGCTATAAAATAATAATAATATGATAAATTAGACTATATTATGTTTAAGAGCATCTGTTTACTAAAAAAATTAAAAACTGAAAACGAGATTTAGGATGAAAAATTTACAATACTTGTATCTGACAGAAGATATGTATCAAAAAAATATGTAAAAGATTTATACACATCAAGAAGAAATGATAAACCCATAGAAAATATGGAGTCCTGGTAAGTCAGCAACAATGAAAAAGGGCTCCCAGGGTGGGGGAGAATCATTTTTCTGAGAGATGGCTAATCACAGACAACTCCTTGGCACAACATCCTCTTCCCAATTATCTCGTTCCACACATAGCCCCTTCCACTATGGCCCTATAAAACTTCCCCGCAGTGCCTACATCTTTGCAGACAGCCCCTTCTCTGCTGTGCTGCCCATTGCACCTTGCAATATATCTTTGTATTTTCTTTAATAAATCTGCCTTTCTTTCCCCACAAGTGTCTTGGTACATTCTTTTACCATCCAACACACTGGCCTGAGTCAGTGACACCCACAATAGAAAAATGAAGAAAAGACTAAAAATTTCTTCAAAACACTGAGTCACAAATGATCAATAGCACAGGAAAGAATGCTCAACCTCATCAGTCATTAGGTAACTTCCAATATCAAATACCAATGCAATATCACTGCATACCTACTGAAGTACAGAATAAAACTGAAGACAGAAAATACAAAGTGTTGACAAAGACACAGAACAACCAGAACTTTCAATAAATTGTATCAATTTAACCACTTTGGAATACTTTTTGCACATATCTACTAAAATTAAACATACATATGCATATCCCATGACCCAGCAATTCCACTTATAGATGTATACAACCCCCCAAAAACGCATACACATATTCATCCAAAAATATAACAACAATATTTGTAGTAGCATTATCCATAATAACCCAAAACTGGAAACCTGGTCCACTGTCCACCAAAGGGAGAATGGATAAATTGTGGTATATTCTTACAAGGCAATACTACATAACAATGCAATAATATTGGTGAATTCCATAAACATAATGATGAGCCAAAGAAGACAGACACAAAAGAGCATCTAGTTCAATAACAGGAAGAGTGCATATGTGTTGCTATAACTCAAGGTAGAGGTTACCCCAGGTGATGGTGGAGTTATCACTGGAAGAAGCATGAGAGGGCTGTTTATATTCTGTTTCTTCATTTGTAAGCAGGCCACATAGTGTGCTTACTTCCAGAAAATTCTTTGAGCTATAGACATATCTGTGCACTTTTTTGCATGTGTGTTATTCTTCAAAGTTATTCTTTAAAAGTGCCACTGGTTCACACACTGTGCACTGAGGTTCAAATGACTGATGTTGTGGAGCGGATAAATCATCTCTCACTCAGAAAATGAAGTGCTTGGATGTTTAGCAAAATAAGAGTCTTCACTGGATAGGCTTTTGTTTGGGGGCTCTGCTGTTTAAGAACACCAAAGGGCAAGCAAATGCTAATACTTTAAGATTTTGCCTTTGTAAACGTGACTAATGTGACATGAGAAGACCAGAGAAATTGGATTTAATTATGGGTTTTTAATATACTATTTATTATACATCACATGATATATTTAGAGAACATAATTCCTTTATGTTGCTTTTATTGCCACTCGTTACAATAGGAAATTATGCCAACGTCCTTCTGAACTACAAACAGTTAAATGCAAAATCAACAATAAAAGATATAGATTTTAAAATATATATTTGGAAAAGTAAAAGTAAACTCCTAAATATCAAAAGTTCTGAGTTGCCAAAAAAACTTCTAAAGTTTATTAGAAGTGTAAACTAAAAATAAAATTCTGTAGACCCAGTGTAAACCAAAAATAAAAATCTCTAGACCCAGAACATGTAAGACAGGTCCCAGTTTATTTAGAAAGTTTATTTTGCCAAGGTTAAGGATGCAATGCACACCTGTGACACAGCCTCAGGAAGTCCTGACAACATGTGCCCAAGGTGGTTGGGGTGCAGCTTGGTTTTATACATTTTAGGGAGTCATGAGACATCAATCAAGCACATTTAAGAAATATTTGGTTTGGTTAACTCAAAGCAGGGGGCTGTTGGGGAGGGGGGTAGGTTCCAAGCTATAGGTAAATTTAAACATTTTCTGGCTGACAGTTGACAATTGGTTGAGTTTGTCTTAAGACCTGGGATTAATAGAAAGAAATGTTTGGGTTGCAATAAGAGGTTGTGGAGACCAAAATTTTATCATGCAGATGAAGCTTTTAGCTAGCAGGCTTCAGAGAGAACAGGCTGTAAAATGTTTCTTATCAGACTTGAAGTCTGTGTTGTTGTTAATGCCAGAGAGGTATTAATGAGGCATGTCTGACCCCCACTTCCTTTCATGGCCTAAACCAGTCTTTCAGGTTAAATTTTAAGAACCCTGACTAAAAAGGAAGTCCATTTAGTTGGTTGGGAGGGGCCTTAGAATTTTATTTTTGGTTTACAATTCTAAGGCCCACCCCACCTCCCCAACCATCTAAATGGACCCTTCTGGGCCAAGGACATTCTAAAGTTAGCCTGAAAAACTAGTTTCAATTCATAATGGGAAAGGGGAGCCAGACACGCCTCATTATACCCTCCTCCCTTTTGGAATTACTGATAGAGCAGACTCTTTAAGTCTGACAAGCAACATTTACAATCTATTCTCTCTGAAGGCTGCTACCTGGAGGCTTCATCTGTCTGATAAAACCTTGGTCTCCACAACCCCTTATTACCACAACACAGACTTTCCTTCCTATTGATAATAACCCTTTCAGTCAATTGCCAATCAGAATATCTTTGAATCTGCCTAGGACTTGGAAGCCTCCACTTCCGGTTGTCTGGACCTTTCTGGACCAAACCAGCGTACACCTCACATGTATTAATTGATGTCTCCTGTCACCCTAAAATGTATAAAACCAAGCTGTAGCCCATCATTTTGGGCACATGTTCTCAGGATCTCCTGAGGGCTATATCACTGGCCATTGGTCACACATATTTGGTTCAGAATAAATCTCTTCAAATATTTTACGGAGTTTGATGCTTTTTGTCAACAGGAGAAAATGTATTCCTTAAAAAACATTTATTAGTTTTTTTTTTAAAAAAAAGCAAGATTGAAAATAAGTTCAGCATTCAACTCAAGAAAGTAAAGGTAATAAAACAATAAAAATTAAAAGAATGGGAAATGTTACTGGAAAGGGATCCCGATCCAGACCCCGAAAGAGGGTTCCTGGATCTTGCTCAAGAAAGAATTCAAGGTAAGTCCATAAAGTGAAAGCAAATGTATTGAGAAAGTAAAGAAATAAAAGAATGGTTACTCCACAGGCAGAGCAGTGGCATCAGCCACTGGTTGCCCATTTTTATGGTTATTTCTTGATTATATGCTTAACAAGGGTTATTATTCATGAGTTTTCCTGGAAAGAGCTGGGGAATTCTAGGAGCTGAGGGCTCCTTCCCTTTTCAGACCTTATAGGGTAGCTTCCTGACATTGCCATGGCATTTGAAAACTGTCATGCTGCTCCTGAGAGTGCCTTCTACCATGCTAGTGCATTACAATTAGCTTACAATGAGCCATAACAACAACCAGAGGTCACTCTCACCATCTTGGTTTTGGTAATTTTGGCCGGCTTCTTTACTGCAAACTGTTTTACCAGCAAAGTCTTTATGACCAGTATCTTGTGCAGACTTCCTAACACATCCTGTGACTTTGAATGCCTAATTTACTGGGAATGCAGCTCAGCAGATCTCAGCCTTATTTTACCAGCCCCTACTCAAGATGGAGTCGTTCTGGTTCAAATGCCTCTGACAGAAACAGGTAAACAACTGATATTAATGTACAAGAAAACAAAGAAGCAAAAGAGATTATTAAACAAAAACAAAAAAAAAAAGAGATCACAAATTAAACTATAGTAACAAAGTGGGACCACAATTAGGGCTATAGTAGAGAATTTTTTAAATCATTATAAATTAAACCAACTTTCATGCTATTTTTTGTAGATTTTTCAATTTGTAGATTTCATAGCTTTTCCAAATATGCAAACTTGAAAATGTAGCATAAATAAAATACTTTATGGAAACCATAGAAACAATCAATATTGACATCAATACAAACAAAAATCCTACACAAAATTAGATATCAGATAATTTTAATTGATAAGCAGTTTTCATACCAAAAAGAAACAATACCCAGATAAATTCATACAGTCACATTTTACTAATCACCAAAGAACAAACAATCCTTTTCTTGTTCAAAATGTAAAAAGGCAGTACAAAAATAAAAAAAAGCCCAATCTCACTTATAAATGGAAAGCAAAATAATAATTTCAAATATATAGTGTACCAATAACATCAACAGTAACAATGAATGATAGCCCAAGAATGCAAATATAGTTCAGTGGCAGAAAATCTGTTAAAATTAACCACCATTTTAGAACACTAACAAAAAAGCATATCATTTATCTTATTAGGTGAAGAAGAAGCATTTGATACAATTTAACTCTCAACTATAAAGACAACTTTAGGAAAAGTAGGAATATGAAGAAATTTCCTCAAACATATAAGGAATCTTTATAAAAAGTATTCAGTAAATATCACTTTTTATCATTATTAAATACTTATTGAGCATTAAATTTGTACTAGGCACTGTTCTAAGTACACAAATATATATGCATACATACATACATATATTAATATATGTATGTGTATATATACACACATATATGTTTAATCCTCACAACATTCTTCTGATATAAATATTATTGTTGTTGTTGCTTTTGTTTATTTTCATTTCACTAATGGAAAAACACGAACACAGAGGGGTTAAGTTATCTGGCCCAAATCACACAACTTTTAACTGACAGAGCCTAAATTCAAACCTCCTTGATCTTGCATTTTTAACCAGTGTGCTATGTGGCCTCTATAATGATGGAACATTAGAAACATTCCCTTGAAAATCTGGAAAAAGCCAAAAATGCCCGCTATCACTCCTACCATTCAAAATTGTACATAAGCCCTGGCCAATGCAATAAGAAAAATAAACACAATATTTTTTAAATAGATAAAAAGAGATACAATGACATTCACTTGCAAACAATATGATTAGAAACTCTTAAAAAAATACGGATAAAATATTACAAAAGATAACAGAATTCAGCAAGTTATTAGATCAACGCAAATTTATTTTCATTCTAGAATTCAGCCATACCAATTATAAAGTGTAATGGAAATTGAAGATACTTTTACAATAGCAAGAAAAACTTCAGGCTCCTATGAATAATTCTAGCAAAAAAATAAATAAACTTTTAGAAGAAAATTTTAAGAATCTCTTTAAAGACATAGAAGAAAGCCTGAATAAACATTTATGGAACAGAAGACTTATTATTAAAGAGGTTCCTGTTCTGCCACCAAAATAATCTACATATTTGTTGCAATTTTAGTTAATTATAATAAGGTTTTCATTAAAATGGACCAGCCAGTATTTATACTCTTCATAAGAAAGAATAAAGAAATAAAGCTTTGAAGGAAGGGAATAAAGCATACAAGACCACATACAAGCGTTATTCTAACACTGTATGTAACACAATGTTATTTATATAAAGAAGAGACAAACAGATCAATACAATACAGTCAAGCACCTTGAAACAAATCCATGGAAAATTTGTCAGGCCTCTGAGCCCAAGCTAAGCCATCATATCCACTGTGACTTTCATGTACACATCCAGATGGTTGGTTCCTGCCTTAAATGATGACATTCCACCACAAAAGAAGTGAAAATGGCCTGTTCCTGCCTTAACTGATGACATTGTCTTGTGAAATTCCTTCTCCTGGCTCATCCTGGCTGGAAAGCTCCCCTACTGAGTATCTTGTGACCCCCACTCTGGCCACCAGAGAACAACCCCGCTTTGACTGTAATTTTCCTTTATTTACCCAAATCCTATAAAACGTCCCCACCCTTATCTCCCTTGGCTGACCCTCTTTTCGGACTCAGCCCAGCTGCACCCAGGTGAAATAAACAGCTTTATTGCTCACACAAAGCCTGTTTGGTGGTCTCTTCCATGGATGCAAGTGAAATTTGGTGCCATGACTCGGATCAGGGTACCTCCCTTGGGAGATCAATCCCCTGTCCTCCTGCTCTTTGCTCCATGAGAAAGGTCCACCTATGACCTCAGGTCCTCAGACCGACCAGCCCAAGAAACATCTCACCAATTTCAAATCCAGTAAGCAGCCTATTTTTACTCTCTTCTTCAACCTCCCTCACTATCCCTCAACCTCGTTCTCCTTTCAATCTTGGCGCCACACTTCAACCTCTCCCTTCTCTTAATTTCAATTCCTTTCATTTTCTGGTAGAGACAAAGGAGACATTTTATCCGTGGACCCAAAACTCCAGCGCCTGTCACAGACTGGGAAGGCAGCCTTCCCTTGGTGTTTAATCATTGCAGGGACACCTCTGATTATTCACTCATGTTTCAGAGGTGTCATACCATGCAAGGATGCCTGCCTTGGTCCTTCACCCTTAGCAGCAAGTCCTGCTTTTCTTGGGGAGGGGCAAGTACCCCAACCCCTTCTCTCCGTGTCTCTACCCCTTCTCTGCTTTTCTGAAGGAGAGGCAAGAACCCCTCAACCCCTTCTCTTTCACCCTTAGCGGCAAGTCCCGCTTTTCTAAAGGAGGGGCAAGTACCCCGACCTCTTATCTCTGTGCCCCCATCCCTTATTTCCACACCCCGACCTCTTATCTCCGTGCCCCAACCCCTTATTTCTGTGCCTTGACCCCTTTTCTGCTTTTCTGGAAGGTAAGAACTCCCAAACCCCTTCCCTCTGTGTCTCTACTCTCTCTTTTTTCTAGGCTTGCCTCCTTCACTATAGGCAAACTTCCACCCTCCATTCCTCCTCCTTCTCCCTTAGCCTGTGTTCTTAAGAACTTAAAACCTATTCAGCTCTCACCTGACCTAAAATCTAAGCGTCTTATTTTCTTCTGCAATGCTGCTTGACCCCAATACAAACTCACAGTAGTTCCAAATAGCCAGAAAACGGCACTTTCAATTTTTCCATCCTGCAAGATCTAAAGAATTCTTGTGGTAAAATAGGCAAACGGTCTGAGGTGCCTGACGTCCAGGCATTCTTTTACACATCAGTCCCTTCCTAGTCTCTGTGCCCAGTGCAACTCATCCCAAATCTTCCTTCTTTCCCTCCCGCCTGTCCCCTCTGTCCCAACCCCAAGCGTCGCTGAGTCTTTCTAATCTTCCTTTTCTACAGACCCATCTGACCTCTCCCCTCCTCCCCAGGCTGCTCCTCGCCAGGCCAAGCTAGGTCCCAATTCTTCCCCAGCCTCCAGTCCTCCACCCTGTAATCTTTTTATCACCTCCTCTCCTCACACCCGGTCCAGTTTACAGTTTAATTCCGTGAGTAGCCCTCCCCTACCTGCCCAGCAATTTCCTCTTAAAAAGGTGGCTAAAGCTAAAGGCATAGTCAAAGTTAATGCTCCTTTTTCTTTATCAGACCTCTCCCAAATCAGTGAGCATTTAGGCTGTTTCATCAAATATGAAAAACCCAGCCCAGTTCATGGCTTATTCGGCAGCAACCCTGAGACGCTTTACAGCCCTAGACCCTAAAAGGTCAAAAGGCCGTCTTATTCTCAATATACATTTTATTACCCAATCTGCTCCCGACATTAAATAAAACTCCAAAAATTAAATTCTGGCCCTCAAACCCCACAACAGGACTTAATTAACCTCACCTTCAAGGTGTACAATAATAGAGTAGAGGCAGCCAAGTAGCAACGTATTTCTAAGTTGCAATTATTTGCCTCCACGGTGAGACAAACCCCAGCCACATCTCCAGCACAACAAGAACTCCAAATACCTGAACCACAGCTGCCAGGGGTTCCTCCAGAACCTCCTCCCCCAGGAGCTTGCTACAAGTGCCGGAAATCTAGCCACTAGGCCAAGGAAGGCCCACAGCCCAAGATTCCTCCTAAGCCATGTCCCATCTGTGCAGGACCCCACTGAAAATTAGACTGTTCAACTCACCTGGCAGCCACTTCCAGAGCCCCTGGAACTGTGGCCCAAGGCTCTCTGACTGACTCCTTCCCAGATCTTCTCAGCTTAGCAGCTGAAGACTGACACTGCCTGATCGCCTCAGAAGCCTACAGGACCATCACAGATGCTCTAAGTAACTCTCACAGTAGAAGGTAAGTCCGTCCCCTTCTTAATCAATACGGAAGCTACTCACTCCACATTACCTTATTTTCAAAGGCCTGTTTCCCTTGCTTCCATAACTGTTGTGCGTATTGACAGCCAGGCTTCTAAACCTCTTAAAACTCCCCAAATCTAGTGCCAACTTAGACAATACTCTTTTAAGCACTCCTTTTTAGTTATCCCCACCTGCCCAGTTCCCTTATTAGGCCGAGACACTTTAACTAAATTATCTGCTTCCCTGACTATTCCTAGGCTACAGCCACACCTCATTGCTGCCTTTTCTCCCAGTTCAAAGCCTCCTTCACATCCTCCCCTTATATCTCCCCACCTTAACCCACAAGTATAAGACACCTCTACTCCCTCCTTAGTGACCGATCATGCACCCCTTACCATCCCATTAAAACCTAATCACTCTTACCCCGCTCAATCCCAATATCCCATCCCACAGCATGCTTTGAAAAGATTAAAGCCTGTTATCACTTACCTGTTACAGCATGGCCTTTTAAAGCCTATAAACTCTTCTTGCCATTCCCCCATTTTACCTGTCCTAAAACCAGACAAGGCTTACAGGTTAGTTCAGAATCTGTGCCTTATCAACCAAATTGTTTTGCCTATCCACCCCATGGTGCCAAACCCATATACTCTCTTATCCTCAATACCTCCCTCTACAACCCATTATTCTGTTCTAGATCTCAAACATGCTTTCTTTACTATTCCTTTGCACCCTTCATCCCAGCCTCTCTTTGCTTTCACTTAGGCTGACCCTGACACCCATTAGGCTCAGCAAATTACCTGGGCTGTACTGCCACAAGGCTTCACAGACAGCCCCCATTACTTCAGTCAAGCCCAAATTTCATCCTCATCTGTTACCTATCTCGGCATAATTCTCATAAAAACACACGTGCTCTCCCTGCTGATTGTGCCAATTAATCTCCCAAACCTCAATCCCTTATAAAACAACAACTCCTTTCCTTCCTAGGCATGGTTAGTGCGGTCAGAATTCTTACACAAGAGCCAGGACCGCACCCTGTAGCCTTTCTGTCCAAACAACTTGACCTTACTGTTTTAGCCTAGCCATCATGTCTCCGTGCAGCGGCTGCTGCTGCCCTAATACTTTTAGAGGCCCTCAAAATCACAAACTATGCTCAACTCACTCTCTACATTTCTCATAACTTCCAAAATCTATTTTCTTCCTCATAGCTGATGCATATACTTTCTGCTCCCCGGATCCTTCAGCTGTACTCACTCTTTGTTAAGTCCCACAATTATCATTGTTCCTGGCCCGGACTTCAATCTGGCCTCCCACATTATACCTGATACCACACCTGACCCCCATGACTGTATCCCTCTGATCCACCTGACATTCACCCCATTTCCCCATATTTCCTTCTTTCCTGTGCCTCACCCTGATCACACTTAGTTTATTGATGGCAGTTCCACCAGGCCTAATCACCACACACCAGCAAAGGCAGGCTATGCTATAGTACAAGCCACTAGCCCGCCTCTTAGAACCTCTGATTTCCTTTCCATCGTGGAAATCTATCCTCAAAGAAATAACTTCTCAGTGCTCCATCTGCTATTCTACTACTTCTCAAGGATTATTCAGGCCCCCTCCCTTCCCTACACATCAAACTCAAGGGTTTGCCCCTGCCCAGGACTAGCAAATTGACTTTACTCAACATGCCCTGAGTCAGGAAACTAAAATACCTCTTGGTCTAGGTACACACTTTCACTAGATAGGTAGAGGCCTTTCCCACAAGGTGTAAGAAGGCCACCACGGTCATTTCTTCCCTGCTGTCAGACATAATTCCTCAGTTTGGCCTTCCCACTTCTACACAGTCCGATAGAAGACTGGCCTTTGTTAGTCAAATCAGCCAAGCATTTTTTCAGGCTCTTAATATCCAGTGAAACCTTTATATCCCTTACAGTCCTCAGTCTTCAGGAAAAGTAGAACGGACTAATAGTCTTTTAAAACACACCTCACCAAGCTCAGCCACCAACTTAAAAAGGACTAGATAATACTTTTACCACTTTCCCTTCTCAGAATTCAGGCCTGTCCTCAGAATGCTACAAGGTACATCCCATTTAAGCTCCTGTATAGACGCTCATTTTTATTAGGCCCCAGTCTCATTCCAGACACCAGACCAACTTGGACTGTGCCCCAAAAAACTTGTCATCCCTACTATCTTCTGTCTAGTCATTCCTATTCACTGTTCTCAACTACTCATACATGCCCTGCTCTTGTTTACACTGCCAGTTTACACTGTTTCTCCAAGCCATCACAGCTGATATCTCCTAGTGCTATCCCCAAACTGCCACTCTAAACTCTTGAAGTAAATAAATAATCTTTGCTGGCAGGACTATGCTGAATCTCCTTAAGCACTCTCTAATCAGATGTCCTAGGTCCTCCCAATTCTTAGACCTTTTATACCTGTTTTTCTCCTTCTCTTATTCCATTTAGTTTTTCAATTCATACAAAACCATATCCAGGCCATCACCAATAATTCTACAGGACAAATGTTTCTTCTAACAACCCCACAATATCACCCCTTACCACAAAATCTTCCTTCAGCTGAATCTCTCCCACTCTAGGTTCCCGCGCCGCCCCTAATCCCGCTCGAAGCAGCCCTGAGAAACATCGCCCATTATCTCTCCATACCACCCCCAAAAATTTTCACCATCTCAACACTTTACCACTATTTCATTTTATTTGTCTTATTAATATAAGAAGACAGGAATGTCAGGCCTCTGAGCCCAAGCTAAGCCATCATATCCCCTGTGACCTTCATGTACACATCCAGATGGCTGGTTCCTGCCTTAACTGATGACATTCTACCACAAAAGAAGTGAAAATGGCCTGTTCCTGCCTTAACTGATGACATTGTCTTGTGAAATTCCTTCTCCTGGCTCATCCTGGCTCAAAAGCTCCCCTACTGAGCACCTTGTGACCCCCACTCTGCCCACCAGAGAACAACCCCCCTTTGACTGTAATTTTCCTTTATCTACCCAAATCCTATAAAACGGCCCCACCCTTATTTCCCTTCACTGACTCTCTTTTCAGACTCAGGCCACCTGCACCCAGGTGAAATAAACAGCTTTATTGCTCACACAAAGCCTGTTTGGTGGTCTCTTCACAGGGACATGAATGAAAAAATTGGCATTATCAGAGATGCTGCTATAAAAAAATAGAGAAATGTTAGACTATTCAATAATTGGTACAAAGGCAATTGGGTTTCCATATGGAAACAAAACAAAATTAGAAGACTGCCTTAGATCAAAATAAATTCCAGATACACTGAGGATCACAATACAAAAAGTAAAACTTTAAAACTTATAAAATGATAAATAGATGAAATAAATGATAAATAAATGAAAAATAACTTCTTGACTGTCAGAAGCAAGGATTTATTGAGTCAGACATCAAAGCTCAAACCATAAAAACATTCAAAATTTTATAAATTTGACTATGGTAAAGCTAAAAATCTTGTAAATGATAAATATATCTCCAAAAAGATGTAAACAATAAACCACAGACTTGAAGAAGTTATTTGCAAGTTTTGTGTCAAAATTAGTACACATACCATGCAGGGATAAAAATTTCTACAAATCAACAGATTAAATATTAAAAATTCAAGACAAAAAAAATCACAATGACACAAACAGGCAAATCACGAGAGAGAAAATCCCAGTAGCCAATATGCATACAAAAGATAATTATTCTCACTAATAAATTTGAATTAAAATCTAATAAATAAATGTGAATTAATTTTCCTCACTAACAAACACAAAGTTAGGAAACGAAACCCTTTGTCAAACCCATAAGATTGTCAAATATCTGACAATACCAATTATTGGTAAGAATGTAGGGCAATGGAAACTCATTCAACGCTGTTGAGAAAGTAAATTTGATATTCTTTAGTAAATATAAATATGACAATATTATGTGTCTGGAAATTCTATATCTAGGTATGTACTCCACAGTTACTTGTGCAAATATGCACAAAGAAATGTGTACAAGGATGCTTATTGCAGTGTTGTTTATAACAACAAATAATGCATACCAGTAAGAGAGTGGATTAATTCAATTGTGGAATATTCACACAAAGGTACTCCATAGAGCAGTTAAAAATGAATAAACTATCTACATATATTAACAGAGCTAATTCTTAAAACATGATGTTGAGTTTTTAAAAAGAAACTCACTTAATGGTTTGTGTAATGTGATAAAATTTAAACCAGGTTTAAATGTGTTTACAACAATACTATATATTGCCTTTATTGATGCATCTATATGTAATTTAAAAGTTGCTAACAGTAGGCAATACAGTTATTTACTATATTATTAGGTACTTTTCCGTATGCTTGTATTCTTTTATAAGATAAATGTCTTTCTTTTTAAATGAAGTGAATTAGAGGAGGCAAGGCTCTAGGCAGGGAGAACAACTAGGTCATCTAATGTTTTGGGTGACACACATTGGCAGTTTGGAATATGACAGATGGATGCTGGGTGGCAACAGTGTAGAAGAGATGTCACATCTTAGAGACAGTACAAACCAAGATCAAAGGCAGAAAATTCCATCCCCAAACTCTGGGTCTGAGGTCATACCTGTAACAGTCATTATTGTATAAGGTAAGTTGGAAATATTTCTGTTCCTTCCTCCACAAACAGAAGGGAAATAAAAGCTCAAGGAACACTTCTAATCAATTTTAAAACATATCCTGGGTCCCGACTATAGTGAGAGTTTTGTATGAATTTGTTCAAAGAGGAGATTTGCTCTCTATCTAAAAGCAGGCAGACAGTAACTTCCAGGTGGATAAAATCAATGTTGTGCTTTTGAGAGGAGGCAATAATTACAAAGGATCTATGGACCAGGGGTGCTGAGCAGCTTATTTGGAAGGACTCATGTAGACATATAAGGTATGCAATTCAGAAAGGCAGAGTCTTAGAC
Organism: Homo sapiens; assembly: GCF_000001405.40. NCBI lineage: Eukaryota > Metazoa > Chordata > Mammalia > Primates > Hominidae > Homo > Homo sapiens. The sequence continues at coordinate 115,172,851 of NC_000009.12, read as the reverse complement.
TCCCAAAATCTTGGGTGTCCAAGAGGCCATTTGATCTGCTGCTCAGCCTTCAAGCAGATCAATGACTAAACCATTCATTTCGGCCATTACTTGTTTCCTTTAACAGTTCCACAAAAGTAGTCCATCATGAAATAGATGTGTATTCAAATTCTGGTTTTATGTTTGTGTGCTATATGTCTCCCAGAAACTTTCTTAAACTTGTTGAGCCTCAGTTTCTTCCCCTCTAGAAGAAGAAAACGGTAGTACATTCTTTACAGTTTGTTATGAGGTATAAATTAAATTCAATGTAAAACCATCTAACACATTGCAATTGCTCAATTGCTCAATATGGTTAGTGGCCATAATTATCACTGCCTGTGTTCCAGGTAGAAAAAAAAAAGAAAGGACCTAAATGCAAAACATATCTGATCTATCTTCTCCTATCTTTAGCGGCTCTCTGTCCAGTACATTCTCGCTGCCCTAAGCATTGAAGTTTGGCTTGCATCTGGAGGAGCCAAGAACTGAGCTAAGTCCACTGCTATCTGATTCTGCTCGTGAGGTCACTCCAGGCAGTTGGGGACACAGAGCTCACCTCTGCTGACCCTTTCCTGATATTTCACATAGCAGAAGCCTATCCAGAATTCTTTTTTGTAGGCCCAGTGCCATAAATCTTGGACATATCTTTTAACACCATATGTCTAAGTCCTTAATAGATTCTTTGAAGTTTATAGCAGTTTTCTGGGTTCATCCTTTTAGTTTTTTAAATTTAATGTTTGAGATGCATTTGGGTGGCCAACCGTAAACTTCCTCTATGCATTAATTATTTGCGGATGTTGAGGCTGTGAGTTGGGGGATGGAGGGTGCTGGAAAAATCCATGCCCTTTGTTCTTCATGAGGACATACTTTAATGTACATATTTACAACTGTGTGAGCTCAATAAAAAAGCTTAACTTGGCCTGAAATATCAAATTATGTTTTCTCACATCTTAGAAAGAAAATGGAATTAAATCTGAAGCAGGCTAGAAATTTTAAGATTCACACAAGACGAGGATAACATCTAAAGGGAGCAAACATTTTCCATATGCCAGGCATTCTCCTAGAAATATTACATGTGTTGTTTTATTAATCCTTATCCCCCTTCACCATGAAGTTGCTCTTATTGTTATCCTTATTTTAAAGTTGAAAAATCCTGAAGATCAGAGAGTTGAATTGAGTTGCCTAAGGTCACACAGCTGATGGCCTATTATAAAGACTCTGAGTTTAAAGCTGAAGTCTCTTTCTCTACGGGAGATTGAGGAAGAATGAATAGCAGGGCATGAGACAAGTACTTTCATTGGACTGAACAGTGGTCAGTGCTGGTCTAACTAGCAGTCATCAAAACCCTCGGGGGAGAACATCATCTTTATCATTATCCCCATTGGATAGATGAAGAATATAAGACACAGGGGCTAAGCGGCTTGCCCAAGATAAACCAGTCAAAAAAGGCAGAACTGGAATTTTAATGCAGATTCTACACTCTTAACCACTCTGCCATATTGCCGGTTGAGAGGGAGTGAAGCACATGGCAAAGTTATCTCCAAATGAATGTTATCTAAAGTCTTTCTGATATTGTTCATGCCATTAAGAATGGTACCGTTTGGCTATGCAGGGATCCTTTAAATTGTAAGCACAAAGAAGGACCAAGACTTTTAGTCCAAATGAGACCAGAGACTCAGACACTGGAGCAGCTTGCTCAAGAGCATAGGACTAGTCAGAGGCAATGACAATATCGGCCTCCAGGTCCCCTGGCCTCCAGCCTGGGACTTTTTCCAGTGTCCCCCTCACTCTTCTGTCAACTCAGTCAGATGTTGGAGGCTCTGTAGTCATGGGAAAGAGGATAAAGACAGAATTGCTGCTCTCAGCAGAAACACTGTAATGGAAACCATTTCACAGGCTGTGGCAGAAAGAGCCTTCCCTCCTCATCACATGTTAGCTTCGGGAAGAGTTTATGACTCATTCAGGACATTTGGGTGTGTCAGTTCCGCAAAACTAGGGTATCCTGGGCAGAGTCTCAGAAGAAAGACAGGAGTCAGGAATCTCATCTACTCCAGGCAGAGGGAAGGTGGCTGTCTATTAAGAAATACTGAAAGGCCTCTCAACTGTACTTCTGTAGCCACCAGGGGAGCAGGGACTTGAAATTTCTGAGTATTTCTCATCCAGTCATTTCAATCATGACAATATAGTAGTTCTGGAGATGAAATATTTAAAGTTGTAAAGAAAGAGTGAGTTTTTAAGCCAGATCAATTTGCATGCAACCCTGTTTCCTCATTCATAGAATGCACATAAATACCTACTTCGCAGAATCACAGTGGGGGTTGATTGAAATAAAGCCTGAAAAATTTCTAGCAGACAAAAGGCACTCAATGGGTACAAAGTAAAGGTTGAATTGATCTCCTCTTGATAAGATGAAACCAAAGCCAATGAAAACTATTTGGAGAATATAGCAGGCTGAATAATGCTCCCCGGGAGACGTTACCTTATATGTTAAAAAAAAAAAAAAAAAAAAAAAAAAAAAAAAACCTTTGCAGATGTGATTAAGTTAAGGATATTGAGATGAAGATATTGAGATAAATGGCTTTTATGAAATGGAGTCAAGAGGATCAGAGTTAGGAGAAAGGCTGAAAGATACTGTACTGTCGTCTTTGATAATGAGGAAAAGGCCATGAGCCAAGGACAGCAGGCAGTCACAGAATCTAGAAAACGTAAAACAAACAAACAAACAAACAAGCAAAAAAACTCTCCTCTAGAGCCTCCAAAAGGAACATAGCTTGCTGACACCTTAATTTTAGCCCGTGAGGCTGACTTAGGACTTCTGACTGCCAGAATTGTAAGATAATAAATGTGTGTGTGAGTTTGTGTGTATGTGTGTGTGTGTTTGAGGTCACTAAGTTTGTGCTAATTTGTTAAATCAGCAATAGGAAACTAATACAGAGTGATATATCACAAGCAAAACATTCACCCCAATATAAAGAACATCCCTATAAGTAGGTGGACTCAATAGCTCAGAGACCAGCAGCCTGTGAATATAGATGAGGTCACAAGTTCATCAGTGTGTAAATAACGGTAGTTCTTAACAACCCCCACCAACACCACCATCAATTTCCAATAACCCAGTCTTTATTTTTTAATGTTTCCCCGTCCCTTCAAGCATTCTCAGGAACAAGTTCACTCAGTCTTTCTTTGAAATCCTTCCATGAGCAGAATTTTAGGAGGAATCTTCGCAAAGCCACAGACACTGTAACCTTGGTGAGATCCCGGGTCTCTCTCTGGCACTCCTCCAGCTACCATCCTGCTCCACACATCTTTGTCCAATGCTGTCACTCAGTCTAGAACCACCAGAAATAAAAATCTTTTGAGTAAATTGTCATATTTGTTGCCAATCTCCAAAGAGCGCTGCTGCTTCCCAAAATCTTACAGTTTTTTCATAAACATGATTCCTTAAGCTTTAGATAGCACCCTCACAGTCTCTCATCGGGCCAGGCTGAGTGGAAATTAATCACGTTATTCCCTCTCAATTTTACCTCTTCCTTCTCTACCCTCTGTCCCACATGTCAGTATGTCCCCCTCTTCCTCCAGTTAAAAGCTAAAGCACCGTCTTTGTATAACAACTTATGCAACTGGACACTTGATAGAAAACAGTACCATTAACTCCACTTGCCAGACACATATGAACCCCAGCTCTAGCTTGTGCAAAACACTCTCCCTACCCAACCTACCTACCAAGTTGTACACATCCCTGGATTTGGAGAGTCTATTCCTGGATCCCTCAGGGTGGGGTGGGGTGGGTGGCAATGTAGAAAGCATGCTCTCTAGAAGCAGCTCATGCCCAACAGGAAAAGAAGAGACAGATCCTCACTAAGGATGTTCGCTAAAGATATCCCCCATGTCCATTTCTCATTGTTCTCTAGTATCTGACTATAAAGGGACCAGGTTGGCTCAGGATGAACATAGTGTCTTTTCTATAAGATGATCCTAGAGCAGGAAGCAGCATGTTAGAGACTATTTTCAGAGTATCACTCTTTCTCTGACAGCTAGAGAGTTCCTTTAAGTGAAACAATCCTGGCAGCAGCAACACTGAAGTGTCTCTTCCTGCCCATGAGAATGAACACATCAGTAACAGGACCTGACCTGATATTTCTGCAAAGTCTGTTATGGAGATATGAGAGAGAGATCAAAAAATTGAACTCTCTTTCTTTTCCAAGCTTGAAACCAATTGAAAATTAAGGCAGAGGAGTAAAGGCAATGGCGGGAATCAAAACCACCGTTGTTACTTGTAGATCTCAAATTGGAGGATATGGCTCTGCGGATGAATAAATGGAGCTCCAGGATTAGACAGACCTACCTACCAAGTTGTAGACAACCATATATCCAGAGAGTCTATCCCTCAATCCCTGAGAGGGCAAGGTAGAAAGCATGCCCGCTAGAGGCAGCTTATGCTCAATAGCAAGAGGAGAGACAGATGCAACGCCCTGCACATCCAGCTCCTGGAATCACCAAGTAGATGGCCCCCTCCTTCTTCCCTGGTCAGAACGAGTGTGGGTATGCAGACAGACAAAGAGCATTATGTGAGTGGAATTCCACATGAAGCTCTGCCCCCACTGTAGAAGATTGTGTCCTTGTCAAAATACTCACTGCCTCTTTCTCCTGTGCTCATCCCTTTGAGAGTGTTATCCTTCCTGTGGCCACAAGACTTGCTTTGGTCAACAAGATGTCAGTTGAAATGACATGAGCCATTTCTTCACAGATGCTCTGAGAGCCATTGTGTGTCTCTGCCATCTTTCCTTTCCTTCTGCCACTGAATGGCATGCCCCAGATTAGGGATTCTCCATCAGGCTTGGTTGTAGGATGAAGAGGGAATACAGGCGCAGTGGCTCACACCTGTAATCCCAATACTTTGGGAGGCTGAGGCGAGAGGATCACTTGAGCCCAGGAGTTCTAGACCAGCCTAAGCAACATAGTGAGAGACCCTGTCTCCACAAAACAATCTTAAAATGTAGCCAGGCATGGTGGTACAGGCCTGTGGTCCCAACTACTTGGGAGGCTGAGGTGGATTGTTTGAGTATGGGAGCTCAAGGCTGCAGTGAGCTGTGATCATGTCACTATGCTCCAGGCTATAAAAAAGAACAAACCCTGTCTCCAAAAAAAAAAAAAAAAAAAGGCAGTGGAGTAGAATTTTGGCCAACTCACAGTGGACATGAATATGAATGAGAAATACATATTTGTTGCTTTGTGCCAGTAAGAGGTTGTTATTACAGCCCACCTTGTCTCACACTTACATATACAGGGAATCTCCTCCCCAGCAACTTTCCTTCCTCTCTAGTCTCTATCCTTCAATCAATCCATCCATTCACTGTTGACACCAGTCCCTGTTAGAACTGCAATAATGAATAAGATATGCCTCGTGGGGGATCCAGTCATGTCAAGAAATAACTCAAATGGAAAGTAGTCAGTGCTATGTTAGAAGAATGTACAAAATTCCTGGAGAACCCAGAGGAGGATGATGATTCAGAACAGCTGAGGGGATCGGGAAGGGCCCCAGGCAATCTCTGCAGGAACCCTTCATTCCAGGGAGTTCCTACGAAGTGTGACTGAAACTCTAGCCATATTTTGTTTTTGTCCTTATTCCCTGGAACACAGACCCAGCAGAAAAGGCAACCAAGATGTTGGGGGAATTGCCCCACACATACAGGATATATGTCAGATTCTAAGAAATGCCATAGGGATTCCAAGGAATAAGGGAGACTTTTCATCCTGAGCTGGCACAGGAGGTCTTTGAGGAGATAGGATTTCAGCCAAGCAGTAAAAGGTAGATTGGATTATTTCAGGGGTGTGGGGTAAATCTTGGGGCAGGCCATTTTATTTATTTATTTATATTTGAGATGGAGTCTCCCTCTGTTGCCCGGGCTGGAGTGCAGTGGCATAATCTCGGCTCACGGCAACCTCCACCTCCCAGGTCCAAGTGATTCTCCTGCCTCAGCCTCCTGAGTAGCTGGAACTATAGGCGCGAGCCACCACACCGAGCTAATTTTTGTGTTTTTAGTAGAGACAGGGTTTCGCCATATTGGCCAGGCTGGTCTCGAACTCCTGACCTCAGGTGATCCACCTGCCTCAGCCTCCCAAAGTGATTGGATTACAGACATGAGCCACCACGCCTATGGTGGCAGGCCATCTTAGTAGAAGGAAGAGAATGTACAAAGAACCAAAGGCAGGAGAATAAGCTCTATTCCAGAGATGGTGTAGAGCAGGAATGCAGGAGCAGTGTGTGAGTGGAGTGGAGGAAAATGAGACCCAAAATGTGGCCTGAGAGCCAGATCCTAAATGCAAGACTAAGGGCAGTGCCCTTTAGGTGAGAAGAGCCACTGAAGTCTCTGAAAACTGAAATGGCATGATAGAAAAGACATTTCGGGGTAACAGGAAGATGACCCTGGTATGATGGAGAGTGGAACTGGAGGGCAAACTGGAGAGGGGCTACTAAAAGGGTTACTAATGGGGAGGCTGTTTAATGTTCCAGGCGAGGTAGGAGGGATCCTAACCAAGGAAGGGTCCAAAGGAGAAGAGGAAACAAAAGTAAGTGAGTCATAAAGAAGGGATCCACAATTAATGGGGTAGGGGTTCTGAAAACAGCTTGGACAGTCATGGAAGAGGACCCTGAGGAGGTGTTAGAGTAGAGCCCTGAATAATGAACAAAATTTAGATAAACAGAAGGGAGTAGGGAGGGCAACATAAGGAAGTACAGCTTTTCAAGGTGAGAAGTCTAACTTGATTAAGTAAAAGTTTTCTGTAGCGGTACTACTGAAGATAAAGGCAGCAAGTTGAAAACTACATGTGTATGTACTATGCTCTTTCTTTTAGTCCTCTTAAGAATGCTATGAGTTCTTCTCTATTAACCCATTTTACAGATGAGGAAATGGAGACTTAGAAAAGATTGTATGCAAATGACCTACATAATTTGTGTGGCCTGGTGCAAAAAGAGCCTTCTTGTTAAAAAATTATTAAGACTTTCAAGGCAGTGACAGCAGAGTAGTAAGCCAAGCCACAAGGCCCTTCTGAGCACCAGGCCCTATACAACTGCCTAAGTCACATGCACATAAAGTCAGCCCTGGTTCTATGACTTGCCCAGCTCCATACAGCAAAAAAAAAAAAAAGAGTCAGAGCTAGAAGTAAAATTGCTCTTGCAGCAGATGAGGAGAAAGTAGGGTTGATGTGAAGGCTCCTGCAGCCTGGATCTCTGCATCATATGGAGTCAAGCCTCCATTATAGCATGAGTGTGAAATAAACTTTTGTTGTTTTAAGCCACTGAAATGTTGGGAGTGTGTATTACTGAAGCATCACCTCTCTCATGCTTACTCATATACTAAAGCACAGAAAAATCTCCTACAGCTGGGGAGGTAGGTCATGAGCCTCAACAGCCAAGACCTGTGTTCTTTCCTCAATATCTATGTCTTCCAATTGCAGGTCACAACCTGTTAGAGAGTCATGAAAACAATCTACTGGGTCACAGGCACATTTTTACACAGGAAATAATTTAATAAGTAAAATATCATAGAAACTGTGTGTGTTACTTATTGCAGTGGTATTTTTTATTAAACTTTTTCCACTACATGTGTGTGTTGAGAGTCACAATAAAAAAAAAAGGTACTTCTGACTATGGGTTATTGTCAAAAATGTTAAAAGCCACTGCTCAACATCATGCTTTTGACACAGGAAAGGAAAAAAAGTCTACACACATCACCCTGACAGCTTGGATACTCATAATACCTTTTGAAAACAGCTAAATGGGAGGACACTTGGGTCCTTATTGTCAATGTAATTAATGCTTTGGATTTTACAGTTTGCCAGATAGAAAGCATTCCAGATCTTAACCAATATGAAACTCAATCTTTGTAATATGCTCCTTTAACTCCATTAATCCTCTATCTCCTCTGCTCCAACTCTTACTCTGCCATAAAAGAATCATGAAGTCATCATTTCGGATACAGGGAACAAACCCTCATTGTCTCATGACAAATTCCGGGCACAGATGTGCCCACTGGAGCAACTACAAAAAAGCAGGCAAGAAGCCACTTTGTCACCAGCACTGGGCCTGGTGCCAGGCCTCTCCCTCTCTTTGAATCCTTGATGGGCTAAGCCCCTCAGAAGTGAGTCATCAAGGATTGCCAGTATCTGCCCAGGGAGGGAGACCCATTTACTTTGAAAAACTCTGCAGGAAATACTTGTGCTTTGCTCTGCCAGAAGCTGTCAAATTTGCTTCTCTCACCACAGCAACTGTGGTTCTGAACCCCACCCCCCGAACCCAACTTATGACAAAAAGAGCATATGAAAGAACTGAAAATAGCCTTTTTTTCAGTTGCTTGGTGAAAATTCCCAGATGTGAGCTGCAATGACTGTGTGGCACTCATATTTCAGTTTTGAGTGTGGATATTTTCTCTGAATGTCTCCTGCAAATTGAATCAAGAAGAACACTATTAATTATTTTAGCCAAGGTTATATTTTTGCTCCAACCTTCTATATGTCCTGATTTTGGGGATGTGGAGGTTTGAGGGGCATTGTCCATGATTATTCTCTGTGCAGTAATTGCCTTCCCCTGAAACAAGATGGTTGCATCAAGCTTGTTGAGTTTTTAACTCTAGAATGTCTATTTTCTTTTCTTTTTTCTTTTTTTTTTTTTTTAGAGATGGAGTCTTGCTCTGCACCCAGGCTGGAATGCAGTGGTGCGATCTCGGCTCACTGCAAGCTCTGCCTCCTGGGTTCACCTGCCATTCTCCTGCCTCAGCCTCCCAAGTGGCTGGGACTACAGGCGCCCGCCACCACGCCCGGCTAATTTTGGTATTTTTAGTAGAGACGGGGTTTCACCGTGTTAGCCAGGATGATCTCGATCTCCTGACCTCGTGATCCACCCACCTCGGTCTCCCAAAGTGCTGGGATTACAGGCGTGAGCCACTGTGCCCGTCCTAGAATGTCTATTTTCTATCGTATTTCCAGATCACCCTAATCTCTGGCAAAGGTGCCTCTTCCATAACCTCCTTCTAGTTTCCAGACTTGCACTCTTGTTTTCACCCACTTTTCTTGCTATCATTTCCAATAGCCAGAGCAATAGTCTTAAATGCAAATCTGACAGCCACTTTCTCTCTTGAAATCCTTCAGTAGTTTTAATGTCTCTCTCCAGACCACATCTCACCAACATTAGCAAAGCTCTGCAGGGAAGGGGACTGGGCTCCTGCTACTCTCAGGGCTCATCCCAGACTATTCTCCTCCTTGGCCTCTGAAATTCACACTAACACACTGTCCTTAAAAGTTTCTGGAATACATCAGTCTTGTACTTGACTTGGGACCTTCACATCTGCTGTTCTTGCTGAACACTATTCTTCTTAATGCTCCAAATTTTTAAAACCTAGTTAGCTTTCAATCTCAGCTATAGTATCACTTTAACAAGAGCTATCTTCTAGCTAAACCAAATCCTTTCAAATTCTCTCCCATCATCTTACTCTTTTCCATTACTGACTGTATTAGTCTGTTCTCACAGTGCTATGAAGAAATACTGGAGACTGGGTAATTTATAAAGAAAAGAGGTTTAATTGACTCACAGTTCCACATGTCTGGGGAGGTCTCAGGAAACTTACAATTATGGTGGAAGGCACTGCTTCACAGGCCAGCAGGAAAGAAAATGAGTGCAAGCAGGGGAAATGCCAGACACTTATGAAACCATCAGATCTTGTGACACTCACTCATTATCACAAGAACAGCATAAGGGAAACTGCCCCAAGATCCAATTGCTTCCAGCTGGCCTTGCCCTTGACATGTGGGGATTATTTCAATTCAAGGTGGGATTTGGGTGGGGACGCAGAGCCAAAAGATATCACTGACCATATCATAATATATAGAAGAGTATAATTTTAACATCTTTCTCCCTCACTAGACTTGGCTTCACAGAAACAAGGACATTGTTTCTTCATTATGTATATTCATATCTTAGCATGGTGCCTGGTACATAGTAGCTAGTAAATAAGTATTTGTTGAATAAATGCTAAAGGCCTTTTAAATGACCTCTCTGAGATCTAAGTGCTTGCAAAATATTTCTTTGACTGGGGAACTGCTATTTTCCTAAGGACAAATAAATGAATCTTCTTCCCTTTTCTTCTTTGGCTTCTGGTAACCAGAGCCGCATATGTATCTCGGATATATTAATCATGTTAGATACATAGGGTTCGAATATTTGTATTTTCTCTTCCCTTGGTCTTGATCTTTTACTTTTAGTGCAGTTCCTCAGGGGGAGTTTTTGCCATCTTTTTCCATGGTAAATAACATATGATACCACTATTGAATAGCATTACAATCTTTTGTAACAAAACTCAAGATGGCAAGTCACATTTAATTCTTTGAGGAAAGAGGTGAGAGCAAATATTATCTCCAAGGTGTCTGAAGACCTCACATATTTGAGATGCGAAAAGGGAATTGGGCAGCTATCTGAAGACCTGGCTGCCTGTATTAATGCTACTGGACTTGGGCAAACCAAGTCTCAAGCCTCAGACTCTTCATTTACGAATGAGAGGAACTCTGTTGTGCTTAACACACAAGGCTGTTGACATATTGTATGATCGCTTTTAGGTTGAAAAGCAAAACACATGCACACATACCTATGCACACACACCCACTTAAGAATATATGATTATGGGCTGGGTGTGGTGGCTCATACCTGTAATCCCAGCTACTCAGTGCTAAAGCACAAGAATCGCTTGAACCCAGGAGGCAAAGGTTGCAGGGAGCCGACATCATGCCACTGCACTCCAACCTGGGTGACAGAGAGGCTGTCTCAAAAAATATATATATATATATATATAGTTATGATCTCAAGGGGGAACATCTTTGATGAGATCACATTTGATTCTCCCTTTCATGACTAGCTCATGGGCAAAAAAACGTACGTAAAATTTCCCTTTGTTTTACTCATTTTCTCCAGCCTTTCCTCTTGGGTCTTATTCATAAAGCTGCTCAATCATATCAGTCTCAGAGACCCTCACTGGGGAATATCCAAAGACTACCCAGATATTTTCTTTCTACTTCCTATGTTCTCCATCAGAAACTGCCAGTCCTATAAACAGTTTCTCCAAAGTTTCCAGACTTCTAAGTCCTCTAAGGGCTTGTAGCTGATACATTTATCTGGCAAACTAATTAAAGCTAAAAATAACCGACAATGTAGAGAGAAAGATAATTGAGCAATTAATCATAGCATGATGAGGGCTATGGTGGGGGAGGCCCAAAGAAAGGTACAAAGGTTTCCTAGAGGGCTTATGCTGAGCCTGAACACTGGAGGATGGTTATGAGCTTTGCCTTATATTTCTGCACACTAGTTCTGGAACCACACTGAAGTCTAAATTTCTGACAGCCCTGGAGAAATTGCAGGATAGTAAAGGTCTTCCAGGAGGCCACAGGAAGGTTTCTGAGTGTCTTAGTCCATTTGGGCTGCTATAACAAAAATACCATAAACTGGTGGCTTAAACAAAAAATACTTATTTCTTATAGTCTGGGGTCAGAGAAGTCTAAGATCAAAAACTCCAAGATCTAGAATTTCATGAAGGCCCTCTCTTCCTGGTTCACAGAGGATCATCTTCTCTCTGTGTCCTCACATGGCAGAAGTGAAAACAAGCTTTCTCATGACTCTTATAAGGACACTAATTCTATTCATAAGGGTTTCACCCTGATTACCTCATTTAATCCTAATTACCTTTCAAAGGCCCCACCTCCTAATACCATCACATTGGGAAGGAGGACTTCAACATGTTGATTGGAGGAAGGAAAACACAATTACTCAGTTTATAATACTGATGTAATATTGAGTCAAAGAGCTATCTGGCTGCAGAAGGAAACTTATCACATAGGAAGCATGACAAGGTGGGGTCAGTGCTCAAGGTGCATCCCAAGGCCCATGGCAGTAGGAGCAGGAGGAACTCACTGCATGGCACTATAGATAAAACTCAGGACTTGTTGAATGCATCATTCCTCTGGGATCCAGCACTTGTTACCCATCTGCCACGAGGCCAAGTGCAAAACATCTCCCCAGGGATCACCACTCTGGATAAAAGCAATCTAACCAGCAAGGTAGATGCTCATTCCTCGCTGCAAGCCTGTCAATAAGATTTTGGCATTTAGTATGTACCAGGCAGTGTGTTGCAGAGAAAGTAGCAAAGAAGAAAGATCCAGTGCCTGCTCTCAAGAAGCTCAAGGAGGCCAGGCATGGTGGTTCACATCTGTAATGCCACCACTTTGGAAGGCTGAGGTGGGTGGATCACTTGAGGTCAGGAATTTGAGACCAGCCTGGCCAACATGGTGAAACCTCATCTCTACTAAAAATACAAAAATTAGCTGGGCATGGTGGCAAATGCCTGTAATCCCAGATACTCAGGAGGCTGAGGCAGAAGAATCGCTTGAACCCGGGAGGTGGAGGTTGCAGTGAACCAAGATTGCACCATTGCACCCCAGCCTGGGCAACAGAGTCAGACTCCATCTCAAAAATAGTAAATAAATAAGCTCAAGGAATTACCCAAGGTAACAGTCAAGTAAACTGCTGCTGACAAAGCAGTGAATGGACAGAAGTGATTCAGAAGGCATCAACCTGGGAAAAAGGGAAGACCTCCTGGGGCATTTACAGAAGTCCTGTACCACCGAGGATTGGGTGACCATCCTTTTGTCCATGGTAGCTCTCATCTCCATGGCACTCGGCAAATACCAGGGGCTCTATAAATATTTGTTGACTCAGAATTAATTAGTTCCATTTGATTAGTCATTGATCTCTGATTAGCATTTGACAGGGAAAGCAAGGTGACATCTAGTCAGTATCTTTCAGTGGAAAGATCATCAATAGGTTTTGGTATCAAAAATTCTTGGTTTAAGTTCCAACTCTGCCACTCACACCCATGTGAATCTGGGCAAGTGACTTGAACCCTCCAGGTCTAATTTTTTTCACAGTCAACATTAGGATAATATCTCCTTGTGTCATTGTGAGAATTGAATATGAAAATGCACTCAGGTGATATTGAATATGGTAGGTTCTTAGTAAGTATTTGTTCCTAATAATAATGGTAGCAGAAGTGGGTTGATCCTTTAATGTGTGCCAGACAAAGGACATTATATGCATTATAACTTTTAGTCCTTACATCGGCTCCATAAAATGGACCAACTATCACTTCCATTTAGCAGGAGAGAAAACTGAGTCTCAGAGAGTTCAGGCAATGTGTACTATGCCATGCACTGGTCTGAAGTGGAGCTGCACTCTGAAGCCCTATTCTCTCCCATGTCTCTAATCATGATTTTGTTCTCCCACATATGGCCTCCATCTTTTCCCACAGAGACGTCAAGATACTGAAAAGTTTATGCAACTTACACAAGTTCACATGGTTGATCATTGACCATGATGCTGTGATGAAAAAATGCATTCTAGTAAAAGGGACTTCTTACCACGATTAGGCAACAGAGCCCAACACCTCCACTCTTTTTTATAACTGGAAATGATGTGTCATGAGAATACATGGAAAGTTTCAACAATGCCTGACACCGCTATTTCTCTGTTGCTGGTGACTTAGCTTTTCCATTAAGACCCACAAGGGAAGGAGAGCAACAAAATCCCAGCATGTCCCATCACCCAGCCCAGAATGCCCTCCCCCAAGAAGGTTCTGAGGTGTCAGGAAACACATTTAGACTCTGCAGCTGGCGTGAAAATAGTGCTGCATGGTCTGGTTCTTGTCCTCACCATATTCTGTCAAAGTACATAATTTGCAAGTCATGCCCATGGGGACATCTGGACTCTGTCATTGCCCCCAGGACCTATGCCAGTCTGGACCAGCTGTCGGAGTTAAAGAATCTCAGAATTAAAGTACAGTTTAGCTGACCAAATTGATAGAAATGAAAATGGATCATATAATATTACTGTTACCCAAACATATTGAAGCTTCCCTGTGTGACAATCCCTTGAAGAATGACTACGCATTCATTCTCTCATTTAGTAATCACAACACTCCCATAGGAAAGAAAATATGTAAGTTTTATATATAAAAACAATGAGCCAGGCCAGGCGCAGTGGCTCACGCCTATAATCCCAGCACTTTGGGCAGCTGAGGTGGGTGGATCATTTGAGGTCAGGAGTTCAAGACCAGCCTGGCCAACATGGTGAAACCCCGTCTCCACTAAAAATACAAAAATTAGCTGGGTGTGGTGGAACATGCCTGTAATCCCAGTTTACTCAGGAGGCTGAGGCAGGAAAATCGCTTCAACCAGGGAGGCAGAGGTTGCAATGAGCTGAGATCACACCACTGCACTCCAGGCTGGGCGACAGAGCAAGACTCCGTCTCAAAAAAAAAAAATTAAAAAAAAATTAGCCGAGCGTGGTGGCGCATGCCTGTAATCCCAGCTACTTGGGAGGCTGAGGCAGGAGAATCACTTGAACCTGGGAGGCAGAGGTTGCAGTGAGCCGAAGTTGTGCCACTGCACACTCCAGCCTGGATGACAGAGTGAGGCTCTGTCTCAAAAAACAAACAGACAAACAAAAAACAATGAATGATTTGTCCAACAATTCACAGGGTAATATGAAAACTTTCCTTTAGTCAGTGTTCCAGCTCCCTACTTTCTCTGCAGATATTGTCCTTTTGCTGTTATTTATAGTCCCCCTCCTTGCTCTGGTATGGTCTTATCCTGGCTGAGTGGGTGTTGAATGAAAGAAATAGGAAGATATAATTTTGGAGAATCCACCCTTTGCCAAGGACTACATCAAGTAACCAGGTACTTATAATACTTCTCTCAAGTAGTTTCTCACAAGACTAAATATCACCATCTCCTTTTTACAGATGAGGACAAGGACACTCAGCGAAGTGCACAAAGGACACTTGCAAGTGAGAGAACCTTGGACTCCATGCCATGATCTTCCTACCACCCAGGAGAGCAAGTTAATAAGAACATTAAAATGGTCAAATAGGCCGAGCATGGTGGTTCATGCCTATAATCCCAGCACTTTTGGAGGCTGAGGCCGGAGGATTGCTTGAACCCAGTAATTCGAGACCAGCCTGGAAAACAAAGACAGACCCCGTCTCTACAAAATATATAAAAATTATCCTGCCATGCTGGACTGTACCTGTAGTCCCATACTCTGGAGGCTGAGGTAGCAGGATTGCTTGAGCACATGAGGTTGAAGCTGCAGCAGGCCAAAGTTGCACCACTGCACTCTAGCCTAGGTTGACAGAGTGACAGCCCATCTAAAAAAAAAAAAGAAAAAAAAAAAAGTTAAATAGTAAGCCAAATCAAGGGCCTGGGTGATTCACCAGTTGGATGATATATCCTACAAAAATGTGGCAGCCTGTTCCCACTCAGCTTCTCTCTGTCAGAGGGTGAAACAAAAAAGGAACTAGAATATGGTAAAAAGCAAAAGTTAGAAAAGGTGTTGATCCTCTCGAAGCTCCTAGACCATAGGGAGGGCTTAACTTGTTTGAACTAAACCTTTGATTCACTGGTTGACTCATTCCATCATTCATGTTTATTGCTTGCTTTGTACCAGGCACCATATTAGGCATGAAGATATGAGCACGTTAAGAATACTGTGCCTGGCCCAAAGTGGAAAATCACGTACTATTTATGGAAGAAAGGAAAGAATTCAAGAAAAGAGAATATGAGTGAGACTCAATCCCTGTCTTCAAAGAGCTCAAAGTCTAGTAACCACCTAAAAATGAAACAGACACTGCCTAATAGCAACTACAATTACTAGATGTCAGGTTTGATAATGAGCTAGGAAGGAAAAAGAAAAAAAAGGAATATCATGCAAGATTCCCCAGAGGAAGTGAAGGGACTTTCAAGTTGAAATCTGAGAGATATTTTGGAGTTGAACCTAAGTGGGAAGTCACAGGAACAAAGATGTTCTAGCCAAAACTATGCAAAGGTCCAAGGTGCTGGGACCTCATTAAGGATTCAGGTATTTCAGAGAGACTCCAATATTGATTTTGGGCTTCTCTGTGGGAATGCACATGACTGTATTAGTGGGGTAGGAAGAGATGTGTTGAGAGATATGCCTGGAGAAACTATCAGAGGCTAGGATTTAAAGATTCTCTAAAGAGAGTCTAAAAAAGTAGATGTCTCAGAAGAGCATAAAGCAATGGAAGGATTTTCAGCAGAAGTGAAATATCTTTATAGTTGTCTGCTATGCATAGAATGGATTGGAGCAGCTGAGACTGAGGGCAGAGAGGCAAGATAAGAGGATACTGCCATAATCCAGGTGAGAAACACTGCCAACCTAAGAAAAGGTAATTTCAACTTCAAAAGATTCACAGTCCAAAATGGACAATTGTAGATTATTACAAATATTCTGAAGACAGAGGCATAAGAATCAGATGCAAGAATTAATCAGGTACAGTCCGTGATTGTATACCCAACTTTAATTTTCTCCAATAGAATAACTACAACAATAAAAATTTCTTTTATTTACTTTACATAAATCTTATAAATGACAATGTGTTCCCACTTGTCTTAAAGCCAATGTCTACTTTACAGTAGATGTTCAGTAAGTAAAGGCTCTCACTGAATTCCCCCAGTAGTCCTTTAAGGTAAGCAGGAGAGCTATGATCAGCATCTCCATTCAACAGATGGGAAAAATGAGACTCAGAGAAGTTAATGAGTGCCTGATGGTCCAAGAAAGCTTCAGAGCCAGAAATAAAACTAAATTTCATGTTTTTTTTTTTTTTTTTTTTTTGAGAAGGAATCTCACCCTGTCCTCTAGGCTGGAGCACAGTGGCGCAATCTCAGCTCATTGCAACCTCTGCTTCCCGGGTTGAAGCAATTCTCCTGCCTCAGCCTCCCAAGTAGCTGGGACTACAGGTGCCCAACATCACACCCGGCTAATTTTTGTGTATTTAGTAGAGACGGGGTTTCACCATACTGGCCAGGCTGGTCTCAAACTCCTGACCTTGTGATCTGCCCGCCTTGGCCTCCCAAAGTGGTGGGATTACAGGCATGAGCCACTGTGCCTGGCCAATTCCATGTATTCTTAACAGGTATTCTAACTACCTTGATGCTAGAAGTCCAGGGCATGATTTTTGGTGCCTACAGACAGAAGCCTGAGTTTGTATCTTAAAAACAGTTGATCTTAAAGCTTATTTTCCAAATAGCATTTTAAAGGAGGATTTGAATGCAGGGTCCACAAACACAGCTGGCAGGCAGGGTTAAGATAAGGGAGTTTGAAATACCTTAAGGTGGCAGAAAAATCTAAGATGATCTCTCACCCAAGGCTCCATATAGGCAGGTCGAACGGGTCTTATCCTGGGTCTTCGTGTGCTAAAGACAAATTTATGCGTGTTTATTTCCACTGACAACAAGTAAGGATTCTGGTCATTGTCCCTATCCCTGGTTCACTCCCCTACTGGCCCCTGTAGATGCCAAACTCCACACTTGCCAGGAGTTGATCTTCACAATTGATATGTGCTGAGCCAGTGCTGGCTGACAAAGATGTCTCAGAAATCTGGGCCACCAGCCTCTATATCCCGGGAGAACACCCCTCCAAACATTAGGAAAGAGACAGATGGTGAAATCCATCTTTCTACCTCCTAAAAAGCCACATCCTGCCAAGATCTTTCCAGCTCTGGATCCAGGCCCCTTCCCTCAGTCTCCCTTCCTGGACCAGGTGGAGATGAAGTCAGTCTCCTGGCTCCTCCAACTCATCCCCGGCGACTCAGCCCAGCTCACAGCTCTCCCACACTAAGTGAGGTTGACAGCTGGTCACTAGTGAAAGGAGAAAGACGGGGAGGTAAACCAGAAGGAGCAGAGAGCACCGCCAGTTAGGCCCTGTCCTTGCTGTTTGTAGGAGATGATATTACTGCTCACCTATCCTGTGCCTCTATCCTGTGCCCCTCACATGGAGGATTATATACCTTCATCCTGTTCAATTCTGGTAGATTCACAAGACTTGTTTTGGCCAAGGAAGCATAAGCAGAAGTGATGTGTGTCACTTCTAGGAAGATGCTTCTAAGAGCCAATGTGTGGTTGCTATATTCTCTGGTCCATCTGACAGAGTTCCAGATAGAGGCTGCTCAGTCAGCTTGGGCCCTAGGCAGAGACTGAAGTGGAACAGAGCCACAGCTAAGCAACATGGCCACATAGCACAGTAGGGAGTTGAAAGTTGTAGCTGCACATTAAGGTTTAGGGATCATTTGTTACCTAAGCATAATTGAAACTATCCTGACTGACTCCCTTTTTGTCCTCCTTCTTCAGCCCTCTAACATGGGCCGTGTGTTCCCACTCTGGGTTCCCTTGAAAAGCCCCTATGTGTTTCTATGTCCTAACATGTACCATGGCATATTGGAACATGTATATGTTGAGTATCTGTTCACCAGTCCCTGGGCTCTATGTTCCTTGATCTGTACCTATACAGTTCCTGGCATGCAGGTCACACTGCATAATAAATGCCTTTTGAGATTAACTGAATTTATTTATTCTTGCAATGAATGTTTTGTGTTATCCCTTCTTTGGGCATGACACTGTGCTCTCTACTAAGAAGAAATAAACAAAGAGCAAACACCAACTCTGAATTCATAAATCTTCCGGGATGGCAGGGGTGATGGAAGACTGTCAGTTGGCTAACCTAACTTAACACACAGTCCTTAGAATCTGGAAAAGCAACCAGAAATGGCTACATTATTTGAGCCTGAACAAGTGGAAATTTTCTGGGTATTTTGAAAAAAACTTTTCCTTTTCTGATAAAGAGGATTGCGTGTAGGTAATGCCACTCATCCCCCTTCCTCCTGATTTGAGTGAAATGTCCAAAACTGTGACTGCCAAATGAGATGCTCATGAAAAATCAAATCAAATACAGATACCAACTTTGATATTAGTTGATATTGTTAGGGCCAGATTTCTTAATAAGTGAAAAAATAAACTCAGAGTTGTTTTACCCATTGCTAGTCAGATTTTTCTGTCAGTGGCAACCAAACACATCCTAACTGATACCAGGAAATAAGTTGTTCATTTTTGGAACATCAACCTTTACCATCTTCCTGCATTGTCTACCTCCTACTAACATTTCAAGATTCAACTCAGTCATTATATCCCTCCTAAAGTTTAGTCTGTATGCCAGAACACAAACTCTGGATCCATTCTGCCTGGATCAGTAAAACAAGTTACATAAATTTTCTATAAACAGCTAGTTTTATTAACCCTACAATTCTTAGATCCTAGGAACAAATTCTGCCTAGATCTTTGATTTCTGTAGGTGTCCCCAAAGAATCCATTTTCTATGGGTTGCATACATTTGAAATTTCCCCCTACCAGAACTTGAGAATCCTTTCTGTGGACTTCCAGGGACCTTCCTATGACCTGGGGCCAATCTGGAACACAGGGTGAGCAGCAGGATCTCCAGGGTCTACCACATACTCTGTATTGCTGGGTATCTTCAGACCCAAGAGTTGTCTATGGGGATAAGTTTTAGTTGTTGTACACTACTAGAAAACACCTAAGCATCTCCCAATCATTAGTTTTTTTCCCCTTGCCACTGAACTTGAACTAAATGTGTCCCTTGCTTAGCTTCTATGAAGCCTGTCAATTACACTGTCCCCTACCTCAGTGATCCCTCCCCCACCTGCTAGCTGGGCCATCCCAGAAAACCATCACACGTATCATTGTGTAAAATGGCTTTGGAGACCCATGACCTGAGCTCAAATGCTTGCCACAGTAGATCCTGAACAAAGAAAGGAATGGTGTTTCAAGAGGGAAAGTATAGACCGGGCACGGTGGCTCATGCCTGTAATCCCAGCACTTTGGGAGGCTGAGGTGGGCGGATCACGAGGTCAGGAGTTCGAGACCAGTCTGGCCAACATAGTGAAACCCTGTCTCTACTAAAAATAAAAAAAAAATCAGCCAGGTTTGGTGGCAGGTGCCTGTAATCCCAGCTACTTGGGAGGCTGAGGCAGGAAAATCACGTGAACCCAGGAGGCGGAGGTTATAGTGAGCCAAGATCGCGTCACTGCACTCCAGCCCAGGTGACAGTGCGAGACTCTGTCAAAAAAAAAAAAAAAAAAAAAAAAAAAAAAGAAGAAGGAAAGTATAACATCAAGGCATTTTCCAGACCCCTGTGCATGATCATAGTATAACGCAGGGCTAACGGGCAATTTATGGGCTCAGATAACCAAAGCTCAGATGTTGACTCCACCACTTACTAGTTGGGTAATCTTAGAAAGGTTACATAGCTTCACTGTGTCTCAGTTGTTCATCTAAAAAATAGAAATTATAACAGTACCTGCTTCATAGATTGCAGTGAGAATCAGTTAAGCTAACATATAAAACACTTAACATTTTTTCTGGCTATAGTAATTACACAATAAAGATTAGCTGGCAATATCAAGCCATAAAAGTAGAGATAAATTGGTTGGTCCCTAGCATCAAAGTGAGGAGGAGCTGCTATGAAACTTTTGAACATGAAAAATGCATACAAGTAGACAACCGATAAGAGGAGTCAGAAAACAGAAAAGCATAATGCCAATGAAAATTAGATTGGTGAAAATATAATTCTGAAGGCCAAGATTTGTTAATGAATAGAAACTGTCTTTGGCAGGTGATCAAGTAACCCAATTTGGAGAAATAATTAGACTGTAGACTGAAAATATAAACGACTAAAAAAAAACAAGGGGTAGTTTAGTGTCATAGTTAAGAGGAATTCCTCATTGCCCTATGTGTTTTCCCTGGGATGAGCTCAGTTTAGGAGTAAGAAATTGGTCCCCTCCATAGAGATGATGAACAGCTGCAATTCATTTTCAGTTCCTGTCAAGGAAGGTGGATGCAAGAAGCTAGGGCAGGAATACAAGGACCTGACATTGAGAGAGGCCATATTCACCAGGGGACCATGGGGTAGATACAGAGGCATCCATGATTACCGGGCAGAAATGTAAATTAGGAAATCTTTAATGTGATGAGATAAATTGCTCCAAATATGCATTTCCTCTGTTTCAACTTGGAATTGGTTAAAGTGCACCATGGTTATGTTGGCTGGATGTGTGGGTCTGAGCCCAGGACTGGGAGCCTGCTATCTCCAGTTACTTTCTGAGTGACTTTGAGAAAATGCCTTCCCATTTCTGGACTTCAGTTGCCAGCAGCTATAAAGTCAGCTAGACCACTCCAAAGCTCCTTCCAACTTTAAAATATACCTGACATATGGCCATAAAGAATAAGTAATTGGCTATTATGGTGGTTTTAAGGGGCACATGTTTAGACACCATATCCTCTTCTCACCCACAAAGTCAGAACCAACTTCCTACTTTGAAATTAGAGTCATATTTAAACAAGGGAATTAAAATGTCATCTTCATTAGATAAGGTTTGGTTGGAGAACATGGTTTAGGTATCTGAAATCATGGGCTTTCCAACAGTGCACCTGAAATTAGCATACAGGAACACCTATTCAAGGACAGCACTGCATAGCTGCATGTCCTTCCCCAACTCCAACAGGCAGACCCTTTTTTTAACCACAAGGCAGAAAACAGACACAGCCTCTCTGTGAGCAGGCAGGTCCACAGAGGATGAAGGAACCAGCTAACTAGTGGTTCTCAAACTCAAATGGTCATCAGGACCATATGGTGGGCTTGTTAACACACAGATGGCTGGGCCCATCTCCAGAGTTTCTGGTTCAGGAGCCTGGAGTGGGGCCTGAGAATCTGCATTTCTAACACGTTGCTTCACGCTATTAATGCTGCTAGTCCGGAGACCACAATAAGAACATTGAGCTAAGTATATTCAGCAGCTCCAAAACTCATCAATTGAATACATAAACTCATTTCTCCCCTGCTGGGGGCAGATGAGAAGAGGGAGGAGAGCCAGCATTTCCAGGGACTCTACAGTGTCTCTATATGGAATAAGGAGTAAGTTCCCTTCCACATCAACTATTAAGTTTTAGCAGAATGTAGTCATGCAGTACTTACTGATTTATTGGCAAAAGTAAAGAAAAACAATGCTATTATAATTGTGCTTCCTTAAGTGTAGGAATTCATAATTCACTAGGATACTAGTAGTATAATTCCTAAGAGAAGTTATACCACTCTTCCAATCAAAAATAAGGTTTCGTAATTTTCAATGTATTAACCAACAATGAAATAGTATAAGGAACAGTTGGACAAGGACAATAATTCTTATAATTATTAGCTTTCAAATTACAGAAGTGTTGAATTAGATAGTACCCTGGACTTTGCACACATGCTCTGATTTAAACAATTCGCAATCTTCACTAAAGAAAGTCAGTGGGTTTATCTTCTGATATGCTGGGTGCTGGCAAAAGTCATTGCACTAGAAGCTATAAACTGGGATTATTGTCCACATTGGCTATTTTTTCAGTTGGATTGCCTTGGGCATGTCACATTTCTTCTCTGACCTTCTTTCTTCGTATGTCAATTTCAGATGATAATACCTGTAGACAACTGAAAGGTCTGTGCCCCCTTACCTTTGTCTGTACGGCCTTGAGCGCTTTATATTTTTGCAAGCTGTAAGTTCATTTGGTGCCTGTTGATTGAGAGCCCTTAAAATCAAGCAACTCTTCTCACCTAGTAAAGCAGAAATATGTCTATATATATAGATATATGTATATATATATGCATATATATATATATCACTAGCATTCCACTTTTCTAAGCATCCATACATACGTATATGGATACACAGCCAGCAGTGAAATGCTGGCTGTCAACTTGGCCTTCTTTTCAGCCTAAATTGATTTGATTAAAGGAGAATGTAAGAGTCCCTCATATCCCCAGGTTTAGAAAAGAGTTCTTTACGTGAAACTGGCAGCTGGAAGGAGTTTAAACATTCCTCCAGCTTTAGAATTCCTGTAAGATTGAAAAAGCTATATCAAGTCAAAATATGTCATCATCAAATATTCAAGAGGAATAATTTCAATTGTGCAATTACTAAGAGAGCACGGTTTCTCTGCCTTCTTAAGGAAATATCTAGTAGGAAGACTTGAAAACAGATAAAGAGGAAGCAGTAAGTGAGACTGAAATAGAAATAAGGAGGTACAACAAGGGTCACATTAAAACCCACTTATCAGATGAGAGTGTGAGTTGTCTGGGACCTAGCAGCCCATGCCCATAGCCTGCCAGCTATCCAATACAGGCAGAGCATAGAGATTCAGAAGCTATTCAAGTCAAAGCCCAGGCCTGAATGAGGGCACGATGGCAAGCAAGGGTGGTGCTAGACAAAGAAGAATACCAAAAACCCAACCCACAAGAAGCCAAAAATTTAAGGGACAGAGAAGGAATAGACAGAGTGGTTCAAGCAGAGGAACAGTGCAAATAGATGTCAAAGGAGACTTGCGCTCCAGCCAGGACTAATTAACATTATCTAGTTCAGTGAAGAGGTCTGGTAAAAGAAGAAACAGAAAGATGGCCACTGGGTTCAGTAATATGAACACTGGGTTGACCTCAGTGGGAACAGACTCAGGAAAGGAGGGTGGAGGGAGAAGGCTAATGAAAATGAATTGACAAGTGACTATGAGAGGAGGACAGGCAGTGAGTATAGACTCTGCACAGATGAGCTTAACAGAGGCTGACACACAGTATGTGATCAAAAACATGGGAATAAAGAAGAAAGAAAGGGATAAAAGAAAAGCAGAGAAATGTATACTCCAGCGTAAGAAGAAAATGCCATGAGGGGCATGGCAGAAGGATGAAGAGGCTAAGGTTTCTATGGGACTCTTTTAGGTAAATTGATAGTTATGTATTATTCAAAGACATGTATCCACGAATTAAATTACAAGCCTGAAGAAAACAACAAAGAGAAAGGTCTCTTCTCCCTCTGGACAGATTATTTGCATCTTTGGCACATTTTCTATTCAGTCTAAATATTTATGGAGACAGTTTTACTTGGAGTTGCACCATCTCCATCAAGGGATGTTAGCAACATGACAAAGAAACAGAGAAAGAGATGATGAATGTAGGGTGTGTGATGGGGTGGGTGGGAGTGCTGGGGCCAGGAGAGCTCGCTGCATTTCCCAAAAAGATGCTTTGAGGGAATCTGGCCTTGTGGATAGGAACGCATTAATTGTAATCCATGGCAACATCTCAAGATGCATGATCAGAGTGATTCATTTGCTATTAGCTTTTTCTTTCTCTATGCATGATGCCATAGTATTGCCAGCAATGCTGACCAGGAGGGAAATTATTGACAAGACCTACTCACCTGTGACTTGCACAACATCTGCAATCTGGTCATTGTCTATGTCTGTATCTCCATCTCCTCCTGCAGTAACCTCAATAACTCTCCTCCATCCCTACTGGCTTTTGCTCTTTTTCTTTCTTTGTTTCTTTTTTTCTTTCTTTCTTTCTTTGTTTCTTTCTTTTTTTGATGGAGTCTCGCTCTGTCACCCAGGCTGGACTGGAGTGCAGTGGCGCTATCTCGGCTCACTGCAAGCTCTGCCTCCGGGGTTCACACCATTCTGCCACAGCCTCCCAAGTAGCTGGGACTACAGACGCCTGGCTTTTGCTCTTTTTCAAATACATCAAGCTGGTTCCTGACTTAAGACATTGGTCCTGGTTTTTACTCTGCCTGGGAAGCAGATATTTGCAAGGTTCTTCCCTGTCACTTGCTTTAGTTCTTTGATCAAAAGACTTCCCCTTGAAGAGGCCTTCCCTGGCCACCCTTGTAAAAATAAATCTTCAACCCAATATTAGTCTGTAGACCTTTGCCTTGTTATGGGCCTGTCACTGCTGCAAACTTGAGTAATATTTTGTTTAGTTACACTTGTTGCATTTCTCCCATGAAGGTGAGGAATATTTTTGCTTTCTTAGTGCTGCATCCCTTAATAACTGGAAGAGTATCTGACACAGAAGAGGTGTCTGCTAAATATTTGTTGTAGGAATGAAATAATGAGTCACTTTAATCAATTAATCCTCCAGGAAGACAGGAAGACTCCTCTAATTTCCCAGGTTGGGGTAGGTCTTCTCATATTCACTTCTATATCCCCCCAGCTATATATTACATATGATTGTGTAATAATGTATGAAAACAAGCTGTTCTCATATCTGACTCTCCAAACTGCTCCTAAGTTCCTGAAGCTCATGAACCAGGACTGATTTATCTTTGCATCTCCAGTGTCTCCCACAGCAGTATTGTTCACTGAAATGAAGGTGAAAGGCTTTATAGACCAAATGATAATAATCAATGAAAAAAGGAGCTGTGGGACAAAAAAGGACTCGAGACTTAGCAATGGCTTACCTTGAAGAAAGAGAGATGGTTCTGCCATACATTACATTATTTTTAACCAACTAGCAAAATACATTAAATATCCATGTGAAGTGACGGGCCTTGTCAGAATAAGCATCCTGAACTGAGAGTCAGGCACCATCTATTCTGGCCCTAGCCTTTGTGTGAGTCTGAGCAAGGCCCTTCCCTTCTCTGAGCCCATTCTCATCTGTACCATGAGAAGATTAGACCATGGGATGCCTAAAGGTCCTTCCAATCCTGTGTTCCAGGATTCTATATACCTAGGACAGTGAATGGTGCAATGGAGGAAAAAAAATGTGTACAGTGTGTAACCTTGCTCTCACAAAAGCCAACCATGCAGGATTTGGAGTCAGAAACACATGGGTCTAAACCCAGAGTCTGAAACTTAACAAACTTTGTGAACTCAGACAAATTTCTCAATCTACTTAAGCCTCCATGAAATGGAAATAGTAATTCCTAACTACACATTCAATAAATAACAACTTGCTCTGCACTTCTTTCCCATACATCTCATGGCTGGCTGTTTTAGCCATGTTGACTCGAGAACGAGAAGGTTCTTTTATTAACAACATCCTAGCAGTTTGGATAGCTCAAGCGCTGCTGCACCTCCAGCTGACTCCAACACTGGAGTAGACAGCCTCCCTCACAAGGCTAAAGTTTTCCAGTCACTCTCTTTTGGGGCCTCTGAGCAGACTCTATTTGTGTTACCCAGGAAGTTTCTTGAGCCATTTCTTTTGCTAGAATTCCACGGTAAACATTCTTACAGATGACTTACTGCCTGTCACAACATTCTACTGCTCTCTTTCCAGAAAGAATTCCTGCAGAATGAGGTCAGTCGCTTACTAACCGTGACTTCTATTTCTTTCACCCCTTTTGGTCTTGCCATTAAGATGCTGAGTGACTGACTCTGGCTACCTTAATGGGTCACTTCCAACAGCTGTGGGAGCAAAATGTTCCAACAGTTCAAGACAGAGCCCAGAGGATCCACAAGATGAAGAACAGACTCCAAATACAATCAGAGGGCCAATGGGGAAATTCCAAGTTTGTAGATCCAGTAACCATGGAGGGGAACTAAGAAGTTCTTAGATATGTTTCTAAAAGATTTGGAAATGTATAGAGTGCAAAGATGCTTGCCTTCTTATAAACATTCTTATTCATCAATGGCCCCGCGATGCAGGAATGTTGTTTCTTTTTTCTATGCTTCCAAAGTGCTGGAGGCCCTTAAAGGAATTGTGATAAGGACATTATAGAATATACAACTCCTACTGGAAAGGGCGGCAGCAGCTCCCTCTCCCCAGCTATGGGGGAGCACAAACCAGGGGCCTTCAGGTAAACACCTCTCACTATTTCCCTCAAGAGGAAAATGGGTGTCTCCTTTGACCTCAGAGTGAGTGCACAGGAATATGCTCCTTCTCATAATCTCATATTGCTGAATTATGAATACATTTGCTACATCACTTTATCTTTCATGTCATATAGCTCATGCTTGACACATAATGTTGCAGAAGTGATGGCTTTTAGTTTGAACTAAAGACTATTGGCCAACCCTGATTTAGGAAACCGTTCCTATTCCCATCTCTAGTAGATAATAATTTCTCTGTGGTTGCTTACTAAACTAACACTTCAAAAAGGCAACAGAGGAACTATATTGCAATCAATCTATCGTCTACTCAGTTATTCAACAGACCTTTACAGAGCCTCTAGGAGAAGCAAAGGCTCTTACACTGTACTACTTGAATTTCAACCCCAGCCACTAACCTCTCTGATTCTCAGCTTCCTAAATCATGAAATGGTAATAATAACAGAATCTATCTCCTAGGGTTGTTAGTAGGATTAAGAGTCATGTCAACTTTACTACATGTAATAAAGTGCCTGACATTGTCTGTGCTGTGATGTTCAGTGGGTTAGGTGTATTAAATGCATTTTTGACTTATGATAGGTTTAACTTATGATGGGTTTATTGGGATGTAATCCCACCATAAGTCGAGGAGCAGCTGTACTCAGTTCTCTAGTATGATAGAACATGGGATCCTTGAGGATGGAATTTTATGTGATTTACTATTATGTTCTTTGTGCCCAGCACAATTACCAACACAGGGTAAATACTTAATTAGTATTTTTCAAATGATGGCATGAATGAACAAACAATAAATATAGAGTAAAATGCTTGAGAGGAACTCCTTTATTTAAGGTGGTGTTTTTATTTCAGAGGGATGATTTTATTCACAAATATTGTGGGGACAAACTCTTTGGGGTTGATTTTGTCCGAAACAATCTATAGGGCTTTTTACATAAAGAATTTCCCCATGATTTTCAGTTACATGGATCCAGACTGGGGACACATGTTTGGTATTTTATAAATGGGAGGAAAAAAAAAAGAAAAATTCCAGAGAAGCATCAAGCTGAGCCCAAGTGATAAGAGAAATACCTAAAGAAGGAACAACATTGAAAGAAATTTTTTGAAAATATTCAAAGTATATAAATCATTCTGAAACCATGGTGTCCTGGTAAGAAACACAGAATAGAAAAAAAAATTATTTTCTTCTGTGCTAATATTTCATCATAACTGGCAGCTCAAAACCCTTGAGAGCCTGGAGTTTGAAGATCTTTGAGATGGGAGCTGGAAGGACTGATCTCAGAGCACTACCTTGGAGCCAGTTCTCGGGAAAACCACAGCACACTGTGTGGCTTTCTGGAACCCTTGTGGAGACCTCTCATTATAGTACAGTTTCAAGGAGGAGACAGGGCTCCCTCAGGGGGCTGACTGACAAGAGAAACAGTTAAAGGATAAAGTCATACTAGGCATGGCGCCAAAACCCAAGTAGTCCTTGGGGTCTATCAACCAGGCTGTCAGGAGCCTGCCACTCAGTCATTCCTGCAGCACCCTTCATGCCTATGACTTTACTTAGGCAACTGAGACCCCAGTCTCTGCCTAACACTATGTGACATGATGGGTAGCAAGAGATGTAAATCTGAATGCTGGTTCCGTCACTATGCGTGGCTTACCTTAGCTGAACTTCAAAATTCTTGTCTGGGAATTTAAAAAGAAAGAAGGGAAAAAAAGGAGAAAGGAAGGAAAGAAAGGAGAAAAGAAAAAAGAGGAGAGAGGGAGGGAGAAACAAAGAAAAAGAAAGAAAAGAAATAAGGGTAAGTGAAGGGAAAGGGGGAAGGGGGTAGAGGAAAGGGAAGGGAAGAGAAGGGGAGGGAAGGGGAGGAAAAGGAGAAGGGGAGGGGAGGGGAGAAGGGAGGGGAAAAGGGAAGGGAAAGGAGAAGGGGAGGGGAGTGGAGGGGAGAAGGGAAGGGAAGGGGAGAAGGGAAGGGGAGGGGAGGAGAGGAGAGGAGAGAGGAGAAGGTGGAAGGGAAGGGAAGGGAAGGGGGAAGGGAGAGGAAGGGAAGGGAAGGGAAGAGAAGAGAGGGGAAGGGTAGAAAAGGGAAGGGGAGGGGAGGGGAGGGAAGGGAAAGGGAGGGAAAGGGAGGGAAGGAGAGGGAAAGGGAGGGGAGGGGAGGGGAGGGTGAGAAGGAGAAAGAGGGAAGAGAAGAGAAGAGAAGGGGGACAGGAAGGGAAGAGAAGGGAAGGGGGAAGGGAAGGACAAAGGGAATGAAAGGGGAGGGAAAGAGGAAGGGAAGGGGAGAGAAGGGGGAAGGGAAGGGAAGGGCAAGACAATAAAAGAGGAAAGAAAGGAAATTATTATAATGATTAAGTGGAATCATAAATTTAAAGCATGGTTCCTAGCACACAGCATAACTTTGTTAAATATTAGTGCCCTTGCCTACATTCACTCATTGTCCGCATAAGGGTCTTTCAGAATCCCCTTGTTACTTAGCTCAAAATCGGTGCTACATGCATATAAATTCACCCTACTGCTTGTCCCCAGATGAATAAGATTTAATTAACACTTAACATTTTGGTACTTGCTCACTTTGGTGGGAGTATGGAGGAGTTTCTCTTCCTGTTGAACACACCATGCTCACCTGGAAATGTCCTTGATGACAACTTCCCTCATTGATTGCAAAATATTTTAATACTTTTGAGCTTAAGCTTAGATAAACTGGAATCCCAGTGTTCTAAAAGATAGGTTTGGGATCAGTCAGGTCTAAATGAAATCTCAGTTTTACCAATTACCAGTTGTGTGGTTCTGGAAGCATTACTTAATCTCTGAGACCCAATTTCGTTAGCTATAAATAAAGATAATATATATACCCCACAGAGTTAAAATATTAAATATCATCATGTACATTAAATTGTCCAACACAGGTGCTCATGAAATTCATTCATCCATTCAATAAATAGGTATCAAGCACCTCCAATGTATAAGGAGGTATTCTAGGAACTGATGATGCAGTTTTAAACTAAACAATATTTCTGCCTTCGTGGAGCCATTTCTTTCAGTTAAAAAAATGCTATGAAGCAAAAGAATGCAGAATAATAGGATGGACAGCAATAGTAATGGTGTTGCTAGAAATAAACACTAGATCCTTTTTCCCTGTGTTCACACAGTTCTCCTCTTTTTGAATCCCAAACTCTCCTGCCCACTGACCACAGGTCTCCAGGGAGGATGAATAAAGGGTTAGATTCTGTTGAATTGAGTCATCTGACATCATTTAAATAAAGTTGTGGACACCAATAGAAGAGTACATGGTCATCAACAGGACGGATAGAGTTGGGTGTCGCTTTGGAGACCCTTGGAGATGCACAGCTATGCTCGGTCTCCAGGCTTGTCATAGTTGAAACTACAGAGGCGATTCTTGGAGAAGGACATTTCCCCCCAAAGAGGCAGTCCTCAATAATGCCATCTTTGTTGCAGCAGAACATCGGCAACCTTGTTCTGAGCTGAGTCCAAGTTGAGGGGAAAGAGGGGAACAGCCAGCTGTGAAAAGATCAATTTGTTTCCAATCCATTCTTTCTTATGGTTAGAGAGGCTGGCTCCCCACACTGGCTGGGTCTGTCAGGGACAGATGCCAAGTAGGGCACAGACTGAAGAAACACCCCCTGTTCCCACTGAAGCAGGAGCATTCAGCCTCTGCTCTGAGTAAGCCTCAGAGTCTATGGCATTAGCCATCCCCTAGTTAGGTTGCTTTGGGGAGACACAAGTTGGGGCAGATGAGAGGGACGCCCCAAGTCTAATTCAAAACTACAATTATTCAAACCCTCCATTTATTTATGTTTGTAAATACCCAGTGTTGGCAGGTTGTGGGAAAGCAGGGGTTACCATATACCATAGCTGAGAGTGTAAATTGGTATAACCTCTTAAGAAAACCATTTGGCAGAATCTATGGAAATTGAAAGTGCATAGACCCTATGTTACAGACAGTCTACTTCTAGGAATTTATCCTTCAGATAAATTCTCAGAAGTGCACCCAGATGAATGCACAAGGAGGATGTTTATTACAGCATTGTTTGTCACAGAAAAAGTCCAGAATCAACTGAACATTATGTTGTAGAGTAAAAGAATGAGCCACACATAGAAAGAGGTCTGAGAGAAAAAGGAGGAAGGAATATTCAGTTTGGTATGCATGGTAAAAATCTATTTATTATACATAAAGTTAACCCCTGCATCAACATGTATGTTTTACATCCTGTTGGATCTCTGCTAATACCTCTGTCTGTTCCTACCCCTATCCCAAGATTCAATAATACAAGGCAAGAAGACTCCTGTACGGCCCTGTGGATGTGCAAGATGCTAAGAATGAGTGGATATTACAGATAGATGTAAAAGTAGGAACCTTGCCAGCCTCTATTACCTTTCCTCAGTAGATCTGTCTTCCTGGGCCAGGGTGAGGTAGAAACAATAGCTAGATGAGTAATCAGTGGCTTGTATGGCTTGGCATTTTTCCTGAGCTCCCTTTGGAGAGGGAACTAAGACCATACTCAGTATTTTCAGGTTTTCAGTCTCTTCATAATTGACGGCCCATTCCCTCCTCTTATCAAATTGCACAGAGATCAAATGTGAAGGAGCCTGAAAGAAAGGACAGCGTGTATTGCTCAATTAAGAATTTGCTCCCTTCCAGCTCTAAAACATCCCCAAATTTTCCAGTTGCAAATGTTACCAAATTTACAATGACCACCAAATGTTGAATAAAACATATGTAATTCTACCCATCCTGGCAATAATTCACTGTGGAGTTTTGGTCAAGCTTCCTGCTCTCAGTCAGCCTCAGTTTTCCCTGTGGTTCATGTGATAAGGACTATGTACCTAGGGGGGCAAGAGCAGATCACCTGTGCCCCTCTCTCCCTGCTTCCTCTGACAGGCATAGCTAATCAATCACAACATGCTTTCCTACAGATCTCAGATGATTCCTCTGACTACTTCTTGACACAGAATTGTAAGCAATCACAAATATTTAATCCAAATTGATGTAAAAGTCAACATTTAATTGTCCTCTCCATACTAGATGATATCTGAAGTTCATTCCAGATTTAACATTCTGTTTCCACAATTCAAGGATTCATTTGAACGCCAGCTCGTTCATGAAGTCAACCTAGATTGCTGAAGAACAAGTTAATTTTTCCTGTTTCTGACTTATGGAGACAGAGCTATATAAGTCGATATGAACTTGACTTCTGGTTTCTTTGCATTGTTATCTCATTGTCACCTGTATAACAATGCTGCCTCCATGGGGAAATTTAATTTAAGTATAGAAAGTACATCCCATATAATAATTTTCAGACTGTGATGCATAGTACCCCCAGAGTTACTCAAAGATTTTCCATGGGCTCTAGTTGGCAGAGATAAGGAAATTTTCAGATTCTCAGCTTTCATTTGCACTCTTTCTCAGGAATCTGAAGAGAGTCCCTTTTTCGTAAATGCTTTTCTCTCACTTTACAAATGGAATTCATACCTCTCACTCATCTCGAGTTGCTTTGGGGTATAAAAATTTCTGGGGGACCAAACAAAGGTACAACTCAAAATTCTTTCGAGAAAAAGTGTTGAGAAAGTGAATGACTAATGACCTTGCAGCAAATCATTCTGCAAGTCAGATGACTTTCAATGCTTTAGTTACAACAAAACTGAAGGGGAACCTAATTAAAATGTCACCTGAGAAAGTATTAAAAATCCTATTTGATGATTGATCTTTATGTGATTTTTGGCATACAACCTGGTAAGAAGTTATAACACTGCTATAAGAAAAGTTTTTCTTTTCCCATCTACTTATTTTTGTGAATAGGTTTCTCAGTGCTTACAACCAAAAAATGAAAAGTAAATAAAATTTATGAAATACCATCTCACGTTAGCAATAATGAATATTCCTCAGCAGACATATGGCCTAATTTTTTAAAAAGTTCACCTCATTCAGAGAAGCATTTCTAATAAAACCTTATGTTTCACATCACATTTAGCAAAATTTTAATAAGTGTATGGTAGATTGATCAGTTGTATACATCTAATAATTGTTATGATAATTTAATCCAGAAGAAATTGGGTTTTGTTAGCATCTTATATTTACAGAACATTAAAGAAATTTTAATATGAATTTATATACATGTTTTGTTTCAGAATAATATAACAACATGATCAGTGAAAGAATTTCCAGTATAAAAAAATATACTACATTAGGAAACATTTCTATAGAGCAAATGAAATGGAAATAAACATTTAAGGAAAACAAAAGAACTATGTAAGTTTTCAACTGTTAGGGAAGATTCTACTTGTATATTTTTAAATGGATGAATGGTGGTATCAAATTAAAGTGGAATTTCAATCCATTAAATCTATTTATAATAGTTAGTTTTATTTTAAATGACTATATATTCAATATACTTTACATTATATCCCTCACAACTATTTAAACTTTTATAATAAAAGCACTTGTCAACTTAAAAACGTTCATATTTTTCCAAGAATATTTTAGAGAGCATTAAAGCGAACTACTAAGGACTGTATTTTATCAGAGTGAATTCACTTCAATAATTATAATAGGGGAATCAAATGGTAGTTGTTTAAGAAAATCCAATGTACTGATGGACAAATCTGTATAAAGGACGTGAGAATGACACATTTTCTAAGTATAAATGTTACACGTCAAGTTTGGGCTGCAATTGGACTAAGTCTACACTTCCTTATTTATCCTCAGCCAGCCAATCCAGGTCTTATAGCCCTACCCTTTGACCTATGCTACCCTGTGTAACTGGTTCCCTAATTTGGATTAGAAAACTGAAAGATTTTCAAACTCTAGGTCTTTGTTGATAGATTTAAAAAAAAATCTCTTTAATTATAGTATATAATTCTAGTGCCTAGGAATCAATGCCTTATCTAGGAAACACAAGCCAAGCAATATGTAGCTGCATCATTTCTTAGGATATTCCTTCCTTTTTTGGTCAGTTCTGATGCTCTCTTTTCTGAGCAGATTGCTGAGCTGGGGTGAAGGCAAGGCAAAGCAAGAAGGTGGTGGGAGGAAAAAAGGTATGTCATCTACCTACTGTTGTTTCAGTTTTAACTTGAATCTGCTTATCCACTGATTCATTCAGTAAAGTTTTCCTAAACACTTACTCTGCGCCACGTTCTGGGTTAGGATTGGGGGCTACCAAGGCCAAGAAGGTACAGGTTTTTCCCTTGAAGAGTCACAGTTTACTAAGGGAAAGATGAACTCAACAAATAATTGAGATGCTCTGCAATAAGCTCTATATTAGAAAAAACTCAAGGTTCCAGGGATCAGAGGATAGAATGATCAATTCTATAAGAGGTGGTAATATTTGAGCAAAGCCTTAATTAAGGAGTAAGAACTGAGGACAGTCCCAGCAGAAGGTACAGCACACATTTTAGCATGGGGCCATATGTGGTCATGACATTTTGATAAATAGAAAATATATCATATCTAAAGCAGAGGGTAGAGTCAGCACCTAGCAGGTGGAGGCAGGAGATAAGGCTAAAGAAGCAAGTTGGGGATAGGTCACAAAGGGCCATGAAAGTTGTCTTAGTCTTTTCAGGTGGCTGTAACGGAATACCATACAGTGGGTGGCTTATAAACAACAGAAATGTATTGCTCACAGTTCTAGAGGCTGGGAAGTCCAAGATTAAGGCAGCAGTAGATTCAGTGTCTAGTGAGGGCCCCTTCCTGGTGTCTTCTTGCTGTGCCCTTATATAGTGGAAGAAGAAAGGCGGCTATCTGGGGTCTCTTTTATGAAGGCATTAGTCCCATTCATGAGGACTCCACCTCATGACTTAATCACCTTTCAAAGGCCCCACCTCCAAATACCATCACATTGAGGATTTGGTTTCAACATGAACTTGGAGAGGACACAAACATTCAGACTCTAGAAAGCCTTACTCAACATTTGAAAATTGAACTTGATCCTTTGGGCAACAGGAAGGAACATGATGAGATAAAGACTTTAGAATGATAATCCGAGGTTAGAGGACATGAGAAAAATGCCTAATGCAGCACAGGATACAGATTCTCCAAAAAACTTTAATTGACCTTTCAACTTCCCTTTCTCCCTTAAAGAAAGCAGGGCTCTGAATCCCCAAGACAAAGTGCATCCAGTATTATATACTGAGAAGAGAAAATGAACCAAGAATAAGGTAAGAACTATTCATTTGTTTTATCAGTATTTATCAGGTGCCTACTCATGTACATATAATTCTGCTTTTTTTTTTCTCTTAAACAAATTTGTCAAATAAGAGCTATGGCCCCTACTTTATCAAAGTGGACACTGAATCACAGATGGCTTCAGTAACTTGTCCAAGCTCACATAGCTAATTAAGAATGAGCCTATTTACAAATCCAGCAGTCTGACTTACATGCACTTAACCATGGTGCCATCCCTCTGTAAGCAATATTATTATTTTACTGCTGTGGACTGTGAGAATAAAGACATGCCAAACCAATAGGGTAAGGGCCTCTAAGAGATGAACTTTGCCTGCTGTTAGCTCCATCTTAAGTGAGAGGGTGATATATGTATGTGCTGGCAGGCCAAGTCTGGAGATAAGGAGAGCACAGGCACGGTTTCCTGCTGAGGCCAGGTCTACAACAGAATTTTTTTGTTTCGATTGCCTCTATTCCTAAGCTGGAACTACCAGGCCCAAACAACAGTCACTTCTCCCTCTTCTCCCTACCTGCCAATTCCATTTCAGGATATTACTTCTCTCTACTCTTTACCCATATCCCATCAATCACCAAACCCTTGCAAGTTTGTCTTTAATATCACTAGACTCTGCCCAATTCCCTCCATCCCTGCAACTCCCACCCTGGTTTGAGCCACCATCCTTTCTTGCTTAAATGACTACAGCAGCCCCTTGCTGGTCTCTCCAACTCCAATCTGCTTGCAATTCTGCTTCACAATTATAGCCAAGATGATATTTTTCAAGCACAAATCTATCTTTATTCCTCCTTGTTGACATCCAAAAATGGCCTCCTATAACTTTTCTAGAAAAGAAGAGTTCAAAATCCTTCCCAGGGCTCTCAAGGTCCTACATGAGATTCTGCCAATTTCATCTGTCTCATCCAAACCCTCCCTCCATTCCTGACCCTCACTCCATGGACTTTCCCCAAATGCAGCATGCTGTTTCTCCTCTTCACACTCTGGTATGGATAGACATCTCTGCCTCTCTCCCACTGCCTCCTTTCTTCCCTTTTCCTCCCAAGCTCTAAATCATATTCAAGATTCTGTTCAAGTGTAATCCTCTCTAGCAAGCCTTCCTTCCCCACACCCTGAGCCACTATTAGTTCCTAAATCCTGTACTTTCCCTTTAATGACATTGATCACAATGGGTTACCATTGTCACTTTGCTTGTCTGTCTCCTGTTCTAAGCTATGAGCCCCTTAAGGACAAACCCCCTGGTTCATCTAAATTCCTCACTTCCCAGCACAATACTCAATGCATAGCAAGAGACAGGCAAATAGGTGTTAAACAAATGAATAAATATTCTCATTATCATCTTTAACTCCTAATGAATATTATACATTCTCCTAGTAGATGCTATGCATTTGCAAACTGGATGATTACAAAAGTTAAGTGAACTTGAACATTGCCATTAACTCATTAGGGCCACCCCCAGCCTCTCTCTTTCAAGTATGGTCAATGTGGCTTTATAATTGCCATAAGACCAAGTTCCGTTTAGTGGGGGAAACCCACATATCCAGCTCATTGGCAACTAGGGCTAGCAAATGCTCCTGCCACAGTTTTAAAAGTCTGAACAGTCTGTCTGACCATAGGTGAGAACAGGTGAATTTTTCACATCTGCACTTCACAACAGAAAAGAATCCACTCCAAACTCTGTGAAAGAAGAGCTCTTGTAGCATTTCCTTTTGGGGGGTGGGGATTTTCCAATAGATCAGGCTCCAGACTACTGAATGGAAACTATTTCCTCACTCTTCCCTCCATCCCCCCAACATACACACACACACACACACACACATACACACACACACACACACACACACACAGATGTCTAAAAATTTTTCTGAAATCAGGGATTGACTCAAGGAAAGGATGTGTTTCATTAGCTGTTCCATCAAAGGAAAGAGACACGGAGTCTGCTAAAGGTCAAGAGAGAAGAAGAGAAGGAGCCGAACACCGGTGGCCCAGATGCCCAGGCCCTGCCCCTCATTGTGACACACAGCTGTTTGGAAGCACAGTGTTGCAAATCTGATCCTAAAATATTTCATGACGTCGCTGGCGTTCTTTCTATCACGATGAAGCACAGAACAATACATGTCCTTTACTTCACAGTAAATGCCTGTGGCAGGAGCCCAAAATATTTAATGCTCTGACTCCTTTGATACAACACTGTTGAGATTTCCTAGCATATTTTTTTTTAATATAAGATGAACCTTGGATGGAGATTGCCTTACTTCAGTAGGGAAAAGAAATAGTCCAAGAATTTCAATAAAACTCACTTTGTTCTTACCATATTCAGAGAACTGTTATGTCACGTTGGTGGAGCATACAGAGCTAAATAAAGGCATAAATTTTAAGCCCTCCAGGAGTTTAAAATCTCAGAACCTCCATTTTACTCATTTTTGTTATTTTTTTTTTCAGAGACAGGGTCTTGCTATGTTGCCCAGGCTAGACTTGAACTCCTGGGCTCATGCGATCCTCCCACCTCAGCCTTCTGAGTCACAGGAGTACAGGAACATGCCATCACACCCAGTTTTATTTTTAATATGGGGCTGGTAACATCTGCCCATAGTCAATTTGGGAAGATTCCATGAACAAGAATTTATAAAACAATTATCCCAGTGCCTGCCACATAGAGGTTCATAATAAATGTTGCTCTCCTTATTTTATAATCTCATGAGAGGGGAACATAAGAAAGCAATTACTTAGGATCCTGGCAAAGTAGGGTAATCAAGGAATAGAGATAAAACTAAAATATAAAGCGGTATTCTGGGCTAAATATGGAGGAATGATTTATGGATCAGGTGGCATTTTGTTGCATATTAGAAGATGTAATGGCATTTTAGATAGAATGGGAAGGCTATCTTCTCAGAAGTCTATGTAACTGAAGTGCATCATTTGAGCATAAAAAGAAACACTTCCTGGCTTCGCTAGTCATTATTGTGTCATTTGTTAACATTATCAAATCTTTTCCATGTGGCTCTGCTTCCTATCCAAAAATAGCTTACAAACGAGAAGTTTAGATTCTAGTTCCCAAAGAATCCTCATCCCCTGTATCTTCCATAGATGCTGGTGGCGGGAAGGTGCTAAATCTCTTCATAGTAACTATACAGTGAGTCTATCTTCCTCTCTGAAGAAAGGAAACAGCTATCTAGTTCCCTGAGCATGGAGGGAGGAAGGACATCATTGTATAGGAGAATCCTTGGCAAAACAGAATCGTACCTAAGTAGGTAGAGAATCAGTGCCCACTCCGGCATGCATCATAGCCATGAGAGACTAGAATGTGTAGCAGATGTTGTATGTGGACTACGGCCTCAAGGATCACTTGACTAGAAGTCCCTAACCTAGTGCCAAGCACACTGGGGTGGCTGGTGGTGCCGAAATCCCTATGGAAGACCAGCAAGTTCTCATAAGGGTTAGCTGTGGGCAGTTCCCTTGTATATTGTGAAAATCTCTATTCCTAAGTGGACATTGTTATTTTTGGGAGGTCAGAAAAACCGAATAAATGCACACTGCTTAGCACACAGTACTCATCATGATCTCTCCCCTATGGATCATGTGCCCATCTCTCCCAAACTACTCACTGCTCCTGAAGTCTCTTCTATGCCTCTTTGCTTTTGCATATGCTGTATATTCTACCAGATTATCCTTCCCAAACTACTTTGCTTTGAGGATGTTTCAAAACTCAGAGATAAATCAGCTAATCCTCCCTATAGCCTGGGTTAGACAACCTACATCTAGCATGTACCTACCTCAGTCACAGGATTTATTCTGCTGCATTGTAATAACATTGTTCCTTGTCTTGTTTTCACACTTGACTGTAAGCTTCTTGAAGAGCAGGTACTGAATGTTTAGGTCCCTGGTTCCTAGCGTAGTATCTAGTAAAAGGGAACACCTGGAATTTGAGGCAGGAGGCAGCATGTGTATATTGGAAAGGCATAGAATTCATGCCCAGGTGAGAGATGAGAGGCTTTGGTAACTCATTTTACCTGTTTCACCCATTTGCTAAAGAGCAACAACAAGAGGAATCAGAAATGCTTCCATCACTCCTCAGTTGCTGGAAGATCTTGGATTAGTCATGCTTTCTGCAAAACATTAGCTATCTTCTCACTCGAACCAAACTAAACCATTTAGTAAGAAGCATCTGGCTTAGTGGTTAAGACTTAGGTCTTGCAGGAAGTGAGAGAGGAGTAGGAATCCTGGCTTTTCCACTTAGTAGCTGTGGCCCTGAAGTGAGCCAGCTTTGCTGATCTTCCATTACATCTGCTTTCAAGTGGAGAAGCTAATCTACACATCATCGTTTTAGAATTACATGAGGCAATACTTGTTAAACACATAACACAGTACTTATGTTATTATAACTGCTCAAAAATTAATAGCCATTTTGACTCTTTTACATTGCTATAGGCTGAATATTTGTATCCCCCTAAAATTATGTTGAAATATAATCCCCAATGTGATGGTAGTTAGAGGTGGAACCACCGGCAGGAAGGTGGTGAGGGCAGTGCCCTCATGAAGGAATTAATGCCCTCATGAAAAAGGGCTCAGAGAGCTTTCTTGTCCCTTCTGTCAAGTGAGGACACAGCAAGAATATGGCTGTCTATGAACCAGGAAGCAGGTCCTCACCAAACACTGAATTTGCTGGTACCTTGATCCTGAACTTCCCAGCCTCCAGAACTATA
The DNA here is from genome assembly GCF_000001405.40 of Homo sapiens. Classification (NCBI taxonomy): domain Eukaryota; kingdom Metazoa; phylum Chordata; class Mammalia; order Primates; family Hominidae; genus Homo; species Homo sapiens. The sequence goes on along the minus strand of NC_000009.12, from coordinate 115,133,369 downwards.
AGAAATAACATTTATATTGTTTATAAGCCACCCAGTCTGTGGTGTTCTAACAGCCTATAACAAAGACACGTATGAAATACAGACGCCCTGGAGATCTCTATAATTTATATATTTCTTCAAAAAGACTACGGAATATTTATCACCTGTCATAATAAACACAAGAAATAAAGACAGAAATATCCAGGCACCATTTTCAACAGAAGATACCAATATCCTTTTGGCTTTTTCTGTTTCTCAGCTTTTGTCCTTTTGAGAGATAGAACCACAAACAAGCCCCTCTCCTCCTGTGTGTTGGGGTGAGCTTGGGTCCTGGAAGGTGAAAGGCCAGCCCAGAGCTCATCAAGCAACTTTGGTCTCTCAGAGCCAGAGCTGCTGGCGATGTAATCCAATCTGGCTGCAGAGAATGTGACTAAACGAAACCCCATCTGCTGCGAGGTTTCCCTGGGTTCCCAGGAGGGACCTGAGCAGGATATGAGGCGGCGGCGGTGGTGAGGTGAGGGGTCTGCAAGGAAATGGTGCGATCCCCCATGTGTAATGTGTCTCACCGCAGGCCAGCGTGGGTCTCCCCCAGCATGACATCATCTTGGAGCTCACCCGGGCTCCGGTCTGCTAGCCGCTATAAACCAGGGTTTCTCAATCTCAGCACTATTGACATTTTTCAGCTGGATAATTCTTTGTTGAGAAGTGTGGGGGGAACTGCCCTGTGCATTGTAGGAGGTACAGCAGCATCCCTGACCTCCATTCACTAGTTGTCAATAGCATCTCCACCCAGCCTAGTTGTGACAGCCCAAAATGTCTCCAGTCATTTCCAAACAATGGGGGACAAAATTGCCCCCCGTCGAGAACGAGAACCACTGGCACCGAAAAAGTGGAACAAATCAGACTCCCTTTCTATTAAAAGCAAGGGAAAAAAATCCAGAAAAAAATAGAATACAGTAAGTTTCCAACTCCTTATGTAGTTTTAGAAATGAATTAAAAGTTGAGCAGCTAGCTTTGATGGTTCAGGTGAGAGCCTTCCAATAAAGAGGAAAACCTAGAAGTGATAATAAGTACCATCTACTTAGTGCTTTCTGTGTCCTAGGCATGGTGCTAAGCGCTTTAACTCATTGACCCCTCAAAAGAACACTGAAGGTAGGCGTCTGATCTCCCTGTCATAGGTAAGGACTCTGAGGCCCAGAGGTGTGAAAGTCTTGCCTAGAAGCATATAGCTAGTAAGGACTGAGATGGGATTTGAACACAGCTCTGCATGATTTTAAGGGAACTCAGAGCCATTTGGTTCTCTTAGTCCATTACTCTGGAGTCTGTATCCAATACCATAAAAATTTCAAGATCTGTGCTTTAAACCAGGGAGTATTTAATAGGAACTTCTACATCCAGCATCAGCCTAGACAGAAGGTGGGTGGATTTGAGTGGGAGAATCAGACTTTCCATGTCCTTACTTAAACAAGACTAATCCACATTTATAAATCAACATGAGATAGTATATAATTAACCCCTATATGGGTGGTAGATGTTAAAGGAGTATAAAGTAAATAACAGGCTGAATAGAAAGAATGCGTTTTAATAAGCATGCTTCTAATAAATTAGTGAAACTGTCTCTGAATGTGGTGGCTCATATCTCATGAGGCTCCCTTATGAGGACTTGGAGTGAAGTGCATGGGCTTGGCGTTGGACAATTCTGGCTTCTAATCCCAGCTCCAAAACTTACCAGCCGGGTGGCTTTTGGCAAAACACTTTACAGCTGGAAGCCTCAGTAAACTCCTTAGCAAAATACAGATTAAAATACTTATTTCAGGATTGATGGGATTAACTAAAACCAGGAAGTGGAAACTAATATAGAGTGTCTCATAGGCAATTGACTTTTCTTTCATTGCACTCATAGCTCTTTGGAATTACATGTTTATTTGTGTATTTGTGTGTTTAATGGTTGTCTCTTTTATTCTCTGCCTCTTCAGAACCTCCCATAGTACTTGGCATATAGTAAGTACTTATTTAAAATATGCTCAATGCATAGTAAACATTAGTGCACTTTCTTTCTCTGTAGTTCCTTCTATGACAATGAGTTTTCGGACATTAAAAATACTCAAGCAATGGAAATATAAGATTCTCTATCTCTTTGTGTCCCAATCATAGCCTCTTATGGTGACTGTACTGCAGCACTTATGACATTGTTTTACAATTACTGTTTCTTTGGTTATAAACTCCTTCAGGGCTGGATGGATCACTTTATTTTTTATTTTTTTATTTTTATTTTTTGAGATGGAGTCTTGCTCTGTCACCCAGGCTGGAGTGCAGTGGTGCAATCTCAGCTCACTGCAAGCTCCGCCTCCCGGGTTCATGCCATTCTCCTGCCTCAGCCTCCTCAGTAGCTGGGATTACAGGCGCCCGCCACCATGGATGGATCACTTTCAATCCCTATGACATGGTCCCATTACTTGCAGCCAAGGTGTGATACATGTCTGAATCTAACAAGTATTTGTAAAATAAAGATATTGATGCCTTAGGGGGCATTGGCCCACTGAATTGGAGTTCCAAAAAAATTATAGTTCCAGGCTTTGGCAACCCTAACTACTGCCAACCCTGCTCATACAACATCTAATCACCAAGAACAAAAGGTTGGGGCTGTTATTTTTATTGTTCCAGAAAAGTGTAGATAATTAATAACTCTGTATTGAATTTAATTGGCTGCTTTTACAAGGAAAGTTGTGAGCCAAATTTTCCATATCCAAGCTAGCACCTCAAAGGTGATTAGATTCTGCCATAAATTCTTATAACAAATATTTATAGAGTGCTTAGTATGAGCCAGCCACTGTTCAAGGTACCGGTTAAATCTTGTTGGATATTTTAAGGCTTGGAGAATGATTTTGACATTGAGCATTCTTCTCAGTTACCCAAAGGAAACCAGCTGTTTCTATTGGATTGCTTGAGGCAGACAGCAATAAGGGGCTCAGGAGTCTTGGAGACAAATTCTTAAACCTCTGGTCTCAGCATCCTGGTCCTTGGAGAAGGGAACATCTAATATACGAAGGAAACAGTTTATAAGCCAAGCCGTATATACTTCCTAACTAGAGGTTAGCATCCAAAACAGAATGCTTAGGCATTGGAAAGTTTATCATACCCATGGGTCTCATCTCCTCATCATGCAACTTTCATAAAAACAGGGAAAGCTATTACTTCAACTGCAATTGTTTTCTTTTGAAAGAAAGAAAACTACCAATTTCTGTGGCTGGCCAGAGAAGCTGGGAGATATATATATCTCCTCATAATGGGTACATTACAATACTTGAGGGTAAGATATATCTCACTTCTTTATTTCTTTCAACCATGCCATACTCCTTTGTGACGGTAGAAAATTCAGTCTCAGCTGTGTTGAGTGTTGCTTCTCTTGTCCACTAGTTTATTCAATAATCTAGAAGTCTTACATGGCCTAGAACATTTAGGAACCAGTTGCATGCCCCATTCCTCTCTGGCCATGGCAGATATCCTCAGTTTTGGGTCTGCACCCCTAGAAGTGAGTAGCTCTGCTTCTTCCATCTCCAAATATGATATTGGGATCCTGGTGACTCACTCAGGACACAGCCCCTCTGAATGCACTCTGTGGCATGACCAGTTCAAGTCTCCTTACTTCCTAAGACACTGCATTAGAAGAGAGTGTTTATCCCATCTCATGAAACCTGTGTCTCTACACACTATCCCATTGCATGTCTGTTGGGTTAGTTCTGCCCAAGGTCATAAATGTTAGAGTGATTCTGGGGTCCAAGTTCAGGTCTTTTCAATCTCTATGTTGGATATTTGTCACGATTCAACATCCTACATCCTCACTAGATCAGCATTATTCAAACAGCACTATTGACATTTTGGGACAAAGAATTATTTGTTGTGGGAGACCATCCTCTGCATTGCAGACTTTTAGTAGAATCTCTGGCCTCTGCCCACTTGATGCCCATAGCAAACCTCCAAACTCCGACAGCCAAAATGCCTGCAGACATTAGCAAATATCCTCTAGAGAGTAAACCATCCCTGGTTGAGAAACATTGCCCTAGAAGGTAAGCTCAAAAGGAAAGTGATTACATCTGTTGTGTTTGTGGCTATATCGCCAATAGCTATTAGCACAGGGCCTGTGTATCCCATCAATCTAAGTGCAATGAAGAAATGGTTGGAAGAATTAGTCAACAAAATAAATACAAATAAATATTATCATGCCCTTTCCTTTCTTCCTCTTCTTTTTCTTTCCCTTCTTTTTCTTTCCTTCAACAAGGAAAGTAAAGCAGTAAAACATTGATATGGTTTGACTATGTCCGCACCTAAATCTCATCTTAAATTGTAGCTCCCATAATTCCCATGTGTCATGGGAGAGACTGGTGAGGTAATTGAATCATGGGGGTGGGTCTTTCCCATGCTGTTCTCGTGATAGTGAATAAGTCTCATGAGAGCTGATGGTTTTAAAAAGGGGAGTTCCCAGGCCAGGCGCGGTGGCTAATGCCTGTAATCTCAGCACTTTGGGAGGCCAAGATGGGCAGATCACAAGGTCAGAAGATGGAGACTATCCTGGCTAACACGGTGAAACACCATCTCTACTAAAAATACAAAAAATTAGCTGGGTATGGTGGCATGCGCCTGTAGTCCCAGCTACTTGGGAGGCTGAGGCAGGAGAATCACTTGAACCTGGGAGACAGAGGTTGCAGTGAGCCGAGATCATGCCACTGCACTCCAGCCTGGGAGACAGAGCAAAACTCCCTCTCAAAAAAAGAAAAAAAAAAAAGGATGGGGGGGAGTTCTCCTGCACATGCTCTCTCTTGTCTGCCACCATGTAAGATGAGACTATTTTGCTCCTCCTTCGCCTCCCATCATGATTGTGAGGCCTCCCCAGCCATGTGAAACTGTGAGTCAATTAAACCTCTTTCCTTTATAAATTATCCAGTCTCTGGTATGTCTTTATTAGCAGCATAGAATGGATTAATACAAACATCCTCTGCAGGAAAACATAGTGAAGAGGATCCTGTGCAACATGTAAAGAGTTTTGGGTCCTAATCCCATATCTGACACCAGCTATTTATTATTGATCAAGTAACTTCCTCTTGCGCATGCCTTCATTTGGGACTAATAATAGTATCTATCCATAGAAATGTTATGAAGATTAAATGAAGTTAATGTATGTAAAGTTCTAAAAATGGTATCCAGCACATAATAAATGCTCAATAAAAATTAACAATCACTATTTACAGAAGATCCCCTGTGTCATAGAAGTGATAGCGTAAAACTCCATTCCCTTCCATGGGGCTCATTAGATAGCAACTATCCATTCACATGTTTGCCCAGGTGTAGTCTCAAGAACACCATGCCTTTTACCCCTGCTATCTGGTCATCTCCATGGCTCTCTAAGGGCCTAAACCTGAACTCTGATACACAATATCAGCTTGTGACATCTCTTTTATTGGGTGTCTTCCTGCTCTACCTAGGTTCTACCATGGTGTTGATATCAGTACAGTATCCACAGATGGGAGAAAAAAATTCATCTGCCAACCATGGCTGTCAGAACTGCAAGCATGGGGTTAACTCACTGTCCTTCACAAATACCCTGCCCCATACCAACCTGGCCTGTCTTTCCATCGCAAGAGTGACGGTGGGCAAAACCTTTTTAAATTTAGCCAAGGTCTGGTCTGGAATTTGTCTTTGTCACAGATTTGGTGATAGGGCTTATACTGTATTAAGTTTAATCATATTAAAGTATCATTTTTGTAGGTCAAATATGGCTGAACAGGAGCAATTTCATATGAATTACTTCTTAGATTAACTGAGCAAACAAGATTGCAACTTGCTAAAAGCCAAAGTACTTCCACTTCCTTCAAAAGCAACCACTTATGACTGATTTCTGCTCATTAAGCCAGACTCTCGGAAGATCTCTCCTTGGCAATACTTTACTAGTTTAAAGGAGCCACTGGCAAAATATACTTCAAAGTAAGCTTCCCTGGATTGGTCTTCCACAATGCAGCTGTCTCACTGATTCATCCTGGCCCCTGCCCACTCCTGTCCATGGGGATTATCAAACTTTCACCATAATTTCCTTATATAGTATTTCCACAAGGGAAATCCATCATCTGTCTCAAACGATGAGTCATCTATCTATATTCACCCAAGAGCACTCCCCATATACCATTCATCTGCAAGTTGAGCCCAATGTGGGCCTGGGCAGGTGTTCCAAAGCATTTAGAAAGTCTTTGAAGTTCTCCTACAGAGGCTGCTTTCTGATACAGTGTCTGAAAAACTTGCCTGGCATCTCACTAGGGGGCTTCTTTGGTCCTCTGATACCACAGCCACATCGATGAGAGCACTGCACACATCCAAAACCGGAGAAAAGCAGGAGAGAGAGAGAAGCAACATTATACTGCTCACGGAAGCTCAGAGGGAGTAGAGAGCCTGGTGTGTGTTCACCTACTCCTCTCGGTCCCCTTTTTATGTCCTTTCTAAGTGAAGAAGCCCAATCCGTGTAAAGGATTTTTTTTAAGCAATAAATTCCTTTGATTTTGGCTGGTTCTACACCAATCTAGGCAAGCTTCTTCCTCCATGTGGAACATAGTTTCACAAATGAGCAGACCTGGATTTTAGCTCAGAGTGGGCAAGACAAGCAACTGCTTTGGGCCCCATTTTCTTATCTCTAACTTGAGCAGGATTGTCTCATAGCTCTTTTCACACTTGTCAAAGTGTGCTGTGGGTGAATCCTCTGAATTATGGATGAGCAGGGACCCAGATAAGCCTGCCACTTGCTGGGTTCAGACTGACCCTGGAATGATAGGAATGTCATGTATAAGTCCAGATTTACTCCTCACTGTGGGCTAAACCACTCGACACTGCAAAGCTCCCATGTCAACAGGCCACTTCAAAACTGTCGGGCTAATGATGGAGGTTGCAACTCCCTCCAACTTCCCTTTCCTTCTCTGTCTTTCAGCCTACAACTAAAATGTCATGTTAAAGGAGCTGTGACAAAAAAAACTACTTGAAAATCTAGCAATGTGCATTTACATCATAGAACTACATCTCTATGGAAAAGCATTCCAGTTTCAAGGTAAGTTAATGCCATTTCTCCCAGAAAATAATCTCTTGGACCAATACTAACCATTACCATTTTTAAAAATTCATTACTTTTTGTAGGTACATAGTAGGTGTATATATTTACAGGGTACATGAGAGGTTTTGTTTAATAATCATGTCATGTAAAATGCGGTATTCATCCCCTTAAGCATTTATCCTTTGTGTTACAAATAATCCGATTACACTCTTTTAGTTATTTTTAAATGTACATTTAAATTATTACTGACTATAGTCACCCTGTTGTGCTATCAAAATACTACATCTTATTTACTCTTCCTAATTATTTTTTGTACTTATTAACCATCCCCACCCCCCAGCCCTCCTCCCAGAACCTTCCCAGACTCTGGTAACCATCCTTCTGCTCTCTATCTCCATGAGTTCAAGTTAAGCATTCCTGTTTTTAAGGCCCTGTTATGCACAACACAAAGATACTTTCCCATTTATTTCTTGTATTAGTTTTATATTGCTACTCTAACAAGTTACCACAAACTTAATGACTTAATAACACAGAAATGTATTCTCTTACAACTATGGAGACCAGAGGTCTGAAGTGAGTTTTAGTAAGCTAAAATCCAGTTGTCAACAGGCCTGGTCTTTCTGGGGGCTCCAAGGGAGAATCCATTCTTTGCCTCTTTCAGTTTCTGGTGTCTGCTGGCATTCCTTGGCTTGTGGCCACATCACTCCAATCTCTGTTCCTTGGTCACACTGCCTTCTCCTCCTCTGTAGTCAAATCTCTCTCTGCCTTCCTCTTATAAAGACACTTTTAAGTATATGCAAAATAGTCTCCCCACCTCAAGATCCTTAACTTAGTCACAACTCCAAAGTCTTCTTTGCCATACAAGATAATATTCACAGATTCCATGGATTCAAACACACATCTTGGGAATCCTTACTCAGTTTCCCATGGCCCTTCCTTTATCCCTGTAAAATAAGTATTCTCACTCCTCTTTTACAGACTCAGATACAAGATGGGGTCACATAAGTGAAGGAAATTGAAAAAAGGTCAAACACTAATAAATGGTAGAGCTAAGATTGATCCCATCTGTCTAGTATCAGATCATGAGCTTCTTCTTTATACCACTGTACCCCATAAAACTGATAAAATAATACTCTTTATAGATGGTTCTGTAATGGAAACCTGAAGAGCCCAGTAGCTCAGTAATTTTCATATGCGGACCTTCTGTGAGACCACATACAAGCTGTGTGACTTTCAGCAAGTCTCTTGATCCCTCCTCACCTCAGCTTTCTCACTTGTATTAGGGGAATGGCCTGGCGTGAGGACTGAGATAATGCCAATGCCTTGTCATGTTATTAGCAAATACAAGTGGGTATATTTGTCACCACCCCTACCATTGGAAGGCTGTGGGGCAAGGAAGTAGTCAAGGTTAGGACTGCCTAGTATGTGCTCACTAAAATAAGGAGGGTCAATTTACTCTCCTCCTTAGGAAGGGTAAGGGACAAAGGGCCAGCCCAGAGTACTTCCCAAGGAGGAGAGTGACTCAAATACCTATGTGATGCCAATCCATCAACCTCTAGGCCCTGCCGAGGGAGCTTCTGGCTCTGAGGCAAGTGAAACCACCCAGCTGACTCTGGATAGGGTAAATTTTTCCACCTGAGAAACAGAATGTACAAGGCTTGAAAGACGATTAAAAATAATAATGCCTGCTATTGACTGGATGGGCAAATGTAGTTCTACTTTTCAAAGGAAGTTCAAACTATTTCTCTCTCAGAGCAATACTAAACATCCCTTCAGTAAAATACTCATTTCAATGAGCTCTCTCTCTCTGTGTGTGTGTGTGTGTGTGTGTGTGCGTGCGTGCATGTGTACTGCATGTGTATAGCAGGATGGAGGGGAAATTTATGAAGAATATTAGAGCACACAGGGTGACTAGTACAGTTCGGTCAATCTGAAAATCTTATGTCCCATGATGAAAAGAGCTGTATATTTTTATTTGCATGTACATTTGTTTTATTAACCCTTCTTATTTTAGTGAGCACATTTCTGAAACATACCTCTGACATTATCTTTTCCATCATTTTACAGATGAGAAAGTAAAGGCTCACAGTAGAATAAGTGACTTATCTACAATAGCCAAAGGCCACTATTTTGAGATTACTTAGAATGTGGCAAGCAACGGCATAAGCATTTGACTAAGTATTGTTCTTTTAATCCTGAGACTAGCTCCAAGGAGTATCAGTTATCATTGTACCCGTTTTACAGATGGAGAACTTATAAGAAAGGTGTTAAGTAATTTACCCAAGGTCCTACTCCTTTTTGTAGCTATTATTGGTTAAATTAAGGTTTGAAACCAAGTGCATGCTAGGTAATCCCAAAACTCCAGGATTGGCACAAATAGACAGGGACAAAGGAAAATAACCAAAGACAACCTTGCCTCCTCAGATCTTTATGTGCAAGCTCCAAATCACTCAATCTAGTTCATGAATCAAAGAATGCCATCTTTGCCTTTGGGCAATTGTTACATTAAATACATAAGAAAGCACCCATAATAATAGACAACTGGGAGCTGGAGTCCTCTTGGTGGGTTTGAATCCTCTTGCTACTATTTATTACCCATGCACCCTGGACATTTCCCTAACCTCTCCATGTCTCACACCCCCCATCTGCAAAATGGGAACAATGATAGGACTAACCCAAAGGCTCATTGTAAAGATTAAATAATTTAATACATCCAAACTGCTTCAAGAGTGCCTAGATCACAGAAAATACTCAATCAGTGTTAGCCACTGTTATTCTTTGTGGTCCACAAAAGAAATCTTAAGAAACCTAAGAGAGAAGGAAAACAAGCAAATTATACTTCCTCACAAGTATCCAACCCAGCTGTGGAAAATCAAAGAAAGAAATTCAATTTGCATTGATTTCAAAGCTATATATTCCCTCTGTGACCTGTATTAAGCCCAAGATGGTTTGAGCCATTTGTATTCATCACCTCAGCCTGAGCTCAGACCGGTAAACATGATCAAAACTGCCTCCGAGCCCTCTGTTGGAAATATACAACTCCACATCTTCTAATTTAGCTTGGGCAATGCTAGTTTTTTAAACTTTTCCTCTTTCCCTTCAACCTCCGAAGAGGCAGCCTTTTGAATATTTTAACAAGACAGCACCAGGTGGCTTCAACTCCCCTCTCCCTGCTGCCAGCCCCTGCAAAGCCCAGAAGTGCTTCAGATAGAAGCTGGGTTCCGTGCTTTCATAAACACAATATAGCTATGCAGAGATTGAGCTTTTTGTTGGGATTTGGGGGGTGGGGGGCGGGGAAGGGAACTACATCATTTAGCATCAAAAAACTCTACATAGGGCATCCCAGCTTACTAAGCACTTTGTCTTACACCCTCTTACTTGGTCTTCATACCAATTTTGAAAGGTACTCAAGGTACAGATTTTTATCTCAGTTTTATAAAACAGGAAACCAGATGAATCCCAAGAAGAAGAGGAGGAGCTTCAGAGAGGGGACATGCTTTTCTCAAGGTAATTCACATTGTAAGCAGTTGGGCCAAATAGAACCCAAGACTGTGTGCTAATATCATATATTTTCCATTATGCAGCCAATTAGTTGATCAGTCAATCATTTCATAGGAACATTAATCAACCTCCAAGTGCTTTGGGTCTGTACAGGTGAAAAGCACAGTCCTTGGCCTCAAGGAGTCCTCACAGACCAGCTGGGCAAATGAATGAGTAAATTGATGATAACAATTAAGGTCTCTAATCATTTCATAAAAGTCACTTCAAGAATGCCTTTATTGCTTACCTCCAAAATCTGTGACAGGTCGTATGCTATTCTAAACACTATGATATGTAGGAATGATATTCAAAATAATTAACAAATAACATGACATAGGCAGCAGCCATCAACAGATGCTGGCAACAAAGAGAACTGCTGACAAACAGATGGAAAGGCACAGTGTCTACCCTCAGGTGTCCATGATCTAGCAGGGTAAACAGGCAAGAGAAATAAAATGTGCAACATACTAAAAGTTAAAAAATGGTGGTGTAGATGAGCATGAAGGAGAGGCCCTTCTCTCTGGATGTGAGGGTCATAAAACTTTGTTAGAAGAAGCACTATGAAGGAACTCTTGAAAAAAATAATAAAGGAATTTGTCATGGCAATAAGACAGGGTTCTTCCTAGGGAAGTGAATGTGCAAAGGCTTGGAGACTTCTAAATTATTTCTTTAAAGATTTTACTTGAGAGTTTTGAGTTGCTATAATCCCTGGGAATTCCCCACTTGCTAACCAGGACCCTGTGTGTCAGCGGGGAAAGCGATTTTCCCAAAGTCACACAGCGAGTTGATGCAGCATCAAGACTTAGACACTCAACCAATGCTCTCCACTCTGCTGTGCTGACCAGGCATGACTTCTTGGTTGATGGCGCAGCTAAATTGCCATAGTCCATCCATCAGAGAAGCTCTCATATGTCTTGCCACACACTCCATATGGTCTTTGAACTTGATTTTGTCCTTTGTTGTCGAAGGAAAAGCAAGAAGAGTTGGAAAAGACCACTCAACAATGATCTGCAAGCAAGTTGGGAAACCTTGACTCTAACAAAATGCATTTAATTAAATGACTGGCCCACTGTGTGGGATCAGAGATCCATCCCGGCTTTGGAAAAGATTTCTGGTAATTATGGAGTCACATGAGACTTTTGGACTGGAGTTAGCACACCAGATGAGATGAATCCCGGGAAGAGGAGGAGGAAGGTTGGGAACAGTGAAGGAGTATGTAATCAGAGTAGGAAGCAGGGGATTCCATGGGGAAGTGGACACTCAGCTTCCTCAGCACTAGTCCTGGCCAAAATTCCACTCATTGTCTGTTCTGTCTGGAAGAAAAAGTATTACATTTAACAGACCTTTAAAGAAATGAGAATGATCTCACCTGAGGCAAACCATGACATTCCTCTGGTCTCTAAACCACAGCCTCCACCAGCAACTCCTGAATAAGAACTGCAAACAAGCAACAACAAAATCAGTCTTTGGCAGGAAGCTCTGTGCAGGGGTGGTGTTTACATGCATTCATTCTACCCTCTCAAGTGGAAAAAAGTGCTTATGCTTCTCAGAAGGATGCAACCATGAGGGATTAGATGCCAAGAGGTATGGCCTCTGCCAAACAGGAGGAAAAATGGTTCTTCATTTCCATAAACTTCCTCTGCTGTAATGTCTAGTGTGGCTTGGTTGCTCAGTTCTGATTGTGACAGTTTTCTTCCTGGAAAGCAGGCATAGTGGCTTCAGACAAGTCATTCTTCCTCTCAGCACCCCACTTTCTGATCTGTGCGATGGAAGCATTGGACACAATAATCCAGTTTCCTTTTCAGGTTCTATGGTTGTAAAAGGAAGAATTTAATTATAAAGCACAACATGTCAAACATTTATTTGTTCCTCCATTACTTCATTCATTCTATAAACATTTACTGAGCTTCTATGATACCCAAGGCTCTATGCCAGGTACAGAAAAAGCAAGTGTGATCACCAGCCTCAGGAAGCCTAGCATCTAGGAGGAAAATCTAGACATGCACATGTGTAATTATACCATGTAGATGCAATGGATGTCCTAATAGAGTTACAAATGCCATAGTGCATAGAAACATCTCTTCCTAGATGGATTTCTTCCATTTAGGAAGCTCCATAGTGAAGTCAGATCAGAAATGGATGATAAATAGATGTGAGGGCATGGAGGTGAGGAGCCTAGGGCATCATCCTAGCATGAACAAAGTTTGGGTATTGTAGAGTACCTGGTGCATATGGACCCATCTACCAGAAACAGAGGCTGCGAACAGTACAGGGATGGAAAACACGTCCTCGTCTGGGCACTCCTTACTCAAATGCCAAAAAGCTTAAGATGCCACATAGCTTTTTGGAGAAAATGCCTTTTACAAGTAGCCTCTCCTAAAAATGCATAAATCATCTCTTCTCTATGTTATCAGAATACACTTATATGATAGTTGTTAACTTAACCCATAATAGTATTCTTGTTTGTCACCTCTGCTAGCCTTTTCCTGCTTTGAGGGCCAGCCTGGTCATATTTGGCTTAGTTTCCCTGTGATTGACCATACCACTTGTGGTAGACACTAATCAACGATTGTAGAATCCTAAAGAACTGGGGAGAGGAGTTCGAGTTTGAGACATTCCCCGAAAAAGCCATATCTATCTAGTTTTCTAGCATGCGCTCTTGTCTTATTTAAAAACTCACATAGAATTATAAATATATTGATTATATGTTCTATACAAATATAGTTTATATACCATATGACATATATTGTACACTATTCTAATATTTTAATCCCTAACCCAAGAGATTAACTCAGTAGGAACCACTCACTGCTGGTTGAGACACAGCTTCATGCTACTGAAATATCCTTTGGCTAAAGCACAGAATTTAAAACTTCCCAAACAACCAACATTTGAATCAGCCAAAATGGATCAAAAGTTCAAATGAGCGGTTTTATGACATGACTATTTATGGGCTTTCTTGCTGTCTGGGAGGGTCACTTTAGCAGAGAATCCTAAAATACTACAGCCAAAGCAACCGTAGGATGACCTAATCGTGTCTTGCTTTTTTTTTCAGATGGGGAAACTGAGGCCCACAGCAACAATAATAACTGTGGGGATGATATCATTTAATATTGAAAATAAGTGGATAATTGAGACCTCCATTATTAGTAGTTAATTTTTAAAAATCAAAGATCTCTCCTAATTAGCTTTATGGAGCAAATAAATATATTTTCCATATTCAAATATGGCTGTGATTTCTACACAAATGGTGTTAACAATCTAATACAGCATAAAACATTGTTTAAATATCATCATACCCTATTCCTAAACAGTAACGTGTAATAGATCTCTGGAGCCCAGTGTTGTAATATAAACACTTCCCAGGTGTATTCCCTTGGTAAAGTTTCATTACTTCTCTAAACGTCAGTTTTCTTGTGTAAAAAAGAGACACTTGTGTCTATCCTACTTACTGGTTACAAGGATATAATAAAAATAGTGAACAAAAATAGTGTTCATAAAGTACCCTGCACAGCACCTGATTATAGACTTAATAAGGGAGGGCTCAATGGTAGTTGCGTTTTGAATTACATTTAATGCTTCATTTTACTTCACTGTCACAAACTACTATGCTCTGCGGCAGGCTCAGAAGTCTCTAGGCACGGGTGAAGTGCTACTTCTCCACTCCCTTAAATGCCCCTGTATGCCCTGAGGATACTCAATGCATGCTAACCACCAAACGAACGGATGACTCAGAGCTTGGAGGAAATCCACGGCAGGCTGGAAAGCAAAGGCGCAGCTTATGGCTCAAGGATTAGGTTGTTACCTTTTTAAATTATTGCTTTTCTTTAAAGAAAGGGCTGTGGGGGACGCCTTTCAGCACTAAGAGAAAACCTCAGAAATCCTTCCCCCTGGAGACCCAGCTGAGAAGACCACACCAGGCACAGGGCATGAACAATGTCAAAAAGCTACTGCCCTGCAGGACACTGGGGCTGGAACAAAGATGCCTCCCAGCAGCTGGGCAAGGCTGGCTCCCACACAAGAAAAGCAGGGCTGATGTGAGCGTCCCGCACGATCCCCACCTGCTGAGACCTAATCCTGGGTTATCTCTCCGCTGGCCCAGAGAAACCTGAAACCCCCCAGGCTTTTGAAGGGCTTTATCTCCTCTTTCCAGGAACTGGGCTCAGTCCCTGTACTCGCTCCGAGGTGCCACTGAGCAGCTGCTGCCCAGAGCCCAGGCGAGCCCTGGTCCCATTTCCAGCTTGACCAAGTACAAGAGGGGAGCCAGGGCTGCGGATCCTACTCCCTCTTGCTCCCCAGGCATCCGTCTCACAATTAGAAAACCCGTGTGGGGAGCAAAGCAAAAATCACATTTCACTAACAGCTACTCGGGGTCGGGGGCGGGCAGGCGGGAATTCCTACTTTCGCCATAAATTGTATGCAAATGGGTTCCTTCCCTGGCCGAGAGCCAGGAGTGAGTGCGTCTTTCATGAGCTAACCCTGTTCCGCTGGGAGGGCTGTTCCTTTAATTCGCCAACTGAAAAAGTGGGAAAGGATGTCTGGAGGCGAGGCGTCCCATTACAGAGGAAGGAGCTCGCTATATAAGCCAGCCAAAGTTGGCTGCACCGGCCACAGCCTGCCTACTGTCACCCGCCTCTCCCGCGCGCAGATACACGCCCCCGCCTCCGTGGGCACAAAGGCAGCGCTGCTGGGGAACTCGGGGGAACGCGCACGTGGGAACCGCCGCAGCTCCACACTCCAGGTACTTCTTCCAAGGACCTAGGTCTCTCGCCCATCGGAAAGGTAAGTCTGTTTTGCCCTCATCACTAGAGATCCTTATGATGTAAGGATTGCATTCCTGGTACCAAATGAGTTGTGATTTTATATTATAATTACAAAACATATGGGGTTTTTTTTTCCACCGCTGGAAAAAAAAGGAGTGTGTATTGGTTATATCAGATGCACCTTGACTTTTCTGGTCTTGTAATTTTGTTTGTTTTAACTTTATGAATAGTCAGACTTGGAAGGAACTTTTCGTAAAGTTGTTATCTTCTGCTGTTCTGCAGAGGAAAAGTAAAAATTTTCTCTTCAACTGCTCTCCTACTTCTAGTCTGGCTGATTCACCTGTATATATCTTTTATTTTGAGGGTTAGGGCAGTAGAGTTTTAAGGCAGACTTTGCTCATAGCCTGCCCCTGGGATGGGTTAGAGGGAGTTTGATAGAGGAGTGCAGGGAGAATATAAAAGTTTATATCTAAACAGCACTTACATAAAGTTTACAAAGAGTTTTGTACCCATTCCCTCATTTGGTCCTCAAAATATTCACCCTGGAAATGAGAGCTGGGGGACAGAAGAGAGGAGGTGGCTCCTGGGCCAGATGAATAACTGACAGGCAGCTAGAGAGTGGTGGAGAACAGCTTTACTGGGGTGCCTAGAGCCAGCAGCGTCCCACATGTCTCTAGAATCACCTCCTCCTCCTCACCTCTCATCACAGAAAGATCTGAGCAACAACATCCCCCAGGTATGGGAACCCTGCTGCCCCTGGTGTACTTTGGAAAGAACACAGGGGTTCTTCTCACCCATCAGTGTTGTAAGAGGAATAAGAGCTTAGGTTTGAAGCCAGAGGTGTTTGGTATTCTCCCCACCACCATACATATGACCCTGAGAAAGATACATCACTTCCTTAATCCTCAGTTTTCACATCTCTAAAATGGGGACAATAGCGTCTGCTGTCGTTTTGAGGAGAAAATGAGGTATAGAAAGATCAGCAATGACTGCTTAATAACTGGAAGTTTGGATAATCATTGTCATTGCCAAAAACTGCCATCACTCTGGAAGTTAAAAGAGGCATTGAGCCAGTCTTGGATTGTTTCTTGTGTGTTGTTCCTCAGCCCGCCCCCAGCCCCCGCTTTTTATCTCACCCAATCTGAGGGTGTCTCACTAGGCTGGCAGGTCTGAGACTTGGCTGTATTTTACAAGCAGGAGGTTGTGTTGGCACAGGTTGGAGAAAAGGTAGTAGCCCGGGGCTGGAAGTTAATGTCAAATTTTGATTCCAGAATGTCAGGAGGTTTTGAGTTTAGGCATCTGCAGATTCTAAAGCTGACAGCTATGAAGTACGATGCTGTTGGAAACTCTTTGGAAAAGCTTTCTGTCCGGAGGGAGGGCAGGACAGGGAGCACCACTTGAAGAATGAATGCCTCTTTTTCATGTTTTTGTAGACTTTTTCCCCCATTTTTACAGAGCTTTCCCATATGTGTTTTAGAAAGGAAAACTACTATCCATCCCAGCCAGGCAAGCCCAATTCAGGACTGAAGAAGATTTATTCAGTCCTAGACAACCAAGTGAAGAGTTTCTGGCTTTGTGCGCATACAAGTCATTTGCAGGAGATGTAAGTCAGCGTGCTTTGGCCCTTGCATTTCAGGAAGGTGACTGCTTTGTGGGGAAGAAAAAGGTGCACAATATGAGTATTCTCTGGTTTGCTCAAACAGGGTAAATTGGACAAGGATTGAAAGGGATGTTGCCAAGCTCTACAGTCATTAAATATTTTTTTCCTCTATGCTTTGTTTTAAAAACCTAGCTTCTCTATTTTATCCCACACTAACCTCCTCCTTCCCCACTCTAAGAAGTGACTAACGTTTCAGCCCTCAACTTTGTCATTCATATAATGGAGATGACAAACTATGTCTCACAGGGCTCTTGCAACATTCAAATGAGGTAATATATGGCAAACACTTGGCATAGTACCTTCCACATATTAAGGGTTCAATAAATGGAAACTTTTCTTAGTTTCTCTGTTTATCATTTTACAAGGACTTGTCCAAGATTAATATTCTAAGATCATGATTTTTAAACTTATTTTTAATGATGAAAATATTCATTACATGAATTTAGGGCAAACCCCCAGTATATGACAGGTAAATGCAGGGCTGCTTTGGTTGAAGTGGGGTCACAAGGTCTAAAACTTACACCTTTGCTCTTAGCCTCTGGGACATTGCCACAGAATCTTCAATGACAAAAAGCACATTTACAAATCATGAAACCAGGCTGTGTGCATTCTGGTTGCCATTCTGCCCTTCAACAAGGATTTTTGCCCCTCTGAGTCACCATCTGTAGCAGAAGTAAGAGCAAGTCCACAAATAGTGTAATAGACAGGAATATGAATGAGAAATAAAAGACTTAACAAAGGCTATTTTAATTAATTCTAATGACAATGATAGCCAAAATATATGATGAGCCTACTCTCTAAACTGTAGGCTTTTGTGGGATCATCCACAGCATGTCTCTGAGGTATGGACTATATTTGTTGGACAAAGAGATGGCTTCAAGAACAGGGAGACTGAATAACTTTACCAAGGTCCTAGAACTCAGAGTGATACAGCCAGGTTTCACACCCAGGTCCCCGTGATCACCAAGTCAGAGGTACATTCTGCCGTGTTCCTTCTGAATGCTTCTCTGCTTCTTGCCTGCCTTTAGAAGGAAAACACTTCCTTTCTGACTAAATATGCCCCTCCAGGCAGACTGTGGCCACCCATAAATACAGCAGTAGCCTGATCATATAACCAGAATGGAATTTGGAAAGAGAATTCAAGCTGACAGAATGAAAAACATATCCCCCTTAATCCTACCCTTTCTAATGCTAACAATAAATTAAGAGCACATATTCTCTCCTCTCTCTCTAGATTTCTATAGACACCTAGCTGTGCTTTCTTACAAGAAAACATATCCACTGGACCAAAGCGCAGCCCCCTTCATGCTGAAGCCACTTCAGTTTGAAACGTAAAAAGTAGGTTGCAAACATTTAGTTGGCTCGAAATATATGTCCTTTTGTGATGGTAAAACACACAAACACAAAGTTAATAGTGTCACATATGTAATAGGAGGGTTTGCCAATGGTTTCTCATCTCATTCTCACTCAGACACTACAAATTATAAATTACTAGCTCAATTTTAAAGAAATCGACACTCAAGGAAGTTAGGTGACTCATCTGAGGTCTTTCCGTAATTGAGGGGCAGAGCTGGCTTTGACCCAAGCTTTCTAACTAATACCCCACTGTTCTTTCTGCTGTGCTATATTGCCTTCTGAAGTCAGGCTGTGCTGACCAAGTTTAGAACCTTAAATGGTGTCTTTCAGTGAATGATCAAGATGGTGGAGAAGCCCCCAGCTGGCATTGGTGCCTATTGATTTTACAGAATAGCCCTGCATGTATCATTTTTCATGGTTCTCAGCAAAGGTCAGCTCTCAATGGTGCAACTCTCTGCCTGGAAACAGGAAAGTTCAAATTTCAGCCCTGGAAGAGAGAAGAATGAAACTAGAGGTAGCAGTCAGGTCACTCCTGCTGATTTTCATCTCAGAAAAGTAGGCACACAGGTGAGCCAAACATCTGGTTTTAAAAGGGCTGATTGGTAGGTAAAGTGAAATCGGCCTTGGGGCCATGAATCCCAGGACAGCTTGGAAATGGTTGTAGGCTCCGAGCCACAAATTGAGCCACAAATTCAGCGGAAGCCTCAGAGAGGAAGATTATGATTCAAATACCTCTCACTCTGAGAAGATTGTAGGGAATCCCCTTGAATCTTATCCCGGGCCAGTTTGAACACCTTCAACATGTGGGAAACATTAGATGAAGGCTCCCTTCCAAGGAGGAAAACCCCCCTCAAAGTGTGACATGACCAGCCTCCTGCAAACCCCAGGCCATAATTCCATTCAATGTAAAAGACAGAGATGGTGAACTTACCTACCTTCGGGGGCTATACATGCTTTGTGACTTCTCTGTAAAGGAGAAAAGTCTGCAAACCAACCTGATTCTAATCCTGGTGGCCAGACATTTTTCAGTTATGCCCTTAAGCCTAAACTCCTTTCCCTCCACCTTGTCTCACATTTCCAGCTTCTCTTCCACTTTAGAAACAACCCTGTCACTATCATTACTCTCTTTGGCCCTTCATCATGGAATAAAAGCAAAATGCCCAAGTCAAAAGCAGATCGCGAACGGAAAATCCCTTCCATGTGCATTTTTAGTCTATCTGTGAATGGAGATTTTAAAAATATGTATTTCATGCCACGTCGTCTCAGAATTTTGAAGTTTCCTGAAGTTCATAGGTCCTTCATGATATAGCCATGGTAACTTAAATAGCTTTGTTTGGTCCTTTAACCCTCCTCAAATACCCTATACCAAGAGCCAGAGATATATCATGAGTTCTGAACATAGATAGCTTTGCTTCAGAATTGACCGTTGTTCACCTCTAACCCTAAAGCTGGCTGCTGCTAACTTCGACAAGAATGTGTCTGAAATGTTCTCCTAGGAGAATCCTAGGGGATAATCGTAATAGCTAATATTTACTGAGGACTCTATAGGCATCATGCCATTTAGTCAACCATAGCTTCTAGTAAGTCTTATCACCCACCCTATTCAAATATGCACAATGTAAGGCTGAAAACGTTTAAGTAGCTTACCCAATACCATGCAGAAAGTACTTGGTGGAGTTAAAAATCAAACCCAGTTCCCAGTCCTGAGAGGCTAGTTATAACCATTTCAGTAAGGAAGTCATGCTCAGCTCCCTAATTCTATTCATCTTCTGACAAGAGAGAGGGCTAGACACAGCAAAGCTAAGAAAGACACAAAAGCTTGTCTTTTTGGCCCTGGTGTTCTTTGACAGACTGGTTAATTTTGCTATCTCCAGCTTGCTCCTTCAGGCTTCACCTCTTGAAAAAAACTGTAATTAAATGATTAGCATGTGACCCATAATGTAATACGTTTTCTCTACTAGACTTTAAGCTACATGAGGGCAAAGCCCGATCCACATCACATCCCTGCAACCAGCCTGAGACCTGAAGCATAGACACACATAAGCAAGTGCTGCCCAAGGGAAGCCATGAGTGCCCTGCAGGCTGCCTGGAATCCCCCTGCTCCAGGTTCCAACTGAGCTCTGCACGTCCCCCACTGTCTGTGTCATAATTACCCCTATGATTGCCTTCCCTGCCACACTGGACTGTACACCACTGAGGTCAAGAATGTTAGGGAGGCGGGAGCTTTGTCTGCTGGAGTTCATTTTCCCCAAAAACGGACCCACCATGGGCAGACGCACCATTAGCACAGTCCCCAAAGGAGATGCCCAGGACTGTGGGATGGTCTTGTGAAGGTCGATGCACAGATATTGCAGAGGAATGCTTTAACTTCTAGGTAGGTTACTATTTTCTTAAATCTCCTTAGGGAATACAGAATTTTCAAACTAAAAGGGCTTACGGGCAGCCTCTAAGCCAGAATCTTGCAGACTGGATTTTAAAAAGAATTTAAAAAGATTTGGGGGCTGCTGTGGAGAGACAGGGAGGCCAAGCAGGGGATTCCCCTCAACCTTATTTCAATGAAAGCCCCTCCACTTATCTATTTTGTACACTGAGCCTCCTCATGAAATTTTATTTGATGAAAGGGCTCTGTGCAGAAAAAACAGAATGTTTTTGTAAATTGCTGGCCTAGGTTAGCATACCTCATTTTAAAGAGGGTGAAACTGAGACATAGAGAAGGGAAAGATCTTTCTAAGATCTTCCGCCAGTTGGCAACAGGGTCAGGTTGGAATCCTAGGTCTTCTGACTCTTGCTCTTGGAAGCCAGGGACAATCTTAAAAGTTTCAGAATTAAGACATTCTTTTAGAAAAGAAAAATGAGCAGAGTCTTATTCTCTCAACAGCCTTAACTCACACGGACCGAGCCAAGGATGACTAGTATCTCCGTATTCATTATCTATTACTGCATACCAAATTACTTTAAATCAACACTCATTTATTATCTCATGGTTTCTAGAGGTCTAAGCACAGCTTAGTTGGATTTTCTGCCTCATGGTCTCTCATGAGGTTATTGTCTGTGTTGGACAGGGTTGATGTCTCATCTAAAGGCTGAATTGGGGGATGATTAGCTTCCAAGCTTGTTGATGTGGTTGTTGGCTGGACTCCATTTCTTGAGAGATATTGAACTGAGGGCCTCAGTTCCTTCAAAGCTGTTGGTCCAAGGCTACCCTCAGTTCCTTGCCACATGGGCTTCTCCAACAAGGCCATTTACATTAACAAAGCCAATGAGAAAGAGAGTTACCGGGCATGGTCGCTCACACCTCTTAATCCCAGCACTTTGGGAGCCCGAGGCGGGTGGATCACTTGAGGTTAGGAGTTCGAGACCAGCCTGGCCAATATGCTGAAACCCCGTATCTACTAAAAATACAAAAAAATTAGCCTGGCATGGTGGTGGGCACCTGTAATCCCAGCTACTCAGGAAGCTGAAGCAGGAGAATCACTTGAACTTGGGAGTCGTAGGTTGCAGTGAGCCAAGATCGAGCCATTCCACTCCAGCCTGTGCAACAAGAGCGAGATTCCATCTCAAAAAAAAAAAAAAAAAAAAAAAAAAGAGAGAGAGAGAGAAAGTCTATAAGCAAGAGGCACATCACAATCCTGTGTAACCTAATCATGGAAGGGATATTCCATCACCTTAGTCATATTCTGTTTGTTAGAAGAAAGTCACTGGGCCATCCCACACTCAAGGGGAGGTAATTGCACACGTATGAGAATGCCGGGAGGCAGTATCAATGGGGCCACCTTAGAGTCTGCCTGCCACAGCCTCCAGCACTCCAGTGTCACCAATTTCTGGCAACCTCTTATCAATGACAAGTTCACTCAACCCTTCAGTACCCTCACTGATGAGTAATAAAAAAATTGATCGAGACCATGGTGAAACCCCGTCTCTACTAAAAATACAAAAAATTAGCTGGGTGTGGTGGCGGGCACCTGTAGTCCCAGCTACTCAGGAGGCTGAGGCAGGAGACTGGCGTGAACCTGGGAGGCGGAGCTTGCAGTTAGCCGAGATCACACCACTGCACTCCAGCCTGGGCAACACAGTGAGACTCTGTCTCAAAAAAAAAAAAAAAAAAATTCTGGCAGCCACTAAAGTGGACTAGTTTTTATTTAACATCCTCCCATGTATATAGTGGAGCCAAGTGTTTTGATTAGTTGTTTTAACTCATTGGTTAGCCATAATTTCTCTTGAATTTCACCCCAGGGAGGGGCCTTTCACGGCAATGATTCCAAATGTATTTTATTCTAAAGCAAGACAGTCAGTGTGACCAAAACTAAAACTCATCCATTGTTCCTCCCTCAATCTATTCCTCTCAGCAGATATAATGAATAGTAACATCTTCGATTAATTCTTTTTTCTTTACTAACCCCACACACAAAATGTTGTAGTCTCTACTGCCTTGACAAGCAAATCTGTTCACTGCCTCCCCACTTTCTTGATCACCACCCCCTGCCCCACCTCCATTACCCCTGTAGTTCAGATCTTAGCATCTCACAGATGGGCCACTGCAACAGCTTTCCCACTGGCCCCCAGCAACCCAGCCTTCCCCTTCTTCAACCTGAGACATAGAGGTTAACATTCCTGGGCCTCAAGATTTCCAAATGCTTTTCTTCTGCCTGCAAAAAAGTCCAGATATTCTGACATTCAAGATTCTCCATGATCTTGCTTCTGGTCTCTAAACAGATCCTGTACTTCAGCTGTCATTCATACTGTTCACATCAACCCTTTTATTCTTTTTATATCCTTGTAAATGCCATTCCCTCGTGCCTAGAATATCCTTTTTTATGTTTTTCACCTATTCATATTTTTCTCTCAAAATTCAGTTCAGGCACCACTTCCTCCAGGTAAATTAGATGCCCTTTTACTGTCATCTCATTCTACCTATGTTTCTTTTTTTAAATCTATCATCTCCTTTATCATCCTGGAATGGCCTGTCTGCCCCTCTTGACAATATAGTTCCTAAAAGAAAAAATTGTATCTGGTTTATCTGAAACCTAGCACAACTGGAATAAAGTTAATCTTTAGCAATTAATAGGAGTCCTTGCTGTGTCCCAGATTTGGACATCCTCTTCCTTAGCAGTTTGCTCAGAAAGCCCAGAGCTTGAAGTTGTTTTCACGCTTCACCCACTGGCTTGCAAGTATGCAGTGTGATGACACAACATGTGATAGGAGGAAACCATCCCAGCCCTAGGACAGGAAACTGTCTCAGGACACAGACCTCAAGGAATGTGTTTGCTTTCAGAGGTGGCCTTCAGGATAAAAACACAAATTGCTTTGGATTTGGAAAAACCAGTACCAAGGACAGAGGAGTCCTGTCTGGGGATTTGAGGCTGAGTCACAAGAGATAGCTGAAAATCTGGAGGTTATAACAAAGATTAGTCAACAACTAATAGGAGGAAAGAACAGGCTCAAGGGTGGGATGGAGACAAAGAGCTCTCTATCTTAGGACATGGAGAAGCTCACAGCCCACAAGAAGAAATGAATAATGGTTAAGAGTATGACTTTGGCATAAGAATCCTCTGGGTTTGAGAGGTATTTGCTTGCTATGTGATCTTGGCCAAGTTACTTAGCTTCTTTAAGCTAATTTCTTCTTATCCATATTAAAAGCAAAGTAGTAGCACCTAGTTTAAAGTTTATTGTGATGATTAAATGATGTAGTTCATGAACACTGCTTAGCACAGAAACTGGCATTCAATATAAATGTTTTGTTGTTGTCATTGTTTTGTTACCTGTTGATCAAATAGTTCTTGATGATAAGATCCCACTAGAGAAGCAGTTCCCAAAAGTGTGTCATGTGGAAAAGCATTCTCATGGGAATCACCTAAAAAAGGGTTTTGTGGCCAAATGAGTTTGGGAAACACTTGGTACTCTTCTGTTCTTGGAAATGCACAGCTCATATGTCCATTCAATACATAGTTTTAGGGCTGGTGATACAATAGAAAGCAATACAGTCAAGATCCTTTTATTCATGGTGTTTACATTATGGTGGCATATCTTAGTTTGTACAAGCTGCTACAACAAAATACCATAAACTGAGTGACTTACAAACAACAGAAATTACTTTCTCACAGTTCTGGAGGCTGGGAAGTCCAAGATCAAGATGGCACCTTATATGTCCTCACATGGCAGAAGACATAAGGCAGCTCTATGGGGTCTCTTTTAATAAGGGCACAAATTCTATTTATGAAGCCTCTGCCCTCATGATCTAAGTACCTCCCAAAGACTCTGCCAACTAATATTGTCACACTGGTGATTATGTTCCAATGTGTGGATTTTGAGGGAACACAAACATTCAGACCATAGCAGGGGGAAGGCAGACAATAAAAAGGAATCACATAAACTTATAGCACAATTTCAGGTAGTGATATTTGCTAAGAAGAAAGACAAAACAAGGTAAGGGCATAAACAATGACTGGTGGTGAGAGGAGTGCTCTTTTAGATGGGGTGAGAGGTGAATGTGCCATTGTGCAGATGTCTGAATGAAATGAGAGAAGGAGCTCTGTAGGCAATGGCTAGGAGTTTGAATTTCATTCTGAGTGTGGTTAGAAGCCAATGGATGGTTCAGGGAAGTAGAGTGCATCATCTGAGATATCTTGCTGTAATTAATCTGTTCAACTTTCGTTAGCCCAGTATCTCCAAACATACCTGACCATAGGACATCTACCTAAAAACATCTTGCAACGTAGTCTGGGAAATTCTTCACTGGAGCACAAGGCTTCATAGATTTTAAAGGGACTGCAAATTTGCTCTTGTTCATCTAGATCTGCACTAAAAATCCAAACATACTGCTTGGGACAAAATAGGCATGCCCAGGAAGGAAAACCTAGCTCTAGAGGTAGAGACAAGCAGGATGTCATCCTAATTAGCAGCTCTTTTTGGCAAAGACAATCAATGAGCACAGCCAGGCCTCAGCAGATTCTGGAAGCCCATTTGATGCCAACGGAAACTCGCCAATATCTACCCAAGGCTAATAAGTGTTTGCAAACAGTACACCTTGGCTTAAGTATTCTCCAAAAAGGAAGTACATAAAACTTGAGATCCAGCCAGAGGTTCTGGGAGAAAAACAGAGGTCAAATATTTTGGTGCTTACATGTGCACAGCCACCAAAGAGCTGCTGAAGGTCTAGGAAATGGAAAGTGAGTTCATCCACTTGAATGCTGATCTCTTTCTTTATGGAGCAGTAAAAATTTAAGTTTTTACCTTATCTGAACTAAGAAAATTCCTTTAGGAGTCAGCCCAGTGTAGCTCAATGTAGTTGAAAGCAGACATTTTAGAACCACAAATAAATCAGGATTCAAAAGCTGGCTCTGCCTCTTAAGCCAGTCATGGAAACTCCCTGAGTCTCAAATTAATTTTCAAATAAGCATAATAATACCTAACTCACCAGGTTGTCATGACAAATGACAAGATAAATGATAGCATGAATAAAAAGCATTTAGTGTAAGATTTGGCATAAAAATGTATATAATAGGCACTCAACAAAATGTTAGTTTCCTTATTGTTCAATTCAATCTGTATTTAGTTTCATAATAGAAGCTGTCATTTATTGAATAACTACTATATTCCAGCAGAGGTTAGCAAACCATAGGGTGGCAGCCTATTTTTGTAAATAAAGTTTTATTGGAACACAGCCATGCTCATTTGTTTGTGTATTATCTATAGCTGCTGCCTCTACAATAGCAGAGTTGAATAGTTGTGACTGAAATCATCTAACTGCAAAGCTTTACATATTTTCTATTTGGTCATTTAAGGAAATGTTTACTGATCCCTTCCAGTCAACCTTACTAAATTTTTATACTTACTTTCCAGTCACCTTAACCTAACAAGGTGGATATTATCATACTTGTGTATATAGAGATTGAAGCAGAAAAAAAAAATCATCTAGTAAGTTCCCCTCCAAAAACATAATGCCAAACTCTATACCTAAAAGAAGTTCAGAATAATGATTAAAAGTTATTCATTTGTATGATTCATCTTCATTTGCCTCTGCCTTCCTCTGACTAGTATTTCTCTCTGGCTAATTTCTTGAATTTCCTGCCATATGCTGAATTAAATGATCCTATTTAGAAGGAATTTTCCCTCCTTTCCTTACTTATACAAATAAGTTGTTTGTTCATAGAAGTCCATGCTTTCAAAACTGAAAGTGGTAATTTCCAGCCCCTCTGAAACGCTCTCTGATCTTGACTGATTTCTTGGAAACCACACGTTTTTTAGATAGTACATAGTGTGAAGCCCAGTTTTCCAGAAATGATAGATTTTTAGCTCCCCCATCTGCTACTTCTCACTGTATCTTCCTCTCACTTATTAACCTTCTCTTCAGGTCAGACTCAAGGAGAGCAGGCTTTTCTCCAGGGGCTTTAAAGATTTGCCTAAGACACAGATATTATAGTCCACCTGGCCTATGCCCTCCCCTCAAGTTCACAACAGTAAATAAAATAGTTATGTAAACCCCAATTCCCAAACACCATCCTACCTTGTTCCATTTTGCAAATCCAACAACTCTATTCATATTAATGATATTGTGTTTCTCTCTGATAGTTAGTAGATAAATATTAATTCTTTAACTTGAACAATGAATCTTACTTCAAAGGTAACTTGATATAGCAGAAAGAGCATAGACTTTGGAATTATAAGACTGTTCTTAATTCTGATTCAAATAATTGCTGACTAGGCCACTTACTTAACCTTCTTAAGCCTTCAGTTCTCTTACCAGTAAAATACAAACAATGCTCCCTAATTCCCAGAGTTGGTAACATGATTAAACAGCATTTGTAAAGTGCCACGCACAGTATAAATATTGACCTACTTGCTTCACTCTTAGTTTAAATTGCTCAAGATCCTCTAACATAGAGCTTCACATTTTATCCCAGAGAGGTCATAGTTAGGTATATCTCTACTTCCTTCTAATACAGGAAGAAATGAAAGGAGTAAGGGTCTAGGATTTGTTCTCTATCAGTTCTTCCCCCATCGTGTGCCATCCAACCTAATCCTGTGACTCACTTCAAACAGAATAATCAAGTAGATTTGGGAAACACTCTATAAACTGTCCCCTTCTTCGAGATTTCCAACGAGCATGAACCTATTAAACACCCTGGAAAAACCTGAAGTAAAGAAAGTTGTGTAATTTGTTTGGCTTAAAATCATATTTGGTTTAAAATAACATTTTCCAAACGTGTTTAATTAGGAAATCTTTTTCCCTCAGATTAGTACCTATCAACGTGTTGTAGATTACACTTTAGAAAATGCTGTTTAAAGTTACACAGCTAAGTTAAAGCCAAGTTAAGGGGGTTAGACATATCTCTATTTTTCAGATTTTTCTGCAGTTTTTCCTGTCCTGCCTGTAGATCATAAAGATATTTCATTACCAGTAGTTTCTCTGGACCCCGACCTTAGTTATGCAAACCACCCTTTAACATAATTAAAACAAGTGAATCAGTTCACCTGATTTAAATTTCTGTTCCCCGTTTCTAGCTATGTGATCTTGAGCTGTGTGAGCCTCAGTTTTCTCCTCCATAAACTGTGAAAAATAAAGACAACTACCTCAGAAGTCTTGGGGAGGATTCAATGAGATAATCCACAGAAGACACAAAAAGCAGTGTCTGGCACAGACGACATATGCAATCAATGTTCATTATTATTATAGCATTTAGATGGTCCCATTTTGGGAAAGGGAAAATAGACAATGAAAGTATGTTTGCTTTGCCTGAGGTCACACAAATTAATTACGGGAGTAGTCTTAGTTTTCCCTGAGAGTCTGGTTTCCTGCTTCCAGTCCTAGAGACGTATTTTTGTTTCATGAGTCATATTCTATCAAAATGTATGAGACTTTATTGAACTTGATTTAAACAGGATTTTGTAATTGTCAATGGCTCCATCTGGCTCCTTCTGATGCAAATCCCACTCAAGCAGGATTCCATTCATTTGAATATTAGCACATTGGATCGGGAAAGATTTCCAAAGCTGTCTAGTTTTGCTATGCCAAATATTTGGTGTACACGTCAACACTCTCCACTCCTGTACCCATGGTGGATATTGCTAATCCATCACAGCACCTTTTCCCGAAAGCCTAATCATAGCCACAGAATCTTTCTCAAGGCAGTTCCAGGTAGCTATGTCAGCTCTTTGAGTTGAAACATAATTGATCCCAAACCAATTCTACTTCTTAACCAGTGCTTGAACCACCTCTACACTATTACTCTTTTATTTTTTAATATGCCCAATGTCATGGAGCTCTCTCATAAAGGGAGACAGGAAAAGGAAAGAAGAGGAGAAGATATACTAACATATGTGTAACGTTTATTATTAATATGTCAGGCACTTATAGCTTTGTTGTCCCATTCACTGCCTCAAACAACCCTGGAGAGATTTTATAGTTGAATAAGCCACAATTCAGAAGGTATAGGACGTTGTCCAAGGCTCCCCAGCAGATAAGTAGAAATTGGTCTTAAGTCTTCCTGACTCTAAAGGCAATGCCCCTGTCTCTCCCATCACAATGCCTTCTTAAAATTTTTCAGGGTCTTTCGGGACTAAATTTCTGACTTTGGGTGGCTGATAACAGTTTCACAAAGGCAACCATCTCACAGACCCCTATTCAGAAGTTCTCTTATTTAGGGTTGTGTTGTAAGTCTGTCTGTAATCGGTTCTTCCTAGATAAATCTCTTCCATTTCTTAACCTTGGCTCAAGACTTTGAGAACTCACTATTCAATGCTTCTGAAAGAGCCAACTAGATTTCTTAAAATTCTGGATGAAGACCAAAATAGAAGAGGTCATTGTTCCATTGGGAAATGAATTCAAATTTATTTTTGAAATAATTTTCCAGAATTTTACAGGAATCTATATTGTTGCCACTTGTCCAGAACCACTTTTTATTTTCTTTTCTGTCTAGGCAAGAAATAGAAGAGAGAAAGCAAGTGCTCTGCAGTTTTATTTCAAAAATTGAAACCAGACCACACCAGGGCAGTTTGTGGTCTGAATGTATCAATGGATCTAGTCATATTTCATCTGAGCATTTCTTAGGTATACTAAACCACAAATATGAATCTCATTATTGTGTCTGGATGGAAATATTTTATGGATTAAGATTTGTGGATTTAATTTGGTTGGTAATGGAACTTCTGTTCAAGGGGCAGGAGGGAGGAAGTCGTGAGGCACCACCAATGCTTAAGCCAAACTATGGAAAGAAACACTATTTGGAGGGTTTGTACTTAATGTTGGCCAGTTGACTTGGGTCTAAAGTGAAATTCAAAATTAAGTTCAACAAAAATATTGTGAAATTAGCAATGGACCACAGATCACTGGAACCAAAGGGATCTTAGAATTGGAAACCATACACAGTTGCTCATTTTACAAGAGAAACTGAGACCTCAAGAGTGGATGCGACTTGCCCAAGGTCACACAATGAC
Organism: Homo sapiens; assembly: GCF_000001405.40. Lineage (NCBI taxonomy): Eukaryota > Metazoa > Chordata > Mammalia > Primates > Hominidae > Homo > Homo sapiens. The sequence continues at coordinate 115,103,551 of NC_000009.12, read as the reverse complement.
CCTGTTGGTCAGACCTGCTTGGCAGAAGAGGAGCTCAGAGCTTCTCCTCCAGATCTTCCATTTATTGCACTTCCTGTTATATGGCCTCATAAGAGGCCAAGTATCTGGGAACTTAAAAAAAAGTAATGAAGGTAAAAATTTAAAATGAGAAAGGGAGACCTATATTTAACAACAGTACAACAAAATGATAAATACTGCAATGAAATTGAAAGGGTTACTAACTAATAACCCAGGATGCTTCCTTCACACCAAAACCAAATTTTCATGCTGAGTGCATCTTAGGCCTGGCCAATTCCACCTTCTGCCAAAGGAGTTTACTTGATCATAGAGAAATCTTGTCTCAAAGTAGAAAGTACTGAGCTCTTAAAAGCCCTTGGGTTGATGTCTAGAATCTCATGGGAAGGAGCTAGGTCTGTCTTTGTCACTTTTGTACCTTCTGCACTTAGTGTGGTGTCTGGAACGTAGTAAATACTCACTGAATAACTGAATGAATTAAAACGAACTAATTACAGAACTGAGGCTGTGACAAATTCCTTGATACATCTTACTGTAGAAGAGATTACAGGAGAGCTAATTACATTAGGGCCATCAGGAAAGTAAGAGTATTTGTTCATTCATTAATTCCACAATATAAGAACCTGCTATGTGTAAGTTCAAACCAAGAAATACATTCAGCTTCATTTCATTTAATATAAACATATTGTGCATTTACTATGTTCTAGATAAAGTGTTTTGTGTTGTGCATTCAGAGATGAATGTCTCAGATATATCCCTGCCCTCATAGAGCTTATAGTCTACATACAATCTAACTGCACATATGCAAACCAACTGTTTATAGACTAATATAAATACAATCTAGAATTAGCTAATTTCCTAAGAGAAGGAGTTATGCATGCATAATAAAGCCATTCCAAATCTTTTTTTAAATGATAAATCAAATAATATCATATCAATTCCCCAGACAATTCAGAAGAGAGAAAGATAAATTTAGGCCAAAGTTACCTGATAAACCTTTCAATAGTAGATTTCTTTAAGCAGCATCTTGAAGGACTGATAGATTTATTCATGCAGAGATGGCAAAAAGGCTTCTAGAAGCCTTCAAGGCATCTGGAACCCTCGCTGAATGATCACTGAGAAATGGAAGCATCCCAAATGTATCTGTCAGCTTGCTTCATCTCCACAGCAGCCACAGGCTGTCTGGCATCTTAATGGTCTACTTCTGGAGGATTGATAGTATTCTGCTTTGAGCCAGGTGTTGGGAAGTTATATAGTCAGAGGTTGGGGCTGGTCTTGACTCATAGCTCCTTTGCTTGGCCCTCCAGCACAAAAGGCTGTATAAAATCATGGTTCAGAGCCCTGACTTTGGACTCAGATGGGATTTGGTTCAAATCCTGACTCCATAACTTAATAATGTCTGAACTTGCACAAGCCATGTAAAGACTCTATGCCTCAGTTTTTTCAGCTGCAAAATGAGGGTACAAATACTATCTCATAATTGTATGTGAATTTGAAATTGGAAATGTAAAATGCTAACTAAGCACAGGCTCTGGCAAAATCAACACTTAATAAATTATAGTTAATGATATCTGTATTACTTATGATGGTGATGATGATGATGTCAACTTCCTGATTATTATTATTATGTCAACTTCTTAATGATCTTCCAAGGCCTTTTCAACCACTATTTGGTGATTGTAATTCTTTCCTTTTCTAGGAAGCCCCCCATGAACTTCCCAGTGCAAAGTGTCACATAATTATCTCATTCAGGCTGGCATTAATACCAGACCTTGCTTGTGTATGATATTCTAGTTTCTGAGATCTCTAGGAACAAAAAATAGCTCCTTACTTGGCCTATTTTCCAAAGTACCCAGCACATTGGGAGGTCCATACTAAGTAAATAGCATTTCGCTCTTGAAAGAATGTTAACATTTATACTCTTGCTATTGGCTTGGGAGAGTGCACCATGTTCCCAACCTGCAGTGGCACTTAAGAATATCACAAATACTAAATCAACTGTACATGGAGTTAAAATCAATTGCGGCCAGGTGCAGTGGCTCACGCCTGTAACCCTAGCATTTTGGGAGGCAGAGGTGGGCAGATCACCTGAGGTCAGGAGTTCGAGACCAGCCTGGTCAACATGATGAAATCCTGTCTCTACTAAAAATACAAAAAGTTAGCTGAGCGTGGTGGTGGGCACCTGTAATCACAGCTACTCAGGAGGCTGAGACAAGAGAATCGCTTGAACCTGGAAGGTAGAAGTTGCAATGAGCTGAGATCGCACCACTGCACTCCAGCCTGGGCAACAGAGCGAGACTTCATCTCAAAAAATAAATAAATTGTATTTTGTGACTCTTTGGGAGGAAATTATGAGCTTTGCGATTATACAGAACATGTTTATCTTCTTTGGTGTTGTATCGTTTATACTTAACTCAGGGCTTGGCACGTATGTACTGAAAAAGTAGATAGTTGGATGAATTGATGGATAGATAGACAGAAAAGTAAAAAACTCATCAGGGCCAAGAAGTCTAGAAATACTTTAACACAAATGCTCTCCAGGATCCCACCACTGATATTTCTCTCTGGAGATCATTACAATGACCTCAGACTAAGAATTACTGAAAGACTTTCATATGCATTTTTAAAGGTTTTTTTCCCCCAGCTTTATTGAGGTATAATTGACAAATTAAAATTAAAATTTTATACATTTAAGGTATACAACGTGATAATTTAATATATGTATACATTGTGATATGATTACTAGATTCAAGCTAATTAACACATCCATCGCTTTACATAGTTACCTCTGTGTGTCAATGATAAAGACACTTAAGGTCTACTACTATCTTAGCAAATTTGAAGTATACAATGCATTATTATTAACTGTAGTCACCATGCCGTACATATGCACTCCTTTTTGAAGGCCTCCCAATGGTCTAGAGGAAGAGATAGATCTTAATCGAATTCCTTGACCCAAAGGCAAAATCTCTGGATTTTAATATCAGCTTTAGGAGTTAATTAGTAAAGTCACCACTGATTAGCTAGTGACTCTGGGTGTTTCAATTCAGTTATTCTCTTAAATAACTAGGTATTATGGCAAATAAGTTTCATGTGATATACTACCTCTATTTATATACTACTTAATTGGCTGCCTGAAGTGATGATTTAGAATGATTCTTAAGTGGGGCTCCTCAGAATTGTGTTGTTATCGATTAGCTGTGTCTGCCCCATGCACTAGAATGAAGTGTTTTGTGCCACAGACTTGCCATGCCTATACCAAATGATCTTCTACAGTTGCTTCTAAGTCCTGCTCAAGCATGATTTTGATCCTATAATTTGATGTCTGTCTGTGTCTTTGGAAAGTACTGAGAAGCTGGGCCAAATGTTTCCCGTTAGGAACACAGTCTTGAAAGACTAAACCACAGGCAGTCTATTCAGTAGAAAGCCCTGGCTCAGCAGCATGGACAGCCATCCCAACAGCAGCACTGCCCCTGAGGAACCTTGGCCAGGGTCCTGACCTCCCAGAAAAGAGCCCCACACCAGGCTAATTCATTTGCTTTTCTTGCTACTGAGTTAGAAGAGATAGGATAACAGGAAAACCAGGGCTGTAGCCACAGCCTCCTCATTTTCCTAAAAATTTTAGAGTGTCCCTGCTACTTGACAAATTGAAATACTAAGATTTATACATTTCCATGGAAAAAGCAACAGTGGGAAAGAGAGGGCTTCCCAGATTTGTCTTATAGATCTCATCCTTCAGAGACTAGCCTTCTGTTAGAAATGCTGTCTCCAAGCACAAGACAGAATAATCATATAATACCAATACACACCAGTTGCTAAGGTCTCCATCCTTTTAAGTATTTGTTACTGAGTGTTTTGCCTGTATTATCTCATTTTTCTCACTTTCAGTTGAAAGAACTTTATTGTGCAGTTGATATTAGTGTTACCATTTTACAGATGTGAAAATTAAGGCCCAGACAGGCAATGTTACACAACCAAAACAGCTACTGGATGGAACCCTTTGGATTTGCTACTACCCAACTATTTCTGACCTAAAAGAGTGGTGATTCCATGTGGTTCAAATTAATAGCAAGTGGCAGAGTAAAGATCTAACAGTGTTTGACTGATGTAGAGCAGATATCCTCAAACATTGCACAGATGTTTCTTGGATATTTGTCCATGTTAGTATTTATCATTCTTCACAACAAGTATCTGTTTACATGTCTGCTTTCTATACCTGACTGTGAGCTCATTAAGGGCAAGACCTATCCATCATTGGCTTCTGAAACACCCCACCACCACTAGGCTATCCCATAGCCCGTTCTTACACTTGTTCAACACATCTCTGTTGAATGCAAGAATAAACCATTTAGAAATTAATTCTCAGTCCTCTTGGATAATCACTGGCTCCCCCAGCATCTTAACTGGGCACCAGCTAAGCCACTGTGCTGCCTAAATGGACAACCACTTCTCAGTTCTGGAATTCTTCAAACACCTAGGGTTAGGAGGGTCTTCGCTTTGGCAGTTAGAGTTTTCTCAATTCTTTTATGACACAGGTTGCACCGGACTCACTCAACTATGGAGATCAGATGTCCTCAGGAAAAAAAAAAAAAAAAAAATACACACTTAAGGCTGTTTCCTGGCTCCTCTCTCTTCCTGACACATTCCAAAAAGGAATTTATGGATGTTGGGAAGGACAAAGGGTGAGGAATTTCTAGGACATTTAAGAACGCCCATGTAAGCAACTCTATGCTTGACAGGCCATGCACAATAAAACTCTTTGGCCTGTAAGCGAGAAGAAAAATTTGGTGTAAGCTGCCTCATGGGTTGCCAAAATGATGTGGAAACAAATTCATCTGCATTTCTAAACAATAGGAATTCTCCTCGTCCTCCCAAACCTAGAATATTTCATGTATGTGCTTAAGTCAACAAGATAAATATATTCCATGAGCTACTAAAAATGAAATCATAAGTAACTAATTCTGAAATATGATTCTAGCCAGTTGGAAGTTTCATCTTTATCTAAAAATGAAGTTGTTTATTCTCCAGCTGTGACCAGGGAAAAAATCAGATTGTTGATTTCTTCGTCTAGCAATGATCTTTGTCCTGCAGTGAGGTGCCCAAAAATAACTGTTAGCCTATTCCCTGCTGCTTCCAAAAGGTTAGCTACCAAACAGCTCTACTAGTAAAAGAGAAAAAAAGAAGGATTTGACAGCAAGCCAAGAGGCAGCTTAATGTGTAAAATTATGAGCTAAAAAGCCATTACGACTGGCATGACACTGGCCTTGGTTTCCCAACCTGGTAAATAAATTTTTATCTCACAGTAATGCTCTGAATAAAAGTCTATAATGCCAAAATCTGAAGAAATGATTCAACACTGATAACATTTAACACCAAGGCAATTGAAATAAGATTAAAGCTTAACATTTAACCCTTCTTCCACCCCACACTCCCCACAAAAGCTTTCAGGACCATTGTTTTTATCTTCTTATTTTTTGTAGCGGGCTGGGGCCATAAATGTACCAGGTATTTGGAGAATGGGGGACTAAATATTAAAGCCTATATTCTACCCAGCCTTCTCAACAGATGACTAACTGTGAGCAGTTAGGCACCTAGCCTTACAGAGGTGCCATATTGCTTACTGAGTTAAGTACCAGCTCTTCATATTGATCTTTTATATCCTTCCCAATATGGCTTCTGCCAATACCATGTAGTCTCTACCTTTCTGCTTTCCTATGCATTATTTTATACCCTAGTAGAACAAGACCTCTCCATATTCCCTGCATGCTACACCACCTTGGCATGTATCTGGCACCCACAAGGAGATGCCACTATTATTACAGCTATCTTCTTAATTCTCCTCACCACCCATGCATTCCAACTTCTTTGCCTTTTCTCATGGTGTTTCTTTTTTCTAGGGTGCTGTAGGCTTCAATTTGAACCCACCTACTGGAGTTGTATCCAACCATTTTTCAGAATCTTGCCCATCTTTCAAGTACATCTCAAATACCACTTTTTTGAGATGTCTTTCTTGGGACCTTCAATGGATATGAGTTGGCCAATCTCTTTTGTTACTTGTTATAATCATGAATGTATCTCCCTGATTCCCCCATCCCTTCTGGATACAAGGTTTTCTTTCTGATCTATTCTCTATTGGATCAGTGTTGTTATTACCGCTGCTGCTATCATTAGCTACCACATATTAAGCACACCTTAATGTGTGCCAGGCACTGTGCCAGTAGCTTAACATATGTCTTCTCATTTCATCCCACTCTCCTGCAACACTATGAGATAGACATATGTATCTCCAGGGAGAGGAGGCGGGGAAATTGAGGTTCAGAGGAGAAAGGGAATGGCCATAGGGAGCAGCTGCTAAAGTGATAGAACTGGATTCGAACACAGGTTTATTTTACACCAAAGACCAGACTCTTTCCCCCACACGCAACTGCTTCATTAATGGAAATGTTTAGATGGCTGAAGGATATGGACTGAGTGCCCTCAAAACTCTGGAGCACAGCAGTGCAGGACAGCAGAGAAACGGGAGTCATGAGTTGTCTTTGACAAGCTCCTCCAGCTTCTAAGGAGAGGCTGAAGCAGACAGAAAGAGACATTAGACTTGGCCAGAGTGGTTCCTGGAGCAACTTGGTTTTAGTTTAACGTGGGGAGAAGATTCTTACGAGACTCTAAGGTGTGCAGAGGGAGGAAGAAAAAAATATTTCTTAACCCAAGGACAAGGCTGGGGGAAAAGATGCTGATCTGACACAGGGTAGTTATCTCTTCAGATCTGCAAAGGACAATAGCATTGAGGATTGCTTCTCACTTGTACCTGGATATGTTCAAACATGTAAGGTATGGAAACTACAATGCACATACATGCTTGCTATAGTTAAGTGAGTTAGTTGCTAAAAAGAAGCCATTTTTTCTCCCTAATCCCCGGGCTCTTGTGTCTGAGGTACTCACCCATTTTCATTAGTCAAGAAACTTAACAACATTGAAACTTTCTTATAGACTCTTCTTGATCGCTTTGAGTCTCAGTTTCCTCATTTTGTACCATGCGCTTAGTAAAAACAAGCAATCCTCTAAACCAGTACTGCTCAATAAAACTTCTTTGGATGATAGAGATGTTCTTCATCTGCACTGTCTCATATTGTAACCACAAGCCCCATGGGCTCTTAAGTACTTGAAATGTGAGTGATACAACTGAGCAATGAGATTTTTAATTGTATTTAATTTTCATTAATTTTAATAATCACATGCGGAATATGGGACAGAGCACTTCGAATTCAAGACCAATGAATTCGAAGTGTTTTATCTCTTTTTAAATTTTCTATCTCACGGGGAAGTTTTTATTGTGGATTTTATGTTCACCAGATTAACTAGCTTTTGAGACATTGACAGGGATGGAGATACACAGAAAATCTCACAAAAACAATTTCATAAGTCACAGGTATTTGTTTGACTCTAAAAATTAATTTTAATAAAGAAAGCAAAGTCTGACACAAGTGTGTCTTGTTTTGCGTTAGATACATAAGCTGAGGCGGAGCAAAAAGCAGCACAACATGCTTAGCTTGGAAATAGATTTGTCCTGGATATGGGACCCCAAAAATCTGCGTTTTGTGCCAATGCAAAGACTATGTCTCTTCCTGATTCCCTTCTTTGCAATCATTGACTTACCAGATCCTTAAATATCACCATCAAAGATATACACACACTTACATATATAATATGATATGTAATAATATATTATCTTTCATTGTATTATAATATGTAATATTATGTTACATCACATATTATAATATTATATGTAATATAATTGGAGCAACTATTATATTATATATGGAGATATATATATACATATATATACATATATATATACATATATATACATATATATATACATATATATACATATATATATACATATATATACATATATATATACATATATACATATATATATACATATATATACATATATATACATATATATACATATATATACATA